>NC_000004.12:107671381-108296381 GCF_000001405.40 Homo sapiens
TTATGAATTTAAAGAGAGAAAGACGGGAAGAAGGTGGGAGAAACCTGTGGCACCCAAAGCAAATTAAGCTTAATAATCCCATATACATGTCTGAAGTATCTGGAATTTATAGTCAAAGATTAATAAGCCCCATAAAATTATATAAAATGGTATCTATTAAATATGTGCATTTTTCTGAGATCTTATAAAACACTTATGAATCACTAACAAGATATAAAAAAATCAAAACAAATAATAAAACTGTACAGTCATCCCTCAGTATCTGAGAGGAATTGGTTCCAGGACTCCTTGAGGACACCAAAATCCACAGACGCTCAAGTGATATAAAATGGCATAGCATTTGCATACAATCTACACACATCTTCCCATACACTTCATATCATCTCTGGATTACATATAATACCTAATACAATGTAAATGTTATATAAGTATATAATTGTATTCTTTTTAAAATTGTATTCTTTTTCATTGTTGTATTAATTTTCCTGAATATTCTCAATCCATGGTTGTTTGTATCCACAAATGTGGAACCCACAGATATAGAACTCCAGATACAGAGGGCCAACTTTCTAACGCTGATATGGCAAATTTCAAGTTAAAAAAAAGATAGATTCAGTATACAAAAAACTCAAACAAAACTACAATCAAAACGAAAAGGAAAAATACTAGAACTATAGTTCCAATAAAAATGAGATGGAGGTGGGTGGTGCCAAGATGGCCGAATAGGAACAGCTCCAGTCTACAGCTCCCAGTGTGAGCGACGCAGAAGACGGGTGATTTCTGCATTTCCAACTGAGGCACCGGGCGCATCTCACTGGGGAGTGTCAGAAAGTGGGTGCAGGACAGTGGGTGCAGCGCACCAAGCATGAGATGAAGCAGGGCGAGGCATCGCCTCACCCAGGAAGCGCAAGGGGTCAGGGAATTCCCTTTTCTAGTCAAAGAAAGGGGTGACACACGGCACCTGGAAAATCAGGTCACTCCCACCCTAATGCCGCACTTTTCCAACGGTCTTAGCAAACAGCACACCAGGAGAATTATATCCCGTGCCAGGCTCGGAGGGTCCTATGCCCACGGAGCCTCGCTCATTGCTAGCACAGCAGTCTGAGATCAAACTGCAAGGTGGCAGTGAGGCTGGGGGAGGGGTGCCCACCACTGCCAAGGATTGAGTAGGTAAACAAAGTGGCCTGGAAGCTGGAACTTGGTGGAGCCCACCACAGCTCAAGGAGGCCTGCCTGCCTCTGTAGACTCCACCTCTGGGGGCAGGGCATAGCCAAACAAAAGGCAGCAGAAACCTCTGCAGACTTAAACGTCCCTGTCTGACAGCTTTGAAGAGAGTAGTGGTTCTCCCAGCATGCAGCTGGAGATCTGAGAACTGACAGACTGCCTCAAGTGGGTCCCTGACCCCCAAGCCTAACTGGGAGGCACCCCCCAGTAGGGGCAGACTGACACCTCACACAGCCAGGTACTCCTCTGAGAAAAAACTTCCAGAGGAACGATCAGGCAGCAACATTTACTGCTCACCAATATCCGCTGTTCTGCAGCCTCCGCTGCTGATACCCAGGCAAACAGGGTCTGGAGTGGACCTCCAGCAAACTCCAACAGACCTGCAGCTGAGGGTCCTGACTGTTAGAAGGAAAACTAACAAACAGAAAGGACATCCACACCAAAACCCCATCTGTACGTCACCATCATCAAAGACCAAAGGTAGATAAAACCACAAAGATGGGGAAAAAACAGAGCAGAAAAATTGGAAACTCTAAAAATCAGAGCACCTCTCCTCCTCCAAAGGAACGCAGCTCCTCAACAGCAGTGGAACAAAGCTGGACGGAGAATGACTTTGACGAGTTGAGAGAAGAAGGCTTCAGATGATCAAACTACTCTGACCTAAAGGAGGAAGTTCAAACCCATGGCAAAGAAGTTAAAAACCTTGAAAAAAAATTAGACAAATGGCTAACTAGAATAACCAATGCAGAGAAGTCCTTAAAGGACCTGATGGAGCTGAAAACCAAGGCATGAGAACTACGTGATGAATGCAGAAGCCTCAGTAGCCGATTCGATCAACTGGAAGAAAGGGTATCAGTGATGGAAGATTAAATGAATGAAATGAAGCGAGAAGAGAAGTTTAGAGAAAAAAAGAATAAAAAGAAATGAACAAAGCCTCCAAGAAATATGGGACTATGTGAAAAGACCAAATCTACTTCTGATTGGTGTAGCTGAAAGTGACAGGGAGAATGACACTCTGCAGGATATTATCCAGGAGAACTTCCCCAATCTAGCAAGGCAGGCCAACATTCAAATTCAGGAAATACAGAGAACACCACCAAGATACTCCTCCAGAAGAGCAACTCCAAGACACACAATTGTCAGATTCACCAAAGTTGAAATGAAGGAAAAAATGTTAAGGGCAGCCAGAGAGAAAGGTCGGGTTACCCAAAAAGGGAAGCCCATCAGACTAACAGCTGATCTCTCAGCAGAAGCTCTATAAGCCAGAAGAGAGTGGGGGCCAATATTCAACATTCTTAAAGAAAAGAATTTTCAACTCAGAATTTCATATGCAGCCAAACTAAGCTTCATAAGTGAAGGAGAAATAAAATCCTTAACAGACAAGCAAATGCTAAGAGATTTTGTCACCACCAGGCCTGCCCTAAAAGAGCTTCTGAAGGAAGCAGTAAACATAGAAAGGAACAACCGGTACCAGCCACTGCAAAAATGTGACAAATTGTAAAGACCGAAACCGCATCAACTAATGAGCAAAATAACCAGCTAACATCATAATGACAGGATCAAATTCACACATAACAATATTAGCCTTAAATGTAAATGGGCTAAATGCTCCAATTAAAAGACACAGACTGGCAAATTGGATAAAGAGTCAAGACCCATCAGTGTGCTGTATTCAGGAAACCCATCTCACGTGCAGAGACACACATAGGCTCAAATAAAGGGATGGAGGAAGATCTACCAAGCAAATGGAAAACAAAAAAAGGCAGGGGTTGCAATCCTAGTCTCTGATAAAACAGACTTGAAAACAACAAAGATCAAAAGAGACAAAGAAGGTCATTACATAATGGTAAAGGGATCAATTCAACAAGAAGAGCTAACTATCCTAAATATATATTCAACCAATACAGGAGCACCCAGATTCATAAAGTAAGTCCTTAGAGACCTAGAAAGAGACTTAGACTCCCACACAATAATAATGGGAGACTTTAACACCTCACTGTCAACATTAGACAGATCCACGAGACAGAAAGTTAAAAAGGATATCCAGGAATTGAACTCAGCTCTGCACCAAGCAGACCTAATAGACATCTACAGAACTCTCCACCCCAAATCAACAGAATATACATTATTCTCAGCACCACACCGCACTTACTCCAAAATGCACCACATAGTTGGAAGTAAAGCACTCCTCAGCAAATGTAAAAGAAAAGAAATTATAACAAACTGTCTCTCAGACCACAGTGCAATCAAACTAGAACTCAGGATTAAGAAACTCACTCAAAACCACTCAACTACATGGAAACTGAACAACCTGCTCCTGAACGACTATTGGGTACATAATGAAATGAAGGCAGAAATAAAGATGTTCTTTGAAACCAACGAGAACAAAGACACAACATACCAGAATCTCTGGGACACATTCAAAGCAGTGTGTAGAGAGAAATTTATAGCACTAAATGCCCACAAGGAAAAGCAGGAAAGATCTAAAATGGACACCCTAACATCGCAATTAAAAGAACTAGAGAAGCAAGAGCAAACACATTCAAAAGCTAGCAGAAGACAAGAAATAACTAAGATCAGAGCAGAACTGAAGGAAACAGAGACACAAAAAACTCTTCAAAAAAATCAATGAATCCAGCAGCTGATTTTTTGAAAAGATCAACAAAATTGATAGACCACTAACAAGACTAATAAAGAAGAAAGGAGAGAAGAATCAAATAGATGCAATAAAAAATGATAAAGGGGATATCACCCCCGATCCCACAGAAATACAAACTACCATCAGAGAATACTATCAACACCTCTACACAAATAAACTAGAAAATCTAGAAGAAATGGATAAATTCTTTGACACATACACCCTCCCAAGACTAAACCAGGAAGAAGTTGAATCTCTGAATAGACCAATAACAGGCTCTGAAATTGAGGCAATAATTAATAACTTACCAACCAAAAAAGTCCAGGACCAGATGGATTCACAGCCAAATTCTACCAGAGGTACAAGGAGGAGCTGGTAACATTCCTTCTGAAACTGTTCCAATCAATAGAAAAAGAGAGAATCCTCCCTAACTCATTTTATGAAGCCAGCATCATCCTGCTACCAAAGCCTGGCAGAGACACAGCAAAAAAAGAAAATTTTAGACCAATATCCCTGGTGAACATCGATGCAAAAATCCTCAATAAAATACTGGCAAACCGAATCCAGCAGCACATCAAAAAGCTTATCCACCATGATCAAGTCAGCTTCATCCCTGGGATGCAAGGCTGGTTCAACATACACAAATCAATAAACATAATCCAGCATATAAACAGAACCAAAGACAAAAACCATATGATTCTCTCAAGAGATGCAGAAAAGGCCTTTGACACAATTCAACAATGCGTCACGCTAAAACTCTCAATAAATTAGGTATTGATGGGACGTATCTCAAAATAATAAGAGCTATCTATGACAAACCCACAGCCAATATCATACTGAATGGGCAAAAACTGGAAGCATTCCCTTTGAAAACTGGCACAAGACAGGGATGCCCTCTCTCACCACTCCTATTCAACACAGTGTTGGAAGTTCTGGCCAGGGCAATCAGGCAGGAGAAGGAAATAAAGGGCATTCAATTAGGAAAAGAGGAAGTCAAATTGTCCCTGTTTGCAGATGACATGATTGTATATCTAGAAAACCCCATCGTCTCAGCCCAAAATCTCCTTAAGCTGACAGCCAACTTCAGCAAAGTCTCAGGATACAAAATCAATGTGCAAAAATCACAAGCATTCTTATACACCAATAACAGACAAACAGAGAGCCAAATCATGAGTGAACTCCCATTCACAATGGCTTCAAACAGAATAAAATACCTAGGAATCCAGCTTACAAGGGATGTGAAAGACCTCTTCAAGGAGAACTATAAACCACTGCTCAATGAAATAAAAGAGGATACAAACAAATGGAAGAACATTCCATGCTCATGGGTAGGAAGAATCAATATCATGAAAATGGCCATACTGCCCAAGGTAATTTATAGATTCAATGCCATCCCCATCAGGCTACCAAGAACTTTCTTCATAGAATTGGAAAAAACTACTTTAAAGTTCATATGGAACCAAAAAAGGGCCCACATTGCCAAGTCAATCCTAAGCCAAAAGAACAAAGCTGGAGGCATCACACTACCTGACTTCAAACTATACTACAAGGCTACAGTAACCAAAACAGCATAGTACTGGTACCAAAACAGAGATATAGACCAATGGAACAGAACAGAGCCCTCAGAAATAATGCCACATATCTACACCCATCTGATCTTTGACAAACATGACAAAAATAAGAAATGGGGAAACGATTCCCTATTTAATAAATGGTGCTGGGAAAACTGGCTAGCCATATTTAGAAAGCTGAAACTGGATCCCTTCCTTACACCTTATACAAAAATTAATTCAAGATGGATTAAAGACTTAAATGTTACACCTAAAACCATAAAAACCCTAGAAGAAAACCTAGGCAATACCATTCAGGACATAGGCATGGGCAAGGACTTCATATCTAAAACACCAAAAGCAATGGCAACAAAAGCCAAAATTGACAAATGGGATCTAATTAAACTCAAGAGCTTCTGCACAGCAAAAGAAACTACCATCAGAGTGAACAGGCAACCCACAAAATGGGAGAAAATTTTTGCAATCTACTCATCTGACAAAGGGCTAATATCCAGAATCTATAAAGAACTCAAATAAATTTACAAGGAAAAAACAAACAACCCCATCAAAAAGTGGGAGAAGGATATGAACAGGCACTTCTCAAAAGAAGACATTTATGCAGCCAAAAGACACATGAAAAAATGCTCATCATCACTGGCCATCAGAGAAATGCAAATCAAAACCACAATGAGATACCATCTCACACCAGTTAGAATGGCGATCATTAAAAAGTCAGGAAACAACAGGTGCTGGAGAGGATGTGGAGAAATAGGAACACTTTTACACTGTTGGTGGGACTATAAACTAGTTCCACCATTGTGGAAGTCAGTGTGGCAATTCCTCAGGGATCTAGAACTAGAAATACCATTGGACCCAACAATCCCATTACTGGGTATATACCCAAAGGACTATAAATCATGCTGCTATAAAGACACATGTACACGTATGTTTATTGTGGCACTATTCACCATAGCAAAGACTTGGAACCAACCCAAATGTCCAACAATGATAGACTGGATTAAGAAAATGTGGCACATATACACCGTGGAATACTATGCAGTCATAAAAGATGATGAGTTCATGTCCTTTGTAGGGACATGGATGAAGCTGGAAACCATCATTCTCAGCAAACTATCGCAACGACAAAAAACCAAACACCACACGTTCTCACTCATAGGTGGGAATTGAACAATGAGAACACATGGACACAGGAAGGGGAACATCACACACCGGGGCCTGTTGTGTGGCTTGGGGAGTGGGGAGGGATAGCATTAGGAGATACACCTAATGTTAAATGACGAGTTAATGACTGCAGCACACCAACATGGCACATGTATACATATGTAACTAACCAGCACGTTGTGCACATGTACCCTAAAACTTAACGTATAAAAAAGAAAAAAAAATCAAGTTGCCATTTAAGTATTAGCTGAATGTAAAAAATAAAAAAAATAAGAGATGGAATTAATATCTATGTCTAGAACTAGAATTTTATGCAAATTTCTAAGAAAACGATACACAACAGCAACAGAGTAAAAGTGAAGAGAAAGGGTAGACAATGCATTGAAAACAAAACACAGAGATTCCAAAAGAGAGCATCACCTAACAAGTGAAAAGGCCAGCCAATCTACAATCATAAACTTTCTTGAGCCCATTGCAGAGCTGAGGTGAAAAAAAGCAGTGAGATGAACTGCTTCCGAAGAGTGACAAGTCCCACCAAGAAAAGACCAGGCACATGAACTGCTTACCTTTAGCAGAACATGGGAGGAAGAGGTAGTTGCAATAAAGGCAGGTAAGAGGAAAACAGCTAAAATGTCTTTAAAACTTTTAAAGGCTGAGTGTAGACTAGTGTGACAGGCTTAGTACAATGGGGGACCGGGGGGTACCAGACACAAGGGGTCCTGCACTCACTCACAAGCATGCCTATGGCAGGTGCTCAAAACATAAATCAGGAGCAGGTCTAGAGACTAAAAAAAGTCTTCCTCAGTGGGGCACAGGCAAAAAAACTATGCTCACTCACCAGACCCTTCTTTCATATCCACAAAAGCCTTAAGCTAATGAAAAAGGAAAGGAAACCCTCAAACCTTCCCAGGGTCCTCTGTTTCTGGGTGAGGGGTGGAAGCAAATATGGTCTGCCACAAAGGAGGAGATGAAGGAAACCCTTTTGGGCCCAAGATCCTGCATTCATACAAACCAGGTAGCCAGTACAAAACAGATATAAAACATGCTAATGCATGTGAGGAAAAGAAAACTCCCCTCCAAGCCTCCCAGGGTGAAAGCAGAGATTAGCTGTTATGCAGGGAGGGGAAGGAGCACTGAGAAAAACCCACCTCAAGACTCAGGAGCACAGGTCACGCCTAAGACTGAAGGTGGGCCAGGAAACTGAGAATCATCACCACTTCGCAGTCATGAGCCTAGCACCAAGTGATAAGCCACAGCAGTATGCTGCTGAGAGACAAGCAGGAGGAAGACTCCTTCTGTGGTACAGGCATACAGGGAACACTGAGGATGAAGCAGGAACACTAAGAAAAACCCATGAGCAGGCCAGGCCCCACACTAAGTACAAGGTAAAAGAGCCCACCACTACAGAAATTTGAAGCCTCTGGTGCATTAAGAATAACTTCATAAGGAATAAGGACAGCCAAATCCAGCTGAGGGCTAAATCAACCTACTACAGTAACAGTATGACAGAAAATGAAACATGCCCATGACATAAACACTACCTCAATCTCTACTGTACATCTAGACACAGTGTCCAGCATTCACAAAAAATTACAAGATACACCAAGAAAGCAAGAAAAACTACCCACTGTCAAGAGATATGACAAAGAAATCTCAACAAAATGAGATTCAGAAATAACACACATGTTCAAACCATGAGGCAGGACTTTTTTTTTTTTTTTGAGACAGAATCTCGCTCTGTCACCCAGGCTGGAGAGCAGTGGCGCAATCTCGGCTCACTGCAACTTCCACCCCCCCAGATTCAAGCACTCCTCAAGATAGGACTTTTTAACTGGGATTAAGTTAAAGGATCTAATGAAAAAGTGGACAGCATGCATGGAGAGATGGAGAATTTCAACAGAAAAATGAATACTATCAAAAAAAAGTCAAATAATGACAGAATTGTTTTTTAATGATTATCAGAGTTTAAAAATTCTTTCTATGAGCCTATCAATATATTGGATACAGCTAAGGAATCAGCAAACATAAAAATCAGAAATTATCAAAGCTAAAATGTTAACAGAAAAGGGATGAAAGAAACAGAGCATCTAAAAACTGTGGGACAACATATTATTCAACATATGTGTAACTAGAGTCCCAGAAGAAGAGTGAAAAAGGCAAAAGAAATATTTCACATGATAATGGCCAAGAATTTTCAAAAACTAATGAAAAAAATATATATCTACCCAAGCAGGTTGGGGAATTCTAAACAGTAAGAAAAAAGACCTAAATCTACTACAAGACCTAGACACATGATATTAAACCCACTAAAATCCAAGGAGTACCACAAAATCTTAAATTCAGACATGAAAAAAAAATCACATAGAGGAACAAAGAAAAGAATTACATTAGACTTCTCATCAGAAATGAAGCAAGTTAAAAAAAAATGGAACATCTTTAAAGCACTAAAAGAAAAAACAATCTGTCATGCAGAATTCTATGCCCAGTAAAAGTATTTTCTAAAAATGAACAAACAGATGAGAAAGCCCCTGTGCCTCCCAGTATGCCACAGACATAACTGAAATCATGATTTCTAACACACTTCCTAGGAGTTAAACACTCTTATGTCTGTTTCTATCACTTATAATGTAAATCCCTCAAGGATGGAGGCACAGCTGATAAATCTTTGCATTACTAGAGCCTAGGACTATAACTACAGTGGTGGGCTTTTAATCAATGTGTGGTTGATGATGGAAGATGAAAGAATGGATGCTGGGACAGCTTTGGAGAGATAAGGAGGAAGCTACAAGTAGAACAATAGGATTAGAATAAGAGTGCAGAAGTCAGTTAAAAAGAAACCTAGAAGGCAGAGATGATGAAGCATAAAACCTCCTGGGATGTCTCAGTGGCCTGCAAATAATGATACCTGATCAGTAAATACAAAGAAAAACATCAGAGCAGTATCGATTTACATTATTTCTATATATTCAGCTACAATGTTTGGATAAAATAAATAAATTAGGAAGGAAAGTCCCAAGTTACCTACCTGGTAGATATTTTATAATGTGGAAAAACTCAAAGGCTAAACATTTATAATATATTCAGACAAAGAAATTTTTTTAAAGTTGTATGTCTAATATATCCAGTAAGATACACTAGATGAAAGAGGTTTATAAAATACACTAGATGAAAGAGGTTTATTACAGGATTTTGCAGATTAAGAGGGGGTTCAAACTCCAAAACCCACAGTTAGGACAGAATGAGGAAAGATGATGTCTTTTTCTGTGTACCCCTAGGTCAGGACTGAATAGCAAAGGGGGGAATGCATGACAAGGTGACAGGGTAATCACTGACCCAAGACCTCCACCCACATAGAGGCCAGATCCTCTTCAACTACAGTGAACTATGTGACCCTCCAATGAAATGGGGAAAGGGGATTGAGGGTAGTATGGACAAAACACAAGGGAAAGAAAACTTCTAAAAACCCAGACTAAAGTCTGAAGGAACCGTGCACTTGTTAGTGGGCCTGAGTACCCTGGAGAACCCCAAGCCTCTTCATGCCTCCATATGCCCAGGCACCCAAAGGTCCTTATGTCCTAGAAACTTACATCCTCCACAGGTCCCTCTCTAGAATCCACCCATAAGGAGATCATCATGTTATCACAAGGAAAATGTGGGCACTCTAAATATCTAAGAAAAGTTAACAACTTTGTATACCTCAAATGGAAAAATATAATACTATCAAGTTACAGGACTGAACAATCATGGCTGGATTTTCTGTTAGGTATTTTTCTGTGGCAAAATTACTGGTAAAGTACAAGACTGACTCCTAAGCCTCCTGAGGTTTATACTGACGGGGATATTTCACATACTGTACATTCACGGTGCTCCCCACAACACCTCACACACTGACATACAGACACAGAACACTGTTGGCATTTCGAAGCATTTAAAATACAAATGTTACTCAATATTAACACCACCATTTTTTTTTGGAGGGGAAAGATTATGAGAGAGATATAATTTTTCTCTGATGATTCCTTCTTTCATCCTCTCTTACCCGTTCCTGTAGAAGTTCCACAACTTGCTGGACACAGTCATTTACATCACAGGAGTCTGTTTTCAGCACCAACTCAGGGGCCTCTGGCTTTTCATATTCAGAATCGATCCCAGTGAAACCTGCAAAAGGTAACAGATAATAGAGTAGGGTGGAAAATAAAATTAAAATAGTTTATTTTTTCAGTGCAGATCTCTGCTACATTGAAGTTAGTATCTGCGCTGTCCCCCAAGCCACAGGGCTATAGTAATGAAGCATCTTTCTTGGGAGATTTCTAATTAAACTTTTTTTTTTCCTGCACTGGGGGCCATTTTAAACTGTAAAACTACCTAAAATACCACAAAAATGTAAAAAATGTGACACCAAATAGGCTGCAATAAGAATAATTGTTTATGGTTTGAGAACTAAAACCAGAAGGCAAAGTGCTGCCTTGTTTATTTTCGCTGGGAACTGTGTCAGGTGTGTCGGACGTGTTGCACTGACCATGAAAGTGCCAGGAGTACTGATGTGGAGATTACAAATAAATTTTGTCAAGTAGGCAAATTCATAAATATCAAATCCACAAATAGTAAGAATCAATTCTACTACTTTTGTCACCTTTTTTCTTTCTTTTTTGTCTTAAGAAAATGCCCAAGCTGCCTGTGAAGATATATGGAATTAATACCAGGTGATCCAAGGCATCTCAATTCTCTACAGGACATGGACATAAAACCAAACCTGACAAGATTATTTTTTTCTCAATGCAAAAACTAACACTAAGTCAATCTGTCCAGTACATTCACAAGAATTATCTGTGGCCAAATTGAAGCTCTGCAGGCTTCTTCTGCCATCAGATAACAAGTTTTAAGACAAATGAACTACTATTTGCTTAAACTAAACATAAACAAGGATAGTAAATAGATCACAAAATAAATTACACAATCACATATAATTTTAGTATTAACCACTATTTAGATTTTTCCTATGGTATATGTGTTACCATATAACTGCTAAGAAAAGAGCAAATAGACGACAATTTCCCAGAGAGGGTTATCTGAGTTAAAGATACGCTATTCCTATCTTATACCCCTGACCTTACCCCACACGTAAGTCATTCAAGGCTTGTCTATCTCGGAAAGCTTAGGTCATTCTTAGGTTAGAATGGTATGCATGAATTTAAAATCATTACCATTAATATTAAAAAATACAGCTAGCAAAAGAGTTCAAAAATATATACTACAAACCTACAGCCCATTTATTTCATTTTTTTTCTATTTCCTATTTCTAAGCATCCCCTGCAGCCCTGAACTCAAGAAAAAATTTCTGCGTTACCGGTATTCCCATTTAGCAGTGGGTCACAAGAAAATGGCTGGGAAAAAAAAAAATAATTCTGATTAAGAACACTAACTGTTAAGCTCTGATTCTCAAATGCGGTGATATACTGGAATCACCAGGTCCCACCCCATGAGATTGATTTCACTAGTCTGGGGTACAGCCTTGGCACTGGATTTTTTAAAGTTCCCAAGGAAATGCTTACATGCAGCAAAGCTTGACAAGCACTGGGTTAGAAGAGGTGGCTTAACATTTTAGAAGCCCTGGAGTTCTCCTACTAGATAATTTATCCATAAGTGATTACAATAATAAATGTAAATTGTGAGAAAAAACATATTTAAGCAGGTAATAAAAACTATCTTAAGCAGTCATCATGAAAATAATTGAGATTATCAGAATGGTTAATACAAGGATATACTGACTGTCCGATAAATGTCATGTAAAGGTCTATAAAAGCCTGAGGCCCCCTGAATATACACAATCTTGTCTGTGCTGGAATATATACCATTACAGCTTTGAAATAGAGTTGATAGGGAACTTGCTAAGCATCATTTACAAGTAAAAGCTTTTTAAAAAAATAAGCAACTCTATAATCAGGAACTCCAGCACCATGGCAAACCTAAGTATCAGTGTATGCATACAGACACACACACAAACACACATTAACCTAAGGAACATTTTATCAACCTCTACTCAGGGGAATGTAGTCAACAACAGGGGAATGTAGTCAACAGTTGAGAAAGTAAACAAGAAACTGGACTAATACAAACACACTCCCAGTTATAGAGTACAAACTGTAAGAGACCCAAGAGCATTGTGGACAAGGTCTTATTCATCTTTGAATACTTGGCACCAAATACATACCTTGCAAATAGAAAGCTGAGGACTAAACTCTGATTTTTTATCTTGCCCAAATTCCTATCTAAGGGGCCTGGGGAGTCATGCCCTACAAACCACAAATTTTCATCAGATAGGTTTTATTTAACCCTATATATCATGACTTCTTTTCCAACCTGACTCTGGCATAACATTGCAAGACAAGAAGAAAATCAAAATATTTTCATCAAAACATGTTTCTTTGCCATATTTTGAAATGGCCCTGCAAAGCTGTTCTTTGTGGGGGAAAATTTGCACCTTTAAAGAATCTTTATTAACAAAACTATATTTTTTTCTTCCAGACCCTCCCAATCCTAAAGAGATTAAGATCTGAATGGGGACATTTGTCATCTATTGTCTCTAAGGGTAGCCACTGTAAGACCTCAAAAGAACTTTGGTCTCCACAATCTTTATCTTAACCTGAACAATTCCCTTTCTATCAATCCCAGTTCTTCAGACAAACTCAACCAATTGTCAACCAGAAAACATTTAAACTCACCTATAGCCTAGAAGCTCCCCGCACCACCTGGCTTTGAGTTGTCCCACCTTTCTGGACCAAACCAATGTATTTGATTGATGTCTCATGCCTCTCTAAAATGTATAAAACCAAGCTGTGCCTCAACGACCTTGGGCACATGTTCTCAGGACCTCCTGAGGGCTGTGTCACGGGCCATGGTCAATCGTATTTGGTTCAGAGTAAATCTCTTCAAAAATTTTTTTTTTTTTAGATGGAGTCTCGCTCTGTCGCCCAGGCTAGAGTGCAGTGGCACAATTTCGGCTCACTGCAAGCTCTGCCTCCTGTGTTCACGCCATTCTCCTGCCTCAGCCTCCTGAGTAGCTGGGACTACAGGCGCCCGCCACCATGCTGACTAATTTTTTGTATTTTTAGTAGAGACGGGGTTTCACCGTGTTAGCGAGGATGGTCTCGAATCTCTTCAAATATTTTACAAGAGTTCAACTCTTTTTGTCGCCAAAGCATTGGCAAATGTGTGTTCAACATTCCACTCCCACTCCACCTTCTCATCCATCCAACAAGCATTAACTATGTGTGTGACAGGTGTATGCTTTGGGCAATGTACTGTGCTAAATTCTAAACACACACAAGTGTTCACTATGATCTCCCTGCTCACAAGTAGCCTACTCCAGCCAGGATGACAAACCTTCCTCCCTCACCAATCCATTCTTTCAAAAACAACAAAATCAACTAAAATTAAAGTAAGTAAAAGGTTTAGACTTTATTTAGGATCCTGGACACACCATTTTGCTTTTCTGTGCCAAATTTCTACACAAAGACTGAAGTGAAAACTGGCCATTGAGAGAGTAATATGGGAGCTGAAGGGCTAAACAGGTTTTCCTCCAATTGTCATAATTATTCTGGTTAAGCAGCCTGATCTTTCTGAGTCAAGAAAGTAACAGCTTAATGAGGTAGAGGGTTGACAGGCAGCAGTCCCCATCAAGGAGCTGATTCTCCATAGTGGCATTACCGGAGGTCAGCCTTGCCCATGGAACTAATGCTACTACAGCAGATGGAACCTGACCTAATTGCCAAAGCATTCCCAGGTTCAAATACAGAAGAACCCAGAATAACTACCATTTTCCTTCCCACTGTATCTTTTTGTTTTCAGGGCCAGAAACTGAATGCCAAAATCTATCTCTGAGAGAGCTCCTGGGAGTTTCTGTGACAGTCTCAGGTTATCACATTCCCTGCTGGGAAGGCAAACTTAAAAGTTACCTGCATGACTCACTGATCCCTAAACAATGGTATCTTTAGTTAGTTTTTTTGTTTGTTTTGTTTCGTTTTGTTTTTGTTTTGTTTTTGCCAGCAAGTCCTTTGTTTCTGTTAACAATAATGGAACAGGACAAGTCAAGGGATGTCTACAAGATAAATAGTATGATTAATATCAAAGGCCAGAGCAGAGTTGGGTTCTAAATTTCTCCCTCAATGTCTAAATGTCCATCACAGTTGAAACTCTGGGAAGCGGACCATAAAACCTAAAAAGCAAGGTGTAGAGCTGTCCCTTGGTAATCATGCGGATTTGTTCCCGGACTCCCTGTGAACACCAAAATGTGAGGATGTGCAAGTCCCTTACATAAAATGGTGTACTATTTGCATATAACCTATGTTCATTCTTTTATATACTTTAAATCATCTCTAGATTACTTATAATACCTAGTACAATGTAAATGTTATATAAATAGATGTTATACTATATTTGTTATTTATACTATTTTTAAATTGCTGTATTATTTTATACTGTTTCTTCTGGAATATATGCAATTCACGGTTGGTTGAAACCACACATGTGGAATGCACAGATGTGGAGGGTCAGCTGTATATATTTTAACAGAATCAGTGATATGTTAATTCAATCTAATTCAACAATAGTACATGAAATGAATAAGGGACCATTCCAAGGATCGTAATAAAGTACAAGGCATTATCCTTATCATCAAGATGCTTATAATTCAGGCATTTTTTCCAATAGCTATGGGATTTCCTCCATTTTCCCTGGAACAAAGAAAGTAGAATTGGTGGCAGCAGGCAACTGATGTCCAACTTAATGTTAGGCACCTAATTTTATCAAGTAGGTTTTCGCCAACTCCCGAGCCCCAACTCTGGCTAGTGAACAGGATTCCAAAAGGATCAACAAGACTCATTTAGTCCAGCACCAGGCACTGCTGCTATGCCTGAGAGATAGAACAGTGTAATAAGACTACATTCTCTCCTCAAGGAGCTCCAAGTCACTCTAACACTTCCAATCTCTTAGAAAATATCAATCCTAGATATGGGAACATAAAATATCTAAGCAAAGTGAAACTGGGAAGAAAATATTACTGACCTTTAATTTCTCCTGCCCGGGCTTTTTTGTAGAGTCCTTTGACATCCCTCTGTTCACAAACATGCAGAGGAGCATCAACAAATACTTCAAAAAACGGTAAACTTGCACCTTCATGAATTTGCCTTGCATTGTTGCGATCCTTAAAAAAAAATAAAATAAAAAGTGATCACACAAATCACAAACGTACTATATTAATATTAAAGATGAGTAAAAAGTGCTTCTCATCCAATTTAGTGGGAAATAGACAAAATTTATGTTTTTAAATATAAACTGAAAAAAAAATCCAAGAAATTATTAGGTTAATTCCTATTATTCATGACAATTTTAAAAGGCATACTGTTCTACTAACCCAGGATATTGGGGAGGTACAGAAGGAAAACAATGAATGTACCACAAACTTTTTCACTCAAATTCTACGTGGATCCTGAGCCAAAGCCCAGCCTGAATGCTGGTGTCATCAGGCTTCTCTCTAATATCACATTCAAACCCAGCCTGAGCTGGCATGAAAGCAATTTCACAAAAAAGATCCATTCAGAATCCTGAGGCTAGTTTACTTCTTTGCCAAATGCAAGCCCCCTGCAGCCACTTCTCCTCTCTAACACTCCCCAAACTTAACTTTTCTGCTCCTAACTCCCAACTCTCTAGTAACCACCCTTGCAGCTCCCTCTAAGCCCTCTCCACTCTGTCCTTTGGAACAATGTTTCCTTTGTAAATCAACCTTTTCTTCTTTCTGGTCTTCAAAACCTGATTCTCCCTTTGCTCCACATTTATACTCCATTAATCAAAGTGCAGTTGCCAATATTTTCAAAGCTGGTCCCTGCAATTTCTACCATCCTTTTTCCACACAGCTCATTTTAGCATTTGCCATCTTCCTTATGGTCCCTCTGACAATCCTCACCTACTTCCACTCTCACCAGATTACCATACTTCATGTTTCAAAAAAAAAAAAAAAACAAATCTCCAAGAATAAGCTCTCAATCTCTTCTCTTTCAAGCAAAATCTCTTCTCTGTCATACAAATTTATCTACATACTAATGATCCTTTTCTCCCTGCCACTCCTACCTTCACATACTAGGAATTCCCTCCCCTTTCATGAACTCCTACAGGACCTGTTCAACCCATTCTCTCTACTCCACCTGAAATCTTCAGCATTCCCCCTTTGCTGGGTTCCCTGCTCCCCAGCAACAAACAAGTACAAGTCCATTTAAAACAAATGAACTGCTAAGGGAAGTTCACCCATTTAAAACAAAACAACTGCTAAGGGCAGTGGTGTAGCACGCTTATAGTCCCAGCTACTTGGGGAGGCTGAGGCAGGAGAATCACTTGAGCCCAGGGGTTCCAGGCTGTAACACACTACAATTGTGCCTGTGAATAGTCACTACACTCCAGGCTGAGTGACAGAGTGAGATCTTGTCTCTAAAAAAATTTTCAGCATAATGAACTAACAAATCATATAAAAACTTTCCCTTAACCATAGGTCCTTTTCAGTATTTAAAATACCAGGCCTCTTTGCTGCTTTCCCACTGCTATGCCTATGGATGCCTATAATGTTATTCCCTGATCTTTCCTAGGCAGACTCCTCCTGGGCTCCTCCTATTTCACCCATCCCTTAACACTGGAGTTGCCCACACTCCCATCACAGCCCACTGCTCACCTTACACAGTTCTTGAGCGTTTCTCTCAAGTGCCTTCACAGTATAAACTACAACACATACATCAACACTGAAGCTTGAACCCTGACCTCTGTCCTGAAATTAAACACACATGTCCAAATTCTTCCTATGTCCACCTGGATATATCACAGGTGCCAAAAACTAAGCATGTCCAAAACTAAATCCAGTCCCTTTTCTCTCAAGTTTACATTCTCTCATATGCTTCCCAAATCAAGGAAGACCACACTACACACCCACAATCCTAAGAGTGGTTCCTTCCCTTTCCCATACATTAATTCAGTCACAAAGTCCTTCAGATGTTACTTCTAAATATTACACCAACCCAGTTTGCAATCTTTCCCTATTCCCTAGTTCAACCTCACTTCTCTTGTCTGAACGGCCTCAACATATTACAGGTCTTCTGGCTTCTAACTCGGATCTGCTCAAAGCCATAATCTACACTGTGGCAAAGGATGCAAATCTGACCATCCTACTGAACTCTTCAGAGACTCTCTGCCACTACTGGGGTAAAATCCGAGTTTCTTAATGTGAGGCATCAGCCCTATACCTGGCCCCACCATTCTCAGTCTTGCACTTGATGCTCTATTGATAATACCTGCCTGGTCAGGCTGTTTCTACCTTAGGCCTCCCCACGCCACAACCCAACCCCTACCAGCAACACTCAACCCCTCTCTTCTGGACAAACCAATGTGCTTCCTCACAGCACATCTCCATGGTGACCTCCTCCAGGAAGCCTTCCCTGCATGCTCAGGCTGATGAGGCCCCTTGCTTTCTCAGGGTTCTCAGAATACTCACTACATATGATCATAGATCTTTTTCCAGTATATTAAAATCATCTCATCAGCTTTACAAGTTTAGTGTCTGGAATAGCAATTAAGCTATGATCTTACTATTCTAACTATCCTTTTAAAGGAAAGTGTCAATGAGTTTCTATCCCTGTCTCTCATCTTATTACTCTTCTGTATCTAATCGTCCTCATCTAGGTTTCAACTAATAAAGTTAATGATTCCTAAATCTAGATCTCAATCCCATACAACTTTCCTAAACTCTAAAACCAATTTCCTAGATGGCCCAGTGGTAATCTCCACTTAGACTAACTCCACTAGCACTTCAAACATAACCCACCAAAAATGAAATACGCATGTCCTCCCCTCCTATCCTGTACTTCATAACTCAGTCATACCAACCTTTATTCAGAAAGCACCATGCTTCATTCTGCTCTCCCATAAAATCAGCAATCAAGCAGGCACCAGGTCTTACTGATGCTACTCAAGCCTCAAGAGCCCTTAAATATGCCCCCATCTTTACTAGTCCCATTGCTGCTGCTTGAGTTCACATCCTCTTCCCTGAAGGAGCTGGTGCTACGGCAAGCCTCCTGGCTAGTCTCCTACCTCCAGACCAGTCTCAATCCAGGCTTCAAGGATGACCTCACTCAAATGCAAACCCAATGATACCAATCTCTGTTATAATCTCAAACTATTAACTCCTTTTGGGGCAAAATCCTTTCTGAGCAGTGCAGAAGTCACCACCTAGCCTCTGCAAATTGATCAGCTCCATCTCCCCTCACAATCATCCTTCATATCAGTCACACCAACCTACCTACAGTTCCCCAAAAAAACAAACTGTCTCACATTCCATTGAGCATACTATACTGTCTCCTCTGTCTGAAACAGTTTTCTCCCTCTGGTCTAACTAGTATACTCTGATTCATCCTTCATGACTCATTTCAAGCAGCAGCTCCTCTGTGATTCTCTCATAACACCTTTCACATATATGTACTTCATCACTTGCCTCAAGATATTGTAACTCTTCACATCTCCGCATTCCCACCAGACTACCAACTCCTTCAGAATAGGAAGTATCAGGTTAATTTTCAGAACCAATATGCTCAGTTCAGTGGTTGACATGGAAATTCCCAATAAACTTCTCTTGAATGAACAAATATAATCATGACTATACAGAAAAATACACATGTCCTGTATTGCATGTTTCAATCCAAATATTTTCATGGATTTTCAGATGCCCTAAACATAGTCCAAACCTCATTATCAGTGCTTTTATAGATGAGGTCAACAAAGATTTTGCTCCACACTATACAAACAAGGGGGCCACAAAGCAGATCAGCACACACTCTTAGATACCCAGGTGTCGGCTGATAGCTCTCCATAACAGGTATTATAGACCTCCCCCTTTTCCGAGAGCTGCAAGATTCCCACCAGAAGGTATAAGAATGCCAATATCATATTTTTATGAAAATTGTGTATATCCAAGGATTCAGGAACTCTAACTCTTATTATGCTCCTATTATTTATACACTTTAAACTGATATATTGGCAATGACCCAAGGGTTTCAAGAAATGGTTTTTACAGAATGTTTTAGGACTCCTGCCATGGTTCAATTAAGTGAACCTGTGTAAATAATACTCAATCTAACACTTATCCATAATTCTTACAGGTCAAATCTTGTTTAAAAAAAAAAAAAGTCCAAGTAACCATCAAAATTTATGATACAGTACTAGAATTGTGCTAATATAATTTATTCCATTTATTGAATAGTTATTACATGCCAGGCACTGTGCTGAGGCTTTAAACACATGACTTACGTAATCTTCAGAGCAACCCTATGTTGTAGGCATTACTTGAACTGCAGGAGGTTAAGTGTGCTGGACAAGGCCACAGCAGCAATAACTGGCAGAGCTGAGATTTCAGCCCCTTTGTTTCCAACTCCAAAGACCCTGCCTCTCACCTCTATACTAACTCGCTTATTCACTGATATCAGGGCTTCCCAAGGGAGTATGCTATTGTTCAACAAACACTAATCATATAATATGGTCCAAGAGCCGGGCTTGGCATCAAGATTACAAAGGCAAATAAGACACGGTCCCAGCTGTCAAGGAGCCAGTGGGGTTTGGAGGCAGCATAGCATCTAAGCCCAGGAGACGCACTGTCTGGATGCAAACCTGTGCTCTTCTACAAGTATAGTGTGTGACCTTGGGCAATGCACACCTTTGTTTCCTTGTGTCCCCACTAGGAGACAAGAATTACTTGAGTTAATTCACATAAAAGCACTCTAGCAGTTACCAGAACACAGTTAAGTGTTCAATAAATGTTAATATTATTACCACTACAGCTACTATCAATATCAACAGTCAATGAATTGGGTTTTTAAAAATAACATATGCATACCTGCAACCATCTTATCTTTGACAAACCTGACAAAAACAAGCAGTGGGAAAGGATTCTCTATTTAATAAATGGTGCTAGAACTGGCTTGCCATATGCAGAAGATTGAAACTGGACCCCTTCCTTACACCATAGGCAAAAATTAACTCAAGATGGATTAAAGGCTTAAATGTGAAACTCAAAACTATAAAAACCCTAGACGAAAATCTAGGTAATACCATTCAGGACACAGGCACAGGCAAAAGATTTCATGACAAAAACATCAAAAGTAATTGCAATAAAAGCAAAACTTGACAAATGGGATCTAATTAAACTAAAGAGCTTCTGCACAGAAAAAGAAACTATCATCACAGTGAACAGACAACCTACAGAATGGGATCAACAAGGAACTTAAGCAAATTTACAAGAAAAAAACATTAAAAAGTGGGCAAAGGGTATGAACAGACACTTCTCTTAAGAAGACATACATGCAGCCAACAAACATGAAAAAAAGCTCAACATCACTGATCATTAGATAAATGCAAACGAAAACCACAATGAGATACCATCTCACACTCGTCAGAATGGCTGTTATTAGAAAATCAGGAAACAATAGATGCTGGTGAGCTCGTGGAGAAAAAGAAATGCTTTTACATTGTAGGTGAGAATGTAAGTTAGTTCAACCATTGTGGAAGACAGTGCAGTGAATCCTCAAAGATCTTGAGGCAGAAATACCATTTGACCCAGCAATCCCAGTACTGAGTATATACCCAAATGAGTATAAGTCACTCTATTACAAAGATACATGCATGAGTATGTTCACTGCAACACTATTCACAGTAGCAAAGACATAGAATCAACCTAAATGCCCATCAACGATAGACTGGATAAAGAAAACACGGTGTGTATATATATATATATATATCATGGAATACTATGTAGCTAAAAAAGGAATGATATCATGTCCTTTGCAGGGACATGGATGGAGTTGGAAGCCACTAACCTCAGCAAACTAACACAGAAACAGAAAATCAAACACTATATGTTCTCACTTATAAGTGGGAGCTGAATAATGAGAACACACGGACACATGGGGGGAAACAACACACACTGATGACTGTTGTGGTTGGGGAGGGAGAACATCAGGAAGAATAGCTAATGGATGCTGGGCTTAATACCTAGGTGATGGGATGATCTGTGTAGCAAATCACCATGGCACACGTTTACCAATTTAACAAACCTGCACATGTAGCCCTGATCTTAAAATAAAAGTTGAAGAAAATAAAATAATGTGTTAAGGTACCTAACCTAAGTCTCCATCTATAACTGGAAGTCAGCTGACACTGTGAAAACAGGAACAGGAGGGAGAAGAGTGCTTTCCAGGCAGGGAGGAAACAAAAATCCTGAGATAAGAAATGACATAATTTTTTCAGAGAAATACACAAACATGGTTTGTTGTTGCTGCAGTCTCTAAAATAAGAGGAACTATGATGCAAGCTAAGAACAACGAATTCTGAGCAAAGAAGCCATGGTAGGGCACATGTTAAGAAAGTTAGATTTTCTCCGGAGTTTGACATCTGTCAAGTATTCACTATAGTTTTATTAAGTTGAAAAGTTGAGCCTGAAATAATTTGGCCATTGGCTTAAATTCAATGACTGTGTTATACTTCACGGCTTTTTTAAAAGCAGGTTTTATCAAAACCAGATTTACTTAGAAAGTCACAGCATAGAAATGTTTTAGGTTATTTTAATCCTATGTTACAGGAACAAAGAGATGGTAGCTGGGGAGGAGTAGAGTTAGCCTCAAAGCACATATCAATGTTTAAAGTATGTGCTTTGCCTGATACCATATTCTCAATAAATGTAAGCAGAAAGGCAATGGCACAAAAACCACATACCTGAGTGTAAGGTGATATGAAACTTGTGATGCACACTAAGCCAGCATCTGCAAACAGTTTAGCAACTTCTGCGATGCGTCGAACATTCTCTTCTCTGTCTTCAGGACTAAAGCCAAGATTTTTATTGAGACCTTGACGAATATTGTCACCATCCAGAGTGTAGCATGGAATACCATGACAAACCAGGTACTCCTCCAAGGCCATGCTCACAGTAGTCTTTCCCGCTCCAGACAAGCCTAAAATTAAACAGTCCAAACAGATTCCATGTGTAAAGTTAGAAGGATAACTATGTAGTAATACTTTTTTTTTCCCAGAAACAAGAGTCTTGCTCTGCCACCCAGGCTGGAGTGCAGAGGCTGCATAGCTCACTGCAGCCTCAAACTCCTGGACTCAAGAGATCATGCCTCAGCCTTCCAAATAGCTAGGACAACAGGCACATGCCACCACATCCAACTTATTTTATTATTTGTAGAGACAGAATTCTCAATATGTTGCGCCAGCTGGTCTCAAACTCCTGGCTCAAGAGATATAAAAAATTGCAATCACAGGATTAAATACATTCATTATGCAAAGCAATCTCTCAGTAATGTTCTTATCTAATATTTCTCTTTAAGATTTACCTCTTGCCTAGGAAAACACCTACAGTTTAAACATAATAAGTGTTTGTTTTAATGAAATATCTATGAGCAAACGTATCAGAAATCACTGATAAACTTCAGAAAGGCTTAACTAATTTTATTAGCAGACATGGTTGGGAATTCACTTTGTCCTCTCGTTACCACTTTTCTAAAGCTGCATGCCAAATTTTAAAACAAAGTCATATGCCCAAATTATTTCTGGTGAGGGAAGAAAAAGAAAGGACAAAAGAAAGAAATGTTACAAAGGTACCTCCATTTTCCTAGATCATCAGCACTCACAAACCACCTTGATACAATTATCTGGGAGTCCAATTTATAATATAATTAATTTTAATAGAACACCCTCATTTCAACTCACCTTCCTATACCAACAGTATTTACTCAGTAAACAAAGAGAAGGAAAGAGTACATTTATGCACTATTACTTGCCAACTTGGCGAGTGTCATAACCAAGATAGTTCTAAAACAAGAGATAAAATACTAAAGTCTAATGTACCAATGCTCTTGAAAGAATTCATGGTAGTACAGAAGGCTAACTGGAATAAAAAAAAAAATAGAAGAGAGGGCTTTTTTTTGGTTCCATATGAAATTTAAAGTAGTTTTTTTCTAATTCTGTAAGAATATCAAATGGTAGTCTGATGGGAATAGCATTGAATACATAGATTACTTTGGGCAGTATGGCCATTTTCACGATACTGATTCTTCCTATCCATGAGGCTGGAATGTTTTTCCATTTGTTTGTGTCCTCTATTATTTCCTTCAGCAGTGGTTTGTAGTTCTCCTTGAAGAGGTCCTTCACGTCCCTTGCAAGTTGTATTCCCAGGTATTTTACTCTCTTTGTAGCAATTGTGAATGGGAGTTTATTCATGATTTGGCTCTCTGCTTGTCTATTGTTGGTGTAGAAGAATGCTTGATTTTTGCACATTGATTTTGTATCCTGAGACTTTGCTGAAATTATTTATCAGCTTAAGGAGTTTTGGGGCTGAGACTATGGGGCTTTCTAAACATAGAATCATGTTATCTGCAAACAGGGACAATTTGACTTCCTTTCTTTCTATTTGAACACCCTTTATTTCTTTTTCTTGCCTGATCGCCCTGGCCAGAACTTCCAATATTATGTTGACTAGGAGTGGTGAGAGACAGCATCCTTGTCTTGTGCCGGTTTTCAAAGGGAATGCTTCCGGCTTTTGTCCATTCAGTATGATATTGGCTATGGGTTTGTCATGAATAGCTCTTATTATTTTGAGATATGTTCCATCAATACCTAGTTTATTGAGAGTTTTTAACATAGATGTTGAATTTTATCAAAGGCCCTTCCTGTGTCTATTGAGATAATCATGTGGTTTTTGTTATTGGTTCTGTTTATGTGATGGATTACATTTACTGATTTGCATATGTGGAGAAAATTTTTGCAATCTACCCATCTGACAAAGGTCTAATATCCAGAATCTACAAGGAACTTAATACAGAAGAAATAAACAACCCCATCAAAAAGTGGGCAAAGGATATGAACAGACACTTCTCAAAAGAAGACACTTAGGTGGCCAACAAACATGAAAAAAAGCTCAACATCACTGATCATTAGAGAAATGCAAATCAAAACCACAATGAGATATCATCTCATGCCAGTCAGAATGGCTATTACTAAAAAGTCAAGAAACAACAGATGCTGGAGAGGCTATGGAGAAATAGGAACGCTTTTAAACTGTTGGTAGGAAATGTAAATTAGTTCAACCATTGTGGAAGACAGTGTGGTGCTTCCTCAAGGACCTAGTACCAGAAAATACCATTTGACCCAGCAATCCCATTATTGGGTATATACCCAAAGGAATATAAATCATTCTACTATAAAGATACACGCACATGTATGTTTATTGCAGCACTATTTACAATAGCAAAAACATGAAACCAACCCAAATGCCCATCAATGATAGCCTGGATAAAGAAAATGTGGTACATATACACCATGGAATACTATGCAGCCATAAAAAGGAATGAGATCATGTCGTCTGCAGGGACATGGACGGAGCTGGAAGCCATCATCCTCGGCAAACTAACACAGGAACAGAACACCAAACACTGCATGTTCTCTCTCATAAGCGGGAGCTGAACACATGGACATGGAGGGGAACAACATACACTAGGGCCTATCGGTGGGGAGGTGGAGGCCTCCCAGTGGGGGTAGGTAGGGGAGGGAAAGCATCAGGATAAATAGCTAATGCATGTGGGGCTTAAAACCCAGATGATGGGTTAACAGGTGCAGCAAACCACCGTGCCACAAGCATGTAACAAACTGCACGTTCTACACATGTATCCCAGACCTTAAAGAAAAATTTAAAAAAAAAAGAAGAGGAGGATATGTTGAGAGCATCGATACAGTGTCAGTTGCTTTATACATTAAAAACCGATATTAATGACTGTAGCCAGCTGCATTTTCCAAAGATGGCTGCAACTGAATATCCCATCCTACAAGTGTCTACAATGTGACTTTACTACTGTCACATCAAGAGGTACTAATTCCCTGCCCTAAAATGTGGGCTGGCCTTAGGACTTACCTGCAGCCAAAAGAATGTAGTGAAATAGTGACACGATGATGTGTGACTACCAAGGCTAGGTCACAAAATGCTATGCAGCTTTTCTTTGGTCACTTAATTTGGGAGAAGCCAGTGACTAAATCCCTTGAGACCACCATGCTAACGTGATCCCAAGCAGGTGTACCAGCCACTCTCAGCCCGCTAAGCTCCCAGCTGACAACCAGCAGCATCTGAGTAAGTCATCTTGGACATCCTGCCCAGCTGAAACTTCAGATGACTGTGGCCCAGGCCAGCATGACAACAACCAAGCAAGCCCTAAGCATAGCTGCCTATCTGAGCCCTTTTAAATCCCTTACCTTCAAAATGGTAAGCAAAGTTAAATGGCAATTGTTTTACAACACTGGGTTTTAGGCAAATTGTTACACAGTAACAGTAGGTGGAACAAAGGGATGGTGGCTAGGGTGAAAAAGGTTGTTCGTTATTTCTTTTGAATTGTTGTTTTTAACCACCAATTGAGCATCAAGTATCAGGGAAAAAAAAGTTTGAAACTCTAAACTTTTACACAACAAAAACAACCTAAATTATAATAAAAGTGTCTGTTCATACATACATGTGTATTTATATGTTTTAAGTGCATATTTAATTTGAAACAAATAAGCACTGTTGAAAATTGAATTACTGATATAAACAGTTTCATTTAGATAATTATAGTCAACAGAGCAGTCAGAGGAAACTGATAATACAAGATAAGCAATCCAAATCTAAGATATGGATAACTGGTATACCTGAAGAATAGAAACCAGCTCTACTGGGTTGAATAGTGTTCCCCAAATATTCATGTCCACCCAGAACCTCAGAAGGTGACCTTATCTGGAAATAGAGTCTTTACAAACACAATCAAATTAAGAGGAGGTCATACTGGATTAGGGTGATCCAACAGCTGGTGTTCTTACAAGGCTATAAGACAAAAAGAGATTGGAGTGATCCGTCCACACACCAAGGACTGCCAGCCACCAGCAGAAGCCAAGGGGGAAACAGAAGAGATTCTCCCTCAGCACTTACAGGAGGAACCAACCTCACCACAAACTTAATTTCAAACTTCTAGCCTCGAGAACTGTGGGAGAATAAATTTCTTCCACCTATTTTGTGGTTAATTTGTTATGGCAGCCCTGGGAAGTTAATATACCAACCAATGTAGAAACACAAAACAACAAAATTTCCCTAAAATAAAATCTGATAAAAAGTGAAACACGTCTAGCAAAACAGCATACAAAAATCACTCAATAGCTTGGGCAGATCCAGGTTAAGCATCTGAATTGCAAGAAAAAAACAAATCTTGACTTCCATGTCCAACATCATTATCAAAAAACATATATATGAAGGCTACAGAAGATTTGACACCACAACTGACAAGCTTAATCTATTATACAGAATACTGCACACATCAGGTGAATACATATTCTTTTCAAATACACGTTTATGAAAACTACAAGTTTTCCAGGTCCACATGGGAGGAGCTTGAAAGTCACCACCACATCCGAACAAGTGAAAACCTGAACAGAATAACTCTTCTTGGATCCGTGAGGGGAGGACAGGGGGCAAACCACTGCCTCCATGAATGGGGAGACAGGCAAATGAAGGGAGTAACTATTGACTGCAGCAGAGACTCACTGTGGGGAAAAGTACTGTGGGAACCAGTGTCACACAGAAAAACCTAAACTGTAATTGATGAATTAATTAAGGCTCAGTGTGGACAAGTCCGAGAGTTAAAAATTTCAAAGGAACCTCGTTATAGGGAGGGCCCCACAACATTGTGAGTTTCACCTCCAGGAGCTCAATCAGGTTCTCACAGTAAATATTGGAGAAAAATCCCCAAGTGCTTCCATTCTGAAATACACCAGAGCACCAGATTTTTTTTTTAACAAGGACTGAACTCAGGAGAAACTATTTAACCAAAGCCTAACCTGCTGAGGTTTTATTGGAACCTAACTGACCTGGGGGAAGGGAAATACCAACTCCAGCCAATTCTAGCCATCCCGTCCCAATTGAGGAAGGCATAGGGTGGGGGCAAGGTGATGACTGAAAACTTATTACATACTAGACCACAGAGCAAGTACCAAAAAATCAGATAAGCTTTATTTATAAGTATCATTAGTGATGAAATAAATGGAAAACACCACGTTCAAGAAAAAGAGTACCCAATATTCTAAAGATCAATTTTCCCCCAAAATTAATCTTAGATACAATGCAATCCCAAACTAAATAACAACAGAGTTCAGGGGAATTGGTTAAATCTATTACAAGATTTAGACAACACTAAGAGCCAAAAAAAAAAAGGAAGTCACAATGAAAAAGAAAAGTCAACATTGCTGATGAAGAACAAGGTAAGAGGACTTACTCCACTGTCCTTCAAGATTTATAAAAATACAGTAACTAAGAAATGTGGCATTAACAGAGGAACAGACAAATATATCAGTGGGACAGAGCAGAGGGCCCACACATAAGTGGAGACCTGATATAAAACAAAGCAGACACTGCAGATCAGAGAAAAAAGACACCCTCATAAATCTATGTTCTTGGGATAAGTGATTATCCACATGGAAAAAAACGAAAATGGATCTGTCCCTCACACTATACACAAAAATCAACTGCAGATAAGGACCTAACTGAGAAAGACAAAAGCCTCTATTTCCCTGTATTTTTACAGGGAAATAAGTAATTCCTTAGTCATCCAGATGAAAAAAGGAACGCTCCTAAAAAGAAAAAGCTGATTAGGCTCACACTTATTCAAAACATTTAATGCCAGAAGACAATAGAGTACTGTTTTTAAAATTCCAAGACCAAGAAAGTATGAACCAAATATATATTTTACCCAGCCAAGTTGGCATAAAAGGTAGTCATTCTCAAACATAAAACCTCCAGGAGTTCAGAACCTAATGGAAGGCCATCTTGCAAAAATTATTTAACAATGAAATACAGACAATTAAAGACCATTCAAATAAAGAGCTCATGAGTGAACATGTCATAGTAAAATAACTGATGGGAAGCTACCAACTATTGACCCATTAAGTGCTATAAACCTGGGCAATAAAAATGTAACAATTTAACTGTCTGGAATTAAGAATGAGGAAATGGGAAGAATGTGAGAGTGTATCTTCTTTCATACAAAAACAAACAGACCTGTCTAAAAATGAAACATGATTAAAAAAACAAAAGAGTAACTTTTTTGCCAATCAGCACAAATTTTTAAGAACTGGTAACAACCACTGTTGACAAAGACACTGGGAAATAAACACCCTCCCATACTGCTGGTAGGAGAGTAAACTGGGATAAAATTTTAGTGGGCAATGTGGCAAAATGTATCAAAATTTTAAATATAATTCACAGAAGTGAAAGCATCCATCGTTTTTAAAGCTACTTCAAAATCTGTATCAATTCAGTCACTCACCAGCCTGCTATGACTAAGCCAAAAGACAAGACTCTAGGGAAACAATCAAAGGCCATAGCAAAAGCTGAATAATAGAAATTCACTTTGTGAAAATTCTTGCCACTCATTCTTTCTGGTTGTACCATGCTATGGTTTGAATGTGTCTCTCAAAGTTCATGTGTTGGAAACTTAATCCTCAATGCAACAGTGTTGAATGATGCAGTCTAACGGAGGTGTTTAAGTCATGAGGGCTCCACCCTCATTAATGGAATAATCCATCTATAAAAGGGATTGAGGCTGTGAGTTCAATCTTTTGCTCTTTCTCAGCATGTGATGCCTTCTGCTGTATTACAAACATAGCAAGAAGATGCTAGTCCCTCAATCTTGGACTTCCCAGCCTCCAGAACTATGAGAAATAAATTTCTATTCATATAAATTACCCAGTCTCTGGTATTCTGTTATAACAGCATAAAATAGACTAAGACGTATGGTTTTCACTGTTAGCTTCTCAGAGCAGAATCCAGATCTTATTTGCACTCAGAAGTGTGTAGAATTTAATGTGCTATCTATGAAAAAGTAGTTTTAAGGTTCATTGTGGTTTTTACCTTTATTTAACAGCAATCCTATAAAAGAACAAAAAAAAAAATAACAAGAAATATTATTAAGCAACTATGTCAGTTATATGTCGTGATGCTCCAAATACAAGAACAGAGCTCAAAATTTAAATATGCTTACGCCTAGTCCAAGGTTACCTATATGCACTGCTTTTAAAATAAACTGCTTTCTCTCTCTTGACCATACCTGTTAGCCAAACTGTGCAACCACGAAAGCCACCTCTGGTCCCCACCACCTGACCTCTCTTGTTCCTGCTGACATGATGGGCTTGGTAGGTGACATTGGTTGCTCTCTGCATTCCCTAGAAAAAAAAGAAAAAAAAAATTCTAGTTTACATGAGTCCTTTAAAAGGCAAACACATATTCCTTGCAAACACACAAAAGTCTATGTAACATGCCAAAAGCAAAGAAAAAGATAAAACAGTTTTTTTTTTTCCTTAGAGTACTGGCATGGTGTTTACTGCTTTCCACATGCCAACTGATTTAATCCTCACAGCAATCCAATGACATAGGTACTCTTACTACTAAGGTTTTACAGATGAAGATTTTAAATCTGAAAAATGGTAAATAACTTGCCGGAGATCCCAAAACTAGTGAGTGGCAGACTCCAGAGCCTAGTCCTTTCACACATTCATTTATTCGTTCATCCATTCAGATAGTATCTACTGAGGCCCTACTAGTATGCCATGTGAGCAAAACAAGGTCACTACCCTCAATTAGCTTACATCCCACTGGGGAACAATGTAAACCAATAAAACTTAACTACAACATCAGAGAGTGATAAGTGCACTGTAGAAAAATAACATAGGGTAAAAAAGGAAACAGAGTGCCTCTTTAGAGAGGATAATCAAGAAATGCTAAGAAGGTGACATTTGAGTAGACTCCCAAAGAAAGTGTGAAAGAGATGCCTATGGGTATCATGAGATAGCTACTTCTGAAATGAAAAAAGTGGAATGTACTGGTTATAACTTCATGTTCTCCCAAAGCTGCTTCAAAAAAAAAAAAAAAAGCATAAAATTACTTAGGCCTCAAAGTATCTGAACAGGCTTTCCTCCAAAGAAAACATACAAATGGTCAATAAGCCACATTATTTAAATAATATTCAACATCATTAGCCACCAGGAAAATGCAAATCAAAACTACAATAAGGTATCACTTTGCACCCACTAGGATAGCTGTAATAAAGACAGATAATAACAAGTACTGGGGAGGATATGGAAATATTGGAATCCTCATATATTTGTTGTTGCGAAAATAGTAGTCATTTTGGAAAACAGCAGCCCCTCAAAATGTTCAATACAGAGTTATCATATGACCAAACAATCCCATGCCTACATTATACTCACAAGAAATGAAAACATATGATCACATAAAACTTGTACATACATATGTCCACAGCAGCATTTTCAGAAATACATTGTTATTATCATCACCATGTTATACATCTTTTGAACTTAATCCTTGTATCTAAATAAAATTTTGTACCCTTTGACCAACATCTCCTCCAACCATCCTCCTCGACCCCCACTCGACCCCAAACCTCGCAGTCCCTGATAAACACCATTCACTCTCTACTTCTACAGGTGCAACTTTTTTAGATTCCACATGTAAGTGAGATCATATGGTACTTCCCTTTCTGTGCCTGGCTTATTTCACTTAACATTTTATCATCCATGTGGTAACAAACAAAAGGATTTGTATAATTTTTAAGACTCAATAGTATTCCACTGTGTAAATATACTACTTTTTTTTAATCCATTTATCAACTGGTCAACACTTAAGCTGATTCCATATCTTGACTATGGTAAATAGTGCTGCAATTTACAATTAACATGAGAATGCCAATATCTACTCTACATACTGATTTCACATCCTTTCATTATACACCTAGTAGTGGGATTGCTGGATCATATGGTAGTTCTACTTCTAATTTTTTGAGGAACCTCCATATTGATTTCCATAATGGCTATACTAATATTCCCACAATAGCACACTAGGATTTTCTTTTCTCACATCCTCACCAACACTTTTGTCTTTTTTATAACAGCCATTCTAACAGGTGTGAGGTGATAGCTCACTGTGGTTTTAATTGCATTTCCCTGATGAGTAGAGAAGTTGAGCCGATGATTAGAGAAGTTGAGCCTTTTTTCATATACCTGTTGGCTATTTGTCTATCTTCCTTTTAGGAATGTCTATTCAGATCCTTTGCCTATTTTTTAATTGCACTGTTTTCTTGCCACTGAGTTGTTTGGCTTCCTATTTTGGATATTAACCCCTTATCAGATGTATGGTTTGCAAATATATTCTCCCATTCTGTAGGTTGTCTCTTCACTCTGTTGATTGCACCCTTTGCTGTGGAGACAATTTTTATTTGATGTACTCCCATTTGTCTATTTTCATGTTTGTTGCTTGTACTTTTGGAGTCATATCCAAAAAAAAAAAAAATCACTGCCTAAACTAGTGTCATAAAACTTTTTTCCTACTTTCCTCTAGCAGTTTTAGACTTTCTGATCTTACATGTAAATTTTTAATTCACTTTGAGTTTTTTTTATATGAGGTGAGATAAGGGTCTAACTTCATTCTTCTTCACGCAGATATCCAGTTTTCCCAACACCATTTTTTGAAGACTGTCCTCTCCCCATCATGTATTATTGGCACCTTTGTCAAAAATCAATTAAATATAAATGCATGTATTTATATCTGGGCTTTCTGCTCTGTTGTATGGTTTATATGTTTGTTTCTGTATCATGCTGTTTTGATTACTATAGCTTCAGAGTGTGTTTTAAAGTTACGTAATGTTAATACCTCCCGCTTTGTTATCTTTGCTCAAGATTGCTTTGGTTATCTGGGGTCTTTTGTGGTTCCATACAAATTTTAGAACTGCTTTTTCTATTTCTGTGAAGAATCCTTGGAATTTTTATAGGGATTGCATTGAATCTGTAGATCACTTTAAGTAGTATGGACATTTTAACAATATTAATTCTTTCAATCCATGAATACATACAATGTTTCCTTTTATTTCTGTCTTCAATTTTTTTCATCAATGTTTCACAGTTTTCAGTATACAGGTCTCTTACTTCCTTGGTTAAATGTATTCCCAAGTATTTTATTTTTCTGGTAGCAACTATAAATGAGATTGTTTTCTTATTTCTTTTACAGGTACTTCAATGTTAGAATATAAAAACACTACTACTTTTCTAATGTTGAGTTTGTATTCTGCAACTTTACTAAATTTATTTATTCTAACAGTCTTCTGGTGAAATCTTTAGGGTTTTCCATATTATTTAAAACCACGTCATCTGCAAACAGGAACAATTTAACTTCTACTTTTCCAATTTGGATGCCTTTTATTTATTTCTCGTCTAAGTGCTCTGTCTAGGACCTCCAGTACTATGCTGAATAGAAGTGGTAAGAGTGGGCACCCTTGTTGTGCTCCTGATCTTAGAGGGAAAGCTTTCAACTTTTCCTGTTTTACCATTGAGTATGATGTCAGTTGTGGGCTTGAACTATGTAGCCCTTATTACGTTGAAGTACATTCCTTCTTTTCCTAATTTGTTGAGAGTTTTTATCATAAAAGGTTAATGAACTCTTTCAAATAATTTTTCTGCATCTATTGAGATGATCATAGGTTTTTTGCCCTACATTCTGTTAGTGTGGTGCATCACCTTTATTAATTTGCATATGTTAGCTGGGCATGGTGGCTCACACCACTAATCCCAGCACTTCAGAGGCCGAGGCAGGCGGATCACCTGAGGTCAGGGGTTTGAGACCAGCCAGGCCAATGTGGAGAAACCCCGTCTCTACTAAAAATACAAAAATTAGCCGGGAATGGTGGCATGCACCTGTAGTCCCAGCTACTCAGAAGGCTGAGGCAGGAGAATTGCTTGAACCCAGGAGGCGGAGGTTGCAGTGAGCCAAGATCATGCCATTGCACTCGAGCCTGGGTGACAAGAGCAAAACTCCACCTCAAAAAAAAAAAGAAAAAATTGCCTATGTTGAACCATCTTTGCATCCCTGAAATAAATCCCACTTGATAAGGAGGAATGATCCTTTAATGTGCTATATAATTCAGTTTGCTACTATGTGTTCAGGATTTTCGCATCTATGTTCATCAGGGACACTGGCCTGTGATTTTCTTTTCTTCTAGTGTCCTTTTGTGGCTTTGGTATCAAGGTAATGCTGGCCTCATAAAATAAATTTGGAAGTATTCCCTCTTTAATTTTTTGGAAGAGTTTGAGAAAAAATCGTGATATGGTTTGGCTATGTGTCCCCACACAAATCTCATCTCGAACTGTAATCTCCATGTGTGGAGGGAGCGACATGGTAGGAGGTGATCAGATCATGGGGGTGCTTTCACCCATGCTGCTCTCGTGATAGTGAGTTCTCACAAGATTTGATAGTTCCAAAGTGTGGCACTTCCCCCCTTGTTCTCTCTCTCCTGCCACCATGTAAGATGTGCCCTGCTTCCTCTTCACCTTCCGCCATGATTATAAGTTTCCTGGGGCGTCCCCAGTCATGCAGAACTGTCAGTCAATTAAACCTCTTTTCTTTATAGTTTACCTGGTCTTAGAGAGTTCTTTATACCAGTGTGAAAACGAACTAATACAGACTGGCATTAATCTTTCTTTAAATGTTTGGTAGAACTCAACAGTGAAGACATCCCTTAACAAATTATTGTCACTATTGTTAATTGTCTTTTAACATTCATACCGGAGATATAAATTATTGTCACACGACAATTACAGTATTTATTCTGAACTTGACCGTGGACTTACTTTTACCAGTGAGTTTTATACTTTCATGTTACTAATTAGCATCCTTTTATTTCAGCTTGGAGAACTCCCTTTAGTGTTTCTTTTAAGACATGTCTGGTAGTGATGAACTCCCTTAGCTTTGTCTAGGCAAGTCTGTATGTTTGTGTTTGTGAATTACAGCATTGTTGAATACAGTATTCTTTGTTGGCAGGGTTTTTTTCCTTCAACACTTTGAACATGTCAACCCAGTCTCTCCTGGACTACAAAATTTCTGCTGAAAAGTCTGCTGCTAGCATTTTTGGAACTCCCTTGTATGTGATTTGCTTTTCTCTAGCTGCTTTCAGAATCCTCTTTTATTTTTGACAGTTTAACTATATGTCTTGAGGTAGTCTTGTTTGGATTGAATCTGATTAGAACTTTTGATCTTCCTGTACTTATTTATACCTTTCCCCAGATTTGGAAAGTTTTCTGTTGTTATTTAAATAAGCTTTGTAACCCTCTTTCTCTTCTCCTTGAACTCCTATACCTCAATTTTTGTACTTTTGATGCTGTCCTATAAATCCTGTAAGCTTTCTCCATTACTTTTCATTCTTCTTTTTCCTCCTCTAACTATGGAAGAAATCTGTCTTCAAGTACAATTATTTTGCTTGATCAGTGCTTCTATGGATGCTCTCTATTGCATTTTTCATTTTATTCATTAAATTTTTCAGCTCTAGAATTTTTTATTTTTTTAATAATTTCAATCTGTTAAATTTCTCATGTTGGTCATTTGTTGTTTTCCAGAATACACTGAATTATTTCTATTTTATTGAGGTTTGCTGGGCTTCCTTAAACAATTATTTTTTAATTCTTTTTCAGGCAGTTCATGTATCTCCATTTCTTTTGAATCAGCTACTGGAAGGTTATTTTGATACTTTTGGTAGTATTAAGTCTCCTTGTTTTTTCACATTTCTTGTTGTCTTATATCAATATCTGTACAATGAAGAGGTAGGGACTGATTCCAGTCTTTGTAGACTGGCTTTATTTGGGAAGCACTTCACCAGTCAGCCTGTCCAATCTGGGAAGGCCATCTGGCATGGTGCACAGGCAGGCTTGCTGCTGGAGTCCTCAGGGAGGCTGGCCTGGTATCTGGGTCAGCAGGTAGGCAGAGCTCAGCTGGTGCTGGAGCGGATGTGGAAGCCTAGGTCTACAGTGGTTGGTCTGAAGCCTACCTAGAATCACAGGACCTGCCCTGAAGCCATGGGAGCTGACCTAGATGCTCAGCATATGGGTGCTGGCCTGGAACCTGGGTCCACAGAAATGGTCTTACAGCCTGGGTCAATGGGAGCTGGTATAGTGCTGAGATGTATTGGGATGGTCCTGAAACCTTGGATCTCTTAAGTATGGGGTTGCAGCAGCCAGCCTGGAGGGTGGGGCTACAGGGAATGGCCTTGTACTGGGGCAGACCTGAAGCCCAGGGCTGTGTGGGCCAACCTGGCTCTCAGCTGGTCTGAAACCTGGAGAGGGCCTGAAGCTGGGACAGCTTGAAGCCTGTATCCACAGGTGCCTGCCTGTGACAGCCAGCCTGGTACTAAAGGTAGCTCTAAGCCCAGGGCCACTGGGGCCAGCCTGGCCCTAAGACAAGTCTAAAACTTGCATCAATTGGGTCTGGCCTGGTGGTGGAGGTTGGAGGAGCTGGAACCTTGGGCTGCAGAATCCTGCTTAGTACCAGGGTAGGCTTGGACGCTCAATCCATAGGTACCATCCTGGAGTCTGGGGCTACGGGGGCCTGCCTTGCACTGAGTTTCACTGAGGTGGGCCTGGTGTTGGGTTCTGAGGCAAAATCTTTTGCTTACTGCCCTCTTCCTCCCCTAAGCAAAGGGTATCTTTCTCCACGTGCTGCCTGAGGTTGCAGGCTGGGGGCAGTAATATAGGTCATGTAAAACTGTTCTTTCTACTCTCTTCAATGTGTTTTTTCTGATTTCTCTGCTACATCCAGGTGCGGTCATCTCTCACCTGGTTTCCTTAGCTTTTATTAAAGTATTTTTGTGCAAGAATAGTTGTTCAATTTATGTTTCTGTGTGAAGACAAGCACTGGGAAGTCCCATTCTGTCATTTTGCTGACCTCCACCAATACACAGATTTGACTTTTAAGGAATTAAATTTCTATACAAATCTTCAACTTCCATGAGATTAAGGATCTCTTTTCCTACCTTCCCCTTCACAATCCTGTACAGCAGAAATGCCATCTCCCACACATCTGAATCTTATTATCATCATTACCATTACCTGAAAAATCCTCTGGGACCAAAGGGACAATTTGACAACTCTTTTTAATAGGTATGCCACAAAAGCTGCACCCCTTCCCATCTACTCATCTCATTAACAATAATTATTTACACAATAATTATTAATACTTTATTTCCAATAAAATACTTTTACATATTTAATAATCACTTACAAAAAATTGTAATGAGTCTCTAGATTCATTTCTTTTCAATAAACTGATGAAGCAAATACAACTTACCAGCTCTACATTTCCAAGAACTTAAAAAAGAGGGCTTCAGAAGTAGACATTTGTATATCTTGAGAAGCAGTGGCACCTCTTTAGCTTTAGCTCCCATTGATACTGGCTAAGGAGGAAAAGGGAGCTAAAGTCTCTGCTAAAAGGGAATTGCAGAGGGTGCTATACACATTTTGCTGCCTATACTGGTAGAACCTGTTTGGCTTGGTCATTTTGTTTGAGGATTTTTCCAAGTTACTTCACTCTTTATAGACAAGAAGAAACATATATCTAATGAATTTTAATTGATTTGGGCTCTGTAAAATATCTTCTGCTTTTCTTATCAAATCAAGCTAGAATGCATAAAAATTATCTGTCAAGCTATCAACTGCTGAGAATATGGCTGAGAAAAAATACAGACAGGGTAAGTAGAGACCGTCTGTTTTAATCTCTAAAAAGAATGCTCCCTCAGTTTCTTGCCTCCTACATTTAAAAAGATTCTGGCAGCAAACATAGTACTCTGGATATAAGGAGATTTTTTTTGGTTTATGTATGTTTGATATTGTTAAATCAAGTTAAGCCTAAAGCTACCTCTTTTACATATTTTAAGTTCAGCCTAAAGGTTTCTCCATATGTACTAAACTAACCTAGCTGGAGACAAACAGACTGTATCCACCCTTGTGCCAATGACTGAGTTTTGGCCAATCAAATGTGGCCAACTGTTCAAACCATGTTCAAATAAGTCAAATGCTGAGCTATAACCAATCCAGTTGTTTCTGGACCTCACTTCCATTTTCTGTGCACCACTTTCCTTTTTCTGTCCATAAATCTTCTACCATGCAGCTGCACTGGAGCCTCTGAGCCTACTCTGGCTCAGGAGGCTGCCTGATTCACGAATTGTTCTTTGCTCAAACTCTTTTAAATTTAATTCAGCTAAAGTTTTTAACAATATTTTTCATATTAAAAAATAAACTTAAAAAAAATTGCCACATTGTCCTAACTCCCAATTTTTCAAAGTAAATCAAAGAGCACTTTTATAAAACTACTGGAATTGAAACAGCCTTTGCAAAAATTACAAGTGAGAAAATTGTTAACAGTGAAAAAGATCTGATCTAACCAACCTCCATCTTGCCTTTAACCTCCAAACTGCCCTTAGGTATTGCTGGGTTTGGGTCAAGCTAACTTTGGGAGAAATTTAGTTTTTAGTTTAAATGATAATACTACTTCCCCAAAAGTAAACCATCTTTTAAAGCTAATAAAAGACCACCAGGTTAGGAGATGAGAGGAGCCTGAATCCTCCCAAGGTGTAAACATAAATGATTACCAGCCACTATTCCAGAAGTCACAAGATTTTCAACTTCCCCAGTTACTCCTGCAGATGACATCGCTATTGTAGAACCTAAGATTGGCCTTTTGAGATGTCTTTTCAGGTTTTTGCATTTCTGACTCTCAATGGCTCCACCTGGACCCACCAACCACCTGTGTGCTCCCAACCAGAAGTGTACTTAACACACTAGGACTATCTTCCACACCCCTATGATTACATCCCCAACGAACTGGCTGCACCCATTGCCTTGCCAACCAAACTATCCTTAAAAAACTCTGGCCTCTAAATTTTGAGGAAGGCTGATTTGTTCAATAATAAAAGTCTCCTGTTCAGCTGGCTCTGCATGAATTAAACTCTTTCTCTATTGCAATTACCCTGTCTTGATAAATTTGCCTGTGGGCAGCAGGCAAAATGAACGCATTGGGTGGTTACAGAATTGCAAAGTGGTAGACTTAGGCCTGAATTTTTAGACTCCACAGCCACTTATACATGTAATCTTCTTCTACTTCCCCTTTCCTTCCTTCTGCACCCACTTCAGCCAAATCCTTTCTATAATTCTGCTGAGGAAACATGACATTAATGACTCATTAAGGGTTGAGAATGAGTTACTTCCTTCCACCTCTAAATTTCTATTCTTGGCTTTCTGGGTTGGAATTTTTTTTTAAAGTACATTTCTATACTGAGTCTTCTGTGCCCTAGTTTCCATACACAGGAGAGAGAAACCAAGCTTAGTGCTTCTTACTTAATAGTCTGGGTGCTTTGTAGAAAAATATATATATATGTATATCTGGCTCAGTGTAAGTATGTGTACCTAGGAAGTCCCTATAACATTTACTGCCCATATCATTCTTTTGTTATTTATGTACCATTAACACATTTATTTGTCTTCTTGTGCCTATATATTATTTCCTAGAAAGTAGGTCAAGGACTATGAGTGTCCTGCTCGGGGTCAGGTTCCAGCTCATGCTGGGGTCCGAAGGGAGTAAGTGGATGAGCAGATAGCTGAAAGAACACTCAGGGGCATATGCAGGTGAAAGGTAGTTTTACTCAGCAGCTCTCTCATCAGCAGCTCACTCACATTAGCTCTCTCACACTGTTTGCCTTGTCTTGACTGCTTAGTCCAGCAGCTCCCACACATAGCTACATGGCCAGCTCTCCGTTCAGGGTCAACAGCTTAAATCTCTCTCTCTCTCTCTGGGTGTGAGCAAGACGAGCTGTGTCCTGGCTCGCTCCTGTCCATCTGCAAAGATGGACAGCTCTGGCTCTCTCTCTCCTTCTCTGGGTGCAAGCGCACCCATACAATGTCAGCAGGGCAATTATATCTTTTACAGACAATAGTGGCTTACAGCCAAATGATGAACCTTCTCATGTTATGGCTACATGGCTGTGATAACAAGTGGAGTTATATACCTGCGCTGTAAACTCGCTGAGTCATTCTGGACGTTTGCCTCGACCTATCCTTGACCAAAGCACAGCCATGTTCTTTACAATGAGTTACAATTATCCATATTTTCCACAATGCCCAACCTCCTTTGTTACTAGTCAGTACTCATAAAAGCTAGATACAAGACATTTATTTTAAAGTATGGTTTGTTTTCTCTGTGTAACTTGCAAATGAAATGATGACTGATATTTGGAAATCTTAAATCTAGCAGAAATGGAATAATTCATTGCAAGGCCATTTAATATTTACTACATTTAGAACTAAATGACTAACAATCCTGTCACTAGGCTAATATTGCATGTCCTCTGATATTTGTGGTATGCATTTTCTGTACATACTACAAACTTCCATCCTCATCAATGACACAAGTGGCCCTTTTTGACCCATCTTAATTTCCACATGGCCGTTTTGTTATTTTATCCACTTGCCTGTAAGGAAAATCAACTTCTCTGTGATGCTACTTAGAGAATTTCATATTTTGTGAATTTTTCATCATTTTATAAAGAATTGTGCATTTTTAAGTGAAATGTATAAAGACACAAAGCATATACCAAATACTAAGCATAATTGTGGACTTCAACATCTTTCATCCATCCTATCACCCACCCTAAACTGATAAACAGTGTATTCCTCCAATGAGAAATCCCTGAAATGGTAACAGGCACATTTCTTTTATGTCCCTAGACACAATATGGATGAAACTGTAGAGATCGTAACAATATGGATAAATGAGAGACTGTAGAATACAATGAAAAGAAATCTTTAGTTCACAGAGTTCTTGATAATTAAAACCTTTAGTTCACAGAGTTAACTAATAACTGAAATTAATATTTTAAATATTAATAAGTCAATGATAAAAAGCAAGTGAAGATCATACATCCCTGGAGGATGTTGAGAAAACAACTTGAAAAGGCTACTCTTAAAACTTTGCTACTACAAAATATGCTGTGTGGCAACACTGGCATGGCCTGGCTGCTTGTTAGGAAGCAAATCTCAGGCCCTACCACAGACGTCCTGAATCAGGACTAAGTTACTAGCATGCTTATCTCATCAGTACCATCTGTCATGCATACACTCTGCATACACATTACGGCTCTCCAACTATTCTGTTAAAGATTAAAGAACTTCTAAATATTTAATAGGTTTTTATATCAGTACCTTTAATGGAAGGGCCCTCCATTCCATTACCTCCAACTGGGAATTCCGGCCCTAAGACACTCCTAGAAGTCAGAATGGGCCTGGGACTATCTGTTCATTCATTATTTGTTGTTTGATCCTTTCTAGACACTCAGGACACAATAAAAACAAAAACATTTCATAAAAAGAACTAGTTATACATAGGTAAATAAAGAAATCATTAATCTGTAACAGACCCTGTCTCCTAACACAAACACAGTGAGGCATTCACCACACATACAAGGGAGGTTCAGAGACTGGGCAGCCAAAATACACTAATGTCCACCTCAAAGGTTGAAATTAACTATTAAAACCACATAAGACTAACCACAAAAACTTATGCACAAATGTTCATAGCATTTATTCATGATAGCCAAAAAGTAGGAACAACCTAAATGTCCACCAACTGATGAATAAAGAAGATGTGGCCGGGCGTGGTGGCTCATGCTTGTAATCCCAGCACTTTGGGAGGCGCAGGCGGGTGGATCATGAGGTCAAGAGATCGAGACTATCCTGGCCAACATTGTGAAACCCCGTCTCTGCTCAAAACGCAAAAATTAGCTGGGCGTGGTGACACGTGCCTATAATCCCAGCTACTCGCAAGGTTGAGGCAGGAGAACAGCTTGAACCAGGGATGCGGAGGTTGCAGCGAGCCAAGATTGCGCCACTGCACTCCAGCCAGGCGACAGAGCGAGACTCCGTCTCGGGAAAGAAAAAAAAAAAAAGTTGTGTTATTATCCATACAATGGGATTTTTTTCTTCAACCATATAATGAATGAACTATTAAAAAAAAAAATACAAAATGGAGTCTTGCTCTGTTGCCCAGGCTGGAGTGCAGTGGCATGATCTCAGCTCACTGCAACCTTCGCCTTCTGGTTCAAGCGATTCTCCTGCCTCAGCCTCCTGAGTAGCTGGGATTACAGGCACATGCCACCATGCGTGGCTAATTTTTTTCATATTTTTAGTAGAGACGAGGTTTCACCATGTTGGCCAGGCTAGTTGATACATGTTGTAACATGGATGACGCTTGAAAACATTATCCTAGGTGACAAAAGCCAGATACAAAAAGCCATAGATTATATAATTTCATTTCTAGGAAAGCCCACAATAGCATAACCCATAGAGACAGAAAGTACATTATTGGTTGTCAGGGGCTAGGAGAAAATGCAGAGCCTGGGGAATGACTACTAATGGGTATAAGGTTTCTTTTTGGGGACATGTAAATGTTCTAAAATTAGATTCTGGTGATGGCTGTACAACTCTGGCTATACTAAAAACCACTGAATTGTACACTTAAAAATATGAAAGACAGGCCAGGCATGGTGACCCACGCCTGTAATCCCAGCACTTTGGGAGGTCGAGGTGGGCAGATCACGAGGTCAAGAGATCGAGACCATCCTGACCAACATGGTAAAATCTCATCTCTACTAAAAATACAAAAATTAGCTGGGCATGTTGGTGCACACCTGTAGTCCCAGCTACTCGGGAGGCTGAGGCAGGAGAATCACTTGAACCAGTGAGGTGGAGGTTGCCGTGAGCCAAGGTCATACCACTGCACTCTAGTCTGGCAACAGAGCAAGACTCTGTCTCAAACAAAAAAAAAAAAGAAAAAAAAATATGAAAGACAAAGACAGAGGTAAGGTATGCAAGCACCAAAGTAACTAGAGAGAAGAATAAGAGAAAACAGCCTGCACAATGGCTGCATTCATCCAAAGACAGATACTGAATTTCTCTACATAATGTCTGGTATTTCCACCATCATTATTCAGTTAAAATTTAACAACTGTGTCTTTAGGAAAAGATATGTCACAGAAACGATTACCACCGACAAGATTTCTCTCCTTGATCAAACTAGGCAGGCTCCTTCTGAACCCTCTTTCAACTGGGCCCTATCCTCGGGCACGTCTTCAAGAGTCCAATTTTAGCAGAAATCCCCCATCCTCCATAGCTGACCAAACTCTTCAAGCTGCACCATCCCCCAATGATGTCTGATCACCTTGGCCTGCCTGCCTTCAGCAAGAACCCTGTTAAATCGTTTTAGTCAGAATACTCCCTAATTCTTAATGTTTCCTCTTAGTAATTTTCCATCCACCGACCCCCACCCTGCTCCCTCACCATAAATTCCCACTTTTCCTTACTGTATTTGGAACTGAGCCCAATCTCTCTCCCCTACGGCAAAACTCCACTGCAGAAGTCTCTATAGCCACTGCAATAGTCTCCCTGAGAACATTCTCTCTACTACCGCTTAACACCAAAAAGAAAAATCACTCCCTCCATTTGAACTAATTACTTAATCTGATTTCAAAACAATTCAGGATTGGGGTTTTCCTGTCTTGTTACTGGTATGCTATGAGTAACTGATCCATCTCAGAGTAAGAAATGGCAACTTCCAGGCTGATGGGGGAAAAAAATGCCACAACAATTGGATTTTTCAACTGGATTTTACATTTGCATTTCAGATTTAAGAATTTTTTTTAGAAATTTAGGTTTTTTTAAGAAATCTTTTCCAATAGATGTTAGAAGAATTATCCCCCTCCATACGCAAGTAGAATAGCCAAAATTGTCTCCAGAATTGCCAAATGCCCCCTAGGGCTGGTAAAATCTCACGATTGAGAACCACTGGCATAGAGAACTACTCCTCAAAATTCAATGTAACACACCCAGGCTGGGAAGCATATTGACACTTCAAATCTGAAGAAGCAACTACGCTAAGGGGAGGCTAATACTGCTGGACATGCTACCAGAAGCCAGGGTGCAAAACTGCCCAAAACTAAAATTTCAAAGTATCCACTCACTCTGGAAATTTCCTGTTCTTGGGAACAGAGTAAAAATACCTGAATACATAAACACACAGATAAGTAGAAAAAAAAAATAGCAGCCATCACAAAGCTTCATCTAGATCTGCAATGTCCAATAGAGCTTCCTGAGATGATGAAAATGTTCTATACTGTGCTGTCCAATTCCTGTGGCCACTAACCACATACGCAGCTCTTGAAACGTGGTTACTGCAACTAACAAATAGAATTTTTTACTTTCTTAATGTTCATTAAATTTCAGTTGCCACAAGTGGATCGTGAACCGGACAACACAGATCTAGACCTCACTATCATTCGTCTTATTGCTGTTATTGGTAGAAGTTTAAGCTTCCCTTTTCATCAGGCAATTTTTTTAGTATCATCTTCCCAGGGTAGAAAGATCAATTCTCTGTTAAACCTGGGGATGGGGGAAATAAAAGACCAATGCCTGCCCCTGACCACACCCAGGCCAATCCTCTGAAGGACAAGTACATTGGCCTCTTGTTTGGCTGTCTGTTCCACTTCTCTGTTCTTATTTCATTTTTGTATCATCTGAGTATTCAGCTAAATCCAGAATGTGCTGCTGGCCTTCTACGAAAAACATCCACATATAAGGAGACAAGCTGTTTGGGAAAGATAGAATTGGTAAAAGGGAAAATTATTTCATTCATTTATTTGGTTTAATTAACTGTCTCCCAGGTAGAATGTAATATCCATGAAACAGGACACTTTTCTGTCTTTTTACCACTGCATCCTCAGGACCTGGAACAAAGGCACATACAAAGTTTAAGTGTTAAATATTTGAGGAGCTAATAAATAATTAGAACAAGAATAGTACTCATGTGCCAGGAACCATAGTTTTATAAATATATTAACTTCTTTAAACCTCACTATAACCCCATATGGTATGCACCATTAGCCTCACTATGAGTTATGTTTTATTATCTCATTACAGATGAGGATATTGAGAGATGAAGGAGTTAAATAATGTTCCCAAGATCACCCAGATGGTAAGTGACAAAACCGTAATCTGAATCCTCCCACATATGGAGCTTATTCCGTTACTTAAGCTTTTGTAAGATACTAATGAATTATCTAAGGATTTCAATATCAGAGCTACCGAGCTACTTTGCATCTGCCCCTTATCCCCAATTCTGTTATATCAGGAAAAGCTCAGTGTAGATACAAAACATCTATAATGAAGTATGATCACAAGATACATAATAGCAGAGAGAATGCAACATAATGCAGAAGAGCACAAACAATTCAGCCCACGAGCAAGTGAACATATGTACCTATGAGGGCCACACATTTGTTAAGGTAAAATGGTCCAAGGCTCTAAACATTTCAGCCCCTGACAAAGGGTAACAGGCATCCCAGGGAGAAGGAAAGGCTTGTGTAAAACCATGAGGATGTATGATATGGACAGAAAGTTGGGCTGGAGCTATGGAAATTCAGGGAGTTGTGAAAGGTGAATGGAAAAGCAAACCAGAGACTGCATATGCTTCTTAATGTCACGTCCAGTTTCAAACGCTTCTTTTAGGACACTACTCCACTGTAAGGCAGGTCCAACAGGGTTTCAGCCCAATATGATTCTACAAAATGGGTGAATGACACCTGGGCCTGAACTGAGTGTCCCAAATTTCCCTCAGCCCAACTAACACATCCCCAAGGGCAGATGAAAACTGGTCCCATTGGAGAAAGATTCAATTGGATAGAAAATGATATTCATTATATCTGACGCTTTATCAGACTGAAGTAAGAGGCAGCTCCAAGAGCAAGTCAATTTCTTGGTTTTTCTTTACTATTCCCACAGGTATATGGACAACTTTAACTTCCTGTAATTCTAACCATTTCCCAGAGCTGTAAGACTACATTTTCCCATCTCTTTGCCTATTGTCTCCCACGAGTACACTTCCTTTACCTAATCCTTAACAGGAGCTATTATCCAAAGCTTAGTATTTGGTCTCACATTTACTTTCCTTATATTCTTTAACTCAAATTTAACTATGAAACCTTTACTTCCAACCTCAGCACAACTCAATTTCTGTAACTATGTTATCCACATGTCCCTACTATTTGAAAAGTGGATAGTATGAAGTGAAATGTGTACTAACTGTAAAAAAAAAAAACTCCAGATTTCTATAACTCTTTATTAATTATGATAGTGTTGAACTTATATTAACATTGAAAAAACACTGAAATGATAGCATTTGGGATATAGTAGGTTAAATATATTATTGAAATTTATTTCGCGGTTACTTTTTACTTTTTAATGTGGTATCTAGTAAATGTTGAATTATATACATGGCTCATATTTCCTCTATAGACTATCTCTACTAAGGCTGTCCCTCAAATGCAACAGGTTTAAAATGGGTCCAGCACTAACAAGCTCCATGACATCTCTGTGCCTCAGTTTTGTCATCTATAAAATGCAAATGCTAATTGTAATAGAGGATGATAACAGTAAGAGCTAACTCTAATTGTCACAATATCCCTGTGAGGCTATCATTCTCATTTTATAGATAAGCACATAGAGGCATAGAGAAATTAAGTGACCAACCAAAAGTTACATAGTTAATAAATAGTGGAGTCCAGATTTCAGCCCAGGCAGTCAGCTCCAGGGTCCTGCTTTTAACCACTGTCTCTCATAATATTCACCCTCAGAAATGTAACAAAAACTCAATGGGCTAATATAGGTAAAACATTTCAAACTGTTCCTGGCACACACTAAACTCTCCTTTGTGTTTAACTAATATCACCCTTACCCCCGTGCCCAACCTACTTCCCAATTTCCACACAGGTAACAACCTTTCTCCCCACTTCCCAGACCAAAACTTCAGGATCATCTTCTAACATTCCTCCCTTTTTCATCCCCTAAATCTAGTCGGTCCTCTCAACTCTTCCTTAAATGTTTTTAATGCAGCTACTCCTCTAGTCCCACTGCCACCTTACCCCAGCCCTTCAGCCCCTCACACTGGATGAATTAACAAGAACATAAATAGTGCTCATGTGCCAGGCAGGCTTCAAATCTATTAATTCATTTAAACCTTACTATAACCTTGTCTGGTCTCCAGGGCTTCCCCATCTGGGTCCTACCAGGGTCTACATTTCTTCAGCGGAACATTCTTCCTGGATTACCAATTTTATCCTGTGATAGGAATTTTAAAGGTATATGGGTTCTTCACACTTGTGCCTATTAAGATGATTTAAATATGAGAGAGGAAGAGATGACGGGTGTTCCATGAGGGAGAGAAAAATTTACAAGGATCAGAAAATTTAAAATTCTAGCCCCATCAAAAATCCCCCATAGAATCAAGTCTTCTCTGCAGCCAAACACAAGAGCATCACGGAGCCCCAGCCTCCCTATTGAACCTTACCTCCACTTCCCAACAAAAACTCTCCAGGGCAGTCAAACAAGTTTCGTCAATGTTTCTGGAGTAAAAAAAATAGTAATTTTTATTCCCAACACTTATCCATGCAGTTCCCCTCTGACTCAGAAATCTGAAATCCTCCATAAACCCTCCCAAAACGCCCAGGCGAAACTAATCTCTCCTCTAAATTGCAATAAAACTTCTGTCTTACGCCACTCACTCTGGACCACAAAGACATATTCACCACTTGGCAAATGTCACAACCCCAACACAAACCATGAACTACCAGAAGGCAAGCAGTAAGTCCCACATTTTTCACCACCATGTCTAGCACAAGTCTCTACATAGAATACGCACCATGTGGCAAATGTTAATAAATAAATGAGTACATAAATGGACAATGTAACAGAAATCATCTGTAAATACCCCAAGTAAGCCAACCTTATTTCCCTAACCGTGAAACACCTTAAGGTAAGAGAAGCGAAACTGAGTCTGAGTTTCAAGGCAGTGGTTTCACCGCACATTCAAATTCATGATCTGTCTTCTTTGTTCATCAAAACAATCCCGTGAAGTACATACTATTATACCCTTAAGTCAACTGAGGTTCGAAAAAGTAAAGTGACTCTCCTCAAGATCACACAGCTAGTAAATGGCAAAGCTGGGATGAGAGACCAGGCCAGGAGTCCAGCGCTCTTTCCACTGTTCTAATTCATCTTTTAAATCTCCTTCCCCTCCTTACCATCTATAGAGTTAAATAAAAGGAGAGAGGAATCAGTAAACAACTCATGATAACAATAACAACAGATGTGGTAAATTAATGACTTCCAAAGAACATTTGCCTGAAATTGCTTGTTTTTTTTTTCTTTGATTCATCTAGGGCAAGTAACGTTTTGGGAGACATTGCATTTAAACCTTATTATTCCATTGGACTGTGAAATAACGTTTCCGTCTAAACTTAAACCAGTGCCTTTCCAGACTCCAAAGATGGGCCCTTCCCTGCTGCACACTTACAAAGGAAGATAAGGCTCTTTCTCATCACAGAGAAATTAAGGAAGTAAGCAACGTTATGAGGACACAGCACTTTACAAAGTCAACTGGCAGTCATTACTAAACGTTATAAAGGACTGGTCCCATACCTGACTGTCACCAGGAATGGAGTCTTCCAAACTCCTACTTGTTAAACATTCCGATTTAACACAGAGACACAAAGAACCTCAGTTCAGGGCAGTCTCAACTCATGAATGACCACATTGTTGGGTACTCTCCTTTCACACTGAAACTCAGAAATGGAAAGACACGGAGATGGACCCAAACCTGGGCCAACCGCACTGGCAGAGCCAAGAAAAACCAAGAACGCGTCGAAGGCGCCCGCCTCCGCCTTCTCTGCACATCTTCAGGCCACTCCAAGGTATGCAGGAAGCTCCTGTTTCTGCAGCCGCAGGTTTCAGCACCCGGAGGTTTCAGCAAGCGCCAGTTCACGGGTGAAGGATTTTCCTGGGGGTCTTACCTGAGCGGAGGCGCTGGGGAGGGGGGGCGTTCTTCCCACGAACGGTGGCTCGGACCGCACGCTGCGCCAAGCTAGGGCGAGATCCCCACCCTGCGCCGCGCCCCTCTGCCTCGCAACCACCCACGGCCCCAGCCGGGAGGCGCCGCAGCCCCGGAACCCACCTCCGCGCTCCTGGAAGGATGGATGCGGAGGAGGCGGGAGAGAGGCGGCGGCTCCGGAACGAGCTGCTCCCACAGCCCCTCCGCTCCTCGCCGTCTCGCCTTCGTCCCCAGCTTACCCAGTTCTGCGCGTTATTGCTCAGTTTGACTTTCTTGCACAGGCTCCCGGGGATCTCCATGACCGCGGAGCGCGCTGAGCAGCCGGGGTTCTCTGCGCCGGGAGGGTAGCAAGAGGAGGGCAGGCCAGCGAGCGGGGCGGGGCTGGAGGGCGGGGCCTCCTCGCGTCGGAGCGGGCGCGCGCTGACTTAAGCACGCGCCCGTGCTCGTGGCCTGGGTTGCGCGGCGCATGCGGCGCGCCTCGGAAATGGGTCCGGGGCAGAGGTCTGTGGGGAAGGGCGAAACGCCGGGATAGAACCGGAGGTAGAAGCTGGGGGCGGAGCTTCAGCGCTCGCGCCGGCGCGGGCGCGCACGGCGCTCCTCCTTCCAGATCCCGATGAAGGGGCGGGGCCTGGAATGCAGTCGTGGAACCTCAGGTGCCTCTGCGGCACCGAGCCTAGCTCTGAGCTAACGCAGATCTCTAAGAGCGAGTACCAGCCGCCGGGAGAAAGGCAAGGGGAGTGCGCGGCTCGCCGCGCGCGGCACTCCCTCAGCAGAGGCTGATTGGGAGGACGCTGACGCGGCCTCTTGCACCTGTGGCTACTCCTCCACAGACCTGGCTGCCGACCTCCTGTCTGCCCCTTCTGTGCCCATGTCACCCTGGCCAAATGTTTTAAATGTTTTACAGCTTTGCAAAGGGAAGAATTGATTTACCGAACAGCTCATTCTCCACATTAAAATTCTACTCAAGACACAATTTTTTTTCTTTTTTTGAGACGGAGTCTTGCTCTGTCGCCCAGGCTGGAGTGCAGTAGTAGGATCTCGGCTCACCGCAACCTCTGCCTCCCGGGTTCAAGCGATTCTCCTGCCTCAGCCTCCCGAGTAGCTGGGACTACAGGCGTGTGCCACCACGCCCGGCTAATTTTTGTATTTTTAGTAGAGACGGGGTTTCACTATGTTGGCCAGGCTGGTCTCGAATTCCTGACCTCATGATCCGCCCGCCTCAGCTTCCCAAAGTGCTGGGATTCCAGGCGTGAGCGACAGCGCCTGGCCTCAAGACACAGTTTTTAAAAAGATATAATAAAAGCCCGATTTCTTGACATCAATAATTAATATCTCAACCTGGATTAGTGATTACTTATAAGGTGCCTCCCTCTCCGCTAGGAGACCCCACTTCGCATCAGATTTCTGTGCAGTGCTTCTTACCGACCTACACCGGAAAGGGGCTTCTGTATTATTAAGAGCTACTCAGGAAATACCTAGAGGACTGAAATCCAGGACCGGGGAGGCCGCAGGTAACCCCGAATAGAACTCCCGCCTACGGAGGACATTTTCAAATTCACCTAATTATTCCAGGGCTAGTTCGTAGGAGGATGGGCTGGGGGCATGACAGAGTTTCCTCCAGGAGTTATCTTCCCCACACCCCCCATAACTCTGAGTTCTCTTTTCCGCAGCTTGCCCCTGGCACCAAAAGAGTTGCTTGCAGCTCTGCCCCCCTGTGACACAGCCGCCCTCCGCCCCTGACCCCGCCCATCACCAAGACCTGAGACTGCTGCCTGTTAGTGACTAGCAAATTAGCCCCCATCACCAAGACCTGAGGCTGCTGCTGCTGCCTGTTAGTGACTAGCAAATCAGCCCCCATCACCAAGACCTGAGGCTGCTGCCTGTTAGTGACTAGCAAATCAGCCCTCCATCTATTTGCCCCACTGCTACTGTCTTAAATTAGGCCTCCCCTATATCCAGCCTGAGTTATCATTAAGCCCGTTCACTGGACATCCTCCCAGCTGTGCAGCCGCTCTCCACATCCCCGCCACACACCCCATTCTTGCACCTGCTGTCAGAGCGGTATTTCTGAAACAGAAATCTGATCTTGTTACTTGACTACTTAAAATGTGAATGGTTCCCTTCAGCTTTTTTTCTAGGGAATTTTCAATCTGGGGTTCATACATAGAACTGAATTTCAATATAATTTCAAATTCTGCCAATAACAGGAATGAGCTTGGAAGAAGATCTCAAGCTTCATATGAGAAAATAGGGCCACATCTGAAGTTAGCCATTGCTCTGAGTTCTGGTTCTTATTAGAGGGAAATGGTATTTAGATATAACGATCTGGCTCTAGGAGTGCTCACTGCTGTGAGTTTGACCTTATTTCTAGTAAAAGACTTTTTTTAAGGTAAAATATATCATAAGTTTACATTGATACTGTCCATCCAAATTCATGATTCCAGATATGGGTCATGCAAATGAGCCAGAAACATCAAACAGGAAACATAACAAAAAACTGTCAAAAGCTACTCGGATTATGTCAAAAGGACTCAGAAACCAATTTAAAGAAATTTTTCCATGTCAAAGATGGGAGAATTAAAGCACTAAATGGACTAGAACTACAAAATATTAAAACATATCAAATATGTTTAAATCTAGGTGTTTGTAATGATGATGATTTTAAAAAAAATTATTGTCACTCTTAGAGAATGCTAGGAAACCAACTCATTATTTTGAAAACTGGTAAATAAAGGGGATGAATTAAGCATTTACTCTGCTTTCCCTGGACTGTCTGGGACCCAAAAAATTGATAAAGAGAAGTTTCTCTTTACAGAAGTACCACTAATAAATAAAGAAGAAATGATATCATTTTAATATCACCACTTTTCATTTTCTACTGAAATAATGGATAAAGACAATGATCCTCTGTATTAGTCAGGGTTCCCTTAGAGGGACAGAACTAATAGGATATATACATATGAATGGGAGTTTATTAAGTATTAACTTACACAATCACAAGGTCCTACAATAGGCTGCCTGCAAGCTGAGGAGCAAGGAGAGCCAGTCTAAGTCCCAAAACTGAACAACTTGGAGTCCGATGTTCAAGGGCAGGAAGCATCCAGCACAAGAGAAAGATGTAGGCTGGGAGGCTAGGCCTATCTTGCCTCTTCACGTTTTTCTGCCTGCTTTATATTCCCTGTTAGCGGTTTAGGTGGTGCCAACTCAATTAAGGGTGGATCTGCCTTCCCCAGCCCACTGACTCAAATGTTAATCTCCTTGGGTAACAACCTGACAATGATCAATATTGCATCTTTCAATCCAATCAAGTTGACCCTCAGTATTAACCATCACAAGTCCACCCCTTGACAACTTGAACCCATACACATCTCCTGAGATCATTCATAATCTTCAAATAAGACAATAATAAGGTCATAATTATGTCTAACATAACTGAACTGTCCTTTGTACAACTGGAAATGCAGTCCCCAACTCACATACTATTACATAAAGTTAACAATACTTAAATGCTGATATGAAGTCAGTGAATCTCATATCACATGATAAAGGAAAAGGAAATAAAATGAAGATATTTTCTTAGTACAAGTGTATGCATGCACAAACATGTTTTTAACAAAAGAAGGAGGAAATTCTCATGACAATCACAGTCCTCGTTTCTGCAGCTGGTCATGTGCTCATAGCTGGTATTGATGACTACCTTTTTCTACTACCCATTCTGTATTCCCTTTGCCTTCAGCAAGTACCTGAACAGGTGGTGGTTTTTTTTTCCTGGTGGAGTGACCCAAACCTTCATTCCTGAAGGGTCTGGGCCATTTGTAGTCCTGCCTGGATTGGGCTGTTGTAGTTTCCCATTGACCTTAATCACAGGGTAATACTAAGAGACGAACTAATGGATCTCCTGTGTTCCATGTGTACTCTTTCTTACCTCCACTGTGGAGTAGTAGACTGATTGATTTCATCTTGATAGTCTGGGTCAGTCACCCCAGCTAACATTGTAACTCCCTTCTTAGTCTGTTAACTTAGAGGTAGGAGGAGCCCAAAGTGTCCAGGTGGCAATCTTAACTTATAGTTTAATGGAATTGTTTTGTCTCCTGGTGGCAGCGTTTCTCCCTCTGGAACTAAGACCTCTAGACCAGCAGAATGTAATGCCATAGAAACAGGAAGCAAAAATGTTGCTAGTGGATCACTAGGGGTGATGGTGAGTGGTGCCACTTCCACTTCCACCCCTTGATTCCTGGACCCGTGATTCCTGGCTACGGGAGAAACAGTACCATATATTGGATGCTGATTCAGAGCCTACACGGTCTTCTGGAAATCTTTGCCCCAGCCCTGCAAACTATTGTCACCTAGTCGGCATTGTAGTTGTGATTTCAAAAGGTCGTTCCACTGTTCTGTCAACCCGGCTGCTTCAGGATGATGGGGAACATGGTAAGACCAGTGAATTCCATGAGCATGAACCCACTGCCACACTTCTTTAGTGGTAAAGTGAATGCCTTGGTCAGAGGCAAAGCTGTGTGGAATACCATAATGGTGGATAAGGCATTCCGTGAGTCCACGGATGGTAGTCTTGGCAGAAACATTGCATGCAGGATAGGCAAACCCATATCCAGAGTAAATGTCTATTCCAGTGAGGACAAACCTCTGCCCTTTCCATGATGCAAGAGGTCCAATATAATCAACCTGCCACCAGGTAGCTGGCTGATCTCCTGAGGAATGGTGTCATATTGCGGGCTCAGTGTTGGTCTCTGCTGCTGGCAAATTGGGCACTCATTGGTGGCCATAGCCAGGTCAGCCTTCATGAGTGGAAGTCCATGTTGCTGATCCCATGCATAACCTCCATCCCTGCCATCATGGCCACTTTGTTCATGGGCCCATTGGGCAATGACAGGGGTGGCTGGGGAAAGAGGCTGAGTGCTGTTAACAGAATGGTTCATCCTATCCCCTTGATTATTAAAATCCTCCTCCACTGAGGTCACCCGTTGGTGAGCACTCACATGGGATATAAGTATCTTCACAGTTTTTGACCACTCAGAGAGGTCCATCCACATACCTCTTCCCCAAATGTCTTTGTCACCAATTTTCCAATCATGCTTCTTACAAGTCCCTGGCCATTAAGCCAAACCAGTGGCTACAGCCCATGAATCAGTGTATTATTGCACATCTGGCCATTTCTCCTTCCATGCAAAGTGCACAGCCAGGTGCGCTGCTCGAAGTTCCGCCCATTGGGAAGATTTCCCTTCATTGCTGTCCTTCAGGGATGTCCTAGGAAGGGGCTGTAGTGCTGCAGCTATCCACTTTCGGGTGGTGCCTACATATCATGTAGAACCATCTATGAACCAGGCCCTGATTTTCTCTTCCTCTGTCAACTGATCATAGGGAACGCCCCATGAGGCCATCAGTGCAGGCTGGGGGACAGAAGGCAGGGTGGCAGGAATGGGGACCATGGGCATTTGAGCCACTTCCTCATGTAACTTACTTGCGCCTTCAGGACCTGCTCAAGCCCTATGACAAATATACCACTTCCATTTGCTGATGGAATGCTGCTGTGCATGACTCACTTTATGGCCAGATGGGTCAGAAAGCACACAGTTCATGATAGGCAGTTGAGGTCACATAATGACTTGATGACCCATAGTCAAACATTCAGTTTCCACCAAAGCCCAGTAACAGGCCACAAGCTGTCTCTCAAAAGGAGAGTAGTTATCTGGAGAATATGTCAGGGCTTTGCTCCACAATCCTAGAGGCCTCCACTGTGATTCACCTATGAGACCTACCAATGGCCCCAAACAGCCTCTGTATCTGCCACTGCTATCTCAAGCACCATTGGACCTGCTGGGTCATATGGCCCAAGTGGCAGAGCAGCTTGCATAGCAGCCTGGACCTGTTGCAGAGCCTTCTCCTGTTCTGGACGCCACTGAAAACTGGCAGCCTTTCGGGTCACTTGATAAATGGGACAGAGTAACACACCCAAATAAGGAATGTATTTCCTCCGAAATCCAAATAGGCCCGTTAGGTGTTGTGCCTCTTTCTTGGTAGTAGGAGGGGCCAAATGCAGCAACTTATCCTTCACCTTAGAAGGAACATCTCGACAGTCCCCACACCACTGGACCCCTAGAAATTTTACTGAGGTAGAAGATCCCTGAATTTTAGTTGGATTTATTTCCCATCCTGTGGCACACAAATGTCTCACCAATAAGTCCAGTGTGTTTGTTACTTCTTGCTCACTTGATCCATTCAGCATAATGTCATCAATGTAATGGACCAGTGTGATATCTTGCAGAAGCAAAAAGCAATCAAGATCTCTCCAAATAAAATTATGACACTAAGCCGGAGAGTTGATATTCCCCTGAGGTAGAAGAGTAAAGGTATATTTCTGGCCTTGCCAGCTGAAGGCAAGTTGCTTCTGGTGAGCCTTATAGACAGGAATGGAGAAAAAGGCATTTGCCAAGTCAATGACTTGGTACCAGGAGATGTGTTAATTTGCTCAAGCAATGAAACTACATCTGGTACAGCAGCTGCAATTGGAGTCACCACTTGGTTAAGCTTACAGTAATCCACTGTCATTCTCCAAGATCCATCTGTCTTCTGCACAGGCCAAATGGGAGAGTTAAATGGGGATGCAGTGGTAATCACCACCCCTGCATTTTTCAAGTCCTTGATGTTGGCACTAATCTCTGCAATCCCTCCAGGGATGCAATATTGTTTCTGATTTACTATTTTTTGATTTACTTTTTGTTTGATTTACTATTTTTCTAGGTAGAGGCCGCTCAAATGGCTTCCATTTGGCCTTTCCTACCATAGTAGCCCTCACCCTTCCAGGCAGGGAGCCAATGTGGGTGTTCTGCCAGCTGCTAAGGATGTCTATGCCAATTATGCATTCTGTCATGGGGAAATGACCACAAGATGAGTCCAGGGACCCACTGGACCCACTATAAGTTGGACCTGAGCTAAAACTCCATGAATTACTAACCTCCTGCTCTTTACAGGAAACACACGAGGGGAAAAGAAAAGGCACACACAATACTTTTAAGTGTAAACAGACTTTATCCCAAGTATATGGCAATACACATATAAGAAACAAATCACAGTGGGAAAGGGAGAGGGTATATATATATACATATATATATATACATATATATATATACAATATATGTATATACATATATATATACACATATATATATACACATATATATGACTGTGTATATATATATAAAACTGTGTGTATATATATGTGTGTATATATATACACACACACACATACACACTCACCAAACTATGGCGGAATCATCACCAAACTGGGATGCAACAGCCTAGGCTCCAGAGTTGGCCACCCATCTGTGCACAGACGAGGAGGAGTCTTGTGGAGCTTCAGTGTGGTCTGGGACCCTAGCTTGTTTATAACGAGTTGTTTGGCATGAGTCCCAGTCACGAGGGCCCTTTGTGCCTGGCTTCAAGGAACACAAAAAGGTCAACTTGTTTTTGCGATTGTCTGTTGTTTTTCAATAACTAACATACAGGAACAGATTTCTGCGAAACAATGCTGGATGAACGCCTCAAGGGGTTCATGCAACCTGTTACGGGACTTGGTGACTGTTGTTTCTGTCTATGTTCAATTGAGTTCAGATTTAATGTTTAACTTTTCCTCCACACCTCCATAAGCCCCTACTTTAACTGGAGGACCACAATGACATTTGGGTCCCCTGGAATCAATGTCAGCTCAGAGCCAGTGTTCGGTAGTCCCCAAAATATCTGATCATTTCCCTTTCCCCAATGCACAATTACCCTGGTAAAAGGCCAGAGGTCTTTTTGGGGAAGGATGGGAGAAAAGATTCATTGCATACATTGTCAGTAATGTAGTGGGGTCCTTGCTCAAGGGAACTGGGCCTCCCCTTCATTCAAGGGGTTCTGGGTCTGTAAACCAGCTCAAGTCTGGAAATTGATTGAGGGGCATGAGCCTCTGTTTTTATAATTCAAATTAGTCTTTTGTCCATTCGACCTAGAAGTTTTCTGTTTGTATAATTTAAGTAAGAATGCAATAGGCTTTCTATCAATTTCACTTCTAGGAACACCATGATTAATTAGCCAATGCCAGAGCTCTAAACGTGTCAGACAAATTCTGATTGCCACTTTGTCTCTGTTGTCCATTTTGTTAGCTATGCCCACCTTACCTTTGACAGATGAGTGCCACCACTTGGCCCCTGCCACCTCGGTATCCAATTATTTCCATTGTGTTTAAATTTTGTAATTGAGTGACTGTGGTCCCACTGTTAGATCTGACATACAGAGAAGAGCAATTACAGGGCTCTTCAAAAATGCAGGCGCTGCCCTCACAAATCTATTTCACAAGGCATTGGTCAAGAATATATCTTCTGGATCCTTCCAGCTGGGATGAGTAGGTCTAAAGTGACTAGTCCATTCCACCATCCCAATCTCCCTAAGCCTTTGGGTCCCTTCCTCTACATTAAACCAAGGGAGATCAGGCATTTCCAGCTCACTCACAGTGGGCCATCTTTTAATCCATATTTCAGTTAACCAAGCAAATAAACTATTAGAACCTTTTTTAACTCCCTGAACTGCAACTTTAAATGCAGAATCCCTACTTAGTGCACCCAAATCAATACATTCAGTCTGATCCAACTCTATGTTCCTTCCACCATTATCCCACACCCTTAATATCCATTCCCATGCTTGTTCTCCAGATTGCTATTTATATAAATTAGAGAACTCAGGCTGGGCACGGTGGCTCACGCCTGTAATCCCAGCACTTTGGGAGCCCGAGGCGGGCTAATCACGAGGTCAGGAGATCGAGACGATCTGAAGGGGGCCTGCCCCTCCACACCTGTGAGAATTTCTCGTAAGGTGGAGATGAGAGACTGAGAAAAGAAATAAGACACAGAGACAAAGAATAGAGAAAGAACAGTGGGCCCAGGGGACAGGCACACTCAGCATGTGAGGACCTGCACCGGTGCCAGTCTCCAAGTTCCTGTAGTATTTATTGATTACTATTTTCACTATCTCAGCAAGGGGAGTGCAGCAGAACAGGGTGAACAGGATGATGGTGGGGAGAAGGTCAGCAGGAAAACATGTGAGTAAAGGAATCTGCATTATAAATAAGTTCAAGGGAAGGTACTATACCTCGATGTGCATGTAGGCTAGATTTATGTTTCTCTTTACCCAAACATCTCAGTGTAGCAAAGAGTAACAGAGCAGTATTGCTGCCAGCATATCTTGCCTCCAGCCACAGGGCAGTTTTCTCCTATCTCAGAATAGAATGAATGGTCGGCTTTACACCAAGACATTTCATTCCCAGGGACATGTGGGAAACAGAGGCCCTCCTCTTATCTCAACTGCAAAGGGCCTTCCTCTTTTACCAATCCTCCTCAGCACAGACCCTTTACGGGTGTCAGGCTGGGGGGGATGGTAATGTCTTTCCCTTCCCACGAGGCCATATCTCAGGCTGTGTCAGTGGAGGGAAACCTTGGACAATACCCAGGCTTTCTTGGGCAGAGGTTCCTGTGGCTTTCCACAGTGCATTGTGTCCCTGGTTAATAGAGAATGGAGAACGGCAATGACTTTTACCAAGCATACTGCCTGCAAACATATTGTTAACAAGGCACATCCTGCACAGCCCTAAATCCCTTAAACTTTGACTCAATACAGCACATGTTTCTGTGAGCACAGTGTTGGGGCTAAAGTTACAGGTTAACAGCATCTCAAAGCAGAACAATTTTTCTTTGTACAGATCAGAATGGAGTTTCTTATGTCTTCGTTTTTCTACATAGACACAGTAACAGTCTGATCTCTCTTTCTTTTCCTCACACCATCCTGGCTAATATGGTGAAACCCCATCTCTACTAAAAAATACAAAAAAATTAGCCGGGCATGGTGGCAGGCACCTGTAGTCCCAGCTACTTGGGAGGCTGAGGCAGGAGAATGGCGTGAACCCGGGAGGCAGAGCTTGCCGTGAGCCGAGATGGCACCACTGTACTCCAGCCTGAGAAGTGAGACTCCATCTCAAAAAATAAATAAATAAAAATAAATAAATAAATTAGAGAACTCAAACAGTTATTTTCCAGTGTAGCGCACCTCCCCATCGGTCACACTTTCAACCTCACCTCTAGGGGTCCGCTGGGACTTCAGTCTATTTACAGATCTAGAGGCAAACAGAGGTGTTGGGGGTGGCTTCTGAGAAAAACCATCATTATCTTGACTGGCAACTGCCTCAGGGGAAGCCATCGCTGTTGCCTCAGGCAGTGCAGGATTTATCTCCTCAGACAAAGGTGAAAAGGCTGATGGCAGCATGGGTCAGGGAGGGGATGTTGCCACTACTGGAGATGGGGAAGCTGTTTCTTCTGGCAAAAAAGGTTAATCAGAGTTTACAAACTCAGTGTCCCAGCTTCATCAGGCCCCCCCCCCCACCCGCCCCAACACACATCCCCATTCCAAGTTGCAGGGTTCCATTCTTTTCCAATCAATGCCCTCACTTTAACAGTAGGCACCTGGCGAAGCTCTGCATGCATCTTTCATTGCAGGTCAGCCACTCGCATGATAAGAGTTTGTGTCTGTTTTTCCACAATTATAGCAGTTTCTCTGCAGGAGATAAGAATCTCACTTAGGGCAATCTTAGCAGACTTGAGGCTCAGTATCTTCTTCTGAAGCTGGGAGACAAAATCCCTGAGTGTATCATTTTGTTTTATCACTTTGTCCACTGGACTTAGGAGCAACCAACTAGCTTCATTATGCTCCTTGGTTCTCCACATATGGTCAAGGGTATTCTGTATAGTCACTAAACTCCTTGCCTCTCACGAGCGGTGAATCAGGAGTGTCAAATGTATTTATTTGGCGTAACTCTCTAAACAGTTTCTGCCAAGGACTATCGGTGTTCTCCATATTATTAGAAGTAGAGTCCTTAGCATTTTTTGGTCTAATCATATTAAGAAGACAACTCCAGAAACCCCAAAACCAATGAAAGAACTCCATCCTTAATATTCTATTCCTCTAGAACCACTCCTGGTACCAAAATCTGTATTAGTCAGGGTTCTCTTAGAGGGACAGAATTAATAGGAGATATATATACATATTTTTTTTTACTTAAACTCATAGATATATAGATATATATATAAATGAGTTATTAAGTATTAACTTACACAATCACAAGGTCCCACAATCACAAGGTCCTCAGCTGTCTGCAAGCTGAGGAACAAGGAGAGCCAGTCTGAGTCCCAAAACTGAACAACTTGGAGTCTGATATTCAAGACCAGGAAGCATCCAGCATGGGAGAAAGATGTAGGCTGGGAGGCTAGGCCCATCTTGCCTCTTCACGTTTTTCTGCCTGCTTTATATTCACTGGCAGCTGACTAGATGGTGCCCACTCGATTAAGGGTAGATCTGCCTTCCCCCCAGCCTACTGACTCAAATGTTAATCTCCTTGGGCAACAACCTTATAGACACACCCATGATCAATATTGCATCCTTCAATGCAATCACATTGACTCTCAGTATTAACCGTCACATCCTCAATGGCTGCAAATATCATGAAAATAAAGAACACCATAACTTTTTGCCTCCTGATGAAAATCATGAAAAAGTCAAATCAAATCTGGTTCTAATCAAGTCTTCAGGACAATTTATAGGTTTGCAGTTAATGCAGAGGAAAGAGGAAGAGGTGAAAACACCACAAATGCAATTAGTCAAACCCAAACTCTGGAAAACTACAACATTAATGACCTGAGTTTTCAGTAATTCAAAGATAGGAAAAAATAAATGAGGAAAAACTAAAGAATAAAATAAGATATAAAATAAAAATGGAGCAATTAAAATATTTGAAACATATTTGAACACTGATCCAAACAAAAGAAATTTTTTAAAAATTTATGAGACTATATGGGAAATTTGAAGAGTTTCTGAACTCGATATAAAAGACTTACTTTTTTGGTGTGATAAATAGCAGTGTTATTATATTTTTTAAATAAGTCAGTTAAGAGTATATTAGTCCATTTTCCCACTGCTAGAAAGAAATACCCAAGACTGGGTAATTTATAAAGGAAAGAGGTTTAATTGACTCACAGTTTCACATGGCTGGGGAGGCCTCAGGAAAGTTACAATCATGATGGAAGGGGAAGCAAGCACATCTTACATGGAGGTAGAAGAGCAAACAACAGGAAAAACTGCCACTTATAAAACCACCAGATCTTGTCAGAACTCACTCGCTATCATGAGAACAGCATGGGGAAAACTACTACCATGATCCAATCACCTCCTTCCCTCCACGTCAAGATTACAATTCAAGATGAGATTTGGGTAGGGACACAGAGCCAAAACATATTAGTGAGATATATGCTGAAAGATTTATCAGTGAAATGGCAAAGCCATAAATATTCAGGAACCAAAATTGGTTTCCTGAATATGGTAGCAGGAATGGGGGAAAATGGTTGATACATCTTTCAGAATGCAGAGCAAAAATCCCAAGAGATGGGAAATACAGCATAATTTTTTAGAAAAGAAAGAAAAGAACAGTCCAGGAAATCTAACATCCAAGTATTAGAAGTTCTACGAAGAAAAAAAAAAAAAACAGAGAAAACGCACAGAAGGAAATAACCATGGCAATTATTTAATGAAATTTCCTAGAACTGAAATGCCTCCCTGAATGCCTAACTCAACAGATAAAATCAAGCACGGAAAAAGCATAAAGCATAGCACCATGAAGTTTCAGAATACTGTTATACAATAGTTCGAAATTGTTTGGAAACCCTGCAAGCCTCTAAAGAGAAGAAGAGTTCATGAACAAAGAGTCAGGAATAAAAATGAATTAGAAGTTGTCAAGAAAAAGACTGCAAGTTAGAAGACAAATGGACCAATACCTTCAGAGCTCTGAAAGTATTTTCAGTTAGAAATTGGAATTGCTATATACGCTTTCTCAAGGAAATACTGGAGGATATGTTCTGTGGCAGGCCAATTCTCCCTGACAATCACACAGACAAGCCTGCATAGCACTTCAGTTACACAGACTAATTTCCACAGAGCTGCCTTAACATTGAGCAAATAGTTAAGCCTAGGGAAATCAGTGCCCAGACATCAGAGATAGAAGTGAAACATATGGTCAGTAGGAGCCTTCCATGGTCTTCTCCCTAACCTGGAGCAAACCAAAATAATAGAGACAGTCTTACATTCCCAGTGCCAGGACCCATATCTGAGACAAGTCAAGGTAACAGAGGCAGCTGTTTGAACAGATTCATTGGAGAGTCTAAGGCAGCTCTCCAGACAAGCTGTAAAGGACATAAGATAGAAATAATCACTCTGGTACCACAGTAGGCAGGCCTTGAAGGTACTGGGGCCCTTTTAATCAGACTTTTGCCTCTGACCTTCTAGTTGAAACAAAATTAGTTACCAATAGACTTAGGCAAATGCTATACTGCATGTAGGCACATAACTCCAACCTATATAAGCACCAAGAAAGTTGTAACACTTTGAATTGGTCTGGTGGAATTATCTCCAGCCTTCTCTCTGTATCCAGTTACAGCAATAAATTCCCTTCTTTCCAAGTTTGTCTGCTTCTCATTATTGGGCCTCGAGAAAACACAGCCAGATCCAGCTTGGTTCCAGGAACAAAAATTTTGTCGAGCCAGCCAGGAGGCCGCCAGGATGGTGGCTGCCTTTGATGCTGGCAGTTTGCAATGAGACAGTCGTGAGGAAACTCCCAGCAGCTGCTGGGTAAGATTGTCCTGGGGACTCTACTGAGGGCTGTCCCTTGGACAAAACCACACATCCTTTTCATCACCTGGGAAAGAACGGAAGTTTGGCAGAAGCAGATGTGCTCAAAGAGTGAGGAAAACCAGACCATATATTATTTCCTTATCTGGGCTATTAAGCCTTTTGTTCAGTACCATTAGGAAGATAATAGGTCTTTTTTGTACTCCCGTTTGCTGTTTGGTTTGCAGGCCTTTTTCACCTAGGTGCACTTCCTTCTGTGTCTATCTGACACTATCTCTCTGTCCGTGTCTATCTGAAACTATCTCTGTGTCTGTACCTATAGCCTTGCTGAATTTAAGATGGGGAATGCTGCTCCCTTCCCCCAGGGAGCCCTCTGGGAAAGATCCTGTTGGATTGGAAACAGTATGGGTACCCTCCCATTACTAAAAAGAAAATGATTCACTATTGTAATACGGTTTAGCCAACATATGTTTTGGGATCTGGGGAATGGTGGCCAATTTTTTGATCTTTAAGCTACTTTACTATCTATCAGAACAGTTTTGTCAGTGTCAGGGAAGACAGGCAGAAGAGCCTTATGTACAAGCGTTTATGTTACTGCATAATCAAGAGGTCAAAGGAAATAAGCTAATGGTGCAGCACTCAGACAAGGTTTGTCTCAAGTCCCAGGGAGAGGGAGAAAAGGAATTAGAGACTCAACAAGTGTTAAATGTACTTAACCCAGTAGGTGGCGACCCAGAGGGAGCCAATGCCCCGCCACTGGCTCAGAAGGGGGAAGGGCCTTCACCCCTGGAATAGGAGGAGGCTGCAAAAATAGTCTCTCCCTCCCATAATAGACAAGGCACTAATTTTGACTGGGGAGACACTGAGCCTGGAGCAGGGCAATTTTCCCTCCAACAATATCCTGTGGGAGTTCATTAGCAAGGAGCTCCGGCAGGATATTATTGGGCATATAGTCCTTTTCTATGTCTGATTTACTGAATTGGAAAAATTCCAATTCTTCCTACAGGGTGGATCCCCAGAAAATGACCGAATTGTTTACTGCTATCTTTGCTACCCATCGCCTTACATGGGCTGATGTGCAAGCCCTCCTAAACATCATGCTCACGGCAGATGAGAGAAGGCTAGTGTTAGAAGGCTAGTGTTAGAGGAGGCATAGTGCCTTCATGATGAAAGCCCCAATGATAGCCCAGACCTTAAAGAGGCAACTCCCTGAACTGACCTAAATTGGGATCCTAATGAGGCAGGTGGAGCTGGGATGAATCATCTGGAACACTATAGAAAGTGCATCCTAAAGGGCATTGGATCAAGGGTGCCAAGACCTGAAAGTCTGAGCAAAGTATAGGCACTTTAGCAGACACCTATTGAGGACCCCTCAGAATTTATGGAACAGATCTGTCAGACATATAGAAAGTATACAGAGTTAGACCCACAGGACCCTGAAAACATTAGAATGGTGAATATGACCTTTACAGGGCAAAGTGCCCCAGACATTAGGAAGAAACTACAAAAAGTGGAGGCGGCTGTTGGAATGAAGCTTCCCAATTAATCAACATTGCATTCAAGGTATATAATAGCAGGGAGGCCAAGGAAACCAAGGCACTTCAGCAGGCAGCTGTACTCCTGGCAGCTGCAGGAGGAAACCCGAGAAAAAAGGACCCCCAAGGCAGAAAGGGAAAATAGAAAAGGACCAGTACGCTTACTGTCAGGAAATAGGGCACTGGAAGAGAGACTGCCCCAAGTTAACTCAGAAGGAACCCAGGTCACTTATGGCTGTCAAGCCCAAAAATGAATCCGAGGAAGATTGAGGGTGCCCAAGACTCCCAGCAGCTCCAACTCTAACTGACATCAAAATTTCCCCAAAGGAGCCTTGGTTAAAGTTGATACTGGTGCTAGTTATTCAGTAGTTAATACACCAATAACTGAGCTTTCTGATACTTTCTGTCAGTATAGTCAGCGTAAGTGGGCAATTGAAATCAGAACAGTTCCTGCAACCCCTTTCATGTAAAGTGGGCAACAATTTGATAATTCACCAATTCGTTTATGTGCCAGACTGCCTGATACCTTTACTTAGCAGAGATTTACTATGCAAGTTAGAGACTCAGATCATCTTCCACCCAAGAGAAACGTCAGCTGTGTCTTCAAATGCCTCCAGAGCATGGACTGCAGCTGCAAGCACTGCTGGTGAGCACTGAGGCCCCACACCCTGAGGTAGAGGCAATTCCTCAAGAAGTCTTTGACAAGGTGAAGCCAGAGGTCTGGGCATGAGACCAACCTGAGAGGGAAATTAATGTGAGTCCAATAAAAAACAAACTGAAGGAAGGGCCCCAACCTATCCGGAAAAAAGCAATACCCCTTAAAGAAGGAAGTCTTGGAAGTTATCCAGCCAGCATTAATCTGGTTTTTGCAATATGGCTTAATAAGACCTTGTCAGTCCTCATACGATACTCCTTTCCTGCCATTAAAGAAGCCTCATTCCCATAAGTATAGGTTTGTGCAAGATCACAGAGCTATTAATGATACTGTGGAAGACATTCACCCCATCGTGGCTAACCCATACACTATGTTTGCTTCACTACCTAAGGATCACGAATGGTTTACAGTGCTAGACTTAAAGGATGCCTTCTTTTGCATACCAGTAGAAATAGAAAGCCAACTATTGTTTGCTTTCGAGTGGACAGACCCTGAGACAGCTGCACAGTTTCAATATTGCTGGACTGTGCTCCCTCAAGGGTTTAAAAACTCCCCAAGTATATTTGGAGAGGCTTTGATTCAAGACTTGAGAGGCTTACAATTAGAAAATGGGGTGCTACTTCAATATGTGGATGATTTATTAATTTCCAGCACCTCAAAACAAGAATGTCAAGAAAACACTGTAAAGACCCTAAACCACTTGGCAGCTTGTGAGTATAAAGTTTCAAGTAAGAAGGCCCAAATATGTAAGCAAACTATAGAATACTTAGGGTTTTTGTTACAAGAGCAGCTAGAGCCCTGACGGTGGAAAGGCTAAGTGCAATTGCCTCCATCGTGATGCCCACAACCAGGAAGCAACTAAAGGGCTTCCTAGGAATGGCAGGATTTTGTAAAATCTGGAGTCCCAATTATGGGTTAATAGTAAAGCAGCTATATCTAAAAGGAGCAGACCATGGGAAATCGAACACCAAATCACATTTGAGCAACTAAAGCATAAATTAATATCTGCTCTGGCTCCAGGACTGCCAAACCCACACAAACTTTTCCAACCTTATATGCATGAAAGACTAGGTCTAGCACTCTGGGTCTTAACACAAAAACTGGGAGAAATACTACAGCCTGTGGCCTATTTTTCAAAGCAGCTCCATACTGTGGCTAGGGGCTGGCCCCCTTGTCTTAGGGCAGTAGCCACGACCTGCTTGTTGCTCAAGGAAGCTGAGAAGCTGACTCTAGGTCAGCCCACCATGATTTCTGTGCCACACTAAGTCTTGGCGTTGTTAGAACAAAAGGTGGCTATTGGCTAACAGCGGGCAGATTGGGCCAATATCAGGCTATCCTGCTCGATGACCCTGCAGTGAAACTGCAGACCACTGGAACCTTAAACCCCACCACTTTGCTGCCACCTACTGGGGAATCAGAGGAACTAATACATGACTGCCCAGAAGTTATTGATCAAGTGTTTTCTAGTCCCCTAGATTTGAAGGACACAGCCCTCTCATGTGCAAACTGGACATTGTTCGCAAACAGGAAAAGTTTAGTCATTAATGGAAGAAGGAACGCTGCCTATGCTGTAGTGAGTCTCAGAGGGAATAGAGGCAAGAACTCTCCCAACAGGGACTTCTGCACAGAAAGCTCAGTCAATCGCCCTTACCAGAGCCTTGCAACTGTCCCAAAGTAAGAGTGCCAACATCTACACTGATTCCAAATATGCCTTCATAATAGTCCATGCACAGGGTGCTATCTGGAAAGAAAGGGGCCTACTGAAGGCTGACAATACTGAAATCAAATACGCAAAGCAAGTGTTAGAGCTACCAGAGGCAATAAAGGCCCCAAGAGAAATAGCTGTTATGCGTTGCCCAGGCCATCAGTGCAACAATTCTGAAGTAGCTAGGGGAAATGCTTTCTTAGATTGCACAGCCAGGCACCTAGCCAGCTCCAATGTTGAACTCCGGGTTCCTTTAATTCCCCAAATAGATTTGGCAGCCTTCAAACCTAGGTACAGTCTTGAGGACGAAAAGGCTACCAAGGACAAAGGGTTTATTCAGGATGAAAAATGACTGGAAATTGAATGACAAAGGCCTAATCTGGGTGTCAGAGATAAAATTTCTTTTATCCTATTCTTTCTGTTTACACCTAGTATTGTTTCTGCATCCACTGCTAACCTCCTTCTACAATGGGCACAGGACTATGCAGACAGCCTCCAGCATGATTCCTGTTAGGTCTGTGGCCTGTTACCCCTTTCTAGCACCACCGTGGTGGGTCTCACCTATGCAAGGGAAAGATTGGAGACATTTACAAGTCTTCCTGGATTTAAAACACTGGACCGGCTCACAAATGATGGGAGTGACTAAGGCAAATGTGTCAGAATGGCTGCACAACTTTCAATGACCCAGGACATGGGTCTTTCCTTCACCCAATACTAAAATATATTCATGATGGCACAACTTTTGGGCAAGATGCCTCATTAACTTTCATATAGAAGTATACGAAAAGGAATGAGGGCCCATTTAGAAAGTATAATCCTACGATGCCACTTTTGCACTAAAAATGAGCCCAACAACCATAATACAGGACAGCCTGGACAGCAAGGGAGAGGGAAACAACCACTAGAGAATTGGCAAATTGACTTTACTCAAATGCTACCTGCCCCAGGAGGGTACAAATATCTCCTAGTTCTGGTGGACACCTTCTCAGGCTGGGTAGAGGCATACCCATGCTGCTCTGAGTGGGCAATGGAGGTAGTTAAGGTACTGCTAAAGGAAATCATTCCTCGATATGGGTTTCCTGACATTATCCAGAGTGACAATGGACCTTCATTCACATAGGAAATCGCCCAACAAGTAAGAAAAGTGCTAGGGATAAAATGGAAGCTACACACAGCCTGGAGGCCTCAGTCCTCCAGACAAACTGAAAGAATAAATCATACCTTAAAAACAACCCTCGCCAAGCTATGTCAGGAAACACGGCTAAAGTGGCTTCAGTTGCTTGGGATTCCTCTGCTCCAGGTAAGAATAGCTCCCAGAAGTGGGATCAAATGAAGTCCCTGTGAAATCATTTTCAGGAGGCCTTTTGTAGCCAACTTGTCCCAGGTGGCTAGAATGTCTCCAGACAAGGAACTAGCTATTAAAACTTATGCCACTCACTTGGAACAAACTCTTAATCCCTTGCATAAATTTTCTTCTAACAGAAACGTCATAGACTCCGTGGAAGCCCACCACCCGTTCCAGTCTGGAGATCAAGTGCTGCAGAAAGAATGGAAGGAAGCTGGTCCTGCCCAACAACTACAAGAGAAATAGAAAGAGCCCTATGATGGGCTGTTGACTACCGACTCAGCACTGAAACTAGCAGGCATCAAACCTTGGGTTCATCATATGTGGGTAAAGAAATTCCAGTCGCCCAAGAACTCCACCACAGAAACACCTGTAGCCACTCAATGGGAGGCAGAGCCCCTAGAGGACCTAAAGTTTCTATTCAGAAAACGATAAGAATTTCTTTTATCCTATTCTTTCTCTTTATACCTAATATTGTTTCCGCACACACTGCTAACCTCTTTCTACAATGGGCACAGGACTATGCAGACAGCCTCCAGCAGGATTCCTGTTGGGTCTGTGGCCTGTTACCCCTTTCTAGCACCACAGTTTACTGTGGTGGGTCTCACCTATGCAAGGGAAATATTAGAGACATTTACAAGTCTTCCCGGATTTAAAACACTGGACTGGGTCACAAATGATGGGAGTGACTAGGGCAAATGTGTCAGAATGGCCCATAAACAACTTTAAATGACCCTTTAAATGACATGAAAAGCCATTCTTGATTAACATAACAAGAGACGAAGTTATAGCACTAGCTACTCCCTTGTTAGAACCAAAAGTGCCCATCCAAACTTTTAAACCCCAAAATGTTTGATACCAGAGTGGCTTTCTCCAAATTTGGGTTGGGCTCATATGGTTAACCACCTCTACTGGGCACTTGAGTCAACTAGCCCCCTTGTGTTGGGAACAATGAAACCACTCCCTTGACCACTGACCCAATGCCACATGGGTTATGGGATGGATTCTCCCAGATCGGTGCCAACATATTATAGCACTCCAGCAAAGGGATGTATTTGCCACAGATTGGTCTCAACGGCCCGGCCTAAAGATTGGGAGCAATGGCCCAGTATGCTCCCAACAGGACTCAATGGCTTTGTGGCACCAATTTGTGGCTGTGGCTCCCTGTGGGCTGGCTAGGACGCTGGACTCTAGGCCTCCCATAGCACAAGGTTGCTGGGTAAAAAAAAAAAAAAAAAAAAAAATCCAGCCTGTTGTCCACATATGATTAATAGGTGGACTAGGTCAGTCTTTCATTAGTATGATCATCTAGCTGCAATATTCATGCCCTCAGTAGGGCTAGGAACTGTCATATGGCACATAGAAGCCCTAGCTAACTTTACCAAAAGGGCTCTGAATGACAGCCTCCAGAGCATCTCTCTAATAAATACTGAAATGTGTCACATGCGGAAGGCTATTCTATAAAACCGAATGGCCTTGGACATCCTTACTGCAGCTCAAGGGGGAACTTGTGCCCTCATCAAAACTGAATGCTGTGTGTATATTCCAGATAACTCTGGGAACATCTCCCTGGCATTAAAAGATGTGCACCAGCAAATTCAGGCCATCTCCAGCCTAGAGCTGTCACTAAATGATTTCTTGCATCATGGTTTGGTGGAAGGCCCTCTTGGTGGCAGAAAATTCTGATGTTCTTAGCCTTTCCTAGGCATAGGAGTCACTTTATGCTGTGGAATGTATTGTTACGGTGTGCTGTTTCAGAACATTCCTTGGACTCATGCAGTTATGTTTCAACAGGTGCTACCCCTAAGACTCCGAAATGAAAAATACTTCAGAGAACAGGTGGACCTCTTCCACTCCAACCCCAAGTTCAAGAACCCCTGATGACGACCCCTCTCAGCAGGAAGTAGCCAGAATTATCACAACATCCAGTACCCCAGCAGCTCCTCTGGCACAAGCATGACAGAAATCATGCACAAATTGACAGTGGGGATTCTGGCAGCCCAATTCTCCTTGACAATCACACAGAAAAGTCTGTATGACAATCACACAGACAGGCCTGCGTAGCACTTCAGTTACACAGACTAAGTTCCACAGAGCTGCCTTAACATTGAGCAAATAGTTAAACCTAGGGAAATCAGTGCCCAGACATCAAAGCTAGAAATGAAACGTATGGTCAGTAGGAGCCTTGCATGGGCTTCTCCGTAACCTAGAGCAAACCAAAATAAAGAGACAGTCTTGCATTTCTAGTGCCAGGACCCATCTCGGGTCGATGAAATCTGAGATGAGTCAAGGCATGAGAGGCAGCTGTTTGAATAAATTCATTGGAGCGCCTAAGGCAGATCTCCAGACCAAGCTGTAAGGGAGATAAGATAGAAGTCATCACTGTTGTACCACAGTAGACAGGCCTTGAAGGTACTGGGCCCTTTTAATCAGACTTAGCAAGCATTTTTGTCTCTGATCTTCTAGTCGAAGCAAAATTAGTTACCAATAGGCTTAGGCAAACGCTATACTGCATGTAGGCACATAACCCCAACCTATATAAGCACTAAGAAAATTGTAACACTCTGAGTTGGTCTGGTGGAATTATCTCCGGCCTTCTCCCTGTATCCAGTTACAGCAATAAATTCCATTCTTCCCTAGTTTGTCTGCTTCCCGTTACTGGGCCACGAGAAAACGCAGCCAGACCTGGCTTGGTTCCAGGAACATGTTCCACAGAAAATGAAAGGAGAAAACATGGCATTCAGAAAACAAGAATTTTTACACTGGAGACAACTGAAGGGAATCACCAGACTGATGGAAGGGAATCCCAGGATGACTGTGTGTCCCAGGTCTAGAGGGTGATCAGTGAGATGGCTCTCAGAGAGGTCAGAAGCCCTCAGAGACCTTGTTTGAAAAAAATGAAATTGATAGAGTATCCACTAGGAATAATTATATTAAAAATGATTCAGACAACAGGAAATAGTTCAGGGTTAAATTCGTGATAACTACTTAAAGTCATCAAAAAGGACACATTTGTCCTACCCTCTCTGTACAAACTGTTTTTCAGGGGAATCAAACAGTTGATAAAGGAAAAGTTTGTACTGACAGAAGAATTTTAGCTAATGCAGAAAAAATACTGGATTTATTATTTTTATTTATTTATTTTATTTATTTATTTATTTATTTATTTTTGAGACAGAGTCTCGCTCCGTTGCCCAGGCTGGAGTGCAGTGGCGTGATCTTGGCTCACTGCAAGCTCTGCCTCCCAGGTTCATACCATTCTCCTGCCTCAGCCTCCTGAGTAGCTGGGACTACAGGTGCCTGCCACCATGCCTGGCTAATTTTTTGAAAAATACTGGATTTAAAAAACGCCATTTAAAATACCTTATGAAGTAATATTAACAGATATAGGCAATGATCATCAGTGAGTGCTAAAAAGTATTAGGTGAAAGGTAGGAAAGAGAATTTTATAATGAGGGGATCAGGCTGACACCACCTGCATCCACTGATCAATCTTAGCATCTCTAAAACTGAGATGCTAAATATCTTGTGCCTTATAATGTGACATAATTAGCTGTGCTCAGCATTAATTGTCTTAGTTTGGGTTGTTTAAGAAGCAGGCCTAGGGAGAAGGATTCTAGTACAATAATTTGTTTGGGAGGTGATCCTAGTGGATCTAGTGGAGCAGGAAAGTGTTACAGGGACAGGAAGGAAACCAATAGTGTTTCATCAAAGAGGCATCCTAGGGCCAGACGTGGTGGTTCAGGCCTGTAATCCCAACACTTTGGGAGGTGGATTGCTTGAGCCCAGAAGTTGCTTGAGCCCAGAAGTTGGAGACCAACTTAGCCAACATGAAGAAACCCCCTCTCTACAAAATATGCAAAAATTGGCTGGGCGTGGTGGTGCACACCTGTAGTCCCAGCTACTCGGGAGGCTGAGGCAGGAGAATTGCTTAAACCCGGGAGGTGGAGGTTGCAGTGAGCCATGTTCATGCCACTGCACTCCAGCCTGGGCCAAGCAAGACACCGTCTCAAAAAAAAGACATCATGGGAAACTGAAGCTTAATCCCACTAGGGAACACTAAGAAACAGCATTGAACATATGCCTCAGAGTATATTACCTAAGAGGAGAGGGAGTTGGGGTATTTATGCAACACTCTTCAGTTGTTAGTCAAGGACTACTCTCAGGAAATATTCATTCCCTCATATTTTTGGATTGCATGCACATAGGTCAAGAAGACACTGGTCCCAAAGGAAGCCCTCATGCAAAGAAATGGAACTATTCACAGGTGGAAGTCAGAATGATATTTGCCATGATAGTAGGAATTAAGGGAAAATGGGTAGGCACCAGCAGTGTTTCCTATACTGCCCATGAAGTATTCCTTAAAACAAAAAAAATAGCATGTGTATATTTCTGTAATGTTTCTCTTTTTTTAACACAAGAAGTTACTATTTTTTAAGAAGAGAAAAAACAACAAAGAATTCCACAAGGAAAACTATGCATATGTACACACATGTGTATATGTACACACAAACATTCAGAGGAAAAATATTATGCTACAAGCAAAAGTAATGATGGTTTTACTACATAGCTCAGTTCTAAATCATACATAGTCATGATAATGTAAACTATGAATATAAACCTTAACAAGATTGCAATATAACTAGATGGAAAAGTTGAAGGGATATGAGAATAAGTATGTGTGTGGTGGTGCTGGTAGGAGAAGAGAAATAAATTTTCACTTTCTATTGTGAGAAACCAATAACTAATGCTTCTAAGGTCTGAATGTTTGTGTCACCTTAGGATTCACATGTTGAAATCCTACCCCATGCCCAAAGTGATGGAATAGGAGATGGGGCCTACCCATTCAAGTCTCTGGGACTTGCCAGAAGATTTCTAGGTCAGTCTGAGAAAATTACCCCTCTAGTCAAGCAGTTTCATTTTACCAATGACTCAGCAAAACTGTGAAGGTATACCTTCTCCACCAAGGAAATTTACTCGAATAAAAGCATGGTAAGAGGAATAGGGCTTAAAGAAACCTTGAAATATCACTTATTAATTTCATCTGAAGCATTTCCTTGTGGTTAACATAGTCACTTTTTTCCTTAGAAAAAAAGCCCCCAAATAATGAATTTTATAAGTCCAGGTTATTAAAAATTATATTATTAAATTATGGCTTGCCTGTAATTTAAAGGAGCTCTTCACAGTGAGTGGAAATAACTTCCTAGAATTCTAGGTTTCTACCAATTATGTGGCCTTGAGTAAACCATGTAACTTCATGAACCTCAGCTTTCTCATCTGTAAGATAAGGGCTGGAGGTGGATAAATTTATCTCAGGATGTTCTTTCTGCTCTAAAATTATTACAGGTTCTTAATTTAGGTGCCAGTAATATCTGAGAATAGTAATTTAATCAAAACCACAAATGGTCTTTGTACCCCTTACTCTATGTAAAACATTGTCTTAATATTAATAATTTCTATATGTTAAAGTAACTGAGTAGTAAGTAATGAGATGCAGCATGTATTCTTTTCCCTGGCTTCTTTTAGCATAATTATTATGAGATTCATCCAGCGTTTTCATGTGTATCAGTAGTTCACTCCATTTTATTGCTGAATAGCATTTTTATGGATATACCATGATTTGTTTATTCTTTCATCTTTTGATGGACATTTGGGTCATTTCAGTTTGGGGCTATTGCAAATAGAATTGCCATGAACATTCATATACAAATCTTTGTGTGGACATAGGCTTTCTTTTCCCTGGGTAAACCTAGGAGAGGAATCACTGGGCCATATGATAGGTGTATGTTTAATTTTTGTAGAAACTGCCAGAACTGCTTTCCAAAGTGGTTGTACAATTTAACATTCCTCACAGTGACATATAAGAGCTGTAATTGCTCCACATCCTCACCAACACTTGATATGGTTGGTCTTTTTACTCACTGTAGTCATATGCAACAGTTTCTCACTGTGGTTTTAATTTGCACTTCCCTAATAATTGATGATGTTGAACATCTTTTCATGTGCTGATTTCCTATCTACATATCTTCTTTGGTTAAGGGTCTGATTAGATATTTTGTCTTTGTTTTATTCAGTTCATTCTCTTATTATGTTTTTAAAATTATATATCCCATCTCAGACATTTTATTTTTTATCTCTAGAAGTTCAACTTGGGTCTTTTAGAAAATATCTTTCATACCTCTATTTAACATGAACAATCTTCCCCCATCCTTTTGAATTTATGAAATATAACTATTTTAATGTCATTATCTATTAATTATATATGTTTACTTCTTTTTGTATTGATTCATTTTTCTCATTCATACCTTTTTCTTTTTGTTCTCTTCTTTCCTCCTAGTTATTAAGCCTCTGACATTGTGAATTTTACCTTGTTGAGTACTGCATATTTCTGTACTCTATTAAAAAAAATTCTTGAGCTGTGTTCTGGGTCACAGTTAAGTTACTTGGAAATAGTTTGATTCATTCACATCTTGTTTTTAGCAGCTTTTTGTTTAGGGTTAATTTTTCTCTATTACTCAGAACACCGTCTTGAGTACTTTGCCCAATGCCAAAGTTTTCCGCTCTGGCTGGTGGGAACACAAACTCTTTCTGCTGGGTGTGAGCTCCGACATTTTCCCTCTGCTCCTTTTAGGTGGTGTTTTCTCTGGCCTACATTAGTTTTCTCACTTGTCTGTGTTCAGGTGGCCTTTCTATAATCTCCGGAGCTCTCTCTGTGGTAGCTCCCTCTTCGCTGGTAATTTGCCCTATCTCTTGGACCCCAGCTTCATATCCTTAACTCAGCGTAACTGCTGGTTTTTGTCTAGGCTCCTCCTCCCATCGCAATAGCCTGGAAACTCTCTGCAGTTAGTAAGCTGGGGCAATTATAGGGCTTACCTCATTTGTTTTCTCATCTCTCAAGGATCACTGTTCTTCACTGCCTGTTATCCAAAGTCTGAAAACCACTGTTCCACAGAGTATTGTGTTGAGGTTATTTTAGTTGTTTCAGGTGAAGTGTATGTCCCATCCCTGCTACTTTCTTTATCTGCCTAGAAGTTGAAGTTGCCTTTTTTAATACTATTACTTTTTATAGTAAAAAGTATAGTAAAGTAACTATACTTTTTATAGTAATAATTTCCTTGCTTTATTTTTTAAGTTTCACCATTTAAATATATATCCTTAGACAATGTAATTTAGTCTTGCAGATTTAAAAGTATGACATGCTTTTAAGTCTCTTTTAATCTGTAAATTATTCCTCTATTCCTTCATTACCTTACAGGAAGAGGGGGAGCTGGCCTAAGTAAATTTGGAAATGAATGGAGTCTATGAGACTAAAGGTAAAAGGAACTGCACATAGACATTGTACTCTAGTGTTAAAGTTATTCCCCATAGGAGTACAGGTTAACATTCCCAAGCTGCTATACATGTGTAATAGAATTGAACAATTAATTAAATGGATGGCAGATGGTGGGAGCCAAGTTTCTCACTGTTGGGGTGGGAATTGATAGTTGAGCAAGGAGGTAGGGCTAGGATGATTCATATGCTAATGGATCTGAGTTAAAGATGTTGGTAGGAATTCATGTTTAGCTTAATACACAGATGATTTCGTCTAGAAATATTTTTACATATGTGTACATATGGAATTATTATATGCACATATATTTCTTTATCAGCTGAGACAGCTCAAAAGCAATGACACCCCAGTAGCAACAAGTACACCTAATGCCCAGATCTTGGTGTTTCTAATAAAATATCAGTTAGAAGCCACAGTGGCTTTTAATACCATTTCCAACAAAAGGAACCAGGGTTCCTTGGAGAAATGGCTGATTCTAGAACTAGGACAGAAAACATACAAGACGAGCCTGGGGCATGTTGTAGTGTCAGAAAGTAAGGAAGTACAAAAACAAACAAACAAAATACTACCATAATTGTATGAGCCTGTGAAAGGAGCACAGGCGCCAACTGAAAGAGCTCCCAATGGTCAAAGATGAAACAATTTGAGCAATAAAAATAAAGTAATACAGGATTACCACAAGTATAAAATAAAGTGAGTCCATACTGATATAAACAACTAAATAAATTAATAAATGGAAGAGACTAATATCCCATGCAGAAAAATTCCAACTAATTTATATAGATACTCTGCTCTCAAGGAAAGAAACATAAATCCTTACTTCTTAAATACGGGCTGTGCATATCTCCTTCCAAATAATACATAATAGAAACCAAGTGAAAAAGAGTAACTCTATTGTGAAGAAACCTGGCGAACACTCACTCAACAATATGATCAAAATCAACAGTAATAAATCACGTTGATAGTATGTAGCTTTGACACGATGTGATGAAATGACACTGCACCTTTGTAATCTTTCTCTCCAAAACCTATAACCCCAGTTGAGATATGAGAAAAATAGCAGATAGATAAATTCCAACAGTGGGATACAACAAAATACCTGGACAGTACTCCTCAAATCAGTTAAGGTCATCAAAAATAAAGAAAGGCTAAGAAACTGTCATAGCCAAGAGGAGACTAATGAGATATGACAAATAAACATAATGTCGTGTTCTAGATGGGATCCCGAAACAGAAAATGTAGGTAAAGCTAAGGAAATCTTGACAAACTTGATCTTTGTTAACAATAACGCATCAATATTAGTTCATTAAGTATAACAAATGTACCATACTAAGGTAAGATGTTAACAATTGGAAAAATTGGGTTTGGGGGTATGTATTAATTCTGTACTGTCTGCTTCATTTTTCTACAAATCTAAAATTGCCCCAAAAAAGACTATTTTTTTAAAAAAGAATCCTGGCAGCCCAATGCAAATATGCTTCTGTCTCATGTTAAATCCTCAAATGCTCAACATCCACTGAACCTTTTCAAACAACAACAGCTGGCAAATTCTGTTTACCTCTGGCATCTCAACTTCGTTAATGCCGCCTTACCAGTGATTGACATGGTGTTATATCAGTATTCTATTGCTTCTTCTCACTTCTGTGGACTTAAAATGAATTATCTGGGTGATATTACCTGCTCCCTCTTTCTAATAAATATCCTAGAGAGTGGTTGCATTTTGACTTCACCGTATACTCAGACTAGGGAGCATGCCAGCAGAACCTATCTCCTGGTTTTCCATTGTTCCCTAGATAGCTCTGTTTTGGTAATTAGTTAACATTGGCACAGTTCCAGCTTCATGGGTGTCCATGTGCTCTCTCTTTCCACTCATTGCCTCCTTCTTCTATTTAAGTTAATTAAATAATTACTTTTCTCATTATTTTCCGATAGTCATCCAGGGGAAATAACATGCTCAAAACTATAATTTTCAGCATATATTTCAGAGATCCTTTAAAGAAACATTCTCACCTAGAGCAATTTTTATTTTCTGCAGCTATTGACAAAAGCATTTCCTCCAGCAGTTGAAAAAGCTGCCTAACCAGCTGGTTTACCAGCATGACTTGTAGTTGGGTTTCCCAATAGAAGTCCCCACTGGGCTTGCACATTGGTGAAGGGACATGTAGTAGTGGCACTTCTCCCCGAGCTAAACAACTGAAGGAGTGTTTTCTCACTCTGAACAAGAGTGCATATACTCTTTTCCTGATGTTACGTACAGTTAGACTCTTTCCCATAATAAGAAATTGAGACAGGTTGTGTCAGTTAATGGAGTTTTATTCTAAAGATGGAGGGAAGAAAAGGGGAAAGGAGGTGTTTTCAGCAGCCACACAACCAGAAAATAGGCAGAGCACCCTAGGACTGCATATAATGGAAACTCAGTTACTCTTAGCTTCTGCTGCTATTTGTCTTACCCCTACCAACTAATTGACTGATTTTCTCAAATTCAAACTACTCAAAAGAGAAGATATAATTTGATCTGCCTATCACAATCCAATTTAAGCTACTCATGTTTTCTCCTTCTCCTCCTCATCCTCTTTCTTTCTCCATCCCTTTTGCTCAGCCTTCCTATAACCTCTAGTCCTTTTCTCTTTGGGGGCTCCAAAACACTGAGTAGGTCACAGTATCCTGAGTTTTTGTGATGTAGAGTCCTCAAAAACCCACACATTAATTTCAAGCAAGCCACTCAGAAACCCAGATGTTGCAATACTATTTGATAATGGTGAGAATCTTCCCCCTTTTAGAAAGATTTTGTGCTAGGCTTCCTTATCATTGCTGGCTGAGCTACGAATGGCTGCCTTTGGGTCAGGTGCTCAGTTGGGTCTTGTCACCTGGGACCAGGAGATGGGATCATGTCATTTAAAGTGCAACAACCAATTCACTAGGAAACACCCAGATAGAAGCCATGGGTCAGGAAGAAAATGAATCACATACTACTCTTTTCCATAATAGACCAGTGTTCCCAAAGTTCCTTCAGTGGAAACACCACTTCATTGGGAATGCAGTGTGCATTTTGTGAAAAAGGATCTTCTGATAAATTTCATTCCACAAATATTTATGAATGATTACTAAGTTCCAGGCACAGTTCTATACTCTTAAATATCTGAGGAACGCTGTGTTACACAAATTAAACAGATTTTTATGCTGCAAAACTCTTACCACTTTTAACATGCCAGTGAGCCCAAGTGAAGGGCTATAGATTGTACTATCTCTCAAATTTATAATACGAGTGCTCTTTTTCTGAAAAACATTTCTTAAGCCTCATATTACACAAAACATACATCTTGAGAGACACTTAAGTATACAGTTGAAGATCCAGGAAATCACACTGTCAAAGGACACATGTATTGTAGCTAGTCTCCACAGTTACCCCCTACCCCTGATGAACCACATATCCTGGTATTCATACTCCTATGTAGTCCTCACCTACTTTGAATCCAGGCTGAACTTGTGACGACTTACTTAGCCAACAGAATGCGGTAGAAGTGACTGTATGCCAGTTCCAGACTCAAGCTTCACAGCCTCTTAAGAAGTGTGGCTACCTTGCTGGAAAAACTGCATGAAGAGGCCACATGGAGAAAAAGAGGTTCTCAGACTATTTGGAAAAGACCAAGGAACCCACCCTGCAGGAAGAACCGAAGTCCCAGATATATGACCCTGTTGAGCATTAGCCAGATGCCATCATTCATGCCATCCTAGATGAAGTGACAGACATGGGAGTAAAGAAGCCTTCTTGGATGTCCCAGTCCCAGTAGCTATCAAGCAAATCCAAGATGAGCCCTCTCTGTATGTCCAAGCCAAATGCCCAATGCACAAAATTGTGTGAGATGATAAAATGCTTGTTGTTTTAAGCCACTAAGTTTTGAAGTAGTTTATTAGGCAGCAATAGTTAAAAAAATATTAACTATTCTGGAAAAATTACTACATAAACAATGTATTGCACCAAGATTACATTTATAAACACATATGTCTATTTCAGAAATGACCCATTTTAGAGGAAATACTTTAAATATCATTTATTTATAGAGACTTAAATAATTTCATGGTTTATTATAATAATTTTCATTCATTTACTTTTGTACCTCTTTATCAGTAAAAATTAAAAATCAAATAAAAGTTATAAAATATTTAATCACAGAGAAACCAATTTAATTGTACATATTTCTTGCAGTAAACAAATTAAAATGCTTGCATACAATAAGAAACTAAGAAAAAATTGGATTGAACTTGAGACACGCATTTGTTTATAAGAGGCTAATCTAATTAAAAGCACATCTGTTTGTTTATGCTGCAAGAAATCTCAATAGCAATTAGGAAATTATAAATTCCTAACATAAAAACTAGCCCTAATTTTAGTCAGAGGACACCATCCTGTTATTTATAAGCTTGGGGGTACTAATTATTTACCGTGCAGAAGGTAAAATGCACTAGTGAAACACAGTACTCCTTCTCCTTCTCCTCCTCCTCTTCCTCCTCTTCTCTTCTCCTTCTCCTCCTCATCCTCTTCCTTTCTCCTTCTCTTTTGCTCAACCTTCCCATAACTTCTAGTCCTTTTCTCCTTCGATGTCCAAAATACCGAGTAGGTTATAATATCCTGCGTTTTTGTGATGCAGAGTCCTGAAAAAAAACCCACACATTCATTTCAAGCAAGCCACTCAGAAGCCCAGATGTTGCATTACTATGTTATAATGGTGAGAATCTTCCCCATTTTAGAACTCACCCTTTTCTAGGCTGAGCAGCCTAGTAGCATAAGATGCACAGGATCCTAAATCACAGTTCTTCTGTCCTTACATTAAAGCTGCATTCTTCTTGGTTAACATTACTAGGCATGACTTTCTGATATTTACACAAATTATTTCATACAGATGTTTTAGTATATGCAAATGACTAAGCAGAGTTGTTTAATAAGAATTTAAATATTTAAGACTAAGTTTTCATTTTGGAATTACAGTAACACATTTCAAGAGAATACAAAAAGATGCACTAAATAACATTATGTCCAATAAAGCACAAAGTTAATAATGTTGTTTAAGGAAAAACTGGAAGAAAGAGGGCATTTTTTTCCTATTTCTTTCAACCAAGTGTTTGGAGGCTATCATAGGGTTGTCTACTTTGTTTTGTGTTTCTTTTTAACATGTTGGCTTCAATTCTTCAGTTTTGACCTTTTGATCTGTCTTTCATCTGACAATTCCAGGACAAATGCTGGAGTATAACACATATTTAATGGAAGTATTATAATTCAGGCAGACTGGCATCTCTCTGGTTCCTATAAGAATTTATTTCTATCAAGCAACAGTAGTACTCTATGTTACCTCATTGGTTAGCATACAGTGCCTAGTGTTAACTTTCCTTTACCTTCTAATCATAAATTAGATTCTACTATGCTAATCTTAAGAGCAACCGTTGTATTAAAGGAAACAGATCACTATAATTCAATCTAAATTTACTTAGAAGTAATTATTTCATTAAAGGTACTATACCTGAATAGATCAAGAAACTGCTCTCTAGTTGTGTTTCTGCATAAATAATAAACTGACTGAGACATGAAAGAGTACCCTGAAGAAACTATAGATATGAGTACGGTGACTCACTGGTTTGAAGAACAGAAAGTTTCTCTGTGATGCTCCACAATGTTTTCCTTTCTTCTAGTTTTTTTTACGTTAACTTTGTGATTTGTTGGACATAATGTGTGTATACAATCTGCCCTCTGCAAACTGGAAAGTTACAAAAGCCCTTGGTGTAAATATTTAGCCTTAATCCAAAGGCTTGGGAACTGGGAGAGCTGACAGTGAAACTCCCAATCAAGTTTGAAAGCCTGAAAACCAGGATAGACCATTAGTGTAAGTTCTGAGTCTGGAGGCCCAATAACTGGAAGCTCTGATGTCCAAAGGCAGGACAAGATGAATCCACTAGCTCAAGAAGAGAGAGTGAGGACAGGCACAGTGGCTCACATCTGTAATTCCAGCACTTTGGGAGGCCAAGGTGGGAGGGTTGCTTGAGGCCAGGAGTTCAAGACCAATATAGCAAGACCTCGAGCTCTACAAAAAATAAAATTAGCTGGATGTGGTGGCATATGCCTATGGTCCCAGCTACTCAGGAGGCTGAGGCAGGAAGATCACTACAGGTTGAAGCTGTGGTGAGCCATGATCATGCCACTGCCTTCCAACCTGAGAGAGAGAGGGAGACCTGACCTTCTCTGGGGGGAAAAGAAGAAGTAGAGAGAGAGGGAGTGAATTAATCCTTCCTCCATCTTTTTGTTTTACTGAGCTCTGTAAGGATTAGACAATGCCCACCCACATGGGTGAAGGTGTGTCTTCTTTTTCCCAGTCCACCAATTCAAATGCTAATCTCTTCCAGAAACTTCCTCACAGACACACTGAGAAATAATGTCTTACCAGCTATGTGGGCATCTCTTAGCCTGGTCAAGTTGACAGTAAAATTAACCATGACAGGAGTAAACCTAGATAAAGCAAAAACTACAGAAAAACATATGCAAATATGTTTTACCTCTCATCAAATCCTAAAAAAATGATATTTTATCTAAAGAGAAAGAACCCAAGATGGATAAAATCTTTGATATGTTAATTCCATTTTTACTTTGTGTCTATGCATGGAGGAGTATGGGGGTATAGGTATACACAATACATACTTATGTACATACTTGTATAAAAATAAGACCAAGTTATTTTTTCACTTGGACATCAAGGTAGAGATACTATAGATGTCTGTTAAAACAGAATTTGGGGGGAAAATCTGCACTGATTACTCTTTAACCAATCAAACTAGTCAGGACTCCTTTGGTCACAAGTGAGTGAAACAATTCAAATGCAATTAAGACGAAAGTGTCTTTATAGGCATAAAGAACTGAAAAGTTTAGATGTAGTACAAACTTCTAACACAGCTGGTTTGAATGCTCAGAAGACATGAGGATTGTTTCTATGAATCCCTCAGCTCTCCGTCCATCTGTGTCAGCTTTACTCTGGAAAAAGTTTTTAATGAGGAATATCAGTTTGGCCCGCAGCTGTTCCAGGCTGCCATCCTAGACTAAAAACTTCAGCAGAAAGACAGGAACCAGAGAGATGCAGGTCTGTCATGCTAGGAGGTGTCCAGGGACTGCATCTTATCTTTCTGTCCTTGACAATAAACCCACCTATTCTAGAACTTATCACAAGGCTGGGGTGAGGGCAGTGTATGGAATGTTCTGACTGGCCAGACTAAGCCACAGGTCTTCTGGAACTTGGGGAGGGGCTGCACAGTAGGAGATGTTATTCCCACACAAATGATAAGAAAAGATGGAAAATGGAATAATTCACTAAGGAAAGTTGGAAGTTCTTCTACCAATATTGGGAGGGATAAATACTTGACAAATAGCACCTTCATATTAACCTGCTTAATTTCTTTCTTAGAAGGGTATACAATAGGATGGGGTGGGAAGATTCAGTTATTTGTACTTGATAGTTATTTGAATTCTAGAGAAGGGAGAGTTTATTCAGTTAAAAAAAAAGTAGATTCAAGAAAAGTTTAAGGACTGTGGAAAAGATAACTAGCTCTCAGGGACAGTAGCAAAGAGCAACTGGCCAAAAAATCATACTACTGAAGTTTTACAGTTGATTTCCTTTGCCTTTTCTGACCTAGCATCACCTTTTGAGCACCCTTTCCACATCTAGGCAACTTTCTGCCTTTTAATCCACCTCCACATGGTAGAAGCCAGAAAGCTCACTTTGCCACACTCACTTGCGGCGAAGCTACAGGCATATAACCTAGGCTACCCCAATCACACACACCCATGTGAGACATCATCCCAGAAATGAGCTACATGGCAAGGCAGGAGCTGAAGGAAATCCACATTTTGGCATAGGTAGCTGCTGAGATGTCATCTCTCAAGGTCAGAATGACAGAATTCCTGATGTTTCATATCCAGAGTGAGTGGTGTATGCTTTAGTGTCCAGTTGCATCAGAGCCTTTACTGCCACAATCTCACAATGTGGTTAGAGCATTGTTTCTGACTGCATAGCCTCCAAACCCAACTCTTTAACCCTCCAAAGACTCTCTGAGCTATCTAATATTCCTTAAGAAATATCCTTTTTCTGCTTAAACTAGCAAGAATCTTAATTTGTAAACAAAGACCCTAATTGAAACAGTGACTGTATCAAATTTCTAGGGCTGCCATTACAAACTACCACAGAGTAAGTGGCTTAAACAACAGAAATTTATTTTCTCATAGGTATGGAGGCTAGAAGTTAGAGATCAAGGAGTCTTCAGGGTTGGTTTCTTCTGAGGCCCCTCTCCTTGTCCAGGTGGCCATGTTCTCCCTGTGTCCTCACATGGTTTTCCCTCTGCAGCCATCTGTGTCCAAATTTCCACTTCTTATAGGGACGCTAGTCATATTGGATTAGGACTCACTCTAATTACCTCTTTAAAAACGCTGTCTCCAAATACAGTCACATTTTGAGGTACTGGAGGATTAAGACTTCAACATATAAATCTGGCAGAGACACAGATCAGCTTGTAACAGTGACCATAACTGTACCAGAGATAACAAAGAGGACCAAGATTTGCAGAGAAGAAATTTACCGTTGCTATCAAAGAAGTTAATGTACATACTCTACAAATGAAAGAGGAGTATTAAAATATTTATATTGGAAAGACAAATTTATGTACTGAAATTTACCACAAGTATAGCATGGTGTAAAAGAGAAAACTGAGCAATCGTTAGATGAGTTTACCAGTGCAGACACTAGATCCTAATAATAAAATTGGGTCAAAATTATTTGGATAGTTGACTAAACTTTATATTGAATGTTATACAGTGACCCCAACCTAAATTCTGTACTTACTGTAGGAATAAGTATAGCCCTCCTAGATTAAGAACACGGACATTGGACAGTCTCTTGGTTTACACAAATCACAGTTTTGCCACTTACCAGCTTTGCAAGTTTTCTGTACCTCAATTTTCTCATTTGTAAAATGGGAGTAATTAACGGCATAATTTTAAAAGTCAAATATGCATTATATGCAAAACATTTATAATACCTGGCTGATAATGGTTTGGATTTGTGTCCCCACCCAAATCTCATGTTGAATTGTAATCCCCAATGTTGGAAGAGAGTCCTGGTAGGAGGTGATTGGATCATGGGGGAGGATTTCCCCCTTGCTGTTCTCATGATAGTGAGCGAGTTCTCACAATATCTGGTTGTTTAAAGGTGTGTAGCACCTCCCCCTTCACTCTCTTCCTCCTGCTCTGGCCATGTAAGATATGCCTCCTTCCTCATCACCTTCCGTCATGATTGTAAGTTTCCTGAGGCCTCCCTAGCCATGATCACTGTACAGCCTGTGGAACCATAAGCCAAATAAACCTCCTTTTTTTTTTTTTTTAAATAAATTACCCAGTCTCAGGAAGTTCTTTATAGCAATGAGAGAATGGACTAATACAGAAAATTGGTACTGGGAGTTGGGCATTGCTATAAAGATACCTCAAAATGTGGAAGTAGCTGTGGAACTTTTTAATGGGCAGAGGTTGGAACAGTTTGAAGAGCAAAGAAGAAGACAGGAAGATGAGGGAAGGTTTGGAACTTCCTAGAGACCTGTTAAAAATGCTGGTAGTGATATAAACAATGAAGTCCAGGCTGTGGTGGTCTCAGCTGGAAATGAAGAACTTATTGGGAACTGGAGCAAAGGTCACTCTTGCTATGCTTTAGCAGAGAGACTGGTGGCATTGTGCCGCTGCTCTAGGAATCTGTGGAACTTTGAACTTGAGAAAGATGATTTAGGGTTTCTGGCAGAAGAAATTTCTAATCAGCAAAGCATTCGAGATGTGGTTTGGCTGCTTCTAACAGAATGGGCTCATATATGTGAGCAAAGAGATTATCTGAAACTGAAACTTATATTTAAAAGGAAGAAGAGCGTAAGAGTCTGGAAAATTTGCAGCCTGACCATGTGCTAGAAAAGAAAAAAAAAATTTGTTTGCGGGGGAAATTCATGCCAGCTGCAGAAATTTGCATAAGTAAGGAGGAGCTGAATGTTAATAGTCAAGACAATGGGGAAAATGCCTCAAAGGCATTTCAGAGAACTTCAAGGCAGCCCCTCCCAATACAAGTCCAGAGGCCTAGGAGGGAAGAGTGATTTTGTGGGCCAGGCCCAGGACTCCATTACTCTGTGCAGCCTGAGGACTCTGCTTCTTGTATCCCCACTGCTTCAACTCTAGCCATGGCTAAAAGGGCCCCAGATATGTCTAAGGCTGCTGCTCCAGAGGGTGCAAGCCTTAAGCCTTGGCTTCCACGTGGTGTTAAGCCTGTGGTACACAGAGGGCAAGAGTTGAGGCTTAGCAGCCTCCACCTAGATTTCAGAAGATGTATGGAAACACCCGGATGTTCAGGCAGAAGTTCAGCTGCAAAGGCAGAGCCCTCGTGGAGAACCTCTACTGGGGCAGTACAGAGAGGAAATGTGGGATTTGAGCCCTCACACAGAGTCCCCACTGGGCCACTCCCTAGTGGAGCTGTGAGAAGAGGGCCACTGTCCTCCAGACCCCAAAATGGTATATCCACCAATAGCTTGCACCATGCACCTGGAAAAGCCACTGGCACTCAACGCCAGTCCATAAAACCAGCTGAGGGAGCTGTACCCTGCACAGCTACAGGGGTAGAGCTGCCTAAGGCCTTGGGAGCCCACCCTTTGCATTAGTGTGGCCTGCATGTGCAACATGGACTCAAAGGGGATTATTTTGGACCTTTGAGATATAATTACAGCCCTGCTGGGTTTCAGACTTACATGGGGCCTGTAGCCACTTTGTTTTGGCTGATTTCCCCTTTTTGGAATGGGTGTATTTACCCAATACCTGTATCCCCATTGTATCTTGGAAGTAACTAACTTGTTTTTTATTTTACAGGCTCATAGGTGGAAGGGGCTTGCCTTGTCTTGGATGAGACTTCAGACTGTGGGCTTCTGAGTTAATGCTGAAATGAGTTAAGATTTGGGGACTGTTGAGAAGGGATGATTATATTTTGCAATGAGAAAGACAATATTGGGAGGAGCCAGGGGCAGAATGATATGGTTTGGCTCTGTCACTACCCAAATCTCATGTCAAATTGCAATTCCCATGTGTCAGGGGAGGGGCCTGGTGGGAAGAGATTGGATCATGGGGGCAGATTTTCCCTTATTGTTCTTGTGATAGTGAGTGAGATCTCTCACGATATCTGCTTGTTTAAAAGCGTGTAGCTCTTCCCCCTTTGCTCTCTTCCTCCTGCTCTGGCAATGTAGGACATGCCTGCTTCCTTTTCGCTTTCCTCCATGATTCTAAGTTTCGTAAGGCCTCTCTAGCCATGCTTCCTGTACACTCTGTGCAACTGTGAGCCAATTAAACCTCTTTGCTTTATAAATTACCTAGTCTCAGGAAGTTCTTTATAGCAATGCAAGAATGGACTAATACATGGGCATTCACTAAACACTCAACAAATCGTGGTTATTACTACCTAAAACAAACTAAATTCCTTCAGAAGTTGTAAACATCCAATATATTTTATTCTTTTTAATTTCCCATCCAATACATTTCCATGACTAATTGCAGTATTTTCCTACCATTTCAAAGATTTTTCTCCCAACCTTCCCCTCATGTTCTTTATTTACCCTAAATGATCCTGGGCATTTGCTACTTTCTCATTCTAGTGCTTTCCTCATTCACAGCTGTCTTCACATGTATAGATACATAATCATTAGTAACCTCTTCCTTTCTTCCCTAAATTTTTAAAACTCTCCTCAGTTACCTCAGGAAATTCCTTCTTGATCTCTGGTTCCAATTTTAAAGAGTCAAGATCCAGTTATATTTTGAAGTAACCTTTTTATATTACACGAATTTTATGGGAATAATTCTAAAGGTGAACACTAGATGGCAACATTTTTAAATTTTGCTGTTCTAAAATCTAGTCTGATAGATGGCAAATGCTGAGAGCCTCCAAATAGGAGTATATAGTTCTTTAGTTTCTTAAACATTTTTTCCTTCTAGTTTTTAAACATCAGATAAGCTTTTAGATCTCTCCATAAAGGAACTGTATGGTGTTTAATTCTTAAAAATAAAGCATTTCTTTTTTATATCTTATATAATCCCTTTTTATATCTTATATAATCGTTCTAAAATATTTTCTAATTTTATTTTTTCCTTAAAATAACAAATCTAAGCTGTATCTATTTATTAATTGTGCCATATTCTGTTTAAGGTATTTTCAGTAGTTTAGTTCTTTGAAATAATAAGCTTTTATTTAATTTTACAGAGAGCTAGAGATGATATTTTATATAATATATATAACAGAGGTATACATACTTTTTCCTTTCCTCATGTGTTTTCTTATGGAAATTTGAGCTCAGAGACTAAAAATAACAGGTGAGAATTTCCTGTCATGAGGATGAGGAAGAGTAGGGGTGTAGTTTCTACGAAAAAGTAATTGTTTTGCAAATCTTCTAATTTTCCTTAGGAAGTGAAAATGTGAACTGGGATTTCATTCCTGGTAAAAATGTAAAATTCTTTAAATAAAAATATACCTTATTATAAAAATATATTTTACACTAAGGAGCTTTTAATACAAAACATCACTTAGGACTCCAAGACCAAAATGGACAAAGAATAGGAACGATAAAGAAGACATGCAAAAAGCTAATTACCACATGAAAAGGTTAAAAATCACTAGCAGTTTTACAAAGCAAGAATCAAATGCTCTTTTGCCTTTAAGTTTAGCAAAAATAAAAACAATGTTTGCTGTCTTCCCCTCCCCATTATCAGACTGAATATTCAAAATATTGTAGTAACAGCCTGAGTTCAAATCCCAGCTCAGAATTCTACCTATCTATCTGGACTTGGTCCAATTTTTTTACTTCTCTCCACTACAGTTTCCTAATCTGTAAAACAGGACTAGTTAGCAAAATGAGGATTAAATATGTTAATCCATGTAAAGTTTAAAAAAGGGTACCTGGGCTGGGCATGGTGGCTCACGCCTGTAATCCTAGCACTTTGGGAGGCCGAGGTGGGCATATCACAAGGTCAAGAGATCGAGACCATCACGGCCAACATGGTGAAACCCTGTCTCCACTAAAAAATACAAAAATTAGCTGGGTGTGGTGGTTGGCACCTGTAATCCCAGCTACTTGGGAGGCTGAGGCAGGAGAATCACTTGAACCTGGGAGGTGGAGGTTGCAGTGAGCCAAGATTGCGCCACTGCACTCCAGCGACAGAGCGAGACTCCGTCTTAAAAAAAGAAAAAGTACCTGGTTGGCATGATGATATTTTGAATACACTGAGTTAAAGAGAATATATTATTAATTTTGTAAGAATACCTGGCATATATGTGTTTACCTAATATATGTACCAGTTATATTAGCATTGTATAAATATTACATAGTATAAATATTATAATTTTATTCCAGTGGTGGATTGGGTATAGAATGTTTAAAAAAATAAACAACAGAACTATAAAGATAAGTAGACAAAAAAGGCTACAGAAATATTATTAGAAAAAGAAACAGAAGGATCTTCTAGAAATGTAACTGTTTAATTTTTTAATCAATAAACAGATTAAACAGGTTTTAAAGGTATTTAGAAATAAACTGAGCATCAATAATATTCACAATCATAAATAAACTTAACTCACTATTAAATGGTTGATTGTCCAGTTGTATTTAAAAAATCCAGCTAAATACTGTTTAGAATACGGGGACATAAAACATAAGGACATAGTAAAAAGTTAGTAAAAAGATATACCTGACAGATATTAACCAAAAGAAATCTTGATGGAATATTAGTATTGAAACAAGTTTATGACCAAAAATATAAAAACAAAAACAAATCACCCCAAAACATTATTAAGGAAAACTAAGTTCACCAAGAAGCTTTAATGATTTCAGTTTTGTATGTGCTTGATAAAAGAGCCTTAAAAATATAAAGCAATAATTGATAGAATTACAGGAAGAAATGGACAACTCTACCATATAATGGAAGATTTCAATATTCATTCACTCATCTTATTCAACAACTATTTTTGAGTGTCTGCAGGCTAGGGACTCTTCTACTCACTGGGAAGAAAACATAAAAATCCTTACCTTTTTGAAGCCTAGATTATAATGGAAGGAGAGAGAAAATATATACAAATACTTAAATATAGTATAACCTTATGGAAATATATCCAGGATAACATAAATTCTAAAACTATAAAATGGATGTTTCGCTCCCATCCACCACTCTATCCTACATGTAGAACAGATAGGGAGGAGGAATATTGCTTTTGTTCTGAGGTTGGGGGATGGAATAGGGTACATAATAGATAGGGCAGCCAGGCAGCAAACTAGCACAAAATCCACAGGAGAAGTGGAGTTCGAATCCCGCTTGCTCAGTAATTGCCCCATTCAATATTCCCAAACTGGGCCAACAAAATTTGCACTATCTAGCTAGGAATTTCCTGGAATCATTACTGCTTTCCTGACGTCCAGTCAACTACAGGCCCGGAATCAATCCCGTCAATATTTAGGTTGGAGTGGACAATCACCGCCGGGTGGTGCCAAACTGCTAGGACCAGGATTGATTCGCATAGTGAAGCAATATCTCCAGGACTGTGCACTCTCCTACTCATTTTATTAATTTCCCGCTGAAAAACAAGAAAAATAAATCAAAGATGAAAGGTTGGAAAGGAAGACAAAGGACTTCATTATTTTACAAATGATACAATAGTGTATACAAAAATTCCAAAGACAACCTACTAGAAGCAGTAAGTTTACCATATCATTGCTATGCAAAATTCAGCTGCATTTCTATAAAAATCTAACAAGTACTCAGTAAACATTTCTAGAGCATAACAAGCACAAAGAAAATTTAATGTAAAAAGAGATTCCATTTAAATAGCTCAAAAATAGAATACCTAAAATTAATTTAATGAATAATAATAAAGCCTGTACAGAAACGTTATGAAACGTTATTAAAATACACTCAGATCTAAATAGGCTGTGTTCATGGAAAGGAAAACTCAATTTTTTTCAAAGTCAGTTGTCCTCAAATTGATCAAGAGAGCTAATATAATCACAATCAAAATATCAATAGAAATTTTGTGAAACATGACAATTTCAACATAATTCTGAAATTTATGGAAAAGCAAGAATATCCATGGCATGCCTCAATTAAAAATGGAAACTTGGCCAACAAGATATCGAAACTAATGATGAAGCCATAATAATTCAGATAGTATTTTGGCATAGGGAAAAGCCAAATGACCAACTGAACGAAAGAGAGAACCCAGAAAGACCAAAGAATATATGGAAACTTGATATATAACAGATGGCAATGGTGATCAATGAGAAAAGTTTATACTAAAATTAAACAGATAAATTTCTATTTATAATAAATAAATAGGGAAAAAATCTTTCTACCTTAGAGTAAAATCTTATGTAGATGGAAAGATGAAGGTAGAAAATCACCATTTGGCAATCATCATAGTAATAACTGATTCAGACAAAATTGCCAACCAATGCCAAAACTAGTGGGTTGCAATTTGGTAAACAACAGAGTAGTTACATCCTCTCAAACTACTTCTACTTAAATTACTTTATTACAAAGAAGAAAAAACAGTACTATTAGAGTGAATAAACCTTGAAGACATCACCTTAACCAAGTAATCAAAGTTGACAATATCAAAATTGGGAAAAACTGATATTTTATTATTTCTGTTGTGTTGCATGGGAAAGAACACAACCTCATCTATATAGTATTCCTGATAAAAAATGGATAACCTAAATGCAATCATAACGAAACATCCCATGAAGAAAACCTACATTCAAGGACATCCTACAAAATAATTGGTCTGAACCGTTAAAAAATGTCAAGGTCAAGAAATATAAAGATAGACTTAGGAACTGTTCCAGATTAAGGGAAACAAAAGGGACATGACAACTAAATGTAATACGGGATCCTGGATTGGATCCTGTACCGGGGGAGGAGGAGATGGAAGGGTAGAACAGGGTGGCTATAAAGGATATTTTTATTAGGACTATTTTATTAGGACAACTGAAGAAATTTTAAAATAAATTATAGACTAGGTAAAGTATTACATTAGTGTTAAATTTTCTAATTTTGATAATTGAATATTCTCATTCTTAGAAAACATATGCTCAAGTATTTAGGCAATGAGATGTCATCTGCAACTTATTCTCAAATGGTTCAAACAACAAAACATGCATAAAAAGAGATAACAAGAAAGCAAATTTGGCAAGTGATAATAATTGAATCTGGTGAATGGTGTACAGGAAATTTTGCAATGTTCTTGAAACTTCCCTGTGCTTTACATTATTTTTAAAATTAAAAGCTAAACAATAGCAAGAGAATGGTAAATAAAAAACTGAAAACAGTGGTTACCTCAGAAAGTTGGGGAAGGCCGCAGAGTGAGAGAAGGGAGAAAAACATAGGTAAGTGCAACAGTGCTGGTTATATTCTAGTTTCTACATTAGAAGATGGAATTTTGAACATTCATTGTGTTATTTAGCTTTAATTATCTATGTGGTCAGCCCTCCATATTCATGGGTTCTGCATCCCTGGAGTCAACTGACTACAGATTGAAAAATATTTAAAAACATACAAACTAAAACAACAATAAAAATAACACAAATTTTTAAAACAATACAGTAAAATGACTATTTACATAGTATTTAAACTGTACTGGTTACTATAAGTAACCTAGAGATGATTTAAATTATGCAAGAGAATATGCACAGGTGAAATGCAAATACTATACCATTTTATATAAGGAACCCAAACATCCACAGATTTGGGTATCCCAGGGGATTCTGGAATCAATTCCCTGTGGATACTGAGGGCTGATTGTACATTATACATTATATCTTTGTGTATGTATCAAATATTATATTTTAAAAGAATAAAGGGAAAAAAGGATAATGAGGCATGAATCGAATATGTCTGATGAGCTGTATGAAGGCATGAGCTGTATGCCCTTGAGTATGTTTCTTTTTCTCTCTGAAGTTCTGGTTCATCACCTACAAAAAAAAAGGGAATAAAAAGATCTATTGTGTTGTTTTGTGTAAAATGTTTGGCAGCAAGTGCTCATTAGATGGTAGCTGTTGTTATTTTCTCTGATAGGGCAGAGATAAAGGCAGAATACCCACAATGATAGGCTTGATAAAAGTGATGAAGATTTGGAATGTTCTTCATCACCAATTGGTAAGGAAGTTTCCTAGGGAGTAAAACTGAGCCAGTGTTGGGAATGAAATAGATAGAGAGTCAATGAGCTTTATATATATATTTTTTTTCTCAGCTGCACTCCATAGTCTGGAAGAAAGACTTGGAAACAAAACCTCAGATACTTATATTGAAAGGTCTTGAGGAAGGTCAACAAAGCAGACGGGGCTGCAGAGAATGAGGCAAGTGCAGCTGCTCAGGGGATTCTGCCTGGGCAGCAAGCTTTCTCTTATCTGAAATGTTGGGAAAGGAGACACTATTTAGGGGAAGTCAAAGATATAAAGTGAGCTGATAATTTAGTAGGTTAACTAGAGACTGTGCATGGAAGAATGCCTAACAGAATAACAGTTTTCCAGTACAGAATACGTGAATTCATTTCTAATTTATACATGAAATAAAAAAATTCTTTTTAAATTTTGTATTTCCATAGGTTTCTGGAAAACAGGTGGTATTTGGTTACATGAGTAAGTTCTTCAGTGGTGATTTGTGGGATTTCAGTGCACCCATCACCTGAGCAGTATACACTGAACCTAATTTGTAGTCTTTTATCCCTCACCTCTCTCCCACACTTTCCCCCAAATCCCCAAAGTCCATCGTATCATTCTTATGCCTTTGTATCCTGGTAGCTTAGCTCTCACTTATGAGTGAGAACATACGAGGTTTGTTTTCCATTCCTGAGTTACTTCACTTAGAATGATAGTCTCCAGTTCCATCCAGGTTGTTGTAAATGCCATTAATTCATTCCTTTTTATGGCTGAGTAGTATTCCATGGTATATACATATACACCACAATTTCCTTATCCAATCATTAATTGATGGGTGTTTGGGCTGGTTCCATATTTTTGCAATTGCAGTGTGGAGATTCCTTAAAAAAAACTAAAAGTAGAATTACCATTTGATCCAGGAATCTCACTACTGTGTGTCTACCCAGAGAAAAAGAAGTCATTATACAAAAAATCATTCTTACATGATATATGTACAACTAGCTTGTACAACTTCCCGTATAGTTTGCCAGTTTTTATGTACCAACATCCCTAAACAAATTTTAAAAACTCAATTAAATATATATTGAGCAGCCAGTTTGTTCAAGGACAGCTTCACTATAAGGTATATAATAAAAGAACTGTTATAAGTCAATGATTGAGTGAAATTTTAATTTTTCAGTGTCAACTCTTTTATAGGAATGAGCATATACACACAGCTAACTTAAGCCCACCATGCATGAAACTGAACTCAAAAAGTATGAAAAGTAGAGCAAATTTAATGATGTTTATACATCACTAAGAGTCAATTCAGTGAAAAAATTAAATAACATCAATTGTTTGGTATCCAAAACTTGAAACTTTTTCTATGTAAACAGTATATAGAGACAATCTATCTCTCTAAAATAATAGAAATATTGCCAAAGTACTATACTATACTAGTTGTTGGTATGTGGGAAATTCTTTTGGTTACTTGTTTCTGTGTTTAATTTTGTGAATATTAATTATTTATATTTTACATCAACTATTTATCATTATCTTATTTTTATATCAATATGGTACTTTTCTTTAGAGACAAGGTCTCACTATGTCACCCAGTCTGGGGTTGAGTGGCGCAATCATAGCTCACTGTAACCTTCAACTCCTGGTTTCAAGCAATCCTCTCACCTCAGCCTCCCAAGTAGCTAGGCTACAGGTATGGGTCATTATGCCCAGCTAATTTTTTATTTTTATTTTTTGTAAAGACAGAGTCTTGTTACATTGCCCAGGCTGGTCTCAAACGCCTGGCCTCAAGCAATCCTTTGGCCCTGATCTTCCAAAATGTTGGGATTATAGGCGTGAGCCAATGTACCCAGCCCAACATGAACATATTAATTAACACAATATTATCTATCCTTTCTCCTTTCCTTGCTTCCTGTACTAAATGCAGACAACGTCAGAGATGAAGGCAGATATTCAAGTGGAGGATTTTAAAAGAAATTCACTATAAAATTCTGGGAGTTACAGGTACAAGAACTAGTAAGCTAACTATTGTCTTGTTTTTACTCTGACAGCTTTGCTACAGTCACTGTGTTCTACACAAATAGAACGATATGGAGAAGTTATGACAACTAAAGTGAATTTCCTGAGAAATGTAATTTTGGAGAAATTGAAGGATTTAGGAAGAGATGATACTCACAGAGACATAGCAATGTTGCATTTGAACTGATGTAACAAACTGATTATGAAGAGGCATAGTGGAAGAAAGGGATATTCAGGGGAACAATAAAAAGTCATCTGTGACCAACTAAAAATCCCATGTTCAAAATAGCTCAAAGAATCAAAATGCTACTCTTATTTTAATCACTATGTTTTGAAATAAAAGATAATGTCTTAATTCATTACTTATATTTCTGCCAAAATTATCTTTGAAAAAAATTTCTTAATAGAAAGAAAAAGAAAAGAAAAAGATAATGCCACAGGATTATTTAAATAGAAATGGAGATTTCTGGTTTGACCTGGTGAATTGAATAGATGTATCACTTCTATTCTCTCCTGAATGCCTATTAATATGACAATAATAATATTTAAAATATATAGGCCTAAAAGAATCAAAATTACAGGAGAGAAGACACAGGGGGTCAGGAAACATCAGTGTATTTTGGAGGATGGAAAGCTTGATTACTCAGGGGAATAGAGGAAGCTGAACCTGTTTCTTTAGAAGGAGGAAACAGAACCAAGCTGCAAAGGCTCAAGAATTGGGTTTTGCAGAAAGGGAGTACAAAGCCCAGGTCTGGAATTAAGAGAATCATTGGAAATTCTGTGTAAGAGGTGGTTAGACCCTGAAAAGCCTCAACATCCCCTTCCAAATTCTCAGACTTGAGATTTATTCCTTACAGAACATGAATCACAAAGAATTTAGGCTTACAGACAATGGGAACAGAAAGATTCAAGAGGAGATATGGGACTGAAAATAGGTGGATTAGGTGGAATCTATATATTTACCAGAGAAACACACCCCCAATCCCTGCCAGCCCTCATTCCCTGTCCCCAAATACTCGCAGCCAGACACACACACATCCCAGGGACAAGACTTTGAGAAACTTTCAAGACAGAAACTGAATGACCCCTGAGAATATGCTACAGATTCAAAGCCATTTTCAGGCATGTAAATTCTCAAATAGGGAGAAAATCAGTAAAGAAGAAGCTAGGATTCTGGAAACATGGGCTTCCACAGAGAAGACAGCTGAGGAGATTTCCCAGGAAAATATCAAAAGAAAGTGCCAGAGTAACGAAGCATAAAATGGAACTACAAGGCAACCAGTCAAGATTGGAGCAGGAGAGTAAAGATTTCTGGAAATAAATTCAAAATGGCACTCAGATTATCTGACAAGCATTGGAATATGTGAAATCGCATTTAGAAGACAAGTGAATGAATAATTGACAAAATTATTGGCTCCAGGGGAAAGGAAAGGAAACATAATTATGTCACACTACTAGTTTCAGCAATGAAACTAGTAGTAGAAATTATACACACATAACTAGTAGTAGGAACTAGTAGTAGAAATTATACACACATAATTTTATATACAAAGCATTCTACTATTTACCCTGTATGTTATAAACATTTTCACATTTAAAACTTCCTTTAAGCTTAATATTTTAGTATTTATGCAATAATGTATCTATTAATATCATATAACTAATCTATTATAGCACCATAATTATTTCATTTGTGTCTCTATTATTAGTCATTTAAATTTCTTTTTACTTGTTTTAGTAGGTTCGGGCAAATAGGCACTTTTATGCACTGGGAATACTTAAATTCCCTGACCTGGCGAATTTACTTCTAGAATCTATCCTTGAGAAGCAATTATAGAAGTGTGTAAATTATATATGTCATGTCGCTCTTTGCTGAATTATCAAATAGGAGAAATTGGCAATGATCTAAATTACCAACAATAGGGTAATTACCAAATAAATTTTGATTTACTACATAACACAGTATATGGTCATTTAAAACATGAGTTAGATCTGTTTGGGCTGCCTTGGAGAATAATCCATGACAAATTGATGAATGATGGGATGGGAATGGAAATATAAGTCTTTGGTAAATTAATAGAGCTCATTTTTTGTGGGAAAAATACTATATGTGTGTATTTATAATAAATATATACACAGATGTTTGTACAGACATAAAAATACATCTAGAAAAATATATAATAAACTCTTGATAATGGTTATCCTTAGGAAGTAAGATTAGGCTGGGCAGGAGAGAAACTTTTATTTTGTATTTTTCAGCATTATTTGAATTACCACAAGCATATATTACTTTGATTATTTTTGAAAAACATAGATAAATACAGACAATCTAAATAGAACTTATGAGGTAATTACATCTTCAAAGATGGTCCACCCTAGTAGCTTTTTAAAATTGCTCCTGATCAAACAGGAGACTCGCCAGTCCCATCAGTCCTCCTTATTTAAAGGGAAATGAAGAGAGCCCAATTTTCTCTGGAGTTGAACGCGTTCTGGATTACCAGTATTTTAATTAGGCAAATGAAAGTCAGCTTTCTATTTTGATATGTTATCACTCCAAGGGAGAGACTGAACCAGGTCAATCAAATAATGTTTTCTGGGACTGAACAAGATCAATCAAAAACTTTGGGCCTTCTCAGTTTTGCCCTTCTCAGAGTCCTTAAGGGTTTCACAAATAGGCAGAAGTCTCTATGAATACTCAAAATCATCTAGAATTGTCAACTTCAGACTTTCTTTTTCCAACTCTTTTAGCTTATAGAAATTAGAGTGCAAAAGTGCATAATCAAATTTCTGATTATTAATACTTTTAGCTGAATTTTAGTTTAGAAAAATATGGACCAGGTTAAATGAAAGTATGCCACAGGGTTTCTCAGTTTTAGTACTATTGACATTTTGAGCAGGATAATTCTTTGTTGTAGTGGGTTGTCCCTAAACTGTATCCACTGGATGCCAGTAGCCAACACCTCCCTCCAGTTGTGACAACCAAAAAATACCTTCTGACATTGCCAAATATCCCTGGAGAACAATATCAGCCTCAGTTGGAAAGTGATATAATTGGAATAGTGTTCAGCCACTAAAACAAATGGATTAGTTCTATGTATATTGATAGAAACAATTTCAAAGTAGTAAGTGAAACATGAAAGGTACAAAATGGTGTGTAGAGCATGCCAATAATGTAGTAATTAAAACCCTGGGCTTTAAAGCCAAACCACCTGGAATGAAATCCTAGCTCTTCCAGGCTGGGCGCAGTGGTGCAGTCTGTAGTCCCAGCACTTTGGGAGGCCAAGGCAGGTGGATCATTTGAGGTCAGGAATTCGAGACCAGCCTGGCCAACATGGTGAAACCCCATCTTTACTAAAAACACAAAAATTAGCCAGGCATGGTGGTACATGCCTGTAGACCCAGCTACTCAGGAGGCTGGGGCAGGAGAATTGCTTGAACCCGGAGGCAGAGGTTGCAGTGAGCCGAGATCACACCACTGCACTCCAGCCTGGGCAATAGAGCGAGACTCCATCTTAAAAAAAAAAAAAAAAGAGAAAGAAAAGAAAAGAAATCCTAGCTCTTCCAAACCAGCTGTGTGATGATAGGCAATTTACTTATCTTCTCTGTCTCTAGAATTTTATTTCTAAAAGTCCTATCATGGGATTAAGATTAAGTACATATCATATAGTTAGTGGCAGGGTTAAATGTGATGATATATAGAAAGTGCTTAGAACAGTGTCTGGCATAAATGTTATGATTTGTGATCATCATCACCACCATTTGTGAAAATATGAGATTACAGAATATGTCTGGAAAGACATATAAGGAAACTGGTGACAGTGATTTCCTCTGGGCAAGGGTGTGGCTAACGGTACTGGGGAAACTTACTTTATCCTGGATGCTCTTTGGAGTGTTTTGAATTTTTCTAGTATTGCCTATTCAAACATTTTACAAAGATAATTTAGTTTTAAAAGGCTTTATAAACATGTTAGATTCCTACCTGATATTTTTTAAAAGGTACATCAAAACTTCTGAGTAGCTATTTTTCCTCTGTTGCTAACAAAATCAAAATCTGCTTGTTGGTAGGTAATCGAGTAACATCCAAATTATGCCATTTCTTTTTATTCCTGGAGATAGGGAGGAGCTTCATTCATTTCCAGTTACTTTAGAATAATAATAGTTTTAGCTGAACTTTGGTTAACCGTTTTACTTTATATTGAATTCAATGTTCACAAAAAGAGGAGAGTAAAGTAGCAAATAGCTCAAAATAATGTGTAGCCTTATAATGTGATTTTTTTACTTACTTTTGAACACAAGTTGTCTCACCAGCATAAATATCCATACTAGAATTACAGTAGCAAGGCATTAGAATTAAATTTAATAAGTAATGGCAGCAATTTATCAGAACACATTCTAATAGTGATAGGAATGCGTTCATTTGAAAATGTTTACAACTGAAAGCCCACTTCAGTGAAATATGAAATAGAATAACCTATTATCTTCTATTATCAGGGTTTCTGGTTCAGGATTTAGGGAGCTTAGAAGTGGCTACCCTATCCTAACAATAAGCAGAAAACTGAACAAACTGAAAATCAACTCTTCTTAGATCCATCAGAAAAGGGAGATCACAGAGCATAAATGGCCCCCAAAATTGGAGAGTCAGGGATATACACAGAACCACAACTTACCAGAGCAAAAACCCACAAGCAGAAACCTCGGCGGGAACCAGTGCAGGGATGACATGATCACCTATGTAAACAATCCAAAAGAATCAACAAACTCCTAGAACTAATAAACAATTATAGTAAGGTTTCAAGACACAAAGTTAATATACAAAAGTCAATGCTTTCCTACATACCAGCAAGGAACAAATGAAAGTCGAAGTTAAAAACACATTACCATTTACAATAGCACTCCCAAAAATGAAATACTAAAGTATAAATTTAACAATATGTATACAAGATCTATATGAGGAAAACTAAAATTCTAATAAAAGATATAAACGAGGAATTAAATAAATGGAGAGATATTCCACGTTCATGGTTAGGAAGATTCAATATTATTTAGTTGTCAGTTCTGCCCAACTTGATCTATAGACCCTAATCTGGATCAAAATCTCATCAAGTTATTTTGTGGATATCAACAAGCTGATTCTAAAGTTTACATGGAGAAGCAAAAGAGCCAGAATAAACAACTCAACACTGAAGAACAAAGTCATAGGACTGACACAAACTGACTTCAAGACTTAACATAAAGCTACAATAACCAAGACAGTGTGGTATTGACAAAAGAATAGAAAAATAGATCAATGGAACAGGTCCAGAGAGCCCAGAAGTAGACCCACATAAATACTGTCAACTGATCTGTGTCAAAGAAGCAAAGGCAATACAATATAGCAAAGATAGTCTTTTCAACAAATGGTGCTGGAACGACTAGACATCCACATGCAGAAATATTAATCCAGACCTATACTTTGGACCCTTCACAAAAATTAACTACAATGGGTCCTAGACTACGTGTAAAAAGCAAAGCTATAAAATTCCTAAAAGTAACGTAGGAGAAAATATAGATTACCTTGGTTTTGGACATGACTATTTAAATACATCACGAATGGCACAATCTGTGAAAGAAATAATTGATAAGCTGGACTTCATTATAATTTAAAAAAACTTCTTCTCTATGAAAGACAACGTCAAGAGAATAAAAAGACAAGCCACAGACTGGGAGTGATTATTTGAAAAATATACATCTGATAAAGAACAATTATCCAAAGTATACAAATAACTCTTAAAACTTAACAATAAGAAAATGAACAAACCAATTTTTTAAAGGGGCAAAAACCTGAATACACACCTCACCAAAGAAGATATACAGATGGCAAGTAAGCATAGAAGATATACAGATGGCAAGTAAGCATATGAAAAGATTCTCCACATCATATGTTATTAGGGAATTGCAAATTAAAACAACAGTGAGATACTACTACACGCTTATTTGCCAAAATTCAAAATACTGACAGCACCAAATGCTGGGAAGGATATGGAGCAATAAGAATTCTCATTCATTGCTTGTGGGAATATAAAATCGTACAGCCACTTTTCAAGAAAGCTTAGTAATTTCTTTAAAAATTAACCCTACTCTTACCATATAATCCAGCAATCACACTCCTTGATATTTACCCAAATGAACATAAAACGTATGTCCACACAAAAACCTGCACACAGATGTTTATATCAGCTTAAGTTATAATTGCCAAAATTTAGAAGCTTCCAAGACACCCCTCAATATGTGACTGGGTAAATGAACTCTGGTACATCCAAATAATGGAATATTATTCAGCACTTAAAAGAAATGAGCAATCAAGTCATAAAAAGACTTGGAGAAGACTTAGATGCATATTAATAGTGAAAGAGGCCAATCTGAAAGGCTACATATTGTATGATTTCAACTATATGAATTCTGGAAAAGGCAAAAGTAAGGAGACAGTGAAAGGATCAGTGGTTGGTGAGGGAGGGATGGATGAATAGGAAGAGCACAGAGGATTTTTAGGGAGTGAAACCATTCTGTATGGTACTGCAATGGTGGATACATACCATTACAATTTGTCAAAACCTAGAATATACGGCACCAAGAGTGAACGCTAGAATGAACTGTGGACTTGGGGATAATGATGTGTAAATATAGGTTGATCAGTTGTAACAAATGTAGCACTGGGGAGCAGGATGTTGATAGCGGGGAGGTTGTGCATGTATGGGGCATAGGGATACATGGAAACTTCTGCTCAATTTTTCTGTGATCCTAAAACTGCTCTGAAAAATAAAGTTTGTTAATTAAAGAAAGAAACCTAAAAAAGATAATATAGGTACATTTACCCAGAGACACATACAACTCTATGTTTAAATAAATGTGTACTTTTGATTTGTAAAAATGAAACTTGTCTTTCCTGACTCAAGGACAAGGAGATCTCTAAAGAAACTTGTGTTAGTCTGTTTTCACAATGCTGATAAAGACATACGCGAGACTGGGCAATTTACAAAAGCTGACTTACAAAAGTTCAACGTGGCTGGGGAGGCCTCACAATCATGGCGGAAGGCAAGGAGGAGCAAGTCATGTCTTACATGGATGGCAGCAGGCAAAAAGAGAGCTTGTGCAGGGAAACTCCCATTTTTAAAACCATCAGATCTCGTAAGACTCATTCACTATCATGAGAACAGAGTGGGAAAGACCCACCCCTGTAATTCAATCACCTCCCACTGGGTTCCTCCCACAACAAGTGGGAATTGTGGGAGTTACAATTCAAGATGAGATTTGGGTGGGGACACAGCCAAACCATATTAGAACTTCTCTGAAATATCTTTATAATAGAGAGAAATAAGGAAAGATAGATTATAGAAAGGGTAGGAGACAAAGGGAAAGAAAAGAGGAGAAAAAGTGGAAAGAGACCACATAGATTAAGAAGATGAAGTACACATTTTCTCTGAAACATTAAGAGAAAAAAAATATGTATATATACATACACACATACATTTCAATGTAAAGGTTATAAGTTAAGCCTGCCTGTGAAATTACTCCTACTTACACTACTAGGATTTTCTTAATTGATCGTTCCTTTTCTCCACCCACAACCCACAACCCAGCTCTAGGTATGTTAATCCTATCCTTCTTCTATAACTTGTTCCTTATGCAACTTAATATAGTTGGGGTAAGGTGAGGAGAGAGAAAAGAAAAGAATACTACCCACTCCTCCATCCCTAGAAAGGGAACTTTAAAGTTCAACTCCCTTGGCCCTGCTCAAGTTCAGGTTACAAGACTTAAGGGAGGTCTGGTTAGACTGAAAGTAAACAGCATCATGGCAGGTCACTGCATCAATATCCTTCCTAGGATGTCAGGGGACTAAGCCTCCAGGTAGCTAATCTTTGGGGTTTTGCTTTGAGCTGAATACCAGTTTCACAGAAATACAAAGAATCACTATGTTGCTGCCAATAAGCATGTGACTGGTTGAATACTGAAAATGAAGTTTGTCCTTTTTAATTGTAGAAAAGCAGTCCACCATAAGCTTCCTGTACTCCCACATATCTTGCTAAGTGAGCCAAAATTGCAGTCTTGACTATACTCGCCCCGTCCCTTTTGCCATGAGCCACTTTTCAAGATTGATGATGCACCTGGCAATCCTGAACATCAGATAAAGCACTGTAGATCTTGCATTGTACCTGTCTCCTTGCAAAGGAAGGGTTGCTTGCTGCTGTCTAAAAAGCAATGGATTTATTAGGGTTCCCCTCCTGTGGTATACACCCCTGCTGTGCACGCTCCGCCTGGCCTTCTGATCATCCTGTGGGATTTGGGGAACTGGCACAACACTGGTGATACTTGCATAACTGCTTTTGCTGTGAGTATTGAAGTCCTTTATCTCTGATCCATGAGCCTCATGCATTCTGCCAGCATCGATGAAACTGTGGGAGGCTAACTTATTAGCCAGTAGTTATTTCAGTGGAAACTCCCTTGCTTCCAGCTCTTTTTCATATTTATTTATCTCTGGGGAAAAAAAGGTATGTGGGGGTGAGTGGGGAAAGAAAGTAGCTAAAATGGCACTCAGGCATCCAAATAGTCTCCAAAATGGTATAAATCATTAGCTACCTGGTACTGACATGTGGTTAAACAGCTAAATTGTTGTACCTCAATCTAAGCATTTCCAACTCTTCCTCAAATTAGGCCTCTAAATTGGCCTCTGTCACTGGCTTTACAGGCCTCATAAAATCTCTGTGCAGTATGCACCAGGCATATTTCCAGCATTCTCCCCACCAAATGACCACAGGTCAGTGTTCATACATGGAAACTAAGGAACCCCAGGAGGGTGAAATCACAAGCATATACCTTCTCTCCCACACCATCTTTGGTTGTTTCTCCTGTTCAGGGCCTGATGGTCCCTCACTACTGGCCTCATGCTACTGAAATATAGAAGGACTGCTGCTACCTTGCAGAAGAACCTTCCACCTTGGACGATCATCCAATCAACACAATAGCTCCGGCAGTGAGAGGGACGTCATGACTTAGAAGCTCCAGCTGAGAACACCCTGACAGCTGTCAGAAAGATCCTTCACTACCATAAGGTAGCATCAGCTAGTCCATGTTCTTCTCCTTTCCCTTTCAATCTATGACATTCTGTTTCAGATACACTACAGACAGCATTTAAGTGTCATTGACCTCTTAGAACTTAGTGTCTTTTGTGAAATTCCATTTTTATTCCATTGCTTTGCTTAGCAAAGATCCTGGCTCACAGCACCAAATAAATGGTAACATTTTATTTTAATAACTATTATTATTGTTATTGTCATCTCACTCAGAGGAAAGCTATAGTGTGGTGCCTACACACACACACACACACACACACACAGAGAGAGAGAAACTGAAGTATCCATCTTTAGAATCTGAAATATGAGCTTTTGGATGAGGCTTCAGCTGTAGATAGCAGAGCAATTCTCAAAACCAAGGATTTCTTTATTTATCTCAAAATTGCCATAAGAAATGCTAGTTGTGCAATATTAACCATCTCCTCCTAAGGGACCATTCTACTAATGCTTAGACATGAAATTTATCTTCCCCATACACATATCTCTACCCATTTGAAAAGCCATTCATTTGGAAGGTCTATTTGATCAATCTAGTTTGTAGCCAAGACACCTTCCTTCAGTCAAAATTTGGAACATGTCGGCCAGGCACAGTGGCTCACGCCTGTAATCCCAACACTTTGAGAGGCCAAGGTGGGTGGGTCGCTTTTAGCTCAGGAGTTCAAGACCAGCCTGGGCAATATGGCAAAAACTGTTTCTACAAAAAAGTGAAAAAAAAAATTAGCCAGGCATGATGGCTCATGCCTGTAGTCCCAGCAACTTGTGAGGCCAAGGCTGGAGAATAGCTTGAGTCTGAGAAGCAGAGGTTGCAGTGAGCAGAGATCGTGCCACTGCACTCCAGCCTGGGTGACAGAGTGAGACCCTGTCTCACCAAAAAAAGAAAAAAAAATTGGAACATGTATCCGAGCAGAACTAGATCCAAAAGAATAAATATGAAAAAAACCTTAGTAAAATGACTGATAATAACCCCAAAATCAAGATGAAAGATATACTGTCAAAATTCTATTTATAAAAAAGCACAATAAAAAATGTATACTCCCACCAACATTGTAAAAGCATTCCTTTTTCTCCACAGCCTCACGAGCATCTGTTTTTTTTTTGTTGTTTTGTGTTTTTTTTGACTTTTTAGTAATAGCCATTCTGACTAGTGTGAGATGGTAGCATCTTATTGTGGTTTTGATTTGCATTTCGCTAATGATCGATGATGTTGAGCTTTTTTTCATATGAGTGTTGGTCGCATACATGTCTCCTTTTGAGAAGTGTCTGTTCATGTCCTTTGCCCACTTTTCAATGGGGTTGTTTTTTTCTCATAAATTTGTTTAAGTCTTCTTTTTGAGACGTGTCTGTTCATGTCCTTTGCCCATTTTTTAATGGGGTTGGTTTTTTCTAGTAAATTTAAGTTCCTGGCTGGGCGTGGTGGCTCATGCCCGTAATCCCAGCACTTTGGGAGGCCAAGGCAGGTAGATCACCTGAGGCCAGGAGTTCAAGACTAGCCTGGTCAACATGGTGAAACCCTGTCTCTACTAAAAATACAAAAAATTAGCCAGGCATGGTGGCAGGCACCTGTAATCCCAACTACTCAGGAGGCTGAGGCAGGAGAATTGCTTGAATCAGGGAGGCAGAGGCTGCAGTGAGCCGAGAGCTCACCACTGCACTCCAGCCTGGGCAACAAGAGTGAAACTCCATCTCAAAAAAACATTGTTTAAGTTGCTTATAGATGCTGGATATTAGACCTTTGTCAGATGCATAGCTTGTAAAAATTTTCTCTCATTCCATATGTTGCCTGTTTATTCTGTTGATAATTTATTTTGAGGTGCAGAAGCTCTTTATTCTAATTAGATCCCATTTGTCAATTTTTGTTTTATTGCAATTGCTTTTGGCATATTCATCGTGAAATCTTTGCCTGTGCCTGTGTCCTAAATGGCACTGCCTAGGTTGTCTTCCAGGGTTTTTATAGTTTTAGGTTTTACATTTAAGTCTTTAATCCATCTTGAGTTACTTTTTGTTTATGGTGTAAGGAAGGGGTGCAGTTTCAATTTTCTGCATATGGCTAGCCAGTTATTCCAGCACCATTTATTGAATAGGGAATCCTTTCCCCATTACTTGCTTTTGTCAGTTTTGTCAAAGATCAGATAGTTGTAGGTGTGTAGTCTTATTTCTGGGTTCTCTATTCTGTTCCGTTGATCTATGTGTCTGTTCTTGAACCAGTACCAACTGTTTTGGTTACTGTAGCCCTGTAGTGTAGTTTGAAGTTGGGTAGCGTGATGCCTCCAGGTTAGTTCTTTTTGCTTGTGATTGTCTTGACTATACGGGCTCTTTTTGGTTCCATGTGAATTTTTAAATAGTCTATACACTATTGGTGGGAGTTCAACCATTGTGGAAGACAGTGTTGCTATTTCTCAAAGACCTAAAGACAGAAATGCCGGTGGACCCAGCAATCCCATTACTGGGTATATACCCAAAGGAATACAAATCATTCTACTACAAAGACAAATGCAGACCAGGCATCGTGGCTCACACCTCTAATCCCAGCACTTCAGGAGTCCAAGGCGGGAGGATCACATGAGGTCAGCCTGACCAATATGGCAAAACCCCATCTCTACTAAAAATAGAAAAATTAGCTGGGTGTGATGGCATGCCTGTAATTCCAGCTACTTGGGAGGCAGAGACACAAGAATTGCTTGAACCCAGGAGGTGTAGGTTGCAGTGAGCCGAGATAACCCCACTGCACTCCAGCCTGGGTGACAGAGGACAGAGCGAGACTCTGCCTCAAAAAAATAAGTAAATAAATAAAATAATAATAATAAAGGCAAATGCACATGTATGTTCATTGCAGCACTATTCACAATAGCAAAGACATGGAATTAACCTAAATACCCACCAGTGAAAGACTGGATAAAGAAAATGTGGTATATATACACTATGGAATATTATGCAGCCACAAAAAAGAAGGAGATCATGTCCTTTGCATGAACATGGATGGAACTGGAGGCCATTATTTTTAGCAAACTAATGTGGGAACAGAAAATCAAATACCATATGTTCTTACTTATAAGTGGGAGCTAAATGATGAGAACACATGGACACAAAGAGGGGAACAACATACACTGGGGCCTATCGGAAGGAGGAGAGTGGGAGGAGGGAGAGGATTGGGAAAAACAATGTGTACTAGGCTTAATACCTGAGTTATGAAATAATCTGTACAACAAACTCCCATGACACACATTTGCCTATGTAACAAACCTGAACATGTATCCCCGAACTTAAATAAAAGTAAAAATAAATAAATAAATAAATTTTGCCATCAAGGGGGCATTAGGTCTCTCTTGCTCATGTCTCCACAGCTAGCACAACACTTGGTGCATAGCATAAACTCACTGCATATTTTATGGAAGAAGGAAGGGAGGAAGGAAAGAAAAGAGAAGGAGGAAAGGCAGGGAAGGAGGGAGAGGGGGAAGAAAGGAAAAAGGGGAGAGGAGAGGAAAAGAGAGGAGGGAAGGAGATAGGAAACAAAGAAAGAAAATAAAATAAAGGAGTAAAACAGAAAACTCATAGTCAGGAGTAGAAGACCAACAGTAATATGCCATGATTTCATGTTTGGGAGAACTCTTCTGTTAGCTTCACAGGTAACTTGATTGTCCTTTTTCTAAATCTACTTATTTAATTTAATTCATTTAACAAACATGTACAATCACAACAGTTTAAATACATTACAGACCTGCTTCATGGTTTACTTCCTAAAATTTTTCAAGCATTTAGTTCATACACAAACACTAAAAAGTATAAGGGAGAACATAGAATGAAATATAAATTCATGTACACAGGCTTATTCAAAGTTTAGCTTTTAGACTTGTTTACTTCAAAGTATCTCCATGTGTTGATACTGACCAAACAACTGAGTAGTTTGTTAACATAAAAGTGTCATAATCTTAAGAAATAATAAAACCATTATTCTATTTAAGTCATTTTTAAAATTTCTTTGAATTGATTATTTACTGAATAGTGAAATTATAATCACACATGGTAATGAAAAAAGTAATAATAATGTAATAAAATGTAAAAATAAACTCAAAGATGGTAATTATCTTGCTAATTTAACTAAATCCAATTAGAATGAATTTGGGTGACCTAAATGATCTAGTTTGACTGACTAGATTTTCTCTTAATAGTTAATTTTTTTCTTTATACTTGATAAACTTAGTACAAAAGTACTCATTTATAATTTAAAGTGACCTATTTATCATGATTTTCCAGTAACACCAATTCCTTCAGAACAAATATTTCCTCAAAATCTTGTGCTTTACTGATAAACTATTTTTATTCACTCGATAAACATTTTCTTTTGTGTATTTTTGTGTGGGACAGCTCTTTATAAACCCCTCAAATTATTTCATTTATTTATCTTACAAGTGGAATCATAACTTTTGCGGCTGTTTTATTTGCTATGGAAAGAATACAGTGTTTTACTACAAAAGCATACCAGGAAGCCCTTTAATTCTGCTACTTCTTACCCTTGAGTTATAAAACAGGCTAGGATTATGGAGGAAAAAGATTAGAAAGCAGTGTTTATCATCTTATCCAAAACTATACCCCAAACTAGCTACAAAAGTAAGACTTTTTAAAAACATCACACTGAGAACTATGATTTTAAACCCCTTCATTTAGCTTTGCTTTGCCTTTGAAGGGTAAAAACTCCTTGAACTTTAAATAGCTTCTAAATGTTGACTCTCCTCTCTCATTGAGTTTTTCAAGTCCACAAGTCACTATTTGTTTGATCCCAAATAGCATTTGCAGGATAGGCCCCTCACTAACTATGCACATGTACTTGCCAACTGCCATTTCTAGAGCTAATTGTGGTACTACTGACCAAAGAGTAAAGTCATAATAACCCCAGGGGGTAGAACAAAGGCTAAAAGAGCAAAACTCTGTTACTTTCCTAGTCCATTTTTCTCATGTTGAATTCTTAAATATACTAAAAACAGAAGGGGAAGGAGAGGTGACAGGTAGGGGAATTTATTTTATTCTTGGCCTTAAAAATAGGGCAAATGCATATATCAAATCTCATAGGAAGCCTAGGTTATTAGATATTAATGTAATGATAATAAAATAAAAAATGTATTCTGGTATACATTAAAATAAATTTCACAAACGTTTGGCCTGCGTTAGTGGTTCTCAGCCCTGGCACTGATTAGAATCACCTGGAAAGCTTTTAAGTAACACAAAATGCCTGTGCCCAGTCCCCTTGAGATTCTGACTTAATTGTCCTGTGGTGGAACCTGAGCATAGGCATTTTAAAAATCACCAAGATGATTTTAATGTGCAGCTGCAGCTGAGAACCACAGGTCCAAATCTTGCTAAATAAATACTTGGGCAGATTTTTAACCAGAGGAATTGGTTGCCTCAGCACCAACAAACCCTTACCAAGGGTCTACACAGTCCAGGCACTGTGGTAGGCTCTGAGGATACAAAAAATTGAAAATTGAAAATTAAAGACTTCATAATACACTTGCAATTCAAATTTCTAAAAAAGTAATATTTAAAAAAAATCTTCCTTTTTTTACTGTAATAGAAATATACACTAATATATTTCTGATGAAGTAAACTATTTTAAAATACCAGGCTTGATTTGAAAATAAACCATAATTTGAAGCATAAGGACATAAATAGCAATAACAAATAAAATATTTACTAACAAAAAATGAGGACTAATGGCTCTAGGATTTAGATCAACACTAGAATGGTGAGCTCAAAGTAGATAGCCAAAAACCTCATTTTCCAGATTCATACACAATCATTTTTTAATGAAAAATCCTAAGAGTAACAGTGTTCATCACTTAACTCTGATAAACCGGAGACTTTCCACAACACAGACAGATAGAGACAAAAAACACTGGAAAAAAGAAAGCAAGAAAATGCCAAGAAACTAGCTCAAGCTATTGCTAGTCAGAAAGAAGAGACTGCTTACTACGAGAAATGAAGTGGTGAGATGATTTTAAACAACTAAAATTTAAAAAGTCAAAAAATTCTTCAGCCTCCTCAGCCAGAAACTTAATGTGGTTTTATTTATCTTGACATGTGAATTCTAAAGAATCATAATGGCTGTTAGGTTCAAGTCCTAGCTGAGGTCTGAGGGGAGTGGGTGGATGGGGAGCAGGAAGCTGGAAGAACACCCAAGAGACAGTAGGCAGATAAGACATGGTTTTATTCAGCAGCTCACCCACATGGTCAGTGCTGCATTTATGCACCTCACAAACAACAGTGGCTCCAAGCCATGTGATGAGCCCCCTATGTATGTCTACATAACTGTGCTTATATTATACATGGGACTGTGCGCCTGCGCTCCAATCCTGCTGTGTCATACAGGATGTTTACCTCAGCCTATCCTTGACCAAAGCACATCCATTACCTTACAATAGTACATATTCAACTGTGGAAATTAAAACATCCTCCAAAGGTAACTGAAATTATCAGTAGATTATTAATAAACCAATTAAAAGTTCAAAGAATTAGAGTTCCCAATTGAATAAATCCAAAGATTTGAACCATAAGGGGCCATGTTTACAAAAACTGAGAAATTGGCCTTAAAAAATAAACATACTTTCTTTTGAACAAGTCTTTGAAAAAAAGAGAAAGAAAAAACATAACCAATATCTTGCACCCTTATTGGATATCCAAATAATAAGTATTAGTATTAGCATTACAAGCAGCAGTCACATATATTGGTCTGATCCCAAATTTAGTGCTAATAATTATGTTTCCTGAGGAAAATCTGGACGGTACATAACACCTGTTGCAAGCTATTGATTTAAAATGCATAGTTTTCCTCAGATTTAAAATGAATCTCTATTCAAAGTCTACCTGGAAAGAAAGACATTGTTTGAGGGAAACCTGTAATATTTATTTGCTAGTCTTCTTGTACTTGTTTCCTTGAGAATGTCAATGCTTTTTCAATTATGAGTTATTTGAAGGAGTTCTTAGATATCCTTGGACTAGCTTGTTATGCCTGTATAAGGTCTGGTCACTACCATCTACACTACCAATAATATTAACAGTGATGACAGTGATTGTGATGATAATTCCTGGGTCCCTATTGTATGCCAGGTCCTTAATGTATACTAAGGATGTTGTCTATTATCTCATTTAATCTTCACAATTAACTCATTTATTCATAGTTTAAGAATGAGAGGACTGAGACTAAGCAAGACTTTTAAATTTGCCAAAGATCACAAAATTAAGAAGTGGCAGAACTAAAACCAAAGTTTCTTAGTCTTCTGTTTCTTTTTTTCCAATGTGGAAATCTAATACATTCCAAAAATACATGCTTACTATAGGAAAATTCTAAAACATAGAAAATTTGAAAAGGGTTAAAGGCTTGGCTCTGAAAGATAACTGGGAAATGATTTTCAGTGTATTTTCCTCTTTTTTTTTTTTTGCTGTGCTTTTTACACCAGTGCCTGTGCTCCTAAATACGAAGCTCTGCCAACTCCCCAGTGCTTTCATTTATGTGTACTCAAAATGCGTCCTTTGGGAAATTCTGGTCATATGTATGCTTCAGTTAGAAACACACACAAACGCATGGTGAGTGAGCACCTCCTGTTCTTCATTTCTACCTTCCCCACGGTTATCATTCCCTCTGTCTTGTCTATTCCTAATCAATAACTGGCAAAGGGAATGAAGCAAAAATCCAGATGACCAGATAAGCCTAGGAGTTTTTGAAGACACACCAAAGTAACATAATGAATCACTGGGAAGCAGTGTCTCTGGTCTCAGCACAGAAATCAAAGGTGTCATCAACCCAGGTTTCTTGAGAATGGATAGTGGGCAAGTTGGTATCTTCAAAGTTCAACAAGAATCTAATGACATATGCTCTAATTTCTAATAAACACACACACATATATATAGCTTGTAACTGTCTCCCTAGTGATTTTCTTCTTGAGCCAATATTTCTGAGACACAAATTTCAGAAAGTGTAGATTGCTGTAACTTCTTTGAAGGGCATTTTGGAAAAAACTACTGGAATCTAAAATATACTTACTCTTTAATTTGCAGGTTTTTTTCTAGAAATTTATTCTTCTGACCTACTCAGATAAGTGCACAAAAAGTAGAAAAGTACAAGGATATTGGTAGAGGACTGTTTATAACTGAGAGGAATTAGAAATCACTTATATATCCATCAATGAGGGATTTGTAGGTGCCCGCCCTGTGGAATTTTCGTTCTAGTGGATGTTTAACTTACCCTGCAGTTGCTGTCTTCATTGAAAATACACTCTGTGAGTTTGCATTCTGGAACTGCTCCATTACTACCTCAGATGGTATCACTGAAAGATCGTAAAATTTGCTTTTTTTATGCCAGTACAGCAGGAACAACTAAATGGAGGCGTTATTCGGTTTGTTTAAATGTTCCAAGGGTACCATAAAATTAATCTACCTAAAATTTTTTTTTCTACTAGAACCCTTAAAATATATATATTTTTTCTCCCCAAAGTGGAAAGGAATTCACATTCTCTGTTTGCTTTCCAGATTCTCTTGCAATGACAGTGGTAGATGGGTATCCAGATCAGATTTTAAAACCAGAGCCACCATTGGGGTCCTTTCAGAATTTCCATGACTCTCAAAAACTGTGGAAGGATGAAAAAAAAGAGGGAAATTTCTTCCTTGCCACTTTCCCCAGGCAGTAGTCCAAGAACAAGAATTATAATGTGTTTTATGTCCTGAAAGTCAACTATTTCAAAATGTGAGAAAAATGCATCTTTGGAAAGGAATTAAGCAACAACTATTGTTCATCTTTGCTTAGAGATTACAACCAGCCATTGTGTTCTTTTCTAGAAATTGTCTACCTTTTCTCACAAATGCAACTAATTTGGGAAAAATTCAGTAGAACTCAATGTTTAGATTATAGATTTAATTTATATAAATATCATTTTATTATTTGTATAAAGTAACAGCATACAGCTACCATGAGGATCATGTCAAAAGTTTTAACAAAGGATATAGAATATCCTTTTTTAGATGAGTACATTAATCATATGCAAATTGGACTGCCAGGGTTTAAAAACAATTTGTCTTAAACAGTCTCTAAAATATTAAATACAGGTTTGACTAGGGACCCTGTGCCTGTACAAGGCCCCTGTACTGTATTTGCAGAGAAAAATCAAAGTCCCTGATGGAGAACTAGGATGGCACACAAAAAGTTAGATAAATACCAAAAGCAAGAGCAAAGATGGTTTGGGTACTTCAAAATAAAATACTAGATCTAAATTTCTCCACATAAAACTCTTGAGCTGGAAAATATGATTACATCACAAATAGCCTAAAATATGACCCAATGCCAACCTGTAGTTATAATAATCTTTCTTACTGAAATGATGGTTTCCTTATAATGAAAAAAAAAAAAATCAAGAGAAAAAAAATCTCACATCTGTTATAAATTTCTAAATCAAGCCATTTAACAGGGCAAAAGGAAACTTCAGCATAACCAAATCTGCTGTGTTATCACAAATTCAGAATTAGTGCTATCATAGAATCTTAAGACTGGAAGCGATCTTTATCTAGTTGAACATCCAACACTCTATAACATCCTTACCAATTCGTAAGCATATATTCATTGAGCACATATCAGGTACCAAGCCTATGGTAGGTGGTTTTTAGCCTATTCTTAAAAAAAAATCTCTAAAAGAAAAAACTTCCCACCTCCCAGAGCAGACATTCTTCATTGGACAGCTCTAGCAATTATCCCTGAACTGAGAGCGATTTATCTTCTCCTAGAGTCTTCTGCAACTGTTCTAAATATGTTCACCATTGACCTCTCTATTGTAAAATTCAGTGTCCCATCTTTAATTTCCTATTGTTTCAACCAGAGTTCTCCAACCCTCTTGGGTCCAGACTGGGTACTGGTCCATGGCCTGTTAGGAACTGGATTGCACAGCAGGAGGTAGGCTGCAGGCAAGGGAGCATGACCGCCTGAGTTCCATCTCCTGTCAGATCAGCTGAGGCATTAGATTCTCATAGGAGCGCAAACCCTATCGTGAACTACACATGTGAGAGATCTAGGACGCACATTACTTATGAGAATCCATCGAATACCTGATGATCTGAGGTGGAATAGTTTCATCACGAAGCCATTCCCCCGATCCGTGGAAAAATGGTCTTCCACAAAACCAGTCGCTGGTGCCGAAAAGGTTGGGGAACACTGGCTTAAACTACGTAGAGCATTTGACACTAATGACCACAACTTTCTTTACACTTCTGGTCAAATTTCATTTCTTCTTTCCAAATTAGATCAGATACCCTAATTAGAAGCTATTATAGAATTCTACATTTTTCCTACAGAACACTTAACAGAGATTGTAAACAATTGCTTAAGAGTGTGGAACTTGATGCCAGATTGCCAGGATTCAAATCCAGCTCTAACATGTACTAGGTGACTTTGGCCAAGTTTTCTCTGTATTTCCATTGCCTCATCTATAAAATGAGGATAATAATGGCACCTACCTCATAGGTTGCTATGAGTACTAAATGTGTTAATATTCATAAAATCCTTAGAATAATGTAACTGGCAAATAGTAAGCACTGTGTTTGCAAGCTATATAGATTATTTGATTAAAGTCTGTGGTCTCTACTAGGTTGTAAATTCCATGACGATAAGAATCATGTCTACTCTGCCTACCATTTTATGTCCCCTGCCTAGTTCTGTGTCTTTGGTATCAAACGTTTGCTAAATGAGTGAAGGAATAAATGTACAAATGAGGAAATGAGGGAAAAAAATCAAACAATGGCTGTGGGATAGGTACCATCTCATATGAATATAGTGCATCCACCTAGCGATCATCCCATATCTCACCCATTCTGGTCACTGCCAAACACCTATTCTAGACCATTTTCCTGGAAAGTTCCCTTCTTGACAGAACTCAGCTAACTGTTCTTCTCTTCTAGGTCTCGTCTCCTGACTTGCACGTTTTGGATTATATACACCGAGCTTTGAGAAATGCTTATGGTTCCTTCAATCTTGGCAACTTGAATAGATACCACTTTCTAGCACATTGAATGCACTTCCTCCTTGGCCCTCAGTTTTGCTCACTCACTCGATTTAATGATTCCCCAAAACCTAAAAGTCCAAGGTTGGTGTGTGTTTAAACTGATATTGAAACTCAGATCTTCTGACTTATGATGTATGATGCCATTTAAACTCTAGAAATTTGCCATTTTAAGATAAAAGGTTAAGAAATGTGGCAACCTACTACTCAAGGTACTTACTTATTCTCCTCTTTATTTCTCTGAGTTAAGATATTTCCATTTTGGTCAGATATAAAAGTGTGGTTCCTATTCAGTATTTCCTAGTATTACTACATATTCGATAAAGTCAGATTTGCATTAGCAACTTTGTTTTGTTTTTACTGTTGTTGCATTCTCTGTCATCTCTAAAAGGGAGCACGTAATGGCATTTAAATCATATAAAACACTGGGACCATGACAAACATTATTTGCCTAAAATGGAAGCTTACAGGAGTACAAAATCAGCACTGTGATAAAATGGTGGCAAAGAGCCTCATGTCTTCGGGGTACAAGATGATAATAGGATGTGAGGGAAAAGGGATGACATCAAACAGACTTTGTCTAAAAATCTTAGTGTAGTTTTCTCATGTAATATTTAGCCACTATCTTGCGAATATGTGCATACTATAAAATATCTGGGCACAGAAACAAAATTTGAAGGCTATGTAACAAATTATGGGTATCAAAATTAATTTATCTCTTCCTGTTTATTTCCTTCAGACAGAATAATTAGTAGAACCTGGTTGAGGAGGTAGATTTCTTGGCCCTTGAAAGTCAGGAGAATTAAATACAACAGAACCATAGGATGCCTGGAGTCAAAGATCACAAAAAGTGCTCCTTGAATCAACGATCTCTCACTATCTCAATTTCCCCTCTGAAGAGTTCTCTGGAAAATGAAGCTGGAAACGGTTGTTAGATATATAAGAAGATTCTGTTTACCCAGAAACAAGTCTTTATCTAAGAGTAAAAAGGTGGTAGTGAATTCTAAATTATGTTTTTTTAAAAAAATCATAAAAATGTTTAAACTCTTTTAACACAAACAAACACAGCACATTTCAAAGTTAACATTGAGAACTTTTATAAATGTTAGTTTTGTTGTTGGATATTTATCTCGTGATACTGTTGACTATTTGCCTGATGTTAGAATAAAAGTTTAAAATTTTGTATCAAAGAGACAACACATAGATGGACTCAAAATAATGAAGTCTATTTTTTCTCTCATTTACCCTCCCACAGGTGAGTAAGTGGGCCGCTTTGCTCCACATAGTCATTCAGGGATCCAAGTTTTCTCCATCTTTCTAACTCACTTCATTTGCCTTTGAGAACATCATATCATACTTATCTGGCATACTGCCTATCTTTTTCACTGCCCTGTCTCAGTTGATTAAAATCTGTGGTCTTGTTTGTTTTTCTGGGGTTTATTTTTGTTTGGCTCGTTTCCCCTCATCTCCCCTACCTCTAAATGGTGCTTGGGCTATTTCTTTTTTCTATTATTACTCACTCCCTAGGTGACCTCATCCAGTCTTGTGGTATTAAATAGCATCTATATTGATGGCTTCCAAATTAATACTTTTAGTCTGGATCCCTCTTCTGACCTGCAGACCCAGATGTTCTATGGGTCACTTATCACCTCAGTTGGAGTCTAATAGACATCATCATCATGACATATCAAAAATAAAGTTACAAGTATTCCCCCCAAGTCCTCTTATAGTCTTCCCAATCTAACTTAACACTAATCCTGTTTCAAGTTCCTCAAGCCAAAAATCTTAGTGTCACCTTTGACTCTTTTTTTCCTCTCTTATTCCGTGTATCTAATCCCTCAGCAAATCTTCATGGCTTTATCTTCAGAATATCCAGAAATCAACAGCTTCTCCTCCCACTGCCATTAATTTGTCTGTGCTACTATTTGCTCACATTTTATTTCCTATAATGGCCTAATACCAAGTTGGCATTTCAAATCTTTCCTCCCTGCTTTATTTTTTTCTTTAGCATTTGTTCCTAATAAACTATACATTATGCTTATTTACCTTTTTTATTGTCTGAGTTCAAGGAAGGCAGGATTTTGTTCTCTTTTGTTTACTGACATATCACCAGTATTTTGAACGCTGCTTGTGTCATGGGATCCTTCACCAGCCAGAAACCTCTGTGGCTGGTGGTGCCTTCTGCCTGAGCATTACTCATGCCCACTGGGTTCATTCCACTCACTCAGCCTGGCAGGCTGCACGTGGCTTGCACTACTGGCCTGGCTCCCACACCTGCCGAGGTCAAGCCAGGTGCAGAACAGTGATGGGTGTGTAAGTGAGCAAGTGCAGGGTCCAGCCACTGTGCACAGCCAGACACGCTGGCTGCTTCAACAGGGTGGGTGGTTGTGTGAGGCTGTGGCTGAACCAGGGTGTACCACAAGCAGCTTCTGCTGCAGGTACCCACATCTGGATGAGGGGAACACAGTGGTGCCTGGAAGCTTGGAGACACCAGGAACCACAGAGCCCCAAAGAGGGTGTCACAGCCCTGGCTCGGGCAGCCCCTAGGTGTGAGCTCCCCAAAGGGTCACAACTCTTCTCTCCTCGATGCCAGCAATGTAGTGAGCAGAGGGTTGGGGGGGGGGGGTGTTTCAGCCCTGTTTGTATTACAGCTTATTCAGTCCCACCATTCAGCTGGTCTTGAGTTCTTGTCCCATGTCCAGGAAGAATGAGGTACATGGACAACTGGAGGGTGAGCAAGGCAGAGAGGAGATTTACTGAATGACAGAACAGCTCTCAGAAGACCTGAGTGGGTAGCTCCTTTCCACATGCAGGTACTCCTGAGGAGTCAAGGAGACCTGAAGTTCATATCTCCCTCCTGCAGCTGGTAGTCCCAACATCTGTGTGGGTCTGCCTGAGTCCAGGGTTTTTATGGGCTCAGAAGGGAGGAAGTGTGTGCTGATTGGTCCACAGGTGGCCATGGGCAGGACAGGAAAAAGCACCATAAGTTCTCACTCCACAGCAGACTCTACCCAGAACTGGCAGCCTGGCCCCCAGGCTTCAGGCCTTCCCTGACTTGAAGGTGGGATTTCACCAAGGACCCACCCCTTTCTGCTCAGGAGCCTGCTGCTGCCTCCTGCTGCCATTAACATGCCTTCCATGGCACCCAGGCTGTTCATGCCCAGGCGGCGCCTGCAGGCCAGTGCTGAACCACCCTCATCCCCACTTTGGCCTCCCTCCCATGCTTGTCGGCATCCAAATTCTGGAGGGGGTTGAGTCAGCAGGGGGCTGGCATGTCAGTGTTGTCCCGAGCACACACACACATGCAGCTGGATTGTGACAGCACCCAGGCTCAGCCAAAACTTTGCTCTGCTTTGGAGTGGATGCCAGGAGCAGGGAAGAGGCCAGGGAGCAGGAGCAGGCACTTTCAAGCCTGCAGGGGCAAGGGGCTTCCTGGGTCCCACAAGAGCATAGGGATGCCCAGAGCTGGAGCTGAGGCTAGGTGGCTGCAGCTGTGCCCAGGAGCACAGGGGCTCCCTTTCCCCACCGCCAACTTGGTAGGGGGCAGGGCTGCCACCCCCACCAGCTCTGCAGAGCATGCAGCCTTGACCATGCATCTCCTGCTGCAGCTGGCATCCCCACAGCGGCTATTCCATACAGGCCACTGCCACCATCACCTGCATGGAGTAGACTCAGTAAATATTAGTTGAAAGAATGAATGACTGTTGTTTCTTCTCCATTGTCTAGGGTGTTTTCCTCAACTTCATGGTTGAAACTCAGTCCCAGGATGGTCCATGTTTACCACCCAGAGATGGGAAAGAGAATGGTGGGGTGAACATGCAGTGTTTCCAAGTCTTAACCTGGAAATAAACACGTATCACTTCCACTGATACTCCATCAGGGAGACATTGGATACATGGCCATCTCTAGCTGCAAGGGAGTTTGGAAATAGCATCCCTAGCTTGTAAGCCATGGGCTCACATATGTCTCTATAATTTAGAATAAGGAAAGAACATAATCTCTGAACAGCTGGAAGCTTCCATCTTACTTGGATTTATAACAGCTTATTTTATCCAGAATGACAATGGAATTAAACTGCTTTAAAGTCCCAAAGTGAGTTACAGGCTAAAGGTAGACCAAGTTGTTCAATAATACAAAAACTCAGGAGTATTTTATAAGCTATTGATCACAAATTTGCTTACTAAAGCATGGCTGAGGCAAATCCCATTTAAAGACTATACCAAGTCCCATATATTCTTACTAATTGCTTTAGACAGAAATTGCCCAGAACATATGGAGCATATCTTCAGACTTGTATTGTTTAGTGCAACTTTATTGTTTAGTTCAACTTGCAAAAGTTGTACAGAAATAATACTGAAACTGAGGTGGAAAACAAATGTGGGTCAAAACTCCTGAAATAGTGTAAAGAAAGGAATTTGTTACTGAGTTTTCTGTCTTGTCACCTCAATTACTACAACTCCTAAATTAACAAAACATTGGACTGACTTTCCTCCTTCTAAAAGAGTCCAAAAATCTATGAAATGACCTTAAGAGATTCCAGCAGGACTTGGCAAAGGAAAAAATAAATCAAATGTTTAAAAAGAGAACTAGAGGATGGAGTGGAGAAAATCTGCAAATCCAAGTCCAAGCACAGATCCTTGCGGGAAATAGTCTCAGGTACTGAAATTAATCAGACTAGAAGTAACAGTATTATGCTTTACCTAAGATTTAAAAATTTTTAAAATCCTTTTAAGTCTTGTAAAATTAATTAATTGAAGTTAATTCCCACAGTTGGCAAATAGATTTTACATTCTCATGCACCAGGATAGAAACATAATAAAAAAGCGTTTGTTCATTGGGCCTACTATTTCAGCATCTAAAATGTATTAAGTGCCTGAAAATAAGCATGGTTCATATCTAAAAGGCTTTTGTTGACCTACTGCAAGACCTTATGATATTTTAGGCAATGAGTTTGTTTCTCTGCCAAGGAATCCAAAGAAACAGTGTCAAATAGCCATCCTTTCCTCTGGTTTTCACTGTATCACATGAAGCCATCCTTTCCTCTGGTTTTCACTGTATTCAAATAAAGACAGCTGGTGGGAGCAAGGCAAGAAGATGAGGCACTTAACTGTATACTTAAAAGCAGTATCTCAACTATTATAACTCCAAACTACTGTAACTCAGTTTCTAAACATTCTCTCCTCCCCTTTTAAAATTATTAAGAAGATTTGGATTTCATCTGACATAATTTATTAACATATGTAAAACTTTTAGCATATGATTTGCAAAGTTAAATTTTAGTTACTATTTTAAAAGTTTCTTTTCTTGATTATAGCTATATCACAAACACTCAGTTTATTGAAAAAGTTATACACCTTGATGCGCTGAGCATTTACTTGTTTTTAAGGACTTCACTACTTGTTGGGAAATTACAAAAAAACTTCATAAAATGTGAAACTCAATAAATAGAGAAATTAAAGAGCATTTTCCATTTTCATAATACCCTAGTGTACTTTAGCTGTAATACCAAAGTACCAATACAAATTTTTAAATCAGAACAGATTTCTATCCAATTTTAAATAAAATAGTGCTTAGCATGGGCAAAGTAATCCTTTCCATTTTTGTTAGCACTACTTCCCCAATATTAATTATTAAATCCTTCAACCATCCCTTTTAGGGATTATTCCTTAAAAGATTAGCATGTTGCCTAAATGGGACCTTAAAGTCATTGAACCTGAAGTAACTGCAAAGAATGAATTAATTTGAAACAATTAAAATATGGCAAGAAGCATTTGAAATCATTTGGGCTCTAAATGGTAATCAGAATTTAACTCTCTCACCTTCATGCCATTTTCACACCTGAGGGTGCTAATTTTCCTTGCATTGTAGTATAGAATCATTTGGATTTTTAAAGTGGGTCTCAATCAGCAATGAGTTTTATAATACTGAGTCTATAGCAGTCTTGTTTATTTCACATTTTATGGTTAGATTGTCTAGTCCAGCGGGCTATATCCAGTCTCCAGGATCCAAACCTTGCAAGGCAATGAGAACAGTCTGGCTGTGCTGTCTAGAAGGCCAACTTCACAATCCTGTGGCAAGTAGGGCCTGAGAAATATTTGTTGAAACTTTATTCTGCTCAGTTCTGTGGATCCAGCCTACATTTGCCAATAGCTTTATAATCACTTTTCCTCACAGCCATACTTCTTAGCTATCAATTAGTTTATTATTATTTTCCCATTTTATTAACATTAAGAAAATGAGACAGAGGAAAGGAAAGTTATTTTTCTACGAAATAAGGCATATGATAGGGTACATATTAATTCGGATTTACTGTCTTAAGACTAGAGACTGCCAGTCATCTGCTGAGCAGAGCATGGGGTTCGTATATACTGTACATTCCTAGCACATTTTTGTTCTCATTCCCAATCTTCCGAAACAATTAGTCCATTGCCTCTCCAACCCATTCAGATTCATTCTGTAGCAGACATGGTTGTGATCTGTAATATTTGCTAGAAGCCAAGAATGTATTACTCTTCTGACTTAATACACCTGCAAACAATGGATCATATGACCCATCTGGTGGCCTATGTAGAATGCTTTTATGCAACTTCCTTCTAAAGAAATATTTGGCAGTTGAACTCATAAAACCATAACTTGAAATGATAGCCTTTTCCTCTGCTAATCCATACGGTTTCCCCTGGTTCACTGGGGTTGGAGGTTTTGAAATACAATTGTACATATGCTTCCAATACACCAAATTTAAAAGAAATCCCTTTCCAGGTGAAATGCAAAGCATGTTGAATTGCATTCTTACAAAAAACATAAAGTACATGCTCCTTGGGATTATTGCTAAGATATTTATTGAAAACAAAATCCCAGTGCAGGCTTTGCAAATGTGGGCAGACCCATAGGCATTCTTTGGAATGTGAAAGATTTCACAGCCTGGTTTTCTAAAAAACATACAGCAATTTTTTTTCAAGCTTAGACAAAGAGTCTAGTGATTGATTTATGATTTATTTAAATGTTCCTCCTATTTCTTGAGCTCAGGGGCAAGGAGAGGCTCTGTTAGGGTGGGATGTGGGGTAAAAACCTGTCTTCAGGTTCCCTTTCTGCTGGCACCCTATCTGCTCACTGCCTCTGCCTTCTCGATGGTCACACACATGCTCATGGCATCTGACATTTTATAATGATGCATGATTTTATGCCTTTCCCATAGTCTTGATAAAGTACTATCACCGGCATTGATAACCTACAAAATGTGCTGTAAAATGTGACCCTGTTTCATGGGTGTTGCACCCATGGTCACATTCTAATCCCTGCACAGTTTGAGGAACCTCTGCTGATAAGCACTGTTGTGCTCCACTCCATCATCCCACTGTGAGTCATTGGCAAACACACCCCTACCCTTATGATAATATCCCAGAGGCTCAACGTGGCCATCTTTACCTCCACCACCATGGGACAACACACTGGCTTTCAGTTCCTCAAAAGGGCCCATCTTCCCTCATAAGACCTTTGCTGTTCCTTTAGCCTAGGATACTTCCCATCTCTCCAACATTCATCTCCCACCCCTCGAACACACAGGCACAGGTACACACACACACACACACACACACACAAACATCTTTACTGACTCTGACTCAGCCTTCAACTCTCAGTTTAATATCATTTACTCAAACTATGGCCTTCCGCAATCCTCCACTTCTAAATTAGAATCTCCTATAGCAATGATTCAAGTACCTGATACTTCTTTTTCACAACAAATATCATTATTTGAAAATACATATTTTTTTTGTCACTTGCTCTTAAAGTGTCTTCCCTCACTAGGCTAACAGCAAGCTCCATCAAGGCAGTCTGGGTCTCTCACTTACCATTGTAGCCCCAGCAACTAGAATGTAGCAAACACTCAATAAATAAGTATTTGTTGAAAGAATAAACTTTATTTCCACATTGCATGTCAGGAGAAAAGGTCTCAGTACATTGGTCAAACATTTTCCAAAGGTTCTGGGTCCCTGCCCTAAGATGAAGTTTTTTTAAAAAAAGATTGAGATGTGCCTTTTAATCATCACAGGGTAGCATGCCCAGTGATGGCTATCCAGTCTTGGATCACTCAGGCATCCTTCAGAAGAGCAGCTAGCTCACCTCCTGTCTGGTCCTAGCAGGAGAGGGCTAACAGCAGGTGCCCATGCAATCCCTTTGTATGACAGGTAGAAGCTATTTGGATGTTTCCCTGTGTTCTCCACACAGATTTTACACCTTCTCCACTTTCTTCTGGATATCTTTCTCCATCTGAACAGCTAGAAGGCATTAAGCATTCCCAATAACTATTTTTGTCTTCTAATGTTGTTAGGTGGAGTTGGGGAATGTTACCTTTCACCATGCCTCAAATCAAATTGTCACACGTTAAGCCTGGACTCCATGGAGACCACATCATATAAGCTCCAAGTCCAATTCTTCATCCCTAGAGCTCTCTAACTAGGGGAGCTTAATGTGCATTCCACTACTTTGTTGCAGGATTGCTATTGCCTCAAGACTTCCTTATGCAGCTACAAGACAAACCATGGTTAAGGAATGTTCAAACTAGCAGTTTCACTGGCCCTGCTGTTGAATAAATGCAACCCTATCACATTCTTGTCCGGAATTTCTGTCAATCCCTTTGCATGACATGAGGAGAATTCTGCTTAGTAACAGAGGACAGAGTCTCATGAGAGGAACTCAGTGGCCCTGCAAAGGCAATCTGTGATGAATAGCATAGTGCTGGAGCCACTCCCATTAACAACCCCTAAGTCTAGGCAGGCCCTGGGTCAGCTGTGCGCTCTCCATAGCTGGCTTATGACCCATGGCTGTAATCACACCAGAGACACTCCTTAGCATCTTCCAAGGTGATAAGCAAGGCTAGTAGCTATAACAAATAAATTATTATCAGAATTCTTGCTGAAGCCAGCTGACTTTACAGTTCTTGGGCCACTTCTTTTAAATGTAGTTCCCTTGCAGTTCCTATTGGTCTTGGCTATGCATAATTTATTACTTCTATTTTTAAAGCGCTATCAGAAATCAATAAGAATATAAACACACCAACTGTTATAAATGTCCTCAAAGCAACTGTTTTCCCGTGCCATGTTATTCTTTTCGCAGCGGTAACTAGAACAATTGATGTCCTTTTTATGTGAGTTGCTTTGCTCAGGTTGAGCCACAGCTAAATGCAACATTAGCTCATCTTAAGGAAGAACATGCTGCCCCCGAACTTGTAAGTCAGGACGAATCATTTAAAGCATAGTTGAAACTCAGCAGCACTGCAGCACAGTTGAGGATTCAATATATTAACGAATGTCTATTGTGTACATTATATTGAGATATTTTTCCCAACTAGCAAATCCTAACTAAATTGTTACCCTGCAAATCACTTTTTGGTAATAATTGAAGTCTTTATCCATATGACATGTATTTGGTAGTTTAACACTACCATGTAACTGTTTAATTAATATATGGCTAATGCCTTCATTAAGTCACTCAGTAAATATTTATTAAATGCCTACTACATACCAGTCACCATAGTGTTGGTGATACCATAGTGTTGGTGATACAACAGTGAAATAAGTCTCTCTCCCTGCCTTCGAGGTGCTGCTTTTAGTTTACTCCATTGCTGCATTTGAATTTTTCATTAAACTCTGGAGAATGGGCACTAGGTCTCATTCATCTCTGCACTCTCAGTGTCCTGCTGAGTTCCTGGCATACAATAGATCCACAATGAAGGCTTGTTGAATAAGTGAATAAATAAACAAAGGAATTAATTAAGAAACAGAGGCTACTGAACAAATATCTAAAGATCTAGGTAGCCCTGAGACCATTGAAGTAAGAAGCAATATCCATTTTTCTCTCTTCTTTGAGTTTAGAAAACAAAACAGACTTACTCTTTGCCACGATTCCTGCCATCTGGCTCCCAACCAGCCTCCAGAACCTGCCATTTTCCCATGAACATATTATTTCCTCCTGCTCTTTCATTTGTTCTATATGAAAAAGTTGTCCAGAGTAGCACAAGGAGCAAGCTGTTTAGTTTAATAAGCAGCCAATTAGCCAGAGTTTCTTCCCCTTCGATCTCCCAAAGCAGGTCACGTGGTGGGTTATTGCTAGCTTTTCAGATTTATCTAATACTTGCATTTTCTTCTGTGAATTTATTAGATCAGTCCTGAGCCACAGGTGACCCAGAAATCTGGTGGCTTATAGGAAGTAGAATGTAACAAAAGTGTCATTCTTGTGTCCTGAAATTCACTATGTATGTGAACTCCACATTTGAGCAGGGCATGGAATCAATTTGCAATTATTTACTAACAATGGCCCAAAGAGTCATCCTGTCCCCCTGAGCCTAGGAAAAGCCTATTTAAGTGACTTCTCAGGAGGTTCCCTGAAGATGTTCAGGCACTCAGCACCAAGCACCACCCTCTGGATGCTTCCACTTAGAGATCTAGGGAGAAATCGGGCTTTGTCCATCAAAACTGTGTGGAGAGTTCTAGTTAGTGAAGAAGAATGATCAGCATAATGTCACCTGTCTGCATATAGATCATTAGCCTGGACATTTTTGTTTCTGGGTTTGAAGCAATCACCATACATGAATCATGTTACTTTCAAGACTATGATAATTCTGGCAGATTATAAAACAGCAAAATAAATAAATAAGAAGAAAGACTGTGATAACTGTGTAGAACAGAAAACTCTTCAAAAGCTTCTTTGGCAAGAATAGTATTCATTCATTTAACTAAAAACTTACCTACAAAGTGAGAGACAGCAAACTAGCCAATAAAGATGAGCATAGACAGGTTCCTGTCCTGGAGGGACTTACAATCTAAGGAGTAAGAAGAGGTCAAAGGAAGGGGGATTATTTCGAATTTATTAAGTGCTGTGGAAGAACGTATACAAACTACTCTGACAGTAAAGAGGTAAGCGAAATCTGCTCTAATTTATACAATGGAGGCTGTGTAGCTCAGCGGTTAAGAATGCAAACTCTGGAGACAGATGCCCCAACCCCACAGCCCAGTATCTAAGCCTCACAGGGTGTGAGAACTCAAGGACTAAATGAGTTAATACAAGCACTTGGTGAACACTTACCAGTTGTTAGCTCCTCTCCCCAAATGAAGCTATCAGGCTTGTTCTATCCATTGCTATTTAAAATGATCTTTGCCCCATGTGTAACTCCATTTTTTTCTCATTATTGAATATTAATTTCACTCTCCGGAGTTTTTGCTAAAAATATAAATAAAAATTGTTGTTGCGCATTAGCTGTTAAAAGCTGTTTCCAAGACCAATGAGTGTGTTGGCAACAACAACAACAAAATCAGGCTTGGAAGGACATAGGTCCCAAAAACATAGCCAATTCGAGGTGGCCACTAGTGCAACATGAAAGAGTATTCAAGTCTCCCAGTGTCTAGGAAACGAGTTTTTTCAGTACAAACAGGTATACTGTTGAGCCCCAGGATAGAAGAAGGGACTCCAACTGACAAATTTTAAGGTATGGCCACAGGCAGTTCCAAATACCTATTTAATCCCAAAGCTATCTTTGGGTTATGTTTTGGGGATGGGGGTGAGGAATTCTGTCCCTACCTCTTCATTTTTCATAGGGAAAGAGAGAAATTTCTAAACTCCAGCCCTTGGAGGAAAGGACTAGAAACACTTCTGGACTCTCCTGACCCCTCCCCATCTCCTTCCCAAGAAAGGGGGAATGATATCTCTGATTGGTGACATAGGAAAGAAGAAATAGCATTGGTCTTTGGTCACTTTTCTCTCTCTTTTAGAGGGCCTGATCTCAGAATGCTATAGGCTGAATTGTGTTCCCCTACGAAACAGATGTTAAATTCCCAACCCCCCAATGCCTTAGAATGTGACCTTATTTGGAAATAGGGTCTTTAATGAGGTAATCATGTTAAAATGAGGTTATTAGTGTGGTCCCTAATTCAATATGATGGGTTTCCTTATAAAATGAGGAAATCTGGACAGAGACAGACGCAAGAAGAGGGAAGGTAAAGTCAAGAGGCAGGCAGAATACCATGTGACAATGAAGGCAGAGATTAGAGTTAATGCCACCACAAGCCAAGGCATGTGTGGGGCTACCAGAAGCTGGAAGAGGCAAGGAAGGATTCTTCCCCCGTAGGCTTCAGAGGGAGCATGGTCCCCACTGACATCTTAATTTCAGACTTGTAGTCTCCAGCGCTGTGAGACCATATATTTCTGTTCTGAGCTCTAGCCAACTGGTACACAAAACACTTTCTCCACTCACCCTGCCGTAGACTGCCTTCCCCTACAAAGAAACCTGCATGTTCATCCTGTTCAGTGACTAAAAGTGTTGAATTGAATAGATGTGAAGTGGGTATGGCCAGGAAGGGGGTCCCCTTTTCTCAACAGATTTCATTGGTAGCAAAGCGAATCATTTGATGTGTATCTTAAGTCTCAGTCGTTCCTGAATTTGGAGTGGGGAGAGAGTCCTGATTTTCTAGCCTAAACCCCAAATCTAGGCTGAGGCACATACTTTACACGTATTAATGCATGTAATCTTCATAATAAGCCTACAAGAATATGTCCTATTATTATGCCCATTTTATAGGTAAGAGAGTTTAGGCATGAAGAGGTCACATACCTTTCCCAAGGACAATGAATGCTGAGGACTGAACTGCAGGCAGCCTGGGGCCAGAGTCTACATCCTTGCCCACTAAGGGGTGCTGCCTCCCCAAGGGCTACATTCCAAGGAATAAGTCATCAAATGGTTCTATTAAATGGGAGTCTAAGGGTAATCACTGTGGTCCTCCCTATGTACATGTTAATAAGTTTGTATGCCTTTTCTCCAATTAAAAAATAATAATAAAAGGAAAGGGATTCTGTGGTCAAATTTATCAAGAGAACCCTGGGTGAAAAGAAGTGTTTTCTTTAATCTCTTCTAATCTTCTCAGAGTCCTTACAATGCCAACATGTCTTGTGACTGTTAATCAGGATATGGAGCACAGCGTTTGACCACAGAGCACTTTTCAGGGAGCACTTCTTGGGACTAGTGTTCTGAAGAACACCAATTTGGGTCTGAGAGAATATTTTGAGTGGGAGGTACTCTTTCATTTGGATATAGTTCTAGAATCTTTTATAATTTCTATAAGCCAATCAAAATGCTCAGAAATCCCTTAGTTTAAATTTTACAAAGCGTTTAATAGGGCTTAGAGGGAAGGCCGGGCATTGAGATCCACACGCTGAAGCGGACACATGTCCCAGCCACAGAAATAGAAGACACTGGAATGACTGTAACACCAGAACACAGCCTACCTACCTGCGGAAGGTAAGGCACAGCCTCACAGGAAGATGGGATGATTTCAAAGAGGAGTTGGACTTGAGCAGGCCTTGAAGGATGAGTGGGACTTCAGGCAATCATTTTGGATTAACTACCTTAGGACAAAATCTCTCTGTTCCAGGATGGAGTCAGACATCCTGCTGACTCTTGAGATCTGTTTTGATCCCACAGTTTGGACAGAGAAATTTTCCTACAGCTAAGAAAAGATCATAAATTGGTAGCCTTTAGGAAGGATGTGACCAGCAGATCCTTGTTTGGACAACACGATGTGGCTGGTGTGTGTGTGTATACGTATGTGTATGTGTACGTGTAGGTTTAATTTCATGTATATACTCTTGGGACTCACCATCTCTCCCATTTTACTGTCCAGTAAATGTCCAGTCCCGGAAGTTATCTGAGCTCCCCTTTCTAGGCTGATGTAATCACATGCACAACTAAAAGATGAGGTGCCTTTACGCCCCTGTCAACATTTCGGTATGACTGACAGTATCATGGGAAACATCAGAGAGGAAGGTTCTTCCCAACCCTTTTCAGCGTATATGTTTTGTTACTTACCAGAACCTGCCTCCAAAATGAATTCCCACTGTAGAGCAGTGGTATATATATTTGCACTAGTCCTGCCTATTCAGTATTCAACTTCAGTACTTTATATAATGGGTTATATTACATTAAACTAGATAGATCTATCATCCTCTTAAATGTGGTGGGGAAAAGGAGAAGCACAGGATGCCAAGTAATTTAAAATATAATCTTTAAAAATCATTAGATAATGATCTGCAGGCCAGCTAAGTCATTTTCCTAAGGAGATTTTTGTCTTGAAATCTTTTACAGTTTTGGTTGTTCTATAGCAGGATGGTTGCTTCACCAATGTTCAGAAAGTAAACATTATATGCTTATAACATATTGTTATGGTTATAGGCACTTGAGTGCAATAAAATACATCCCTACCCACAATACTCTCAGTAGAAGCGTCACCCCAAGAACTACTCTATGCCTGCTTATATTAATAATTACAGTCACAGGAGGACTGGACAATGATGTCAACAGAAAAGCTTTTTTGAGCTCATTTTTTCCTTTGCTCCTCAAGAGGGGCAGAGATAATCATTTCACTTCCCCAATCAAATTCGGTTCTCACTTTCAGCGACGCTGCAAATGGAATTGACTTTTTTCTTTCACCTTTGCACCGGCATTTTCCTAGTGGGACGTTGTGATTCTGAGAGTCCACAGGATTTTGCAGAGCACTACTGTGGAAATGCTCTTACTTCTGACTTCCTAGCCTCCCCTCTGGGCACTCATTCCCTCCGAAGGGCTTGGGTGGTGGGAAGAACAGGGCAGAGGATTGTGCCAGCGGCAGTCACTCCCTCACTGGAGAGCGGTTGCCCCTGTCCCTTAGCAGATATCGCTGTCTTCCTCTCACAGGGCAGGAAACTGCAGTCATGTGGACAGTAGGGCACTGAGAGCAGCCAGCATTGAAATGTTTATAAGTGAACAGAAAACAATGAGTTGGAAAGGGTGGAGCAGGGGACTTTGCTCTTCATTATAAACCCTGCACTAATTGATGGGTTAACTAAATATTATTAGTATAATTTTTTTAAGTTTAAGTCCTCCCTTAAATGTTTGGACTGCTGCCCCAACCCCTTGCTACACTTTGCAGGCAAAGCTTCCTGAAGGAATTGTCTACACTTCCTATATCTCCTTCTTCACCTCTCCTTCAATCTTACTGAAAAAAAAAGGAAAAAAAGTTGTAATGTGTAAATGATTTTTATCAATATGTGCATAGAATTTTAAATATTTGGCTAGTACTAAGAGGCTTTAATGAAAACTCACATTCCCCTGCCCAGCCCACAGTCCTGTTCCCCTATCCCACTCCCAGTGGAAACCACCTTCAACTTTCATGCTGTTTTTACTGGTAACGATTTACTGCTATTTCTTGATCTATTTTAATTTTTTAAAATTCACCTCCTGTTATAGAAGTTGAACTCTGTCAAGACACACACACACACACACACACACACACACACACAGAGAACTTCCCTTTCTTTCTTCATCCTCTCAATATCACTTTACTATAATGTTTGGCTAAGTCAGCAGTCACAGTCATTGACATTACTATGAGCAGTAAATATTCACTGCTTGACCCAAGTTGTTCCTTATGAATATTGTGGTTTATCCTAGAGTTTAAACTGTCTTTGCTTAGCTTTCCATGTAGCTAACATTATATTTTTTCTAAATGTTCTGATAGAGCTGCTGAAACTCTACTAATAATTTTTGCCAGACATCTGAACACATCAGTTCCTTCTTCACCTGGCAACCTCCCTCCTAAAGACCTCTGTATTCTACCCCAGGTAGGATAAGCTGGTTGCCCTCTTGAAAGACCTGTGCATGAAACCTCACTCTTTCCTCTGTTGTATCCCCTTCTATTAATCAAGGTAAGGTAACTGCCATTATAAATAGATCTCAAAATGTATAAAAACACACTATTGAAGTCTATTTCCTACTCACTGCTATGGACTGCATTGTGTCTCCCCCTCCTATGCCATATGCAGTGAAGCTCTAACTCCGGTGTTTATAGATAGGCATTTTAGGAGGTAATTAAGGTTAAATGAGGTCCTAAGGGCCGGCTCCTAATCCCATAGGATTGGTGGCCTTATAAGAAAAGGAGGATATTGCAGCACCTTGATCTTGGACTTCCTAGCTCCAAAACCATGAGAAATTAATGTTCATTGTTTATGCCCCCCAGCCCATGATATTGTGATATAGCAATCCAAACTAAGACACGTACAAAATTGTATAGTGAACTAGTTGGCAGGAAGCCCTCTTCCATGCAGCCACTCAGAGACCAGGTTGACAGGAGCGCTTTGCTGTCTTTAACACACTCCATTCGGTTTGCCTGGGAGCCATTCCCATTCCAGCCAGCCCAAAGGGGAAATGAGCATGGAGGAATATGTGTGGTAAGTTTTTATAGGCCAGACCTGGAAATGGTGCCATTCATAAACACTACTGTTAAAGTGGCTATGAGTCAGCCATGTGGGCACACTTAATAGCAAGAGGAGCTAGGGAATGTAGTAGTGTGTCCCAGGAAGAAAGCAGCATGGGTCAGGGTAAGTGGTTGGCTGACTGCCACACCTCTGTGTATTGGATCTCGTTTTCCTTTTGTATTGCTAGAATTTATACACCAATAGTTTTCTTTGATTCAAATGTACATGGAAGGGGAATTCTTCAGTCTTTACATGTCAAAAAACAATTTTACCTCATACTGACTCAGTTGACTCTGCATATCAAAGTCACAGCTCCACCCTCATCTAGTATTCTGTATGTTACTCAGCAGTCCATGCCATTCTGCATGCTCATCCTTTTCACTTGCTTTATTTTTTTCTCTTAATAATCTCTTGGTGTTGCATCTTTGTTGCTGGTTCCGAAATACCACGTTTTATTGATTGTATTAGGTATTAAGTGTCTCTTTCAATGTGGAAACCCATGAAGTTCAGTTTTAGACATATTATCTCCTTGATAATTTGTTCCCTCTTCCCTCTTTCTCAAATTCTGATTAGTCAGAAGTTGGACTTACTGAATTGTTCTAATTTCCTTGCCTACTGCTTTGGAAGAGTCTATTGGAAAAACAGCTTTGAAACAGTTTATTGGGTGTTCAGTTTTTCCCCACATAACCTATGTGGAGATGTTCCATATAGCCAAGGGATACACCTGTCAAGTGATGGCTATTTATTTTAGTGATTTATTGGGAAGCAGAGGTCACTGTATCATGTCATACTTGCTTCCCATTCTTCTTTGTTTTCTTTTTCCCTTATTTTCTACCCTGGGATTACACTTCACAATAACGCAATCATGCTTTGCCTTAGTCTATATTCTGAAAGGAATCTCCGTATGCATGTCAAGGTTGAGGGGTGTTTGTCAGCTACAAATGTTAGGGTGCTTGTTATGGACGGAATATTTGTTGAAGGTCTAAGCCTCAATGTGATGGTATTTGGAGGTGGAGCCTTTGGGAAGTAATTAGGTTTAGATGAGGACATGAAGGTGGGCCTCCCTGATGGAATTAGTATCCTTATATAGCAATAGTTATATACAATTATAAGGATATAAGGATATCCTTATTCTTATAAGAAGAGGAAGAAAGTCCAGAGTTCTCTCTCTCTCTCTCTCTCTCTCTCTCTCTCTCTCTCTCTGTGTGTGTGTGTGTGTGTGTGTGCAACATGTGACGACACAGCAAGACAGTGCCTACCTACAAGCCAGGAAGAGGGCCCTCACTAGGAATGGAATCTTTATGGTCCTTGATCTTGGACTTCCCAGCCTCCAGAATCATGAGAAATTAATATGTGTTGTTTGAGCCACCCAGACTATACGGTTTTTTGTTATGAAAGCCCAAACTGACCATGACAGTACCTTTTCACTGGATGATTCTGAAATTATCAGTACATGTCAGTCTTTTCTCAGGGGTAATTTAGATTCTCCAGAGAAGAATCCTTCAATCTGCTATCCAGTCTGTTGCCAAAATTCTGGAAGTAGAGCAGGAGAAGGGAGTCCAGAAACTACAATTCAGTGTGACAATTTTCTCCATATTAGGCCTCCATGCCTTGTCCTTTTGCCAGTCCTAGTGTCTCAAAGTCAAGAGTCTCTAATCAAATTTCTCCAGAGAATAAGACTCCTTGGGCAGGTTGGAAGCACATGGGGATAGGGTCTTCTGGCTGGGCCATGTAAGGCAGGGGATTGGTGAGCTCAATCATTCTATAAAACTTTCAACAAGCATTCCTGTTTTCATCCAGGCTTCTCACCTCTGCCTTCTGTAGTACCTGGAGTACCTGGAGAATCCAAGTGCAGAACATCTAAGGGTTCCTACATGGCAAACTGCCTCGTTCCTCATTAAATTTCTCATTCCTGTTACTTCTTCCAAGTACACAGGTGTCAAATCCATTTCTACTTCTCCATATACTTTCCATATTCCAAAAATGTATTGCCATTGTTGCCCGCTCTTCTTTTCTTTCTTATATGTTTTGACGTTGTGTTATTATCTCTTGTTATTCCTCTTTTCTTATTTAGTGAGGATGTATGACAGCGCAATCCTCCAGCTTATCCTTGAGCCATTTCCACTGCCCAGAAACTTCTCTTACTGAGGTTAGCAAAGATCTCCATGTTGCCAATATACTGGGGGCTTTTCTAGCTTTATATTCCCCAGCTCCACAGCCAGAGATGATATTGTTGGTCATTCTCTATACAACACCTCTCCAGGCATCTCCTGGTTTTTCTCATACATTACTGGTCCTAATTATCTATCTTCTTTCTTGGATTCTTCACCTCCACCTGACCTTGACATATTGAAATTCCCCAGGTCTTAGGACCTCTCTTTTCTAGCTATGCTTTTTCTCTGGGTAATTTCATCCATTCTCATGGCTTTAACTACTATCTACTTCTAGATTAATATTTCTAGACCTCACCTCTCCTCTGAGCTCCAGATTCTTCTACCCAGCCCCCTATTTAACATCTCCTTTTAGACATCAAATAATTATTTTTACTCATTCAGCCAACATTTATTGGGTATCTACTATGTGTCAGGGAATATTCTAGGTTCTTGGGACAGATTAATGTCAAATACCTCTCTCTCATGATGCTTTCACAGGAGACAAGACAAAGATTAATAATAGACTTTATAGAAGTGTTATAGTATAACAAAAGGTGATGAAATAGAAGTGATACAAAAAAGAAAGAGTAGAGTGCCAGGGATGAAAGAGCAGTTAGGATTTTAAATGAGATTGTCTGTGTAGATCTCACTGAGATACTGAAATGTGACCAAAACTTGAAGGAAATGAAGTCAGGAAGGTATCTAAGATATCTGTAGAAAAATTATTCCAGGCAAAAGGAAGAGACTACAAGGGTCCTGAGAGAGGAATGTGCCTGGCAAGTTCAAGGAAGAGCAAGGAGATCGGTGGAACAGAATGAGCAAGGAGAGTGTAGGCAATGAAGTAACGAGGAGAGGGTTGGAGGGGGGGAGAAAATATAAGAATTATATATCATTGAAATGACTTCAGCTTTAACTCCAGAATTAGACATGGACTTATTGGATAGTTTTAAAAAAAATTTTTAAAGGTTCCTCTTAGCGCTGTGCAGTGAATAGATACCATAATGGAGTATGGGTAAAACAAGTAGGAGACTGGGTCTGTCTAGTGCAGAAATTTCAAACTTAACATGTATAAAACTGAATTTTTAATCATTCTCCCGTAAATCTAGTCTTCTCTATCTCTGCCCAGAAGCTGAGGCCAGACACTTATGAGTCAGGCTCAGTTCCTCCTTTTCTATCACCTCCTTCTCTCTAAACCCATCAGTAAATCCTAACCTCATCCTGTGAACTCCTCACCATCTCCGCAGCCATCCTGTTTGTTCAACAACCATTGTCTCTTGCCTGGTCTGTCACAACTGCCTCCTCATTTATCTCCTGCTTTCACTCTTACCACAATCCATTTTTTTCCAACAGTAATCTTTTGAAAATGTAAATCAAATCACATCATTCCTTGCTTAAACATCATCAATAGGAAATGGAGAGAAACTGCTTACTAAGTAAGAGTTGTATTTGGAGTGAAGGCATGTTTGCAAATTAGATAAAAGTGGTGGTTGCACATACCGCAAAAGTACTAAAAGCCACTGAATTGTTCACCTTTAAATGGTTAATTTTATATTACATGAATTTCACCTCAATCAATTTTTAAAAACGCTTTGATGGCTAGTCATTGCATTTCTTACTATATAATTAGGTGTAGATTTGGTTGCAAGTTTTAGAAAACCCAAAATAATAGGGACTTAAACAACATAGAAGTTTATTTCTCTTTCACATTAAAAAAAAAAAACCCTGAGAATGGCCCTTATCAATAGTCAGATAGGATGTACATGGAGTGCAATGAGGTAAATATATTTGACTGAGGGACTGAGAACACCAATCAGTGCTATTCTCCATGACATAATCCCAGACATAAGTTACAGGATAGTGCAGTGTCAAAAAAAAAAAAAAAAAAAAAAAAAAAAAAGGACAGCAGCCTAGATAAATAAGGCTCTGGAATCAAATTCGTGACAATTACTGGGGTCTCCTTCACTGGGGCTACCACAGCAGCAGAGACACATCATCTGATGATTGGGGGTGTCTGTCACTCTCTTAGCCAACCCTTGGGGTTCATTCCTCCCAAATCATCATCTCCTAAAAAAAGAAATTTTTTTTCTATTTATTATTCAAATGTATTATACTTTATAAAAAAGAAAAATGCTGAGATGGTCTTTCAAAACCATTATTTAGGGGTAGAAACTGCCAAAACAATACAGAAATCAGAAGAGAAAGAGCAATAAAATTTTCCAGTTTGGGAAGGGAGAAAAACACAACGATAAAAGCATTCCTTTGCCTTTTTTCTCTGCCACCCAAGTTCTATTTGTACTTGACAAGACCAAACTAAACTTTTTTGCCTTGTTAGGAACTGCAAGGATTTTTCCAAATCTTTTTTTCCCAGACCACAACAGACCTCTTTCAGTATAGCTGGTTGATTTCAACTTTTCACCTTAATCCCATTGGATTTCTCTCCCCCGTTTTCTCAAGAGAATGTCATTTGAGTACATATTTCAGTGCCAAAAGAATGAGGGAAATGTTTTGGTTGGATTTTTTTTTTCTGTTGAGACAGAGTTTCACTCTTGTTGCCCAGGCTGGAGTGCAATGGTGTGATCTTTGCTCACTGTAACCTCTGCCTCCCAGGTTCAAGTGATTCTCCTGCCTCAGCCTCCCAAGTAGCTGGGATTACAGGCATGCACCACTGCATCTGGCTAATTTTTTGTATTTTTAGTAGAGATGGGACTTCACCATGTTGGCCAGGTTGGTCTCGAACTTCTGACCTCACATGATCTACCTGCCTCGGCCTCCCAAAGTGCTGGGATTACAGGCGTGAGCCACTGTGCCTGGGCGAATATTTTTATATCACTAATTACTGCTCAGTGAGGCTCGGATGCTCCAGTATAAAAACAGATTCCTTCTTTCAGACATGTTTTCATTTGGCCAGAACTCTGCATCCATCTTTCTGTTGTTGCAGTGGAAGACTTCATGGGAGACAATCTCAAAGAGTTTCAAGGACTAAGGAATTGCCTTATTAAATGGTGGTATCTCAAATTTTTTTTTTGCTTCATTGACTATTTCATTTACCTCCCTAATATTTCTGCAATTCTAAGCATTTCTGTTCATGTAAAGTAAGAACAGTGTCTCAGTTAAGAGCATGGTCTCTGAAGCCAGCTGCTTAGTTGAAGCCTGGCTAAGAAAGCTGTACAATCTTGAGGGCTCCCTCAGTTTCCTCATCTTATTGAGATGTAGAACTGAGATATGCCAAGCACATTCTAAGTGCAATGTAAGTGCTAGCAATATCCAAGAGTTAGGTATACACTTGTTGCTGTGGATCATATGAGGCAAGACTGACACCATCCTGCCCATATGCAGCTTATTAAGGTTTAGGCAAATTACTTAACATAGACTTGATTTAATTATTTGTAATAAAGTGTCTCTCTCACAAGATTGTTGTGAAAATCACGAGATATGCCAAGAAACATGCTTAATATGAGGTATGGTGAATATTAAACACTCAATGAGAACTGATATTGTCTGGCAAGAAAAGCGGATAATTAAACAGCCTTAGAAATGTAATTATAATAGAAAAAGTTCAGGGTGCTAAAGGAGCACCCACCAGGATATCTAAATTGAGTCCTGATAAATAAGAAGGAGTTAGCCAGATAAAGAAGAAGGGAAAGAGAGGTTCCAGAAAAGGAGGCCAGAGAGCCTCACCATTTTAGATGAACTAAAAGAAGTTTAACACAGAATGGGAGCTGGGAATAGCAAAAGAAAAAAATGAAGTGGTAGACAGAAATCAAGTTATAATAAACATTTTAAGCTACACTCGCAGTTGTATTTGATCCTGAGAAATAGGAGAAACAAGAAGCTATGCAATGGGCTTAAGCAGGATAGTGATAAAACCAGAAGGCACAGAAGGCATCTTAGAGTCTGGTGGCCACAGAGAGTGGAATGGAATGGAGGGGACCAAAACTGGAGGCTGGAGATGCCTTCAGAAGCTGCTGTTGATCCTAACTGAGAGATGGAAGGGGGCACTTGGGCAGGGTAGTGACAACAGGTGGAGACCTAGTATCCTTCATCAGTCACGCTGCTTTGCTGAGCACTTCACATCTTCATTTGAAATGTCCCCTTTTTTTCTTATATGTACAGAGTTCACTGTGACTGTTTCTTTGGTTCAGCTATTCTCTGTAGTGAGGAGTATTATTTGTCCTCCTGAAACTTCAAAAATGTGATACCACTGCTGCAGGTGCTGGAGGAGCATTCACCCGTGTTTGCTGGCTTCGGTGCTTATTATCTCCCACAAAGAGATTATCTCCCACAGTTTTATTTTCCTCAATTCTTTTTTTTTTTTTTTGAGATGGAGTCTTGCCCTGTTGCCCAGGCTGGAGTGCAGTGGTGCAATCTCAGCTCACTGCAGGCCTCCGCCTCCTGGGTTCAAGTGATTCTCCTGCCTCAGCCTCCCGAGTAGCTGGGACTACAGGCGCATGCTGCCACACCCAGCTAATTTTTGTATTTTTAGTAGAGACGGAGTTTCACCATGTTGGCCAGGATGGTCTTGATCTCCTGACCTCATGGTCCACCGCCTCAGCCTCCCAAAGTGCTGGGATTACAGGCGTGAGCCACCGCACCCAGCCTATCTCCCACAATTCTTAATCAGATGTTGTTTAAGCATTGTACCATGGGTTTTACATGCTGCTGTCTGAAGCTGCCCCCAGATATGCCATGTGACCAGCAGTGACGCAGAGATGATTAGGACCGTAGTTTTCTATCCAGAAGGTTAATGTTTTACCTTACCTGGAGGAGGAGTACAAGTACTTCTTCAAAAAATCAAATAATGAGTTACAAATGTCTTCACCACCTGACCATACCCTATCAAACAATTTTTTTAAATTCCTTGGGAATGACTTGGCTGGTGGGGGACAGGAAGAGTGTAAATTAGCTCTTTCATGGGAGCCCCACCCCCTCTAAGCACCGACTTCTTCATCAGAGTACAATGTGACTTGGCATAATCCATATAGAGGTTATGAGTTGTAATAAGATTAATGAGCAATAACTAGTTTATTTAAATAAAGAAGAAATGCCATGTTAAAGGTCATTGACCTTAACTGTTTTTCTCATAAAGCAATATGGGATTTGCAGACGAGAGGATTTATGGTTTGTTTTGTTTTTATTTTTGTCCAATAGATACCCTGGGAAGAATGACCTCAAGCAAAATTGTAAGTAAAGGAGGTGAACTTAGCATTTCCTACTTTACTGTTCGCTTTACTCTTTGCTTTCCCAGCCTTCAACTAAGACAGGCCCAGTCCCAGGGAAGCAAAGATGATCACGGACTCAGATGGCAAGAAGAACCTGCTGAAAAACATGGATTTGGGGTCATGAAGATAACAGAAGGAAGTGAAAGTCAGAGCCAATTCAGTTGAGATCAATGTCCAATCTGAGTGCCATGAACAGCAGGTCTTCCTCCCCTTCTCCTCCCTTCTGACCCTCCCGTGTGCAACTTAACAGGTAACTTCACAAACTTCAGATTTGTACTGCCACTACAACAGCAAGCTTTGCTCCATGTCACTAGTGCCAAAAAGACCTTTGGTCACTACTAGATTAAATCGTATCATTACTTGGAACTGTGTCCAGTCCAAAACAATAAACTTGTAAATCTCCCTCTTTCTTTCTCTCTCTCTCTCTCTCTCTCTCTCTCTCTCTGACAACAATGTCCTCAAATCTACACTTCAAGTTCACATGGAGACTCGGTCCTTATCCCTTTCCCAAACCCCCCAGTTTCCTCCTCCCCTTCATGGACTTTGTAGTCTAACCTGAATTCTCTCCCCTCACTGAATTAAATTTATTAGGTTTCTACTTTATACCATTGTTCTAGACCAGTTGTTCTCAACCTGGTTGTACACTGGAACCATTCGTAGAGCTTAACACACACACACTGTGAGTAGTCCCCACCTAGAGATTCTAATATAATTGGTTCATGGTGCAGCTTAGGTATAAGAATTGTTAAAGCTCTCCAGGTGATTCTAATCCACAGGTAAGATTAAGGAAAGCAGGTACTGATCCAGGTGCTGAAGATATATAAATAAAAAGACAACTAAGGAAGAGTCCATATTCTAACAAGCTCAAATTCTATTCCTCTTCTTATTATCAGCTGCCTGAATTTTTTTTTTTTGTTTGTTTTTGTTTTTGATACAGAGTCTTGCTCTGTCACCCAGGCTGGAGTGCAGTGGCACGATCTCGGCCCACTGCAACCTCCACCTCCCATGTTCAAGCAATTCTCCTGCCTCAGCCTCCCTAGTAGCTGGGACTACAGGCATACGCCACCACACCTGGCTAATTTTTTTGTATTTTTAGTAGAGATGGGGTTTCACCATGTTGTTCAGGCTGGTTGTGAATTCCTGACCTCAAATGATCCTCTGCCTCGGTCTCCCAGAGTGCTGGGATTACAGGCGTGAGCCACCGTGCCTGGCCAGCTGCCTCAATTATCTTGCCAGCTTGTTCTCTTACTATAGTTGCTCCTTCAGGTTTTGGTCTTAAATGAAACCATCAAACCACTGACTGGACTCAAGCTCCCAGGTGTCCTGGCACAGCTGTGTTAAACATGTGACTCTGCTGATTAGCTGCATTACAAATGTATGAGCTCCATTATCAGCTTGGCTTTCAACGCTGGAAAAATTTTACTTATATTTTGCCAACTCCCTTTCTCATTTCTGTTAGTAGATATTTCAAATCTTTATCTCTCTCTTAAGCCCCCATCAAGATCCTGCCTCTCTAAGCTGATAATTCAACCTCTTATTTAACAAAGAAAATCACAGACATGGTAGTAAACTCCTTCAGTGATCTTCCTCTCAACATTAACACTATACCTTTTTTCTCACTTGTATTTTTCATTTCTTTCTCTCTTCTCTACTCTCTACAAATGTGCTCAAGCATCTGCCTGCTGAATCTGCTTTGAATCACTCCGTTTCCTCTCTCTCCACTCACTGACCTATATCTTGAAAGAAATCCCTATACTTGTGGCCACAGCCTCCTTTTTTCCACTTATTCCTTCATATTTGCAACTTGATTTCCAATGCTATTACTCTGTAGGACTTCTTCCCAATTATTCCATGTCATGACACCCAAAGAAAATTATTATGTTTATTCAGCATCTGAGGACAACAAACAAGGTAACTTTAGCTGCTCCTGGCCATGTCAGAAACTGAAGGGGCTTATCTTGAGCTCACCTGTAATCATTCATGACTTACCAGCCTGCCTTGGCATATGAGGTGGGAAGGTCTGCTCCACTGAGCTGCTCTGGCGAGGGACACTAGTGGCCCCCATTGACAAGCCCCACATCTGCTTCTCTGTCCTCATCTGCTCTATAGCAGAGTTTATTGATTGTGAAAATTCTTTAGTTAAAGTTGTCACAGGTTGGTCAAGATAATGTGGAATTGGAAGCCAGAAAGTAGGTGAGAATAAGAGAAGGCTACTTTCCTTTCACTGTCTCGTAAATTAAATCATTTGAGAGAACTCTGCCATCAACAGGCAATGCCTTGGAATCCATGCTCAGATTAGGTGGCCAGAGATAGTCATTACTACAGGCAAAGGGCCTCAGAGTCTTAATTTGGCTAAGCAATGGGTAAATGGTGACACTCAAGAATTACTTGTAGGTTGGGCGTGGTAGCGCACACCAGTAATCCCAGCACTTTGGGAGGCCAAGGCACATGGATCATTTGGGGTCAGGAGTTAGAAACCAGCGTGGCCAACATGGTGAAACCCCGTCTCTACTAAAAAATACAAAAATTAGCCAGGCATTGTGGTGGGTACCTATAATCCCAGCTACTTGGGAGGCTGAGGCAGGAGAATCACTTGAGCCTGGGAGGCAGAGGTTGCAGTGAACCGAGATCACACCACTGCACTCCAGCCTGGGCAACAGAGAAAGACTCTATCTCAGAAAAAAAAAAAGAATTACTTGTATATCACTGTAGCCCTATAATGGTCTCACAAATTAATTGTAAGTAATTAAGATCCTGAGCATAGATTATCTGCATGTTTCTGAGGAGAGGCCATTCAAGGAGTTTTTGCATTAGAAACCTTAACATGATTATTGTGTGTGTGTGTGTGTGTGTGTGTGTGTGTTTTGAGATGGAGTCTCGCTCTGTCGCCCAGGCTGGAGTGCAGTGGTGCGATCTCGGCTCACTGCAACCTCCACCTCCTGGGTTCAAGCGATTCTTCTCCCTCAGCCTCCCGAGTAGCTGGGACTACAGGCACGCACCACCACACCTGGCTAATTTTTCTATTTTTAGTAAAGATGGGGTGTCACCATATTGGCCAGGCTGGTCTCAAACTCTTGACCTCATGATCTGCCTGCCTCGGCCTCCCAAAGTGCTGGGATTATAGGCACGAGCCACTGCACCCGGCCACGTGTGTATGTTTTAACTTGGGATTGTCCAGGGAAAACCTGTTCACTTTACCTTTACATAGATTCCTTTTCTCCTTATTGGCCCTTACTGTAGAGGTTAAGGTTTGGCCTGAGAAAAGAGCATTTTCCACTAAAATAAGAGAGGATAGAATGTTAACAGCTTGGCATACAACTATATATCTAAACTGTATAGCAGTTGGTAGATATAGTGGGAGGTGGCCTGACAGAGTAACTGGCTAAGTGAAATTCTGAGATTATGGTCTCTTCCATTTGTCCTATTATTCCTATCCCAAACTGGGCTGGGGATGCTGGAATTTACTGCTTTAGGGAGTTGTGCTGGCTACTCATCATTTCCTCCTCCAGATCCATTCTCCACCCTTCTCAGCCCTGTTCTCTACGCCTGGACGCTGACTGCATCGCCTGGGTGTCCTCACCCTTCAGCTTCTGATCGGGGGTCCATCAGTAGGAGATACCAGGAAGAAATCTGAGAGTAGGAGGAGAGATCGGGATAATTGCACCTCTCACTCTCTCCCTCTTTTGCTGCAGTTCTGAGCAGCTACAGTCCTCCACCTAAGGCCACAGCTCTCGCCCAGCAGCTCCCCTCAGACAATCCTTCTTCCATAATTCCAGCTCTTGTTGGCTCTGGAAACATTTTTCCTTCCCCTTACAGCTTACAGGTGGTAATGACTTCCCAGTAGACACTGGGTTTTTCATCATTTTTTATTGTATCTTTGTGCTGGCCTCTCTGCTACACCCTTTATAAACAGTCCCTTCATTAAGGTCTTTTTTGTTAAACTCTTTGAGTATGCATCTTTTCCTTGCCAAGATCCTAACTATATGAGTACATGTATAGCTATATGCCTATGCTTCTGCATTTCAGTGAATATAATTACTATTATTATTCTAGGTTTTTCTGTTAACTTTTTCTATTTATGTAGTTATCTACAACTTAAATTACTTAGCATGTAGGAGGGGCAGTGGGAGGCCAGAAGCTAGCTTGTTGGCACTGCCAGAAACAGTTAAAACCAGTTCTAAGTGGATTGGCATGTCGCCCATAAGTTGGGTTGAAAACGTATGAAAATAAATTTTAATTTACTTCCAGGTGAAATATGATTACATTATGATGAATATAATTCTAAGTGTTTATCTTATTTTTCCCAACCGTATTGAGGAAAAAAAAAAACTTTTTTTTTTTTTTTTTTTGAGAACTCTGTTTGTTGCTCAGGCTGGAGTGTTGTGCAATCCAGGCTCACTGCAGCCTTGAACTCCCGAGTTCAAGTGATCCTCCCACCTCCTGAGTAGCTGGGACTACAGGTGCCCGCCACCATGCCTGGCTAACTTTTTAATTTTTTTTAGAGACGGGGTCTCACTATGTCACCCAAGCTGGTCCAGAACTCCTGGCCTCAAGAGATCCTCCTGCCTTGGCCTCCCAAAGTGCTGGTATAATACCCGGCCTGAGAACACTTTGAAACTAGGAATATATGCTACTCTTTTGTCTCTTTTATAAAACTCAGGCTAGGCATGGTGGCTCATGCCTGTAATCCTAGCACTTTGGAAAGTATGGCCGAGGTGAGTAGATTGCTTGAGCCCAGGCGTTTGAGACGAGTCTGGGCAACATGGAGAAATTTTGTCTCTACAAAAAAATACGAAAATTAGCTGGGTGTGTTGACAGGCACCTATAGTCCTAGCTATGCAGGAGGATGAGGTGGAAGGGGCACCTGAGCCTAGGAAATCGAGGCTGTGGTGAGCTGTGATTGTGCCACTGCACTCCAGCCTGGGTGACAGAGTGAGACCCTGTCTCAAAAAATAAAAAATTAAAAAAAATTAAAAATAAAAATAATAAATAAAACTCAGCATACAATAAGTACTTGATAAATGTTTATGGGTTAAATGGGTTTGAAATGGGTGAAAAGGACACTTAATTAAATGTATTTATTGAATAGCAACAAGTTGCTAATAGTGAAACCTGGAATATATGCCACAAAAATAAGGTAAATTCCTCCTTCAAATTTAATCAGAAGAAAAGTAAACGTAATATATTAAACCACATGAGAGGAAGAGAGGGTTAAAAGAAAGACGAGATTAATTTATGTGAACCTGCTAGAACAGGGCAAGGGCAGGAGAGAATGAAGACTATCAGGTTGGGTGTGTCTATGAGGCTGGGGTATTATGTCAGGAAATTCAGTAGAAAACATTGGATTTTGAAAGGCCAAAAAGAAATATGAAATGTTTTTTTAAAAAAAATAATGATAGGCAATTACTTTCTTTTGAATATTTAAACATTTGATATTAATTACTGAATGCGGACTAAAAAGTCATAGAAATTTTATTTAAGGGGGTGTTGTAAAATATAACAAATGAGTTAATGGCATATGTAAGCGCTCTGGATTCTTTTCAGTAACACCATTAGTACAAATGCAAGGTGTTATTTCACATTGAATTTATAGATCATATGTATGATATATACTTTAATGGTTACTATCTGAAAACACACTTAAGCTTAGGAGAGTTGAAGAGGCTGAGGAGAAGTCAAGATTTCAGTCTATTATTACTCCTCTTTCAGTCTCTTTATCATACCATATAAACTACTAGGAAGTTGTAAAGATTATTGACATAGTATTTATTCATGTTTGAGATCATTGACTGGATACTTTCATAAGGAAAATACAGCACTGCACAATTATTACCTTCCCTTCATTATAGAAAAGTTTGGATAATCAAGCAGACTTTGTATATTTCTCGTTAGACAATTCAGCTTGAGTTAACTGCTGAAAAGTCAGGTCTGCATGAAGTTAGCATGTCCTCTGGCAATATCACTTTTTTTTTACACTCTTAATTAGAAAAAAAGTCTGTTTTAACTTGCAATTGAAGTACTTTTAGGAAGGGCAAGTTGGAGTAAGGTGATTTAATCATATGTAGTGCCCCAATAAACTGTGGAGAGGAGGATGTATGTGTACTTCTCACTGGAATAGAGCCAGGGGAAACCACTGGAGAGGCAGTCGATAAAGACATGTGTGGTCTAGAAGGCTAGCAGGCTGTCCAGATGTATCCTACAGGGAGTCACTTTCCTGGTGTGGGCACCAGTCTGTTAAGAGTCTGGTCTTTAGTTTGGTAGGCTTGACATTCAATATTGCTAAAACACTAAGGTGACTAGCCTTCTAGTGACTGACTTACAAGAATTATAGTCACAGAACACTCTCAAAACCGGAATATAACTATTAAGCTTGTTAGTAAATTCCCTTCCTCTAGACTAGTCTAGGCTGGTGACTGACAAACAATGAAGGAGATTGGGAATGGGATGGTGAGGCCTCGTCTTTCTTTTTCTTTTTTTTTGAGACAGGGTCTTGCTCTGTTGCCCAGGCTGGAGTGCAGTGGCACGATCAGGCTCACTGCAACCTCCGCCTCCTGGGTTCAAGTGATTCTCCCACCTCAGCCTCCCCAGCAGCTGAGATTACAGGTGCCCGCCACCATGCCTGGCTAATTTTTTGTATTTTTAGTAGAGGTGGGGTTTCACCATGTTGTCCAGGCTGGTCTTGAATTCCTGACCTCAGGTGATCCACCCTCCTTGGCCTCCCAAAGTGCTGGGATTACAGGTGTGAGCCACCACATCCGACCTAAGGCCTCTTCTTTCTATTGAGGCCACTGAGAAGAGGCCTCAGTCTCCCTGGAGAAGCTTTTCAAACAATTTAAGTCACCTCTGTCTTCCCTTCCCTTCTCTCTCTTATCCAACCCCAGACAGTCTTATAATTTTGATAGCCCCTTCCAAAAAGATGGCATCATCCCTGATGAACATTATAGCTAATATTTCTTTAGATAGTATGTAATTTGCATCTACTGCATAGCAAAAAAATTGAGGATTATCACCTTAGCCTAAAAATTTCCAAATTTTTCTCAACGTAAAAATCATCTCAGGCACTTACTTGAAATAGTGGCTAGAATCCCTCCCCTGAGGGTTCATTAAATCATGGGTGAATCCCACATGGTGATGATCCTTAGGAAACTTGCAAGTTCAGGCAATGCTGCACTAGGCCAGTCCCCCTGGGAATCAAATCGTTGTCAATGTACAGAACTCCTTTCCTTTGCTGCTGCTGAATTTTCCAAGGCGTGTGTTCCCAGTACTCTCCAGAAGACTCTCCGCCTATATCTGCCAGGTCCTATATGGCCCCAACACTTACCCCTTGATGATGGAAGTGAAGGTCATACAGTAAAAACAAAGCAATGTTAGCCAGTCAAGCACACACATAGAATTCCACAGGTTAGACCAGCCTTACTTCTGGTTCAAGCATTATGTTTCAACCAGATTCCCCTGAGTGATGGATATTTATACTGTTTTCTCTAGCCCTATCAGTTTACTCCCTAACCACCCCTACTCCATCCACAGCTGTATATTATCCCAGCAGACCCCATGGCTTCCTCTTCTTGATCAGCAGAGTGGCCCTAGCTCTACCCCTACTGAAATCTCTCTCTCTCTTCCCCAAGAGCTGCTCAGTACTTTTTAACTGTTTTTCTCCTACCTGTTTCCATAATATTCATCATGATTTGTCATTCATTATCACATACATCTAAGCACAGGTTAGTGGTCTTTGGGTCCTGAGGGAGGAAAAGGGAAAAGGCAGGGATCCTCATAGCAGTGCCAACCTAAAAGGAAGAAGTTGAGGCAAAATTAATATAAGTGGAGAGTTTATTTGGGCCAAGCTTGAGAATTGCAACTCAGGAGCACAGATTCAAGTTGCCCTGAATATACACTCCAATTAGCAGCAGTTACAAGTGGATTTTTAAAGGCAAAAAAGGGGACTCATACACAGTTGTTTGTCAGAAATTCTCATTGGCTTATTGTTACAGAAATAATAGTGATTAGTGATTGGCTAAACATTGTTAAGCTATAGGGTGTGAGTTATAGTGTCCAGTGTGACATTATTAGGCTAATTTATAGCTACTTGTGGCAATAGCAAGAAGTTTCAAAACATGAATACATAGCTCAAAGTGGGGAGTGAGACATCACTGTGGGTTCACTTTAAGGTTTTTCTGCACCTGATAATTAAAAGAACTAGCATTCTCAGATAACAGTTCTTTTCTCCCTATGGAATCTAAAAAAAAATCAAACTGGCTGGGTGCGATGGCTCATGCCTGTAATCCAGCACTTTGCAAGGCCAGGGCGGGTGGATCACTTGAGGTCAGGAGTTTGAGACCAGCCTGGCCAACATGGCGAAACCCCATCTCTACTAATAATATAAAGTTAGCTGGGCGTGGTGTTGCTCCTGTAATCCCAGCTACTCGGGAGGCTGAAACACAAGAATCGTTTGTACCTGGGAGGCAGGGGTTGCAGTGAGCAGAGATTGTGCCACTGCACTCCAGCCTGGACAACAGAGCGAGACTCTGTCTCAAAAAAGTAAAATAAATAAATAAATAAGTCAAAGTCATAGAAACAGAGTAGAATGGTGGTTGCTGGGGCCTGGGGGAGGAGGAAATGGGGGAGATGTTGATCAAAGTGTACATACTTTTAGTTGTAAGATGAGCAAGTTCTGGGTATCTAATGTACAACATGAGTGGTGTCAAATGTGTTGTGATCATCATTACACAATGTATACATATATCAAATCACATTGTATACTTTGAATATCTTCACTTGTCAATTAAATATTTTTTAAAAATTAGAAATCTCACCACCTGACCTCTTACGTTTCCAAATTCTTCCATCTGTTACCCCTGGTCCATATGTTTTGCAATGTCCTTGGAAACCCTAGGCCATTGATCCTTTCACTTTTCCCTTATTCATTAGCCTCCTCCTCTATTTGCTTGTCTCCCTGACCATCTTTTATTTCCTAGTCCATGGTTTCATTGATGCCATCCTAGGCTTTTTCTTTTTTGGTCTATCGATTCCAACCACCAGCTCCATTCTCTGTGCTTATGCCCAGGTGGCTGAGTGCTACTAGAGACAGCCACTTAGTTAATACCAAGATTATACCTGATTATACAAGAGTATAGTAATCTATAGTGCTGACTTCGATTCAGCCTTTGGTGCCACCTGTCAATTTTACAAAGTTCTTGTTCTTACTTTCCAGAATGGTTACTTCAAACTGTTTCCATTGTTTTTAGAACTTTTTCTACTTCCTTATTCTCAGTTGATGATGTCACCTTGTGGTCAGCAGAATGGGCCCACAAAGTTGAGCACACCCTAATCTGTGGAACCTGTGAATGTATTATATTACATGGCAAAAGTGACTTTGAAGATGTAATTAGGATTGTAGGCTTGAACACAGTGATAGTATACTGGATTATCCAGGTAGGCCCAATTTAATCACATGAGCCCTTAAAAGTGGAGAATGTTCACCAGCTCAGGCAGGAAGATGTGGCTGAAGCAGAAGGCAGAAACATTCCATGTGTGAGAGCATTCCACACACTGTCACTGATCTGGAACAGATGCCTCTAGGAGCTAAGAGTGGTCCCCAGTTGAGAGCCGGCAAGATATTAGAAACCTTCGTCCTGCACCTGGAAGCAACTAGATTCTGCTAACAACTTGAATGAGTTTGGAAGCTTGCCAGAGTCCCCTAATGAGAGCCCAACTGGCCAACACCTTGATGTCAGCCTCATGAAACTCAGAAAAGAGAAACCAGCAGAGAAGTCTATAGAACTTCTGACTTGCAGAACTGTGAGATAATACATTGGTGTTGGTTTAGGCTGGTAAATTTGTCATTCATTTGGTATAGCAGCAATCGAAAACTGACCCATGTCTCCTAACAGAAAAATTGAAGCATCAAAAGGAACTTTTTCTTTTATTTTTTTGAGACAGGGTCTGGTTCTGTCACCCAATCTGGAGTATAGTGGCACAATCTTGGCTCACTGCAACCCCCATCTCCCCGACTCCAGCCATCCTCCCACCTCAGCCTCCCAAGTAGCTGTAGGCATTCGTTCCATACCTGGCTCATTTTTGTGTTTTTTGTAGACATGGGCTTTCACCATGTTGCCCAGGCTGGTCTTGAATTCCTGGCCTCAAGCATCCGCCCACCTTGGCCTCCCAAAGTGCTGGGATTACAGGTGTGAAAAGAACCTTTTCAACTTTGTACAAGCAGCCTATGAACACAGATGCACCACTCCCATGCTTTTCTTTTCCCTTCCTCTCCCTTGTTGTTTTGGAGGAGTTGTTCCCTCTAATCTTTCAGGCTATTACTTCCATCTGTGTTCAGATGCTATTTCCTCCTGACTTCTCATGAACCTCAACTCCTCACTAACCTCTCCATTACCTCTTTCCTTATGTCCTTTACAGATTCCTTCCCATCAGTGGTCCATCAATTTTAGAACATTTTCATCAGTCTAGAGAAAACCCTGTACCCATTAGTAGTCACTCTTCATTTCTCACCAACCCAAATTATATTTTAACAAACTTATTCTGGGAATGCTTTAGCATCCCTCTTGTTTATTTATGAGACACGGTCTTGCACTGTTGCCCAGGCTGGAGTGCAGTGGCACTATTACAGCTCATTGCAGCCTCAATCTCCTGGGCTCAAGCGATCTTCCCACCTCAGCCTCCTAAGTAGCTAAGGCTACAGGTGTGTGTCACTATACCTGTCTATTTTTTTTTTAATTGTAGAGATGGGAAGGTGGGTTCTCGAACTGCTAGGCTCAAGTAATCCTCCACCTTAGCCTGTCAAAGAGTTGGGATTACATGTGTAAGCCACTGTGCCAGGTGTGCACCCTTTACTGACCAGCTGTCCAGGAAGCCAACTCACAGGTTCTCTGCTGAACCAGCTCTTCCTCACCCTACTCAATCAGAATTCCACATCTCCATAGCATAAGCAAACTCCCTCTGGTTAAGGTCAACAAAGACCTCAATGTCACCAAACCCAATGGACATTTTCTAGTCTCTATTTCACTTGCTGTCTCAGGAACATTTGATATAAATGGCATCTCATCTTTCTCAAAAAGAGGCTTTTCGTTGGCTTCCTTGTCACCACATTCTCCTGGTTTTCTTCTCTCTCTGGACCTGTATTTGTAGCCTCATTTGCGATGTTTTCCTACTTTACCTAAACTATAATGGGTTTTCCCTTGGACATCTTCTCACTCTCTAATATTTCCAGACAATCTCGGTTGATTTTCCGTGGAATCCTTTACTATTACATGCTGGCTATTCTCAAATTTGTATCTCCAGTCCATGCCTCTTTTTCTGAGTTCCAGACTAGTATCATCAGCTGCTCACTTTTCATTTATACATCTCACACCTCAAACTCATCAAGTTTGAAACTCATCATTTGCCCCCCAAAAGCTGCTGCTGTCTCAGCACTCCCTGTCTTGGTAAAGGGCACCACCATCCACCAAAGAGCTCAAACCAAAAAAAATATAGAAGTCATCTTTGGCTTCATCCTCATATCCCAACTGATCTGCAAATCCTGCAATAAACATCCTCATGCAAAATTAAAAAAAGAAAAACCTTTCAATTCCTGAGACATATGTTCGTTTAGAAGGTAACATGGTGATTCTTTTTCTTTTTCTTTTTTATTTTCTTTTGAGACAGAGTCTCGCTCTGTTGCCTAGGCTGGAGTGCAGTGAAAGGATCTTAGCTCATTGCAAACTCCCCCTCCCAGGGTCCAGCGATTTTCATGCCTCAGCCTCCTGAGTAGCTGGGATTACAGGCATGTGCTACCATGCCTGGCTAATTTTTTGTATTTTTAGTATAGACGGGGTTTCACTATGTTGGCCAGGTTGGTCTTGAACTCCTGGCCTGACGTGATCTGCCTGCCTTGGCCTCCCAAAGTGCTAGGATTATAGCCATGAGCCACTGTGCCCGGACCATGGAGATTCTTAGATAAACAGCCATGGGCACAAAGTAGGAATTCAATACAAATTTGTGGGTTGAGCAAATGACTTTAGATATGTTCAGATTCGAGTTACTGTAAGAGGAAATAAGTACTATAGATCTACATGTTTTCCTAAATCAGTATGTTTTATCAAATCAAAGAAATACCTGTAAAACTTGATTTATGCTGCCTTGGAGAAAACAATGGACAAGAACACACTTATCTATCATCCATTTCTCTCCCTTGAAACACTCAGTGCCATTATTTTTGAAAGGTGATGAATTGCAAATTTTGTCACTTTTCATACATGGTAAGAACAAAAGGTGCAGTTAAAAAACAAAAAAAAAATCATCTTTCTGTGAAAAGGATGTTACTATTTCTTAAAACATAGAAATTAAGATGAGTAATTTGCTTTCTCATATGTTGATAATGAATAGATTGAAAAAACTTCGTATCATCCATTATCAATTATATTATTTAATATATGTACTTGGGGATATTTAAATGGTATAATAAAATGACCTAATTACTTATTTCACAATATTTAAACTGAGGCACAATAGTAACCACTAATTCAAAACTACCCATTCAACAGCCTTCCACACAGAGGCTTATGAGGGAACTACAGGGTTTATATCAGCCAACAGTGCAGGCAGAACTGCAAGCTTTGTTTGGAGCTTTTTGACTTTATCCATGTACACAGGCCAAAAAGCCCACAATATCAATTGAGATCTGTAGAAAATTGTATTTAGACTTATCCCATAATGTCCAAATATTTGGATCATGAAGTAGGGAGTAGGTGGGATATTCACGCAAACTTACTTATAGATGGCTATACATTTGAATCTAGTCATTCAGTGTTACCAATGGATAGGACACCCATGCTTCTGAATTAGCTCTGTGATTGTCTATAAAAACTGCTGATTTGAATTTTGACTGCATCCTAGCAAACCAATCCATTTGCTATTGCCTTCTGGGCAAAATGCCTGGGCTTTGTAAATTTGAAAATGAGCTCCTTATTGAAGGGGAAAAATAAACCCCAGGACAATAACTTTCGATTGGTGGTCTCCTCTGGGTTCTAACCTTTAAAAGTAGCTCTAAAAGAGTCCATTTTCCACAACAATGATGTTGAGCCCTTGGTTAATTTTAGGAGCATTTTCATTTGGGGGAAACTTCTGTATTGTGACAACATCTTTTTTTGGTTTTATATTTTAAAAATTTGGGGGGACCGGGCACAGTGGCTCATGTCTGTAAATCCCAGCACTTTGCGAGGCCGAGAAGGGTGGATCGCAAGGTCAAGAGTTCGAGAACAGCCTGACTAACATGTTGAGACCCTGTCTCTGCTAAAAATACAAAAATTAGCCAGGGTTGGTGGCACACACCTGTAATCCCAGCTACTCGGGAGGCTGAGGCAGGAGAATTGCTTGAACCCAGGAGGTGGAGGTTGCAGTGAGCTGAGATTAAGCCACTGCACTCCAGCCCAGGCGACAGAGCAAGACTCCATCTCAAAAAAATTTTTTTAAATTTAATTTTTGTAGGTACATAGTAGGTATATTTATGGGGTACACACAATATTTTGATATAGGCACATAATGCATAATAATCACATCAGAGTAAATGGGATATCTACCATCTCAAACATTTATCCTTTCTTTATGTTACAAACCAATTATATTCTTAGTTATTTTAAAATGCACAATTACTGTTGCCTGTAGTTGCCCTGTTTTGCTATCAAATACTATACCTTATTCATTCTATCTAACTATATATATATTTTTTACCCATTACCCATCCCCCCTACCCTTCCCAGCCTCTGGTAACCATCATTCTACTGTCTCCATGAGTTCAATTGTTTTAAATGTTAGCTCCCATGAATAAGTGAGAACATGTGAAATTTGTCTTTCTGTGCCTGGCTTATTTCACTTAACATAATGACCTCTAGTTCCATCTATGTTGTTGCAAATGCCAGGATCTCATTCTTTGTTATGGCTGAATAGTACTCCATGGGTATATGTAACGATTTATCCATTCATCTGTTGATGGACACTTAGGTTGCTTCCAAACCTTGGCTATTGTGAGTAGTGCTGCAATAAACATAGGAGTGCAGGTATCTCTTTGATACACTGATTTCCTTTTTTGGGCATATATACCTAGCAGTGAGATTGCTAGGTCATACGGTATCTCTATTTTTAGTTTTATGAGGAACTTCCATACTGTTCTCCATAGTGGTTATACTTTTTACATTCCCACAAACACAAGGGTTCCTTTTTTTTTCCACAACCTCGCCAGTATTTATTGCCTGAGCACCTTTTCATATACCTGTTTGCTATTTGTATGTCTTCTTTTGAGAAATGTCTATTCAAATCTTTTGCCCATTTATTACTCGGACTATTAGATTTTTTTTTCCTATAGAGTTGTTGGAGCTCCTCATATATTCTGGTTATTAATCCCTTGTCAGATGGATAGTTCCCATTCTGTGGGTTGTCTCTTCAGTTTGTTTCCTTTGCTGTGCAGAAGCTTTTTAGCTTAATATGATCCCATTTGTCCATTTTCTTTGGTTGCCTGTACTGTGACGACATCTTGAAGTTGCGAGTTTGGGGATTGCCTGCCTTGTATATTCTTTTCTGTTACCATCATCTTTAATAGCCACAAATGACTGTTGACCCACATGATATCTGCACTAGAAACCCAAAGATTCCCGTCATTATTTTTGTTGATTATATGGAAGCACCCATAAACCAGCGCAAATCCTAAACATAATTATCTTGTCCAGAAGGAGACATTAATGTAAAACTTATGTCAAGAAAGATTTAGCCACATTCCCTCGGATTGGTCATTCCTAGTTAGAGTCCTTGAGGCTGCCATCGTTTACTTTGAAAACTGCCCAGCAGGTGTATGAATAGCAACTCCAGGACAATGTAGAACCATTACCATTTTAAAGACAGCAATCCCCCTTTTAAAAAACTACTGAGGCCTTCGAAGAAACCACACGGCTGCCTTGGGCCCCAAAAGCTGCGGAAAAGCGCAGTATTCAGTTAAGCAAATAACTACTTACACTGTTTATTTTGGTTACGATTCCTTAAGTGAGAAGTAAATCAATTAACAGGACAAATGACACGATGGTTAGGCACGAAAGGGACAGTGCTGCCACCTCATTAGCTTGGAGCAACCTTCCAGCTCATACCATGCGGACTGATGACTAACCTTGCCAGGCAACGCTGTGAGGTTTGGAAACCCACCTCTTTGACCTAGGCCCGGTCAACACCGATAAACCCTCTGAATCAACGCTGGCGCTCCCAAGCCCACTCACACGCCGTCAGGAAGCAGTTTCCGAAACAGGCCGGGTGCGGGGGTGGGGGATCCCGTTCCAGCCCCACCCCTGAAAGTTGCTGGGAGTGGCACCCAAAGAACTTTCCCAGATTGATCTCTGTTGCCGCTCAGGGAGGTCAGCTCCAGGCCCTCAGCCTTTCGGCCGGGAGCCAAACTGCCCTGCCTGCCAAGCCCCTCCTTCTCTGCACCTTAAACAGCCGCGAGGGGAGAGTCGGCTGGGATTTTCTTCTTAAGAAGTCGCGCAGGTTTTTCGAGCTCCACTCTGCGCCAGGAGAGCCACGGCAGCAGGAACGGGCACTGCTGCCACCGGGCCGACGGGTGAGTCACTGTTTGGAAATGGAGTGGGCGGGCGAGGGTGTGAGAGAATGAATGATGTCAAGAGCGCGCTGGGCGCAGGGCGCAGGGAGCGGGCCGCGCGCGGCGGGCGGGGAGAGCGGGCGCGGGGCCGCGGTCAACACTGAGCGCCGCGCCGTGGGCCGAGTGGGGCGGGGAGACCCAGCCCTCGGCGCGCACGGAGCCTGGCCGGTGCTGCAGCGCCGCCGAGTGCGGCCTCGGGGGCGGCGGCCGCGGGAGGGACCCGGAGAGCTGCTTCCCCTAGTCAGGCCGCGGCGTGGGAGGGCGAGACCCCGAGCAAACTTTCTAGCGGCTTCGGCCCGAGGGTGGTGACGCCCGGGGCTGGTCGCGGCGGCTGCGGCAGCGGGCTCCATCCCCTGGCAAATCCCCTTCCCGGGAGCAAGTGCCTTCAGCTGGGAGTGTCTGGAGCCCTGGCCACCAGCGGGTAAGGAGCGCGCGGAGGGGCCAGGAGGAGGATGGGCTGGGGAGCGGAGAGTCCTCCGAAGCGCGGGAGGGGAAAGGTGGATTGCGAAGCGGGGACGTGGCTCTAATCCGGCCCCCACCCTCCCCGCCCAGGGCATGCTTCCTCGATTTTGTGGTCTGGAGGAGAGATGTGTGCCTTAGTCTCCTTCCTCTGAGCAGTCATCTCATTCATTTGCAACCCATTTCGGGTACCCCGGTCCTGGCGTTGGAAGGGCACAGGTTAAACCCCAGATTGTCCAGAACCACTCCGGAGGTCAGGGCTGAAGTTCAGTTGGTGGAGGAGGGACTGTGTGTGTGTGTTTGTGTGTGTGGTTTTTCTTTTCTTTCTCTTTTTTTTTTTTTTTTTTTTTGAGAGGCACTTACTGATGATGTGTGAACAGTAACAGCCCAGCTCTGGGCAGCCCACACCGAAACCCTTCAACGTGTGGCATTCCAGAGCTGCTCCCTTTACGGAAGGGAAGACTTGGTTTCTCAGCGAAAATAAGGGGCGGGGAACCCCTGTCAACATCCATCCAGAGGTATGGATAATCATTAATTATCCACGGCTTGAAACCAACTCAAAATGTTATGTCCTGTAGTCTTTTTTATTTATTAATGTTGCCGGTCCTCTATTTCAAGTCTTGCCTGCTCTGAAATGACCTTAAAATCATTTTGACATGTGTGTTATATTTTGAAGAGATTCAACTGTTTAGTGTCACTGGATTCGGCGTGGGTTTTCAATCTGTACCTAACTTTTCAAATCCTTGGTTTCATTACCAGTCTCCTCTATTAACGGTGGGTGCTCAGGCACATTAAACATTCTGAACCAGTAAAATGGGATTATAGCTACTTCAGATAATAAGGTGGATTAAATAAGGATTAATAATGAGGATAATAATGAGGATTAAAGCGCAAAAGACTTCTCATAATGTCTGGTACAAAGCAGACCCCAACAAATTATAGCTGTTTATATATAAATAATAGTGTGTTGCAGCTGGCTTAGGTAATAACCAATTAATTTCCACAGAATGTCCTCCTTATAAGCCTGGTGGGCCGAGGGTTAGCATGTGAAATCCTTTGGCAAGTTCCTTAGATTGGGAAGTGATGTTTTCAGCAAGTTAAACATTTTTAGTACGGATACCTGAGAAGGTTATGGTTTCCATCCTGTGTCATGGGAACTGCCATTTACTGTTTAAACAATGTCAGAGCAATGGCTGAAAGTGACAACCTGGAATTTACAGGAAGAAAGGACGTGAGGAAGCTAACTTTACCTTTACCTTTTTTTTTTCCTAAAGAAGCAGTGCAAGCAGTGCAAAATTTCCTCTTTATGGCCCTTTCCTTGGTCTTCTAATGTTCTTACTTCACAATAGTCTGGTTGAAGTGTTTTTTTTTTTAACAAGTTAATGTTTAATTTGGTTCCTTTGGTTTCATTTTTAAGTAAAGCTAGTTGACTTGTGAACCTAGAGGGAAACACTTGGACACCTTGAGGTGGCTGCACCTTGTTCTGAGTTTCTCCCCTCGCAGAATCTCATAAAAGCCCTAGGAAATGTTTGGAAGAAACTTTAGCACTTGTGCACGTTATTGAAGACATTTGCTCTTACCATAACTATAACAACTTACAGGGTGAAAGATCTGGGAGCTGTCCTACGACAGTACCGTGTAGTGAGATCATGGACATGGGAATCCAGGAGACCTGAGGCTCTCTGAGCTGTGTTCCTTTGAGCAAGTTTACTTAAACTCTTTGGGATTTTTGTGGGACTTTAAACAAAATATAGGGGAAAAATAGAAATAATCTTAGAACTATTAAAATAGACAATGGAGTATCAGTGAGAACTTTTTTTAAAAGTGATGCTTTGAGGTGAGATGTTTCTTTTTTAAAGGAATAATTACTGAGAGTTTTGGACAGTTTTAGACTAAACAATGACTTACCCACCTTTAGCGTGTTGTCTCAATGGAGAAATTGAAGGCTTTGTCTTGAACTACTAGTATCAGATATTTATTTGCTTAACGTTTAGTATGCAACAACTACATAACAGCCACTGTGCTAGGGGCCAGCAATGCAAACGAAGGAGATAGTTGCTACCCCAAAGCTTATAGTCCAGTAGAGACCTCAGGCTGTGATTATCAAGAGGGGAAAAAAGGAGTCAAAAAAGGAGAGTGCTGGGGACTTGGGAAGAGACAAGAAGTGATTAGGCCGTCATAGGCTGCCTCCCACTGATAATAAGAGATCTGGTGGCATTCTGAATGGTCTTGAATAGGGGCTCGTAAATTCTTTATGAGGCCGAATAATAAAAGTATGCCTTGCTTTACACAGTAAAATATTACGGACAAGTGATAGCTCTTCAGTTTAAATAATTTTAAATATTCAAAGCAAGCTTGTTTAAATGAAATCTGAAGGGTCAGCTCAGCTCAACTGAGATATATTTGCTGTGTGGCTGGGTGCAGTGGCTCACACCTGTAATTCCAGCACTTTGGGAGGCCGAGGCAGGCAGATCACTTGACGTCAGAAGTTCAAGAGCAGCCTGGCCAATATGGTAAAACTCCATCTCTACTAAAAATAGAAAAATTAGCCGGGCATGTTGGTGCTCGCCTGTAGTCCCAGATACTCGGGAGGCTGACGCAGGAGAATCGCTTGAACCTGGGAGGTGGAGGTTGCAGTGAGCTGAGATTGCGTCACTGCACTCCAGCCTGGGTGACAGAGCTAGACTCTGTCTCAAAACAAAACAAAACAAAACAAAAAAAGATTTATTTGCTGTGAACAAAACACTATGGTAGATTTTTAAGAGGATTATCCTTGTATGAGTATTCCAACTTATTAGTTTTCCCCATATTATAAGTAATGTGTTACTTATGGAAATTTATAAGTATAGGCAAAACAAATCAGCCATAATCTCACCACCCAGAAAATCATTTAACATTTCTATCTGCCCCCTCTTTATATTTTGCCCCTATGCACAGATAACACAAACAGCTAACGAGTATTGATCTTACTATGGGCCAGGCAACGTGACAGTTGCTTTATACATCAAATCTCTTGTAATCCCCACTCCAACCCGGTGAGGTAGGTACTCTTATTACCTTCTTTTACTGAGGATACAACTGTTTTAGGGAAATTAAGTAACTTTCCTGAAGTTGCAGCAGCTGAAATTTATCTCTACAAAAATGGGTTCATTCTCTATGTTCCAACTTACGTTTTCTCTCCTCATCCAAACATGGACAACTGTATGTCACTAACATACTCTTACACAGCATCATTTTTAGTTTTCTGTTTTGTGGCTGTGTCTCAACCAGTCCCCTATCGCTGAACACTTAGTTTGTTGCCAGTGTTCACTATTTTAAGCAGCTCTGCATTAAATCTTTCTAGCTATGTCTGTGTACACATTCTTGATTATTTCAGTTATTTTGCATTTTAAAAAGTGAAACATAATGTTTAATTTAGCTGCCCTTTTTTCTAAACTGTATTCAGAATTAGAGAACTTTTCCCTGTCTCTTTAATTTAAAATTTCAGAGTCTTAATTTCTGCGTTCCTTTAGCATATCTCATAAGATTTCAGCAATAGGATCAACCTTCTCTATGGAGTCGCACAGTGGAGCAGTAGCTCATTATGCAAGGAATTTATCTGTTGAAACGGGAACATACAAACTTTCTTAAAGTACTGTTTGTGTGTGTTATTTTTATTAGCCATGAAGCTAAATGTCTTTTTTGGGGAAGTATAGCAGAATGGAGAGGTGCTAATTTTGCCAAGGAGCTCTCTGAAGGACATTCTACTTCTACACTTTGATGAAGCATTAGAACCCAGTGAGACAGATGAATTAAATACTTTCAGGTGTTGCATTTAGCAGACTTATCACTACCTTTAGAATAAGTTCCATCCATTTTAAATAGGTCACCTGTTTTTTAAAACATTACACATTTGTTGTTTGACATTTTGGGGCTGATTTAATGAAAGTGCGAGAAATTTCTATTAGTTTATTTTTATTATAAATATAAAGCATTTCTTGAAACATTCTCAAGTTTTACAATAATATCACATCTTTGCTACTCTGAGTCAAAATTTTAGTTTTTCATTCACTTTTCTATTTTGATTTCCAGTGTTAATTTATCTTTAAGGTTTTGATAAAGGATGTTAGAATATGAGTAGTGTTCATTTCAGCCACTTCATACAGATACCCAGATCAGTTCACTTTATTAATTTCTAACAATGACTTGTAATTCAAAGCAAAGTTTAAAGAAATAGCTAATAGAATTAAAGTCAAATCAGATAATGAGTTATTTTATAATTGGTTTCCCCTCTATTGACAAACCCCTATACAATTTGAAATTCAGCCTTATAATTTTGTGTTTGTGTTTATTTAAATTGATATCTCGCTTAAAGCTTTCAAACTAAACTTGTGCAACTAACTGAATTATTTCTTTTATATGTACAGTCTTTCCTTTCACTATACCCCATTTACTATTTATATTATTATTCTTTTATTTTTTTAAATTGAGACAGAGTCTTGCTATGTTGCCCAGGCTGGTCTTGAATGCCTGGACTCAAGCGATCCTCCCACCTCAGCCTTCCAACGTGGTGAATAACAGGCATGAGCCACCCTTGTCAGCCATGCAATTCCTTTATTTTTCCTTCCAGCTTTTATTTTGGGTGTGCAGGTTTGTTACATGGGTAAATTATGTGTCACAGGGGTTTGATGTACATATTATTTTGTCACTCAGATAGCATAGTACCTGATAGGTAGTTTTTCAGTCTTCACCCTCCTCCCACCCTCTGCCCTCAAGTAGGCCCCTGTGTCTGTGGTTCCCTTCTTAGGGTCCATGTCTGCTCAGTGTTTAGCTCCCACTTATAAGTGAGAACATGCAGTATTTGGTTTTCTGTTCCTGTGTTAATTCACTTAGGATAATGGCCTCCAGCTACATCCATGTTGCCACAAAGGACATGATTTCATTCATTTTTATGACTGCATAGTATTCCATGGTATGTATGTACCACGTTTTCTTTATCCAGTCCACTGTTGGTGGGCATCTAGGTTGAGTCCATGTGTTTGCTATTGTGAATAGAGCTGCGATGAACATACATGTGCATGTATCTTTATGGTAGAATGATTTTTATTCTTTTGGGTCTATATCTAGTAATGGGATTGCTGGGTCAAATGGTAGTTCTGTTCTAAGTTCTTTGAGAAATCTCTAAACTGCTTTCCACAGTAATTAGCTGAGCCAATTTACATTCCCACCAGCAGTATATAAGTGTTCCCTTTTCTCTGCAACCTTGCCAGCATGTTTTTTGACTTTTTAATAATAGCCATTCTGACTAGTGTGAGATGGTATCTATTGTGGTTTTGATTTGCATTTCTCTAGTAATTAATGATGTTGAGCATTGTTTCCTATGCTTGTTGGCTGTGTGTATGTTGTCTTTTGAGAAGTCAGTTTGTGGGTTTGCCCATTTTTTAATGGGGTTGTTGGTTTTTTTTGCTTGTAAATGTTTAAGTTCCTCATAGATTCTAGATATTAGACCTTAGATAGAGTCCTGTTTCCAAAGAGAAGTGGAGACCACTCAGGAAGACTTGCAGCATTAGTTGAACGTGAAGTTCAGTCTTTGAAACAGAGAGAGGTCAGTTGTGTGGGTTCTCCAAGCTTCTCCAAACACAGAAGATGGAGTTAGTGTTGATAAATAGTGGTGGTTAAATAATGATACTATAAGTACTAGTGAAGATTAAATGAACTGCTATCTTCATCTTCAGACAGCTCTGCAAAATGGAAATTATATCCACTCTGTAGGTGTGGAAGCAATTTGGAAAGTGTTTAAAGGTGAAACAAGGCAAAAGTACCCTTAAAGTAGCCAAGGGTACAGAGCTGGTGGGAAGTAGAGCAGGGAGTTGAGGCCAGGCCCAGCTGATTCTAATGCCATGCACTTCCCAGTACCCTGCATGGCTTTCTGTTTTGTCTCCACTAGCTTCAGCGATATGTTGGGTTTTGAGAGACATAGTTTGATATAGGACTGTATGTGTATGCTCTCCTGGAACATTTCTGTGGTCCGTGCTGCCTTAAGATCATGAAATTATGCCAGAGGTGAACCCTGACAGGCTTAGGCCGGCTTGGACCTGAGTCACAGCACTGCCACTCATCACTAGATACCCTGGAGCAGCTTCCACAGGTGAACCTCCATTTCTTGGCTGTATAATGGGAGTAAAATAATATTTACCCCATAAGGTGACTATACGAATTACATGGCTCCCTGTGTATAAAACATTGAGAGTAATGCCTGCTTCATGGTAAATATTCAAGGGCTCAGCAATCATTATTTTCTGCATATAAGCTGCACTTCTAACTTTTAAAACAAAGAGTTCAGTCCCGTTGTGTCAAATGGAACCATTCTTTCTCGTTAAGGTGGCATGTATCTTTTGGAATGGTATATCCACATTCAAGTGTTACATCTTGGCTGTGCTAATAGGAGCTGGAGCCTGTCCCATATTTTTCCCTCCCCGTTTCCTTTGGGGTTAAAATAAAATGATTGAAGTTGGTTGTACACTGCCATTGAATTCAAGAACTTTCATAAGAAGTGTATAACATCAGCTGTGAATGCTGAAAAGCTTTTCAAGCCACAGTCACAATATGCCTGCCCTCTTAGCAGATGCTGGTAGCGGTAGTCTAGCACAACTGGTACTGTCCCTCACAGAGCTTAGGCTTCTGGGGAGTATTGTACCATGAACACCACTGTCCCAGAAAGTGCCCGGGCCACTAAGAATCACAAACCCTACTGTCCTCGCCAGTGCTGTGCGTCTTTCTTTAGGAGGCCCTGAGACAGTTTATTTAACACAGCTGCTACTGTCTTCTGATATTTGCATTTGTTCAGCGAGTTGTTGAACCACCCAGTTATTACTACCCCAGTAGTTGCTACCAAACTTTCATAGCAACAAAGGGTATTGTTTTGGTTAGTGTAATATACCAGTTCTTCTGCATGAATGTCATTGAATATATTTACGTATATATAAAATATATGCCATATGGTAAATTAGCTAGGGCTGAGAAGTTTGCTCCCTTGAAATATAGTTTCATTGGCAAGTTATAAGCAGCAAGCAGGAGCATTTAAAAGTTTATTTAACAAATACTTATATTCACTATGTGTCAGGGTTTGTTCTAAGTACTTAAAACTGTTACTCATTTACTCCTAAAATTCACTTTAAGGATCCTACTTGAAACACAGGGGGGTTAAGTCACGTACTTAAGGCCACACAGGTGGTAAATAGTTGAATTAGATTTTGAAAGCAGGCAGCTTGACTGCAGAGTCTAATCACTGCACTGTTGCTTGTGGAATCTAGCATGTTTCTCACAGTTTGGGCCCTATTTGTGTCTTTGTGTATGCAATTTTGCCAAAGAAAAAAATTGCACCTGTTCAAACATATGATCAACTCCTTGGTTTACCATGTGGAGGATTACAACTAGATTATATATTTCAATATTGCTATTGAAAGACATTGATAGACTGGGTACTGTGGCTCATGCCTGTAGTCCCAGCACTTTGGGAGGCCAAGGCGGGTGGATAGCTTGAGTCCAGGAGTTTGAGACCAGCCCAGGCAACATGATGCAACCCCTCCTCTACAAAAAACACAAAAATTAGCCAGGTGTAGTGGTGCACACCTGAAGTCCCAGCTATTTGGGAGGCAGATGTGGGAGGTTTGCTTTATCCTGGGAGGCTGAGGCTGCAGTGAGCCAAGATTGCACCACAGCACTCCAGCCTGGGCGACAGAGTGAGATCCTTTCTCAAAAAAGAAAAAAGACGTTGATACTAATTTTCACTATAGTGTTATCAAGCATTTCCCTGTAAAAGCTTCTGAGTGCATGGTCGACCCTGGTGATGATCCGGGAAGGAAGCATGCATTCTCCCATCCCCCACTCAGCACACTCAGCTGAGCAAGACTAGCAGCAATCTCAGGCCTCCTGTCCTAACAGCATTCTTTTTATTTTTTTAGCTTTAGGGTTTTCATTTGTTGTAAATTAAAATAGTTAAAAATCTTTATCGGAGGAGAGTAGCTTGTACACTTGAGGTTGCTTTGTTTTCTAATTACTGTTGGAGATGGTAGTAAGCAGAATAATGGCTCCCCAAAGATGTTCACATCCTAATTCCCAGAACCTATGAATCTGTTGTGTTACACAGCTTGAACATTCCTAGTCTGAAAATCCAAAATGCTCCAAAATCTGAAACTTTTTGAGTGCCAATGTGACACCATAAATGAAAAATTCCACACCTAACGTCACATGATGGGTCGTAGTTAAAACAGTCAAAACTTTGTTTCATGCACAAAATTATTTAGAACATACAAAATTACCTTCAATCTGCATATAAGATGTATATGAAAAGTAATGACAATATTCCAAAATTCAAAAAAAAATCCAAAAGACTTCTGGTCCCAAGCATTTCAGATAAGGGATTCTCACTCATCCTGCACGGAAGGGGGAATTCAGGTTGCAGATGGAGTTAAGGGTGCTGACCAGCTGATGTTGACATTAAGATTATCCTGGGTCATCTGGGTGAGCCCAGTGTAATCACAAGGACCTTCTGAGTGGAAAAGGGAAGCAGAAGAGTCACAGCAGGAGAGTTGACATTATTGGAAAAACTCAAACATCCATTGCTGGCTTTGAAAATGGAAGGAGGCCACAAGCCAAGGAATGCACACAGTCTCCAGAATCTGGAGGAGGCAAGGGAATGAGCTCTCCCGTGGAGCCTCCAGAAAGGAGCACAGTCCTCCTGACACTGTGATGTTTAGCTCAGAGAGATCCATTTTGGACTTCTGACCTCCAGAACTGTAGGAGAAAAAAATCTGTGTTCTTTTAAGCCTCTAACTTTGTGGTAGAGCAGCAGTAGAAACAAATACAGAGCAATCTGTGTTTTGATTTGTTCCTTATGCCAGTCCTAGCAGAGGGCTGCCTGATCTCATGATTTATTACAGACACATTAAGTATAGCAAGGTTTACATTTTGACGGCTGTTTTATTTTATATGTAAAATTAACCACTTTGTGGGAGGGAGAGTTAACTTTTGATAATTCTGTGTATTTCTATACCTAACAATTATTTAAAATGACAGTACCAAGGTTTCCAGGAAAAAAGTGTCTTAGTAATTCTGGAGCAGGTAGAGCCACTTGAATCTTTTTTGTCAGAGTTGCCTAACAGGAATGTGGCTCTGCATCCTATGTAGTTGTGTCATACCTTTGCATTTGTTTAGGGTGAAATGATAGTCCCAGCATGGTGATACTGGGATGGTGGAGATTATCACTTAATTTTTACTCCAGGTTCCTTTTCATTTTTAAAGATCTGGTATTTTCTCATTTGCCTAGCAATGTTATTATGAAATCCCAGAGAACAACAGCTGTAAACAAAAGGTGACATCATTCATTGGGTCATCTATTGTAAGTATGTAAAGGGCTATAGGCTCTTAGAGTAGACAATATCTCAGAATCACAGTGTCAACTTCTGAAATTAAAAGAACAAGAGGCTGGGCCCAGTTGCTCATGCCTGTAATCCCAGTGCTTTGGGAGGCCAAGGTGGGAGGATCACTTAAGGCCAGGAGTTTGAGACCAGTCTGGGCAACATAGCCAGGCCTCCATCCCTATCCCGTGCAAAATTAGCCAGGTGTAGTGGCACACACATGTAGTCCCAGCTACTCAGGAAGCTGAGGCAGGTGAATCTCTTGAGCCCAGGATTTAGAGGTTGCAGTGAGCTATGATCATGCCACTGTACTCCAGCCTGGGCAACAGACCCCATCTCTAAAAATAAAATGAATAAGAATTATAATAATAGATGGGGTTTTTTTTTTAAGGAACCCTGTGATAACAATCCTATATTCAGTTAAAGGTCTTCTCTTTGTACAATGTAGCAATAGCACTAGTGTAAGAAATAAAATCTTGGGAATTTTCTTGTGTCTTAAAAAGTGGAATCAGAAATAGTGTAGAATTTTGGTAATTTTTATGAAATACAGGTGGAAAATTAGCTGCAGTTTCTAGGGGGAAGAGATTGTCTTGTGTAGAAGTATAAAAAAAATTGGAAACTCAAACCATAGAGACAGAATATTTTCATATTTGTAATACTTTTAAATGCATCCTTTTTAGATTTGGAGTCACTTTGCGACTTTCAGAGAAAAATATCTATACATATAAGCTGGATTGAATTCCTCTTATAAATGTGCACGTTTGAATAAAAACTCGATGTGGGAGGATAGGAAGTTTTGGTCTGTATTCTAAAATGCTTTTAGAGATTTTTCTAGGCCCTTGCTTCTCTAATTTAGAAACTTCTTGAGCCCTGGCTCTGTGGGTGCAGTGTCGCATCGGACTCTGACTCATTTGCTTACATTTTATCCTTGTCAAGCAATTCTTGGTTAATAGTTTGCTTTGTCGTGCCAGTATCTCCATAACAGAATGGGGATGTCTTGGCTATATAAGTAGCCAAGTAAGAAAGCTTCACTAGTACCAGAAGGGTATCTGTTCCATCTCCCAGCAATTGTTGATAAAAGATTGATGTTCTCTGTTGCATCTTTTGTTAATATGAACTAAAACTTATTTCTCTTTGATGAACTAGTTTCTGAGCTTACAAAGAGCAGACTCCGGACCAATGTGCCCAGAATCCCTAAAGAGTTAACCATCTCCCAAGAACCCAGTACTGTCAATGGAAATATAACATGAGCCATACATGATAGCCATTTATGTAATTTGAGTTTTCGAACAGCCACATTACAAAAAGCAAAAAGAAACAGATGTAATTATGTTTATAACATTTTATTTAGCCTAGTATACCAAAATATTATATGTAATGTTACCAGTTATAATCAATATAAAATTCTTGAAATTTTTACATTCTTTTCCAAGCCTTTGAAATCTGATGTATATTCTACACTTACAGATATCTCAGTTCAGACCGGCCACACGTCAAGCACTCAGTTGCCACATGTGGCTGGCACCTCCTGTACTGGGCACTGCAGCTCTAACCAGCCTTATCCTTAAGGAAAAATATCCCACATAAATCTGAAGACAATTCATTAAGCGTTGCCATCCAATGACTTTGGCATATTGTATTTTAAAAACTGAATTATATCATGGAGTTACTCAGTGAGTGTCACAGCACACTGGTTCCAGTGTCTTTTGCAAGTATGAGTTAACAAATCTTACAGTGAAGCTTCTCTCTGAGGTTGTCTGTACCTTCGATTTGTGAATATCAATGCCATAAAATGTGCCTGGGCCTATAAATGAAATGTTTAGATTATTTGATTCATGAGTATGGGAAAGATGACAACTCATACACTTTTGCATCTGGTCTGGTCTCTTAGCTCTAGTGCATCAATACATTTAACTCCTCATCTATCACCTCATCGTCTACCTCTTGTCCACCATCATCTTTACCCTATCCTTTCCTTGTTTTTGTGGGTAATGCTGTTTACTAATTTGTGCTCTTCCTCAGTTGCTTATTTTGACAATTTGGGAAGCAAGGCCACTGTAAAATCTAGATCAGAGAAAACATTACTTGATATCAAATATTTGGCGGCCGGAACACATATGATTAGAATGTAAGAAGACCCAGGCATAGTAGAGAGACTGGGAGAGAGGATGGGCAGGGGAGGGAAGGGAGAGGAGAGTACAGTTCTCTGGGGGAAAAATAACTCAGTGCAGATGAAAGATTTCATAGCAGAAAACTCACCTGACCACTGGGGAAGCCACTGCATTTATCAAGCTTCCAGGATAGGTTGCCTTGGATTTCATAAATATATTGACTTAATCAAATAACTTCATGACACAGATTGCTGAGATGCAGTCCCAAGCCCTCCTCCATTCCTTTGGAAATTGATTAATGTATTTAACACTTTTTTTTGCACTTGCTAGGTGCTAGACCTCATTTTTGATTCTGGGGATTCAGCAGTAAACAGGAGTCTAGGTTTCTCCTCCAATGGAAATTGGTTGTATATGTTGAGAGAGGAAAAGGTGTTGAAAAGCAGGACTGATAGGATGATAGGCAAGTAAAACCAATGAATAAGTTGAGATTTGGACTAGTTATTGGAAGGAAGTAGAGAGTGACTGGGGCAGCCTACCCTAGGACAGTCAGGAAAGGTTTGTCAGAAGAGGTCAGATTTACACTGAGTTGTAAAGGCTGAGAAAGACTCAGCAGAGTGAACAGAATGTACAACCTGTGGAGGGAAAAAGCGTGATTACACAGGAAAGGGAAGAAGGCCAATCTGCTGCAGCCTGTGAGCAGCAGAAGTAGGCAAGAGATGGGTGTGGCGAGGCAGGCAGGACCGAGTTGGGTAGGGCTGGCATGCTTTGTAAGGAGTATTAGTCTTGTTCCAAATGCCACGAGAAGGCATTGTGATGTGACATAAGGAGAATGAGGTCTGATTTACATCTGTAATAGATCCCTCTGGCTGCTGGGCAGAGAGTGGAGTAGGAGGGGGTTAGAGCAGAAGCAAGGAGATGGTTATGAGGCTATTGGGAGCATTCTGTATGAGAATTGATGCAGCTTGGAGAAGGGTGGTGGTGGTGGAGATCGAGAATGTTGGATGGGTTTGAAAGTACTGGAGACTTACAGATATGATATGTGGCATAACAGTAGAAAAAATTAAGCATGACTCCTAGTTTTTTTTGTGGGTAAAGAGTTGTAGTGAATGGTGGTGTAGTTTAGCCATTGATTAGAGTTGCCCATTAGTCATCCTAATGGTGACAGATGTCAAATAGCCAGTTGTGATGCAGAGACCTGCATTCAGGGGTGAGATCAGGGCCAGAGTTGTGTCAGTATAGAAGTGATATATAAAGTTATGGGAAGTCTAGAATCACCAGGGAATATTTTGTAGGCAGAGAGGCCCTGAGGAATAACAGTTAATAGGTCAAGTAGGAGACCATGGGGTAACCAATGAGGAGGACCGAAAGAACAATGTCCCAGATGCTACAGGAACCAAATGTTTAAGACAGGGTGGAGTAATCAGTTCTCTTGTTAAGTTCTTAAAGAGTTGAGTAAGATGAGAACACAATGTTTGTTGGGTTTAGCAATGTGGAGGATACTTGAGATCTTGTTGAGCATTTTTAGAGAAGTGATTCAAAGCACAAATTAATTACTTCCAGCATCCCCTGCAGGAAACTTTCCTGCTCTCTGTCTTTTCCACTTTACCCTGTGGGCTAGAGGACTTCTTCTTCTTCTTCTTCTTCTTTTTTTGAAGTTACATATTAAAATATTTTGAAATAATTGTGCATTTACAGGAAGTTACAAAGATGATTCAGAGGGTTTTGTTAGCCTTCACTGGTTACTCCTGATGGTTGCATCTTGTGTAATTCTAGTACAATATCAAAACCAGTCCTCTTTTTGTTCCAAAGTTCGCAGGCCCTTCTTTGTCACTCCACTACTATATTATAATCTGGTTTTCTGTTTATATTGTATTTCTTCTAGACAGAGTGCCTTGAGCAGAGTTTATCCTTTTTTTTTTTAAGTATTTCCTAGCATGGTGCCACTTCATACCTGTTTGCTGAATTAATGAGTTGAATATTCTTGGATGCTGCTTTTTGCTTATATCATCTGCTACTGTGTTCTCTTAGGCAGAAGCAAATGAAGAGCCCAGGTTTCCTGTTTTCCAATCAATCTGCTAACCTCTTCCTGCACCATCTGCCTTCTGTAGCCACTGCCTTGCCTGGACTGAGGATATCTTTGCCCAGAATTACATCACTCCCTCTCCTCTCTGACTCTTCCTCCACCACAACCAAGCCAATTGCCAGTGATTGATTCTGAAGGCTTGCTTAGCTCCATTCCTTTCTTCTTGGACATTTCATTTGTACCCTGTACTTTTTTGGGAGTCATATATGAAAACCTGTGGAAATCCCCTTCTTACCTATTTCAGAAACTCCATCTTTCCCCCACCTCTGAGTTCTTTGGGTGAAGACATCTCTGAATTTACTTCATACAATTTACCATTTTTGAAACTTTCATTTGCCCCATTGCACACTTAAGTATCTTAGAGACCTAGAAAGTTTGGGTTCTATTTGCCTGGTAATAGTTGACCATGGCAACTTCAAAAGGGTTCTTTTTAACAACTTCCCCCTGCTCCACCCCAACGGTAGTTATTTTGCTACCAGGGCTGTGTGGAAGTGGTTTTTTTTTTCCCTTCTCTCCTACTTCTATCAGTTTGTTTTCCACTTCATTATCCTCCTGTTGCAACACCCCAATTATGCTAGTTGCTGTGGAGATATTAAGTGTATTGCTAATGGAGGATTATTCCTTTAAGTGGAGGGGTAGAAGCAAGAGGAGGTTATAAATCTTGTTTTTGTGCAAATGTTTCCTAGTAACAAAAATAATTAATGTTACTGGAGACCGTGGTATATAAATGGCTATATAGGATTTGCTTGTGTTTTTAGAAGGGATTGAATTTCTTAATTAAAGAAAATATTAAGATTCTGATCTTATTGGAGATTAATACCCTATTTTAATACTTTGCTGTTCATTAAGTCCCTTGAACATAAATTCCCCATATAGACAGAATATTTTCTTGAAATGATCTTTTAAAATTTATTTTTAAAAGCTTTTTAAAACTTTACTAGAGGGAGACACATTTTTGAATATTGTTCCATCTGATTTCTATTTCTTGAACTCTTGCAGCTTCCCATGGCCTTTATTCTATAATAATTAAGGTGATTGTGTGTCCTGGTTCACGCTAGTCACAGTGTATACCTATTGTCCTAGTGTACTTATTCATTAGTAAGGCTGTCTTTCACTGTCACAACTGGCCAGGTTTGGATGTTAAATTATATGGTCACCCTACTTAAAGACTACGTTTAATAGAAAACTGAAGAGTGAAGTATTTCATATATCCTGTTTTAATCCACATAACTTTTATACACATATGCACATACATATGTAATTTTTCACTTTTGCAACTAAACTTGTAGAATCTTGCCCCAATGTCTTGAAACTGCAGAAAGATATATATTGTTACTGTTGTAAGCAAGTCAAAAGAACTTTTCTTGATAGAACTCTGATTTCCTCATGTTATGTTTTCACTAAGATTCACTGCACTGTAGTAATGCCTGACTTGGCTCCTCCTAACTGGGCGAGGGCTGTTTTTGGGTGGTCAGTGTTGTACAAATATTAGCTGTTGTGATTTGAAAAGATCGTATCTCAAGTTTGATTCCCTCCTCCATATACATTTTCACCTCATGTTCACAATAGATTTCTTCTCCTAGACTGTTCATAGCCTCATCTCTCTATTAGCAGCTCAGTTATTGATATACCCAAGGGTAGACTAACAGCCACTGGAGTGAATAGGAAATAGGAAAGGAAAGATCTTTTAAAACTTGGACACAGTAAGAGGTAAAAAGTTCCATGTTGATATGCAATCTTGCATTTAAAAATATTCACATTCTTTCCCTAACACCTTCCTCTTAATATCAAGTATATTATTGTAAAAACTCTGAAAATCATACTAAAATTTTTATAATTTAATGAAAGATCCTGGAGAAATTTTTGGGCAGGTTATGCTCTAGGGCCAATGGGATCTTGAAGTGATTGTAAAAGTGAGTAAGAGTTAGTGAATTACTAGTATTGGAGGCCATCTTTCAGGGTTAATCTCTAGAAAAGAGTCCTGTTGCACTCTTCAACATGTCAGCAGAATCAAGGTTGGTGAAGGTAAGAGCTTGGTGACAACCAAGCAAGCACATATTTTGTGCCAGGCTGAGTGTACTATTGTAAACAAAACAGATGTGGTCCCTACCATCATGGAGCCTACCACCTAGTGTGGGAGACACCCAATTAAAACAAGGAAATGGGCATATAATTACAAGTTATGGAAAAGGACCAATGGTGCTGGGAAAATAAGAAGAGAGACCCACTTTAAAGAGTGATTAGTAAAAGGCCCCTTTTAGGAAGGAATATTAAAGTTGAGAAGCTGCTGGCCATGTGTAGTTGTTAACCCAAACCAAAACTCTATGAAGTTGGTGGTGTATCAAGGTGAGACTCATTAAGTAATTTGTTCAGGGTAATTGAACCAACTATTACCAAACATGAGGCCCTTCTGGGTTCCTCTTGCAGAGTTTCCCAAATCTTTTTTTCATTATTAACCCCTGAAGGCACCTTTTAGGCAAGTTTTTTCTAGCCACTCTTTTTCCCCTGTGAAATTTTAATGCCTTTGGAAGACTACAGACCTTTTTTTTTTTCAATATGCTTTTCAAGCACCAATCTTTGCCCTTGTTGAGAATGCATGGTCTAGCAGTAGGGCTCATTTTGAGGCAGTCAGAAATTGTCCTTGGATCTTCAGTTGAACTTTAAGTCCCTTGAAGTAGAGACCAACACTAGTTGGGAAAGCTGTAATAATAGATGCTACTTATCATGGTACTTTTTAAAAATTTTTTATTTTTTATGGGTACATTGTAGGTGTATATACTTATGGCCTTTTTTTTTAAGAGACAGGGTCTCACTATGTTGCCTAGGCTGGAGTACTGTGGTGCAATCACAGCTCACTGCAGCTCAAATGATCCTCCCACCTCAGCTTCCCAAGTAACTGGGACTACCATGCATGCCACCATGTTCAGCTAAACTTTTCAATTTTTTTTGTAGAGATAGGGTCTTGCACTGTTGCCCAGGCTGGTCTTGAACTCCTGGGCTCAAGTAATCCTCCTGCCTTGGCCTCTCAAAATGCTGGAACTTACAGGCATGAATCACTATGCCTGACCTTTAAAAAAATTTTTTTTTAATATTCCATGAGGTTGGGAGAAGCAGAATAAAGATGTTGGAAGTAGAGCTTGAAAGTTCTTAGATGGCTTGTTAAGGGTAGTCATGTAATATGTATTAGGTTGCGAAAAAAGTAGGGAATATATTTGAAATTAGGTAAGAAAGCTGTAGTCTGTATCTTCTGCTCTGTATCTGTGTCTGTGTGTTAAGGTGTGTAGTAGGCTGTTCTTGCATTGCCATAAAGAAATACCTGAGGCTGGCTAAATTATTTCAAAAAGAGGCTTTAATTGGCTCACTGTTCTGCAGACAGTACAAGAAGTGTAATGCCAACATCTGCTTCTGGTGAGGGCCTCAGGAAGCTTACAATCATGGCAGAAGGTGAAGGGGAGCAGGTGTCTCACATGGCTAGAGCGGGAGCAAGAGAGAGAGGAGCGAGGTGCCACACACTTTTAAACAACCAGATCTCATGTGAACTCAAAGTGAGAACTTATCACCAAGGGGATGGTGCCGAACCAATTCATGAGGGATCTGCCAGGTTCTACCTCCAACACTGGGGATTACATTTCAACATGAGATTTGGAGGGGATGAACATCTAAATTATATCAAGATGTGTGTGAGTGAGACATTTAGATCAAATTAGTTCTAGTTGTCTGGTAGACAGTCATGGAAACTAGAGTAAGGTGTACACGACTTAATGACCTGTCGTGTAATTCCCATGAGTGCCTCAAAGAATTTTTGAGGCAGGCTCATTCTATCAGACTTCAACATTTTAAAGGCATTACATCCTTTTATTGTTTCATCAGCCACTAGTGCCAGATAGATCTTAACTTTTTTTTCAACTCTTTAAATCCTGTGGTGTAATCGGAGCTGATTTTCCCCCTTTTAATCTTTTTGTTTTGTTTTCCTTCTTAACAAGCAAATTCCCTTTAGTAGGGGCAGGAAAATTATGAAACTACATTCAGAAAGGATGTGATTTATAAAAGTTCCTTCTAAATGAATTAGTAGGAAAGGCAATATATGGTATTAGTCGCTACATTTCGTTTCTGTTCTTTTTGCCCCATTTGCACAAGCAACTGAGCCCCTACTTTGAGATGGCCCTATTTTGCCATCATCACTAAACAAAACAAGACCTTCAGTTTGTTTTTAAATGGTGTGCTTGAACCTTCTACTAAAATGTTATTTGTGAAACAATCTTAGGGTTGGGTATAGACTCACTGGTTTTTTTTTTTTAATGAAAACTTCCTCTTCACTTTTTTATACAAGTAATTAGCTATTCTGGCATTCTGAGAATCCTTTGATCCCTTCAACTTAAATATTGACAAAATGCGTAATTTGAATCATTTGTTCTCAAAAACGTTTTTACTTATTTATATGAGAATTGATTATATTCTAAAGAGAATGTGGATTGTGACTTTAAACTTATCCTGAATTTAACAAATTATTAAATGTTTATAAAGCACAAATGTTCCTAATAGTTTCTTAATATGGAATTTGGAAGCAGAAGTAGTGGAAGATGTGTGGTGTCAGCTGTGAATTGCCATGGATGTGCTTGTCAACAAAGAGAAGCCGAATAAGCTGAGTGTCATGGCAACAGAGACTGGAGGAGGAGCTCTGAGGCCTGGAGTGCTCAGGTCAACCTCCATCCTCTGGGTGCTTTCACCTGAAAAGGCTCAAAGATCTCACATCCTTTGGGTTAGGACTGAAGAGTAAATTTATTGTGCAACAGAGTGCTGTGTTATGAAGGGCATTCAGTGTGACCAACCAGGTTCCAAGAAGGCTTGGATGTCTTCTTCTCTGTCCCCTCAAGTCTGAAGCAGGGCAGAGCCCATTGAATTCTAGATGTAATTCACAGAAAACACCAAAAAAGTTTCAAAAGTTTGTTTGAAATTGAGATGTTTTCATTTAAAATCACAGTATAAAACTTACATGGAATTTTGAAAATGGCAGAAAATTATTTTTGGGGACCTGGCTGTTATTTCTGCAGTCAGTTTTCTGTCTTATGGTAGAATCTTATTTGTAGATATGCTTCATGTTAACTGTATATTCTTGATCGATGAGTAGTTTCAAGAGGTGATTAAAATACCTCTTTTTGCCAGGCACGGTGGCTCACGCCTATAATCCCAGCACTTTGGGAGGCCAAGACAGGCAGATCATGAGGTCAGGAGTTCGAGACTAGCCTGGCCAACATAGTGAAACCCAGTCTCTACTAAAAATACAAAAAAAGTTAGCCGGGCATGGAGGTGGGCACCTGTAGTCCCAGCTACTTGGGAGGCTGAGGCAGGAGAATCACTTGAACCTGGGAGGTGGAGGTTGCAGTGAGCTGAGATTGGGCCACTGCACTCCAGCCTGGGTGACAGAGTGAGACTCTATCTCAAAAAAAAAAATGCTCTTTTTAAAATCATCTTGCATTTGGCCAGGTTGGGTGGGCATGTAACTAAAGTGTCTAGGAGTGTTTAAAAAAAAAGTGTCGGATGGACATGGTGGCTCACACCTGTAACCCCAGCACTTTGGGAGGCTGAGGCTGAAAGATCACATGAGCCCAGGAATTTGAGACCAGCCTGGGCAATGTAAGGAAAGATAGTCTGTACAAAAAATAAAAATAAAATTAAGCATGGAGGTGCACACCTGTGGTCCCAGCTACTCTACTGGAGAATCTGAGGTGGGAGGATCACCTGACCTCAGGAGGTCAAGGCTGCAGTGAGCCGTGATTGCACCACCGCTCTCCAGCCTGAGCAACAGAACAAGATCCTGTCTCCAAAAAAATGTGTCTATTCTCATTAAGACTTAATTTTAGATTCTAAAATGAACCAATTTTAGATTCTAAAATGAACCAATGAAATGACAGTCCATCTCTTCAAAGAGCTCATGTGTAAATGGGATTTAACCAGGTATAGTCAAATACAGATTAATTTTCTTTCAGGTGCTGATTGATGTAGCCTTTGATCTGTCTTAGTTCCTAATGGAGACTGGACCATTTGTTCTCTCTTAAACTGGGGAGAGAGTTGATACAAGCTGTGGCAGATGATTGTAGCTCTCCTAGAAAAGAGGCTTGGAAGTCTTCTTCCCTGTCCCCTCAAGTCAGGGGCAAGCCAGAGCCCATACATGCAAGAGCAGTTTTGCTGAGCCAGGAAGGGAAACTAATCAGGAAAAATGAGACAAGAGGCTAGGCTGAATGCCCCAGGCCAGGGAGCAGAAAGTTATAGAACTCCCTAGAGATGGAGTCTTTTGGGCCACAGGATGATGTCGTAGCATCCTGCAAGAGGCATCTGAGGCCTGGATTAGCAGAACCTTCCTTCTCCAAGGCTCTGAGAACAGTCTGGATTTGGTACTGGAAGCAGGAAACAAGAAAGAGTGATCATCATATGTTGCAGGAGTAGTAAAGGAGCCCGTGATCTGAAAGGAAGAGGAGCATGTGGCCATTTAGTGAAAACAGGGTTACTGAGAAGCATTGTGAGGTGTGCTCTGCACCTTCCTCTGTTGTGTGTGGTTTGTACCCCAACATTCTCAACATAATCAGCTGGTCCTCAAGGGTGCTTCACTATTGTGAGCCTAATGGGACTCACAAACCAAATAAAGTATAGGATAGCTGTCTCCCCTTGAGAAAAGGTTTTAAACAAGAGAAACCTGGCTTGTAGTGTGGTTCCTTGAGACAAGCAGCTACTAAACCCTTTAATTAGGGGCACTATTAAAGTGAATCTTGGGCTACAAGTATGTTCTTAAGGGATGTCTGAAAAGATGTCATTTTGGAAGTAAAGCAAGTCTTCTCTTAGGCATTGTTTTGTCAGGGCACAATTTTGCAGATGCACATTAAGGATTTGTGCTAAGCTTCCCTACATGTGCTTGTGTTGCACGCTGAATGAGGGATAAGGCGTGTCCTGCCATTTGTTATATAAAGCTTCCCTTTCATGAATATGTATGTTGAATAGGAAAGCTATAGGAGGCAGCAATGGAGTTACAGATCTAAATGTTATGCCACCAAATGGAATGCTGCCCTGACCACAAATGTTGTTTCATCAACATTAAGCTGCATTTAGAATGCTCTTTACTTTTAGAAGGCTTAAGTGCTTTCGAATTGTAAGGTAAATTTAGATCAGTGATTGTATTTGAGCAAATTGTCATTATTCTTAAAGGATCTAACTAGGGGTGTGGAAAGCTGTTTTTTTTTATTATTATAATTGTACTTTAAGTTTTAGGGTACATGTGCACAATGTGCAGGTTAGTTACATATGTATACATGTGCCATGCTGGTGTGCTGCACCCATTAACTTGTCATTTAGCATTAGGTATATCTCCTAATGCTAACCCTCCCCCCTCCCCCCACCCCACAATAGTACCCAGAGTGTGATGTTCCCCTTCCTGTGTCCATGTGTTCTCATTGTTCAATTCCCATCTATGAGTGAGAACATGTGGTATTTGGTTTTTTGTCCTTGCGATAGTTTACTGAGAATGATGATTTCCAATTTTATCCATGTCCCTACAAAGGACATGAACTCATCATTTTTTATGGCTGCATAGTATTCCATGGTGTATATGTGCCACATTTTCTTAATCCAGTCTATCATTGTTGGACATTTGGGTTGGTTCCAAGTCTTTGCTATTGTGAATAGTGCCGCAATCAACATACGTGTGCATGTGTCTTTATAGCAGCATGATTTATAGTCCTTTGGGTATATACCCAGTAATGGGATGGCTGGGTCCAATGGTATTTCTAGTTCTAGATCCCTGAGGAATCGCCACACTGACTTCCACAATGGTTGAACTAGTTTACAGTCCCACCAACAGTGTAAAAGTGTTCCTATTTCTCCACATCCTCTCCAGCACCTGTTGTTTCCTGACTTTTTAATGATTGCCATTCTAACTGGTGTGAGATGGTATCTCATTGTGGTTTTGATTTGCATTTCTCTGATGGCCAGTGATGATGAGCATTTTTTCATGTGTCTTTTGGCTGCATAAATGTCTTCTTTTGAGAAGTGTCTGTTCATATCCTTTGCCCACTTTTTGATGGGCTTGTTTGTTTTTTTCTTGTAAATTTGTTTGAGCTCATTGTAGATTCTGGATATTAGCCCTTTGTCAGATGAGTAGATTGCGAAAATTTTCTCCCATTTTGTAGGTTGCCTGTTCACTCTGATGGTAGTTTCTTTTGCTGTGCAGAAGCTCTTTAGTTTAATTAGATCCCATTTGTCAATTTTGGCTTTTATTGCCATTGCTTTTGGTGTTTTAGACATGAAGTCCTTGCCCATGCCTATGTCCTGAATGGTAATGCCTAGGTTTTCTTCTAGGGTTTTTATGGTTTTAGGTCTAACATTTAAGTCTTTAATCCATCTCGAATTGATTTTTGTATAAGGTGTAAGGAAGGGATCCAGTTTCAGCTTTCTACTTATGGCTAGCCAGTTTTCCCAGCACCATTTATTAAATATGGAATCCTTTCCCCATTGCTTGTTTTTCTCAGGTTTGTCAAAGATCAGATAGTTGTAGATATGCGGCGTTATTTCTGAGGGCTCTGTTCTGTTCCATTGATCTATATCTCTGTTTTGGTACCAGTACCATGCTGTTTTGGTTACTGTAGCCTTGTAGTATAGTTTGAAGTCAGGTAGTGTGATGCCTCCAGCTTTGTTCTTTTGGCTTAGGATTGACTTGGCGATGCGGGCTGTTTTTTGGTTCCATATGAACTTTAAAGGAAAGCTGTTTTTGACTAATGTTTGGGTGTTGCGTTGCATCTTAAACCACGTAATTGGAGTATTTCTTGTTTTACTTTGTGAAAACAGATTATTGTTGTCTTAGATAATACTAAGAGTTTATAGCTAATTCTGAGAAATACTTTTTTGGTAAATTAATAGGCGTTTTTTAAAAAGCAGTTTCAGATTTACAGAAACAATGAACAGAAAGTACTGAGTTCCCATAAGCTATACCCCTACCCCTCAGTTTCCCACATTAGTGTAGTACACTTTGTACAGTTAAGGAGCCAATATGATATATTATTAACCAAAGTCCATAGTTTAGAGTTCACTTTTTATATTGTACATTCTGTGGGTTTTGAAAAATGTGTAATGACATGTAGCTCTCATTGTAGTACTATACAGAATAGTTTCACTGCCCTAAAAGTCTGTGTTCTGCGTATTCACTCCTCCCCAATCCTCAACCTCTGGCAACCACTCATCTCTTTACTGTCTCCATAGTTTTACATTTTCTAGAATTTCATGTAGTTGGAATCATACAGTATATAGCCTTTTCAGATTGGCTTCTTTCATTTAGCAGTTTGCATTTAATGTTTCTTCATGTCTTTGTAGTTTGAAATAGCTCATTTCTTTTTAGCCTGAATAATAATACTGCATTATGTGATGTACCGTAGTTTGTTTACTCATTCACCTATTGAAGGACCTCTAGGTTGTCTCCAGTTTTAGGCAATTATGAATAAAGTTGCTTAAACATTTGTGTGCAGCTTTTGTGGGGACAGAAGTTTTCAATTCATTTGAGTAAATACCAAGGAGAACTATTGCCTTGTCACATGCTAAGACTCTGTTTAGTTTTATAAGAAACTGCCTTACTGTCCACCAGTGTGGGTGGATTATTTTGCATTCCCACCAGCAATGAATGAGAGTTCCTGTTGCTCCACATCCTCACCAGCATTTGGTGGTGTTAGTATGGATTTTAGCTGTTGTATATGGTTGTAGCTCATTGTTGTTTTAAATTGCAAATCCCTAATTGCATATGATATTGAGCATCTTTTCATATAATTTTTTGTCATCTATATGTCTTGTTTGATGAGGCATCTGTTCAGATATTTTGCCCACCTTTTAATTAGGTTATTTTTCTTGTTGAGTTTTAGGAGCTCTATTTATATTTAGAATATGTTTTTTATCAGATGTGTGTTTTGCAAATACTTTCTCCTAGTCAATGACTTGTCTTTTTCTTAACAGTGTTTCTTAGAGTAGAAGTTTTTAATTTTAATGGAGTCCAACTTACCAATTTTTTCTTTCTTTCATGCTTTTGGTGTTACATCTAACAACCTATTGCCAAACCTAAGGTCACTTAGATTTTCTTCTATGTTATCTTATAAATTAGTATCTAGATTCATTTTTTTTTACATATGGAAGTCGGGTTGTTCAGCACAATTCGTTGAGAAGACTATCCTGAGAAGCAGTACTTTCAACATGCAGAGAAACAGACTGGTTCTCTAAGGGAATGCTTAATTTCTGCTTGAGTTCCTCGTGTTCCCTCTGTAAACCTTTCATGAAGTTTCATAGAATAGAGAGCTGTGTCTACAGGAGGGTACAATGCGTTGCCTTTCTCCTTAGTTATGTCTGAGAGCACTCCTGTCCAGCAAAACTGACTGCAATGCTGAAATGTTCCATAATTTTACACTGTCCAGTACAGTAGCCACAAGTCATCACATGTGCCTATTGAATACTTGAAATGTAGCTAGTGTGACTGAGGAACTGAATTTTAAATTTTAATGAATTTAAATTAAAATTTAAGTAGCCCCATGTACCTTGTAGCTGTTGTATTGGACAGTCCGGCAATAGAAAGTCAGAACAAATTTGAGAGACTATTAAATCAGTGTCTTTATTTTTCTCCTTCAACAAATACTTGATAATACTTACTATGTACTAGGAGATGTCTGGGTCCTGAGGGTACAGATGAACTGCAAATTGTGGTTGAGTTCACTGTGGTCCACAGAATTAAAGTGACTTTTTAAAGATCACAATTGACTTTTTAAAGATCACAATATCAGAGTCCAGATTAAAACCAGATCTCCTAATTGTAATAAATAGTTTTTGCCCATGGTCTTTTCCCCAGAAAGCCCTTGGCTTGTTTTCATCATATTTCCCTCTGCTCTCAATTAGAGGGTAGCTCACAAACTACATTATTCCATTATTATTACATTATTACAATTTAGCCAAAGTACTAAATTTGAAATGAAAAACAAAGTGAAAAATGAGTGTGTGTATCCCCACTGGAAAGAATACACGTGTGATATAGTTTGGATGTGTGTCCCCACCCAAATATCATGTTGAATTATAATCCCCAGTATTGGATGTGGGGCCTGCAGGGAGGTGATTAGATCATGGTGGTTGATTTCTCATGAATGATTTAGTATCATCTTCTTGGTACTGTTCTCACAATAGTGAGTTCTCAGAAGATCTGGTCATTTAAAAGTGTATGGCATCTCTCCTCCCACTGTCTCTTGATCCTGCTCTGGCCATGTGATGTGCTTGCTCTTCCTTTACCTTCCACCATGATTATAAGTTTCCTGAGGCTTCCTGAGAAGCAAGCAGATGCCAGCATCATGCTTCCTATAAAGCCTGCAGAACTTCAATTAAACCTCTTTTCTTTATAAATTACCCAGTCTCAGGTATTTCTTTATAGCAGTGCAAGAATGGTCTAAGACAATGTGGTTACATTTCCCTTATACTTTTTTGTTTGTTTAGAAATGTGATGGAAAACTGGTATTGTTTACTATCTCTAAGCCTTTTTGGAAAGATAAGAATTATTCTTTACTTTTTCCTATAGCAAGCTTTAGACTCTTTATGGAGGTAAGGGAAAACCTCAGAGGTTCTCTTTCTGTGTGGTAAACCCCATCCTTCTCTTGAAGGTGCCATATTCTGAGATCAAGGGGCATCCAGGGTACCTAGCCCAAGAAGAGAGGTGTGATCACTGAAAATGACATTAGTAACATTTACTCCTTTCACTTTCCCTTCCTATAGTACCTGAGGTGTAGCCTCTGACCTTGCATGACTTAGAAGTCTGAGGTAAAAGCATGTGGCTGACCTATTTACGTGGTCAGCATCACCATCCCGTTTTGTGACAGCCCATTAGAGCTTGGGTGGTTTCTGAGGTTCCACTGGCAGGTCCTCTGATTTCCACCTTGATACTCATCCAAATGCATTCATCTTCCCAACTTCTGGGGGCTTTGCTTTATTTTCCTTTATGTTGCTCAAGATTCAGTTGCAAAACCTTCTACGAGTGTACCCCTCATTTCACTTTCTTCTTCTCTTGCTCCAGTGATTCCTGGTACTTTAATACTCTCTTTCATATGGACACCACCAAATAACTCCTTAGCATCCTGAATATTTAATTTCTTAACTCCCGTTTTGTTCTCTCTGCATGTCATCCTGCCTCTAAAACTTAAAAGAAGACTTGAAAAAACTTTGCTTTGTGAAATAGGGGTTTATGTAAATATGCTAATATGCAACTTGCTTTCTGATTGCTTGGAAGGAATATTGGAAGCCTGCAGGGTGTGGAAGTCTACGGTGCATGCCATGCTCATGGTACACCTGGTGGAAGTCTTTGTAAGAGTTATGACAAGTACAAATCATTCATCTTTCAAACAAGTTTCTCACAAGAGAAGCAAACCGCTGATAACTACAGAGGAGGCTAGAGTAAGCAACCTCTTAGAAATCTTAAGAACAAGGACAACAACAGATTAGGAGAGAGGAAAATAAAAACTAGAGGACATGGATTGCCAACCAGGTAGTCCAAGTAATTACCATCCAGTCAACGAGAGATTTGGATGGCTAGAAAGCTGAAGGGCACTGCCTAACCTGGATAGTTAACATACACTTAGCTCTGACTAAATTACTCAGGTATAGCCATTCTGCTCAGTCTGTTAACCTACTCAGGTGTATATTCTACAGGATCCTTACAGTTTTGACAATAACACTTCTGTATATCCTGATGAGTTTTTCTGCATCCCAGCAAATATCCTCTCTCCCTAAGCAAGAAGGGCAGCTTCTCTATAATAACCCCCTCCCAAATTTGCTTCTATCTTAATTCACATTTTTGAATTAAGTTTCTTGTTTTATTTTTACTTTGGGTTTCATTTCTATTTCAAAGACAGGATTTTATTTGAGCATGAGTAGTAATCATAGTAAATATGTACATTTTCCTTTATTTTTATCAACTATATAATTAGGCTATATTTAACTGGAGAGGCTGACCTCTTTGCTACTTGGTGGTACATCACCACAAATGGCATCTTGCTAAAAGGAAAACTTTTAAGATTCCAGACTGAATGCCTTTATTTGCTTGCCCCACACACAGACTGATCAAAATGAAAAATGAGGTGTACCGTTTTTATCCTCGGAGCATAATGATATGAAACAATGTGCTTGTCATAATAATTTTTTTTTTTTTTTGAGACAGAGTCTCACTTTTTCACCCAGGCTGGATTGCAGTGGCGCGATCTCGGCTCGCTGCAAGGTCCGCCTCCTGAGTTCACTGCATTCTCCTGCCTCAGCCTCCCGAGTAGCTGGGACTACAGGTGCCTGCCATCACTTACACCCAGCTAATTTTTTTTTTTGTACTTTTAGTAGAGACGGGGTTTCACCGTGTTAGCCAGGATGGTCTGGATTTCCTGACCCCGTGATCCGCCTGCCTCAGCCTCCCAAGTCATAATAATTTTTTAAAAAAGAATGTGACTATGGTAGCTATTTGGAAATGTGTTTTGGGAGTTTTTGTGTCATCTTTTCTCTTTAACTTTCTAATTATAATAGCAACTCATGTTTATTTTAGGAAATGTTATGCCTGGATAAGCAAAAGAAAAATTTAAGTCATCTATAAATCTATTATATGTTAGCATTTTGCATTATCTTTCTAGTCACATTTATATTTACACATGCAACTTGTAGAAACAGGAGAAATAGGATCATACACATATCATTGTTTTATACCCATGAATATATAATGCACCTCTTATCATTCCCCACTAACTGTGATAGGAGCATTTCATTATTCCATTGTACCTACCCACCATGTTGTTTTTAACATGTCTCTTATTATTGGACACTTGTTTCTCATTTTTTTTTTTTACTGTTACTGGCAATGTCTTGGTTAATAGGCTCAGAACTAATCTTTGTTGATGTTCTTAGGAGGTTTATAGAATATATGAAATATATTTTACAATAGCCCTGGAAAGCAGTGTAATAATTTTATGTTGGTATTTTAAAGAGTCAATTTAATATGTAGAAAAATGGTATCTCACTTCTTTGAGTTTCTTTTCTCACTGGTAAGGTTAAACACTTTCTCACTTTAAATGTTAAAGTATAAGAGTTTATTTTCTTTTATTGTGAAGGTTTGAAGGCATTTGTTTAAAATTATTTAATTTTTACTGTTATGATATTATATGACCTTCTTGTCATCGCTCATGACTTTAACCTTAGGAGGTTAATCATTTGGATATAACAACTTTGTGTCATGAAAGAAAGAACAAGATTGCCAATTGTCTGGGCCATGGAAGACCTAACAGAAACTGTAGAAAGCAGAGCTTATGAGACAGAACTTTTTAATAGGTGTGTCAGGCTTTCTGGGCTTAAAAAAAAAGTCCTGTTTCTTGGATATTTTAATTCAGTCTGCATTGGGCAGAGAGAAGTACAGAGTTGCCTTTCAATATATTTTAAATTTAACAGTCTATAATTAGAAAACACTATTTGAGCTCTTATAATAAACTTTCACTCTGAAAGTACCCATCTAAATTAGTGGGTCATTCCTCCCCACTCCTTTTCTCCCTCCCCCTCAGTCACATCTGCCATAGCCATATCCATGGACTCTGCTTCTGTAAGTTCAAACTTGTGGGTCACTGTTTCATAATATTAAATGATATTAGTGGGGCTTACTCCCTCCCCTTATAAGATTACTTCAGTGACTTCCTTATCTTGAGAGGAACTGACATGTGATTCTTTAGGAACACAGCTTATCTTATAAAATGGGAGTTAGTCAGTGAACAAATATTTATAACCCTCAATTCTGTGCCAGAAAGACAGCAGAGAATCTGACACATGTGATCCCTTCCCTCACAGAGCTTGCAGTCTCACTGGAAAGAGACAAGTAAATCTCTACAAATAACTGACCAAAGTTACAGTTAGCAAACTGTTAAGTCAGAGAAAAAGTAGAAAGTAACGTGGAGCAAGGGAAAGGAAACCAAATGCGGTCTGGAATGGTCAAAAAAAGCTTCTCCAAGAATGCACAGGAGTTAGTTATAAATGCCATCTCTTGCTCTCCTTCCTTGCAGAATGCTACATTTAGTGTACGTGAACCGCAAGGGAATTAATCTATTTTCTATTCTCTTTAGCAATACTCCATAGGTATGCAAATGAAAATACATTGCTATAGTTGATTAATAAGATTATTACCATTTTATCTGAAGAAAACATTGTTAAATAATTAGCCTTAAGAACAACATGCTTTGCCAGATGGAATGAAAACGGCTGATAAATCACTGGGACATCAGCTTAGTCACAGGACTGTGTAATAGCTGTGGAAATTCAACTTTATCGTGTCTTCCATGTACAATATGGGACTATCTGAAGGAAGACGGGTCGTTTTCTAGCTAAGGTTTGCACCGTATAACTAGTCTTTTAAAGAAAAGTTATCTACTGTCCAATTTACAATAAAACATGGCTTAAGCATAATAGCTTTTGTAATTCATAAAAGTTCTGTGTTTAACTGTTAGGTGGAGCCTGAGATGACTATGACTAATAGGAATATTCTTCCAAGTTGTTTAATCCCCTGAGATGATTATGGCTGTTCTTTAGCCAGACAATGGCTCTGAAGTCCATTAAACTTAAAAACAGATGCTTCTAGGGGGAGTTGCTTTTCAATGCATCAGGTTACTTAGTGTTTTTATGTGGCTATATTTTGGCCATCTCCTAATGTTGGAGAATTTGTTTCAGAGATCTGGAACTGTCTCCTCCTCAGCTCTGGTTATCAGAAGCATGGCAGAGGGAAATGGAAGTAAAAGATGGATTGGAGATTTCTGGTGCAGTTGTGAGCCGATCATCAGAGCTGTATATTTGTATCACATTGCCTTGTCTTCCTACTACAGAAATTGTAGAGAGTTATGCCTTGGGATTTATTGAGAAACAGTGAAAAACTATCAAGTGACGTCATATGGCGGTCTTCCCTGGTCTGCAGTATTGCTCATTGCCTCTTGTGTACAGACCATATTAAAGTTAAGTGTCAAATGCTTTCTTTTTCCTCCTGAGGAACAAAATATGGTTCCCACTTGCCTTCCTCCAAACACATATGGAGATATATGCATTTTCTCTCTTTCTCTGAGTTTGGAAAATTTTTTCCCCTCTATCTACAAAGGAGTTGAGAGCCAAATATGCAGTACAGTTTTAGTCATTTTGCAAGACTTAACTAGTATGCTCTATTTTAATCATTTAACAAATACATATAATGCTTACTATATACCAGGTGCTGTTTCTGATGTCTTTATTAGTATTAACTCCTTTGGTTCTTTCTTTTTTCTCCATTTATTTCTGCTTTGATGTTTATTATTTCCTTCTACTAATTTTGGATTTGTTCTTTTCTAGTTCCTTGAGGTACACCATTAGGTTATTTATTTGGAGTCTTTCTATGTTTTCGATGTAGGCATATGGTGCTATAAAATTCCCTCGGTACTGCTTTTGCTGTATCTGATAGGTTCTGGTATGTTGTGTTTCCATTTTCATTTATTTTGAGAAATGTTTAAATTTCCTTCTTAATTTCTTTGTTGATTGTTCAGGAGCATTTTGCTTAATTTCCATACATTTGCACAGTTTCCAAAGCTCTTCTTGTTATTGATTTTTCGTTTTATTCCATTGGATTCAGAAAAGACACTTGGATATAATAGTGACTTTTTTGAATTTGTGGAGACTTGTTTTGTGGTCTAAGATATGATCTATTCTGGAGAATGTTCCATGTGCTGCTGAGAAGAATGTGTATTGTATAGCCGTTGGATGAAATGTTGTGTAAATGTCTGTTAGTAGGTCCATTTGGTCTAGAGTATAGTTTAATTCCAATGTTTTTTACTGATTTTCTGCGTGGATGATCTGTCCATTGCCAAAAGTGGGGTGTTGAAGTCCTCTACTATTATTGTTTTGCAATCTGTCTCTCCCTTTAGATCTATTTTTGTTTTTATATAACCTTTGATTCTTTTAAGGACCTTGTTAAGTTAGTACTATTTATAGATGAGGGAACTAAGGCTCAGGGAAATTAAGTATCATGCCTGGAGCCATAATACTTAATCGTGGAGTCATGCTAAGTGTGGAGTTGGCCTTCAGAATCCTTGTTCATAAACATCAAGCTTTGCTGTCTCTGCAGTGATTTGCTACCGGGAGCAGGTAGAACAATATTCAGTCCCAGGAGATAGCATTCCCTCTTCCACTACACCTTGTGATCAAGAAACCTTCTCTATATTTACCTGCCTCTGTGATTCTACATTAATCATCTCACAGTAGTATTTTGCTGTTGTTATATAATTTACTTTATTCCTTTGTGAAATTATACATTCTACATATACTTTAAAATAAATCATGAACTTATAAGATACTATTTAAAATGAATGTAGTCTTAATGTAACACCATGTTAAGATATATACAGAAAGGGATTTTGGAGTAGTAAGCTTGAATTTGTTTTGCATTTCCAGTATCTACCCTTTTGCCCATTCTCCTTTTTGACAAGGGCACACATTTTCAGCTTGACTAGATGAAAAGTGCTAGGTTTGGCTACGTAACTGAATAAAATCTATAAGCTGACCATATTAGAAATATCATTAATACCATGCTCTAAACAATTGTAATTGTCCACAGACTTGAGTTAGAGTGCAAAAGCAACTATCTGCTTTAATTTTATTTGCGTGGAGTGAGTGGGGATGGTAGGTGGAGTCGAGAGAGGGTGATAACCGGAGAAGGGTTCCAAGTGAAACGAGAAAAACATCCTCCAAGGATAAGGTGATCTTTCCAGAGGGGTAAACATGTACCATGGGGAGTGTAGTGTACAGTATCTGAAGTGTAAAACTAAACTGCTTGTCCCTTTTAATGGGGTCTAGTAATGCTTACTGGAATATAGCATTTTGGGCCAGTTGAAGTTTATTTCATCTGTTCACAGCATTTCAGATATTCTTTTGTTCTTTTAATTTTACAACAGTTGCACTGAGATGTAATTCACATACCATAAAACTGGCCTTTTTAAAGTGTACAAATCAGTAGTTTTTGGTGTATTCAGAGTTGTGCCACCAACCCCACTATTTAATTCTAGAATATTTACAGCACTCCAGAAAGAAACCCTATACCCATTAGCATTCACTTTCCATTCTCTTCTTCCCCTAGCCCTTGGCAACCACAAATCTTTCTGTCTTTATGGATTTGCCTATTCTGCACATTTCATATAAATGGGATCATATAACATGTGGTCTTTGTGACTGGCTTCTTTCACTTAGAATAATGTTGTCAGGATTCATTCGTGCTACAGTGTGTATCACTGCCTTATTCCTTTCCATTGCCCAATAATATTATATGGGTTTGCCACATTTTGTTTATCCATTTAATAGTTGATGGACATTTGGGTTTTTTCCACTTTGGGGCCATTATGAATAATGCTGTTATGAATATTTGTGTACAGTTTTTGCTTGGACTGGTGTTTTCATTTTTTTGGGGGGTATATACCTAAGAGTGACACATTTGTTCTTGAGTTTCTTCCAAGAGTTGAGTATTTTTGATTAAGATGGGATCTCAACTAAAAATCGATTTCTGGTTGCACATGAGTGTACATCCTGCAGTTGTTAAACAGATTTTAATGAAATTTGTTAGGTAGTTAAAAGATATATATATATATATATATATGCTACCAAATCATATACATATATGCACTATTGGGTAGTCTCAGGTTGTATTCTTTGGATATTCATATTGTGGTTCTATGAACTGCAGACCTCTGGCCAGTAGCCTATATTTTGCTTCCATCCACAAGGCAAATTTCAACTAAAAAATCCATTGAAAGACTGCAGCAACTGTATGTATTTCAAAGGAAATCTTCCACCATTTAGTAGAAGGTGACAGATTATGCACAGCACATCAACCTAAGTTTCTGTGACACTTAGTTTGCCCTTTATGTACATAGTCCTTCTACTGTCCTATAAAGCCCTCTGCACTCCTCTTCCCTTCTCTATGCCTAGTTCACAATACTCCCGCCGTGCTTTCCATTCTTTTTAAACCTTCCTGGCTCATTCTTGCCTCAGGGCCTTTGGGCCAGCCCAGCCGTTCCCTCTGCCTGGCTTACTCTTCTTTTGTAGCTGCCCCACCCCCCCCATCCCCAACCCTTATTAAGTCTTAAATATCCCCTTAGAAAGGCTTCCCTGACACCACTTGCTCTACATCGACCACATCAGCCTTGCCCTGACTCTGACTGACTTTTTTGAGTGACATTGACTGGTCTTCTTGTTTATCTGTGTGTTCCTGTGTTAGAACGCGAACATCAGGAGGCAAGGGAATCTGCCTGCCTGCCCTGCTCCAACTTTAAATAGGGGCTGGCAGGTGTTAAATATTAGTGGAGTGAATGGCTGAGTTGCTTTTCTTGACCTGAAGTGTCAGTACCTGTTATAGCCAGTGTTTTCCTGGCAACTCTCCTAGAGGGCCAGTATTGGAGAGCTCTAGGAGGGTAGCATCAGAGGGCTCTTCATTCCACCTCCACCCCCAGAAAACTAGCAAAACATAGCAACAAAGCCTCATTCTTATTTAATCTCTGACTTTTTCTTCCCCTAGAGCTGCATCCTGTGGCCCTATAACACTCTTCTCCAAAAGGACCTGCCAGAGACTGGGAGTGTTGACTGCTGCAAGGACCAAGGTGGGAATTGCTGTGCTACCATCTGGAAACAGTAGGTTTGGTGCTTCCTGCTGCTATAGCATGAGTCTAACTTACATCAGCTGAAGGTTGGCTGTCTATCAGTTGTCCTGCAGCTTTGCTGCTGCTATCTTCCCTTCTCTGGTTAAGACATTCATAAATGTCGTAACTCTGAGAATTTTTATTTCATCCTCAGGAGAGTCTTAAATTTCAAGTTCTTTCAGGTGAATGGATGTTTTCTCGGTCTTGGATTGCCGTTTTAAATGACAGCCAGAGAAATAGAGGTAACCCCATAACTTTCTAACCTGTTTGCATTACTGCCAAAAGAGAGCACTCAATTAACTGTCTCAACCATGCCTTAAGAAAACAGAAAATCTTCAAAGAGATATCAGTCAGCCATGCACCTTTCAGCAACAGTACGGAAATTACTAGCAAAGTTATTCTGTTTTTATAGTTATCTAAACCAAAATTAAAGAGCTGTGGCAGTTATACCCATTCTATGCCCACTGAGGAAGAAGAGGTTTTGCTTGTGTGGTTGAAGCAGTACAACTCAATTCACTGCCTAGAGTACTTGGAATTTTATTTCAAGTATAATTTTATTCTTGAAAATAAAAATAGTTGCATTTTTTAGTGCAAAAGAGTTTCCCTTTTCTTGCTATATCTCTGGGCACCTTAAGACTAGGGTTCATTTGACCCTGATGATAGCTGTTTTGTTTTTTTTTACTTTTTATCATTACTGTTTATTGTGGTGTTTGCCTAAAAAGATTTCTACCCTAAGATAGACACCAGGACCATGTAATCCCAAATCATTTAAAATAAATATTTGTAGGTAGTTAATATTATTCAGCACAGTATTCTATAACATTATTTGTCTTCTGTGAAATTCACAATAATTCTAGGAATGTTGCTAAGGTTAGAATGCCTACTTTGAGCTGGCACTAAGAATGGCAGCTATTTCTAAATATTTGACACCATTTTGATATCTTTCCCTTTGTCTGGTGGTGTCTGTCTCATTGAAGCTGAGTGAAGAAAAGAATTCATTTATTCAACAAATACTTACTGAACGCTTTCTATGTGCCAGGCATTCTTGTCAGTGTTGCGAATGAGGCAGTGAACAAAACAAAATCCTTTCATGAGCTTTAAAAAAAGCTCTTGAATATCCTCAGCCAACAAACCAGAGCAGGGAGGCACAGAGGACTTGCCTCGCTCTCAGGTACTCTGGGGAAACCCCCTTCAGGATGGCAGATGGACACAAGCAGGAAAGGAGAGAGTGAAACCCTGATTTGGAAAATAAAGTAGTCGTATGTTCTAATTTAATCACTGCAGAATTTTAGAAGTGTGTTAAAATAATAAACCAAAAAAAGGTGCTAGGTTGATATAACTTGGGCTTGAAAAATAAAGGATTACTGTTTTTTTTTTCCTTTGCAATGTCCCACACACTTGATGTAAGGATTACTTTTTAAGTATACCATTTTCATACATTTCGCATTCACAGAGTCTGCCCAAATTCTGCCTCCACCATCCTCTCAGCCTCTGTCAATGTCTAAAGCATCCTTCTAGAATTTCTTTATGCATAAATAAGCAAATAGGAATATTCCTATTTGCCCTCTTCATAATGTAAAAGATAGCGTACTATATTTCTCTGCAATGTATGTTTTTTTTCCTTACAATATATGTAGGAGGACTTAATAAGCTAGTACTAAGACACTTTCCTCATTCTTTTTTTAAAGCAGTTACAGAATAACAGAGTCCATTTATGGATGTTCCACAGTTAAAATAGTGATCTATTGATGGACAACATTTGGGTTGTGGCCAATTGTTTGCTCTTAAACAGTACTGCAGTAAGTAACTGTATGTAGGTTATTTTGCATGTAGACAATATATCTATATAAACTTGTAAAGTAGAATTGCAGGTCATAAGGTGTATGTGTAATTTTAATAGATATCATTAAATTGCATCTCTGAGAGGAAGGTGTTTTTTTTTTTTTTGAGACGGAGCCTCTCTCTGTTGCCCAGGCTGGAGTGCAATGGTGCGATCTCGGCGGCTCACTGCAATCTCCACCTCCTGGGTTCAAGCAATTCTCCTGCCTCAGCCTCCTGAATAGCTGGGATTACAGACACCCACCATTGCGCCTGGCTAATTTTTGTATTTTTAGTAGAGATGGGGTTTCGCCATGTTGGCCAGGCTGGTTTCGAACTCCTGACCTCAGGTAATCCGCCTGCCTCGGCTTCCCAAAGTGGTGGGATTACAGGCATGAGCCACTGCACCTGGCCAAGGTTTTCTTATTACATATCTACTAGAAACTTGTGAGAGTACCTGCTGTCATCAGCGTCTGGATATTTTGCCAATTCTCATAGCTTAAATGTCAGACTGGGTTGCGTGCCTTGGCAATGTGTTCTTATAGCATCCTGAACTTTCAATTATCTAAACATTTATCTCCCTGTGTGATAATGATTTGTTTGTTTCTCCAACCAGACTGCAAGCTTTGTGAGGCCAGGGACTAGGTCGGTCTCTTTCGCCTGGCCATAACAGACATTCACATATCTAATGAAGTTTAAATACATTTTCGAAAGATGAGACAATTAGTGGTAATTTAGCTCTCAGGGTATACAAATGCAGTAAACTGGCTTGCTGTCATAGATGGGGCTCTACTGCTATTTAATTATTAGAAATCTTCAGTTTCAGCATGGGAACAAACATTCTTCTTTTATGTTACTGCAATTTATATTAAGCAGGTAGTCAGCAACAAATTCATGAGGTTAAATCCTCAGTTATCTGCTGGCAATTTGATTTCCCAAGACCTAAATTCGATTTTGAGAATCTGAAGAAATAAGCTTTCTACTTCTGGTTATATGCATGAGCCAAAACATTTTACAGGGCTTCAGGAGGTCCACCTATCAACTACGAACCCCAAATTAGAAAACTTGCTTGAGAGATGTGGTTAAGGACTTTGAAATAGTTTGGAGAGTGATTCAACCCCCTTATTTCTTGCCACTAGTAATTGCAGCCTACAGTTAGCCAGTTCTAGATAATGAGGGTACTCTTTTCTTAAATCTGTTATGGACTTTGGTGGAATTCAAGAATTTTTTAATATGGAAAGATTTTTTTCCTTAAATATGCCTTTCAAAAAGAAAAATATTTTGGAGGAGATAAAGGATTAACATGTTTAAGTTGAAAATCTTTGCTAAGTAAACTCATATACCCATTTTATAGTTGTTAAAAAAGTGAAGTAATTCATATCTATTTGATTTTTAATAGTTCTTACAAATATCAGGATACTGAAACCCCAAGGTAAGGATGAATATTATTGGATGAAAGGAAGAAAAAATAAAATTTTCTAAACAACTTTTGTATCCTCCTGTTCATAAACATTTAATAAATCTAGAACTCAGGACTGTCCCACTAAGATTAGGAGTAACATTTAAGCACACCCTTACATCTTATTTTCTTGTTTCTATAGCAGGCATGTCCTCTGACAAGAAGAGCAAAAACGAAAGAAACAACAACAGAAATCCCAGTATTGGGGTGGTGGTGGGGGCGGCTTTTCTAAAACCACTTTTCTTTCTCTGAGTATTTAACGCATAGAAATGACTGGGAAAGTAGCGGAGACCTAAAATAATAGAGGAAAAGCCGTAACTGTCGGAGAATGTATATGGAATGCAAGCCCACAGTGTTTTGTTCTAGATTTTTGGCTCCTAGAGTAACCCAGGCACACATGCTAACTTAAATTTGAAGATGAAGGTTAGTAAGGTGACTTTAGGCCAGCTTTGCTATATATTTGTATTTATGACGGTATTGGAGGGTGAACCTCCTTGATTCCGAAGCTACTTATATTGTGCTAATCAATTCTTGTTATCAAAGAAAAGGGACAGATATGCGAATATGTGAAAGAACTAATTCTTTTAAGGATGACAAGTAATTTCCATGATACTGTATAACTCTTTTCCCTTTTATATGTAAGAACCCTGTAATTAGCTTTGTCTTAAAAGTTTTTTTTCAAAACTCTGTAGGAAAAATAGTAGCCTATATTTCAGCTACAAAGGACCTGTTTATTCTGTGTACAGCATAGTGCCTTTTGAATGCTCCTGACTTAAAGAGAATGACTGAAGGAGCCTCTACCAAGAGTGAGAAAGTGGGAAAGAACACTGTCAAGTTTAAGCACTAAATCAGCAGTCTAGTGTTGGGAGGACGTCGTGCTGAATAGATTTCTGCCTTATATCCGACTGTACCTGTGCCTGAGTTGTCTTCATCCTGCCAAACACAAACAAGTTGCTAGGCAACAGGAGTGATTCAGATGTTCTGAACACCTCACTGAATGAAATGTCTAACCATGATGTTTCCAGGAAATGCCGCCTCTACAAGTCACTGGGCAGCCTGATAAACATTTGCATGTGCCCTGAGGTCAAGTGACCTAGAGCTTCTCGCTTATGTGTTATAAGGTGGGGCCAGCTAATGTTTGGAAGAATGCCACCTTACTGGGCAAACATGGATAGTTTTCATGCTCCTACATGGTAACTGTGAGGAGGAAGAGTTGGGGACAGGACTGGGAGAAGTGCAGTCTCTCCCCAGAAGAACTCACCAGGATGGAAATCCATTGCCCTTGGGTCACATCTCTAATTGTAAAAATAGCCCAAGATCCCAGAAAATCACAACATAGCATGGTTCCAGGAGCCTGGACTCAGATGCGTTCAAATTCTACCTCTGTCACTTGTTACATTTCTAACTTCATACCTCAGATAGGGGTGGTAATGGTGACTACCCTATACAGTAGTTGTGTGTATTAATGTTAGCATTTGGGGAACACTAAAACTGGCATCTGTCATAAACTCTGGGAAAGCATTAGCTTGCTCGCCATGCTCTAGACAGCTCCTTGAGAGGTGGGGGCTGAATTGTGAAGGAATGAAGAAGAAGAGAAGTGAGATCTTTTCCAAGGATGTATTTATTCTTTTATGATTTCAAGGACTGCAATCATAGAAATTTTAACCATAACATCATTTAAGAAAGCTCTTCAAGGTCTTTCAGCACTGCATACTTTGAGAATTATGTATCAAAAAATGACCTCAGGGTTATGCAGCGGAAAGGCCATGCGATCATGGAGCATTGCTTTAGGGCTTCCAGTGGATATGTAATGCTCTGAAGCTAGATATGGGTTTTTGCTTTACTGTTTTTTCCTTCTGTTATATCCCCCTTTTTATATAAGATATAATAAAAATGCAGTCACAAAAAGTAAACCACAGTAAGTCAGATGAAATGTTTGGGCTCTGTGACATATATGGAAACCATATTTATACAGACACATTAGTGACTCATTTAGGAAAAGAAAGGTACCTGAAGCTCTCTGGGAAAGGGTAAGATAATTCTGGTGTCTTTGAGTGTGTGGGCTGCCACATTCATTCAACTGCTATTCTAGGGCTGGGCTGCAGGTTCTTGGCTAGTGGCCAGGAACACCAACACAAACAGGACATGGACTCTATCCTTGCAGCTCATAACCAGCAGAGGAGATAGCCCTGTGTTAAGCAGTGAGCTTTTAAAACCCTGTGCTGGGCTGAAGAGATGTGTAGGAGCATAGGTATGGGGAGAAAGCCAATGGCATTCAATCTCAATCTGATCTTTAAGAGTTCTAAGTTCGCTTGAATTTATCTTTGCAAGGGAAATCAGAATGTTAGAGAATTGTGTTGGGAATGTGTCACCACATGCCAGGCTAGTGGCTCTGCAGTTCCTGAGCAATGTTTTGTAGTAGTGACTAAACCCTGCTCTGAGGAAGTGGTGACATTAGGAGATGCAACGGAGAGTAAAAGTAGTTGGAACCTTTCTTCCTGAACTTGCAGAGTCTCTCTCTCTGGTTCTGTCTTTGCTGACTGAGAGATGGTGGTGTTTCCCAAGGAAGTAGTTGGCCTGAAAGTCAAAAGGATGAAAAGGATTGGGGAGTGACTCTCAGAGTTGCCTCAAAAGCCAGTCATAATAGTTAATTTTGAATTAGGTAGAAACTCTGGTCAGTTGTACAACATAAGTACATGACGTTTTATTCAACAGCTATAGAGATTTCTTTAAAAATATGTGTTTTTAATTGACAAATAAAAATTGTATATATTAAGGTGTATAACATGATATAATGATTTATTTATTGCCAAAATAATGGCCTAGTGTCTTAAGGTTAACTTTTCAATCTCTATAAAAAGTAAAGGAGAAAGCCCGTTGAACTGTAAAATTTTCCAGCTTTCCTTGAAGTCACAATATATAAAGTGCTTCACTGAATTTAATGTTGAAGGTAGAATCCCTGTTTTATATGCAGTCTTATGCCTTGAATAACTTCCTATAAGTGTATGTTGGTTTGGGGAAAATGCATTTAAGTTTGGTTTATTTTATAAAGAGCCCAGAGGTTTTTCTATTTTATTACCATTTACATGAATTTAAGTTCTCTATCTTTCATCAGGTATCTTTATGTTACTTGGTGGAAAACTGTATTAACATTATTCATAAAATATTACTGAACAAACATAACATTTTCAAAAACAGCCATAAATAATGCCTCAAGTGATTCAAATAAGCTTCGATAGAATTCACGTTGTTTATATTTGTTTGTTCCAAGAAGCATTTGAGATAGGAATTTATAGTTTTAATGAACAAAGTTCTAAGACATAATCAGCTGCTTTCTCAAAGCTATCTGGCTTAGGAGTGTATGTCATGTATGATGTTAAAACTGGAATAGTCTGCAACCCAGAAAAAAATACACAATCTGGGATTGCTAATCTTTTACGAGAGAGGTCTCATCTAGCTTAATACTGTAAATTGTCTACCTTTAAACATTAATGCTAATGGAATTTATAGTTTAACTTTAAATCAAAATATGCAATTTCAGATTACTTGGGATATTATTATATTTCAATTTTAGGTATTTTGGAAAAGGCCTTTTAAAGTACCAACTATTTATAAACACTAACCAGTTTATACTAATTGGTATTACATTATTTCCTAATTTTGAATCTGCATCTGTATAATGGTCAGTTAGAATTATAAAGCAGAATACTTTTTTATATTCTTTCATGTTGGCCTCTGAGCTCACCCAATAACTTTTCTATTGTTTACCTTCTAATTAACTATCTCTTGTTCTAGGGAATATGACCTTTCAGCTACAACTTTATAAAATTATTTTCATTAGCTTTAATGCCTTATTTCTTCTCTAATAAACCTGAATCAGGAGCTCTTCATTAAGATCTTATTTAATTGGTTTCAGTCCTGGTGGAAATCCCCCCACCCCCATAGTCTCCTCTTGTTCCATTCAGATGCCTTAAGTAGTGACTAGAACCTAATGGGTGATTCTTCCATGAATTTATTTTCCTTTTCATGTGGCTTATTCTGACTGTGTGATTGCCACAAGAAATAAAAGTATAAGATCAACCATAATATGCCAATGGCCAATCATTTAGCATAGCCCCTTATTTGAGAATGTGATAGGGGTAGGACAGAAGAAACTAAGGACCAAGGAGATTGCATTAATTCTCATCAAGTGGCAGAGTCAGGGTTAGAACCTGGATTTTAGGATTCTAAGATGTTACAATGTACATTTGACCTGAGTTTAATTTGCTTCTGAGATTAGCAAGGGCATGTTGTAGGGGCCATGGTTATTGAATAAACTTTTGTTATTGATTAATAGTAAATTCACATGGATGTGTTATCCACAAATTATCTACATCAAGCTAAATAAAAATACCAAGTTAAAAAAAAACTCTTGGCTGGGCATTGTGGCTCACACCTGTAATCCCTAGCACTTTGGGAGGCCGAGGTAGGTGGATCACCTGAGGTCAGGAGTTGGAGACCAGCCTGGCTAACATGGCAAAACCCTGTCTCTACTAAAAACAGAAAAATTAGCCAGGCGTAGTGGTGTGCACCTGTAATCCTAGCTACTCAGGAGGCTGAGGCAGGAGAATCGCTTGAACCTGAGAGGCGGAGGTTGCAGTGAGCTGAGATCGCGCCATTGCACTCCAGCCTGGGTGACAAGAGTGAAGCTCTGTCTCAAAAAAAAACCAAAAACAAAAAAAAAACAAACCAAAAAAGTGTTTGGGAAATATTAATATATGATGGGACCAATCTCACGGTGGTGTTCTGAGCACTAGATCATATGATGGTTAGTACATTCTTTATCAATAAATTACCTTACCCTATTTCTTTTCTTTCTGTGAGACATGGGATTTTTATTTACCTTTTTAAACTTTCTTTGGTGAGGTCACTAACATATCTTTTATTTCTTTCGTTTTATATGATGATATATTTTTAATATGGCCAAGAGTCTTAGAAATCTGTAAAGTAATGGTGTTACACTGAGAAAACTACAACCCAAGATTGCAAAATTACTGACCCAGGATTAATCATGACTTGTTTGTGGCCAAACTGAGAGAGAGATTCTTGGATTCTTGTTTTGTGACTTCTGATCCAGGGCTTTGTCATGGCACTATCAGTTTTTAAACTTCTTTAGCCATGGAACCCAGATTTCAGATGAGATTTTGGGTAACCCCTCTAAAATAGAAGGAAAAGCAGAGCTCCTCAAGTTGAAAGGAGGTGGAGGCCTGAAGACACATGCACATGGCCTCCCCAAGACTCTCTGTACTGTAACATACTACTCTCCTCCACATAGTTCACAACACAGATGAAGGGTGTACTCCTTCTCTCCTCCTCCAAATATGGTCTAGTTCTTTTCTGGAGCATTTCTGTCCCCTATATCTGAAATGAACGTAATTGGAAAGATTGGAGGAGTTACCGACCCAGCCTGGGAATTACATTTATAAATGAAATGCCAGTCTTCCCAGTTGATTCTGGAACATTTTTCCTGTGTGTCAAGAGGAAGCAGTGGGGAGATGTTGCTATGAGAATCCACTGATGTCTGATGTTGGTTCTTCTGACATAGCAGGGCTGTGCTATCCCATTTCCTTTTCTTTGCTGTAAGAATTCACCCTGAAGCTGTGTGCTCATTTGCGACGCTTTTCCCAAAGAGGGGTAGAACAGCCTGCCGAGTCAGAGCTACCAAAGTACCAAATGCTGGCTTCACTGCTTACTAGTTGGTGACCTTGGGCAATTCACTTGATATCTCTGTGCTCATCTGTAAAACATGGGTAATAATATTTAACCTCATAGAATTGTGGAGATGATTAAATAAGATAATCAAAGCATTTAGAACTGTGGCATTTGGGCAATAGTAAGTACTATATGAGTGTTAGCTATAGCTCTTGTTCTTAAGTCTAGGCTATATAAATTTATTTTTTTTATATGGAACACTTCGCGAATTTGTGTATTACCCTTGTGCGGGGGCCATGCTAATCTCTGCGTCATTCCAATTTTAGTATATGTGTTGCCGAATCGAGCACAGGCTATATAAATTTAAATCATTAATAGGATACATAGTCAAAATTTTTAAACACTTGGAAAATATTCCAATCTAGTGTTGTTAAACTGAAATAAAAATATATTTTTGGCAGAGGAAATATAGCATAATAGTAATAAAGCCCAATTAGCTCTGCATGATCACAATGTTGATGAAATTGTTTAAAGTGTATATTTGTAAATACTTTTCCAAATAAAAGCTTAAAATAACAACAAAGCCACAATATAATAATCACTTGGGTTTGCAATATAAATTAGATTGTTAAAGGCTTGGAGAAATTTTCACTTTTACTTAGTTTTGCATGATTTTATCGTAGGTAAGGAAAGCTACACAAAGTGGTCAACCAACATTTCCCAGAAAACTCTTTTTGACAGTTGATCTTCAAATTAAGGTTTCTGATTGCACTTCGGTAAAAACCTCTGCAAAGAAAGTGTGTATTTAGGCTGTTATCTGTTGAAGAGCAATAATGCCTTTGATGAGTGCATTCTTATTCTTAAAGTTGCTGCCCGCCAGGTGTGGTGGCTCTCGCCTGTAATCCCAGCAGTTTGGGAGGCCTAGGCGGGTGGATCACCTGAGGTCAGGAGTTTGAGATCAGCCTGGCCAACATGGGTGAAACCTTGTCTCTACCAAAAATACAAAAATCAGCTGGGCGTTGTGGTGGGCGCCTGTAATCCTAGCTACTCGGGAGGCTGAGGCACAAGAATTGCTTGAACCCAGGAGGAGGAGGTTGCAGTGAGCCGAGATCGTGCCACTGCACTCCAGCCTGGGCGACAAAGTGAGACTTTGTCTCAAAAAAAAAAAGTTGCTGCCATTTTCAGAATAAAATGAAGCCTTTTTCTGCTCCTGTAATCATAGGATTCTGGAGCCCTATTTTAGAGTTAGGATTTTCTTTTTCCACTATCCCTTTTGTACCTGCCTTTAGCACCCCTGGATATTTTTCACATTTGAAAGCTTTATGATTATTGAATATTATGTTCAAGTAATTTTGTGCATTTTCTTACTATTGACAGCCTTTGAACAAGTCTGATTTGTACTTACAGAACACCATTTTTAAGAGATTTGTGTAATTGTGCATGAATATAGGTCAAAAGGTAGAAGTAAAGAATAGTAGCCATACCATGAACATGTTGGGCACAAAGCACCCAAGAGGGGGAGGTTGGTTTCTTAAGAAGCAGAAAGTTATAAATGGAAATGAGTGTTTCTTTTTAAAAGGGAATTTAGGAGAGAGGGGACACTAGGTTTTGTAACCCAACTGGGTAGTGAGTGCTGTATTTGAAAGTTCATTTCTAGGTCCAGTAGCACATACCAGGGAGTTGTAGCAGGAAAGGTTTGTTGGAGGATATGACATCTGCTGAGACCTGAAGCACGAGAGCCAAGTGTGTAAGCAAGTCGATGGGATTGGGAAGAAGTTTAGGCTGCTAAAAAATTTTTACATAAAGCTTGATAAGAGGGGATATTGCATGTGAAATAAACAGAAATTCAGTAAATATGGTGGAAGTGCAGGATTTAGGGGATGGAAAAAAATACTAGTTTCAAAAATTGAGGCTAGAAGTGAAGGTAGGGGCCAGATTATGAAAAGCCTTGTAAGCAATGCTAAGAAACAATAGATGTCAGAAGGACATGCCACCATCTAAAAAGCAGTCTTGAGAACAAGTAATTGGATAAAGGTGACCTGACTAGGTATTTGTTTTTTTAAGTAAATTGTGTTAATTTTGTTAGGTGTAAAAATGGCATTAGGGTCATGTTGGGGAAAAAAGAATCTCTTTCTTACAGATGAAATTACATGGTCTCTGAGACTGCTTCCAAAAATACAGAGTAGAGGACAGATTAAAAAAAAAAGATTTCCTGTGATAATTGTTATGGCTAATGGGGTTCACTGTAGTATTTTCTACTTTCATTATGTTTGAGATTTTCTATTATAAATTTTTTCTTAAGTCAAAATAAGCAATGGACTTTTGGGTCATAGGGAGCCATTTAAGGTCTTTAACGAGGTCAGTAAAGCAGGAAATAGATTAGGAACAAAACCAGAGAGGAAGGGAGTGCTGCATTAAATACCATGATTGTGGAGCTGTCAGTTTTTCCTTGTGTAGGAATGTCCATGATTTTATATCTTCTTGGTGAGCTGTTCTCTATTATCTATTTTCTCAATACTTTTACGTTGTACTCTAGTTGTAAAAGTACTGGTGATGCCTGCTATTCCTAATAACTATATCAGCCTTTTATTTACAAAATAATCTTGTATGTAGCTTTTTAGTGGATGGATTGGATCCATTTAAAAATTGTTGTGGCTGTTGATTTGTTTGGACTTATGTCTGTCCTCTGTAAGTAAGAGATGTCTGTGAAAAGAAAGCAGAGGTAAATAGATGGGAGATTAAAATGGACAGGATTTGTAGTGATTTTCAGGTGAGCAGGGGAGGGAGTTTGAAGTCGGGTAATAGCCAACATTTATTTACTCCGAGTAGCTGATTGGATGGTGGTACCGTTTACTGTGATAAGAAATGGAAGAGGAGGTGCGTGAGTGGAAGGAAATGTCAAGTGTGTTTTGGTACATGAGTTGTAAGCATCTGCTTTTTCTTTGTTCTTAGAGCTATGAACTCTTAGATGGAATTCATTCCTTTCCTTTAAAGATACCCGCCATTAACCCATAATCACTTTTGCCAATTTTAAGATTTCCTCTAAAGTATAGATGCACGTTAACCAGAATGTCATTTTTGGTTTCGTTTGGTTTGGTATAAGCTTTGGAAATGGGCTCCCAATGTCCTATGCTTATTGATGCAGATTATGCTGTAAGAGATAATTTTAGAAACAATAAAAACAAAAACTCATTTTCTAGGCTGCTTCTTTGTTTCATGGTAAGCAAAGAAGTATAATTCTTTGATATTTTTAAATATAAATTTTTGATAGCATGTTTATATTTTAAAAAGCAATTTAAAGTGATTATTTATAGGCAAGCACTTTTATTTATATAGAGTCATCAATGACAATTAGATTTAATGGAAATAAGATTAACTATAAAATTACATCTTTTAGCTTCCTAATGCTAATTGAACATTGAGTTTGTAATGTTTCCTGACTACCTCTTGGCATTATGTTCAGGTTTAGAGACAGCGATTTTAATCATCCTGTGTTTTTCTAAGCCCATTTCACCCTTTAGAAAACAGTTTTGATCATAGTTCACTCCCATGGATAGACCAGTGCCAAACCAAATAGGATAAGTACTTGGCTGATTTTCTATTCACTGCTGATAGGCGGAGCTTGGCATTTTAAAAGGCTATTAACAGAGAGAGAGAGACTATTTTACTTATTTCTGATTTTATTTTCAGTTTTTATCTATATACCCTAGACGTTTTAAAAATTCCTGTTAAGTTATATATAACCAGTCTTTTTCCCATTTTATTTCTGTCATTTGAATTTACTTTTCACTTTTACATCTACCTGGCATATGGTTTCACTAAACTTCAAATGTTATTTCAGGCTGTTTTCTAATTTGTAAAAGTTTTTATCTCTCATTGTTCTTTTTAAGTGACTTCTGCTTGGGAAGAGGGGAAAAAGCAGTTACTGAATCAAAAATGCCTTGAGGACGGGAGCCAGCTTTCTCTTCTGCCGCCTTCCTTAGCACTTAGGACCCAATTCTGCACAGAACAGGAGGACATAAATAATTCTGTCTTTGTTGGCTGTCTGTTTACTTTACCTTCTAGGCTATCAGCAATAGTATTAACCATTGCTACATATTTAACCGGCAAGTACTGGTATCTTGAGTTTGGTCACTGTTTTTCATTCAACCCAGGGTACAGTTTTAAAAGTTTTCTATACCTGTAGTTTCTATCCCGTTTACTCAAGATAAAATTTAAAAACGTCTGCATTGAAGGTCAAATTCTGAATTCTTGTTAGATATTTGATAGCTTTAACTTTTATGTCTCCACATAATGCTTTTGTTTTTATTCTTCCTCTGCTTATAATATTGCATCTTTAGCCTTTTTTAAAAAACCTAATATGCGTTAAACACTTATTTTAAAAAAACAGCACTGGGATGATCAATTAAATAAAAGTCCATCATGACCAGTGTAATTAGAATACTATACACATGCTATTTTGATCTATTATAAATAGAAAAGAACTCAAAGGCAAAAATCCATAATTGAGTAAGTATGGGAGCATCTTCAGAGGAATCTTTTTAGTTTTAGAAAGTTATATTAGTACAGGTTTCTAGAGGGCATTTACTGTAATTGGATCTCAGTAGGTTGGAACATAGATGTTCCTGATGTTCTTTTGACTTGATGTTGCACTGATTTTTCTTTCTGACAATGGTTGTTCATTTAAAATTTTAAATTGAGTGTTATCTCATAACACTCAAATTGAGTGTTTAAATTGAGTGTTATCTCATAAGCCTGGTGAGCCTAATTGAATAGCCACCCTTTAACGTCCCATCCTGCTTTGTCTTCGTAGCAGTTTTAATCTTTCATTATTATTGTCTTACATTAGCAGAATTCAAGCTCCATGAGGGAAGCGACTTTTTAAAAAATTGTTATATCCCTAGAACAGTGACTAGTACATAGTTGGCACTCACTAAATATTATTGAATAAATAATTATCTTAGCCAAGCATAGTATTGTGCACCTGTAGTACCAGCTACTCAGGAGGCTAAGGCAGGAGGATTGCTTGAGCCCAGGAGTTAGAGGCTGCAGTAAGCTATGATTGTGCCACTGCGCTCCAGCCTTGGTGACAGAGTGAGACCCCTTCTCTTAAAAAAAACAATAAGAAGAACAACCTTTGTCTTTTTAGGCAGTAAAATTAAAACATGCTGCTTATTTATTTTTTCAATGCAAAAAAAGATAAAAAGTGAAGTAAATGTTCCATGTAGTATCACCCTTCCAGTAACCATGTAATTTATATAACACAATTTTCTTTATATAATATACATTTATTTATAATGTAACTAGTCCCATTTTGATGGACAGTGTGGTTCTGGTTTTTCAGTCTTACAGATCCAGAATCACTTATCCACAATTTCAAAATCTGAACAGTAGTAGAATTACTATGTCAAAAGATAAAAGCATTTCTAAAGCTCATCATATATTTACAAAGAGATTCTCAAAAGAATGGTACCAATTTATGATTCTACCAGCAGCTCACTGCAGTTTTTATGCTCCGTTCTGATTACAGCTTAAATTACATTTTAATGGGATTTGTTTCAAAATAACTTTCCAGTGTTCCTTATCCATGAATTAGAATAGGGTAGAAGCTTGTGTGCTAATTTGTCAATGAGACATTCTGTAGGAAGTTCTTATTATTGGTAATTTGGAAATATTTAGTCACAAGAACTCTTTTGCCTACGATTTGTCAGAGAAGGTATAGGGGAAATCAGCTTCAAATAGGAAGTAAAGAAATGAGTTCTGGCTTACCTCAGATTTACCTTCTACTTCTGTTTCTCTACTCCCTGCAGAAGTAGATATCACAGCAGAAGTTCTTCTCTGTTACCCATGTTTTCTCAGGGTTTAGATTTCTGAAATCACTTGCCTTCATATACATACGAGGGATATGAAAAGAATGTGAAAATGAAAAACTGACTTAATGTGCAAAGAAAGACGAGCATCAAGGCCCCAGATGAAAGCCTTGATTATATAAATAATCAAAATTATATTTTATATATTATTAATCTAAAATTTATTATATACTTATGCTGTGTTTATTTGCATACAATAATGAACTGTTCCTGAGAGAGTATCTGACTTTTTCACATGGTAAATTAGTTTTAATTGTGGTTCTGTATACGATTTACTGTTGCCACAGTCGAAATATTTCAGTTCAGTCTGTAGAATTTCAATATCACGTTGCTGTGTAAGAGCACCTGCCCACAGTTCCCACCACAATTTGGATTTTCATCCAAATACTCAGGATTTTAATGGCAAGGATTGATCCCCCTGTAAGTTTTACTTTTACAGAACATGTCTTACTTTGGGCTCCTAAGAACTATTTAAGTGCAGCTGCAGTGTCTACCTTCACTTTTCCACATTTTTATTCTCTTTTAAGGCTTTATTGCAGAAACTCTTACTCTTGTTCAGCTATTCCTTTTCTTTTCCAAACTCATTTCTCTCTTCTGATCACCTTCCGAAGGGACAGCTTGGATACATTGGAACTAAATTTCTTGTTTTATAATATATCTAAAAGAAATACAAAATAAGAGCTGTATACTGTGTTCTAGGTTTCTGCGAAAGAAAAACAGGCAGTTCACTAGGGATCACAGCATAATTAATGGTGTACAAATAGACACTCCACAATCATTATTGTGCCAGCAGCCACCAAAGCTTTGTGATGGAATGTTCAAGCTCTGTACAGGGGGCATTACTTTAGTAGAGTAGGCAACAAAAGACACATTTGTTTATTAGAAACTTTGCTTTGCAACTTTGTGAACCAGCACAGTTGGTCACAAATGGAAATAAAAGTCTTGAGTGAGCTGTTCTGCCTTTTTTAAGAGAGAAATGCGCCATTCCCTGAAGGTTGCTGGATTAGTTTACTTGCTCTAGAGCTAGCAACATAGGGATTTAGTTCTAAAGAACCTTATTTTTCCCTAGAAGACTATGTCTGTTGGTAGCCATTCTGAATATACTAAACCACTAATGTTATCTAAAACAGTACTTAAGTACTATGATGAATAAACCAAATTTATTTCCAAGTGATTTTTTTAAGTATACAAACTTTCTAGTGAACATTTTGGAAATTTACATTTTATGGCAGTTTCTTCATTTCCTTGATTTATTAGAATAAATGAAAATTCAATAGATAAATATTGTATATTTTAAGTATCAATATCATTGTCACTTGCATTCCTTAAAATTGTTTAAATGGCATTGTTAGATGCATGATTTTAATCTTTTAGGTAAATTTCATGTCTTAGGTTATTCTCTTCGTGTCTCTACCTCATGTCTTCAGTGAAGGGTTGGGTTGAGATATCTGCGTCCCTCTTCCTAGAGCCAAATTTGAAGAACATAAATCATCATTATTAGGTTATTTGCAGAAGCCAATCTCTGAAGCCTATGATTGGAAGCACTGGTCAAATAAGTGCTTTTGAGAGACAATTATTTATTTAAAAGCAACATAACAGTTTAAGTTCTAGGAGAACCTACAGCCTATTACAACAACCTTAATAGCTTTAGAGAAGGTTTACCTTTTTACAGTTTCATACCACTTGAAAGCAGTGGCTTATTTAGTCACTCATGCAAAAGCAACTCTGGAAAAACAGCCCTGCATAAATCGTTCTGTTATAAAGACACATGCACATGTCTGTTCATTGTAGCCCTATTCACAATAGCAAAGACACAGAATAACCTAAGTGGCCATTGATGATAGACTGGATAAAGAAGATATGGTACATATATACCATGGAATACTATGCAGCCATAAAAAAGAATGAGATCATGTCCTGTGCAGGGACATGGATGGAGTTGGAGGCCATTATCCTTAGCAAACTAATGCAGGAACAGAAAAACAAATACCATGTGTTCTTACTTATAAGTGGAAGCTAAATATTGAGAACACATGGACACATAGAGGGAAACAAAATACACTGCTGCCCACCTACCGAAGGGTGGAGGGTGGGAGGAGGGAGAACATCAGGAAGAATAGCTGATGGATGCTGGGCTTAATACCTGGGTGATGAAATAATCTGTACAGCAAACCCCCATGACACACATATACCTGTGTAACAAGCCTGCATCTGTACCCCTGAACTTAAAAGTTAATAAAGAAAAGAAAAACAGCCTTGCATTTTTAAATGGAAGCAGAAAATAGTATAGACTGTATATGAATGGTCTACATTGTTTATTACTTCATTTGTGGAACATTTTTGTGGTTGGCATAAGAGAATGAAAAATAGAGGATTTACAGTCCTTTCTGGTTCTTCTGTGTTGTCTCCCTTTCTCTATTTTTTCCTTTCCTTTTAATGAAGACCCTGCTCTACCTTGAAGAATCCAGGTGGACTGAAGCATAGGACTTCAGGACACTAGGAGCTTTCTAGCCCTCATGCTCCCCACTCCACAATGCCCCATACTAAGGCCTGGTAAATTGCAGCAAGTGATGGAAATAAACTGTTCAAAGTACAGATTCTAGAACCAACCTTCTCCTTAATAATTTTTCAGTGCCCAATTCCTGCTTCTAGGAAATGTGCCCCTAAACCTCTCAGGCTGTATTAAGCTATTTCTTGAACTCATTTTGTTAGCACAGAGCACAAAGCACAAATGTAATAACCAGTAACCCATTATATTTTAAATAAATATCAATGTCTAATTCTAGACATTAGACTCCTACAAGGAAATGATATTGAAGTGTATCTAGGTGCCATTTCTGCAGCAGCACAGGGATTGAGTAAACTTCCTGTTCTTAGGCATGTGCCATCCGCTATAACCACCAAATGTTCTAGCCACAGCACCTGGTTAAATGTTTCTCCTCAAGTCTCTGCCTTTATCTCCATACAGAGCAGGATTATCTAACTCACTTCTATAGATTTTTGCTTAAAGGTAACTTTGCTTAAATCTCAAAACAGAGAGGTAATATCTCTTCCATTGCACTAGTAAACAGCAAGCAATGTTTCAAGAAGTCATTTTTAAATACCCGTTTCAGTCGCCTGTTTTTATTATGCTTTGCAACATTGTTTTGAAATGGTATGAAATATATACACTGGTCTCCATGTGGTAGAGGGAGCAATCAATATGTGGATTTCTAAAATAATCTGAAGGTCACAGAATACAAGAGCTGTATTAAAATAGAGAGTTATAAAGTTATTTTCAGAGAACTATTCTTTTTTTTCATTTCATTTTTTATCCTGAGTTTTCTACAACAAGATTATGTTTCCAAATCTAGGAAATTTTTTGTGGTAGACAAGGAAATATACTGTTGACTTTGATTATGATCTATTTACTTAGAAGGAGATCTCTAGTTTCATTTAGAGAGTGTTATGTGGTTTGGGGAATATAATGTTAAACTACTAGACTCAGGTTTTGCTTTTCCTTCTTCCCTGGACTAGCCATTATTCTTAGGAGAAAATATTAACTCCAATATAAGTCTTAAATATCTTATTTTAAAACTATTAAATGGGACTGGGTGTGGTGGCTCACACCCATAATCCCAGCATTTTAGGAGGCTGACTTGGGAGAATCACTTGAGGCTAGGAGTATGAGACCAGCCTGGGGAACATAGCAAGACCCATATTTCTAAAAAAAAAAAATTATTTAAAAAATTAGCTGGCATGGTGGTGTTCACCTGCAGTCCTAGCTACTCAGGATGCTGTGGCAGGAAGATTCCTTGAGCCTAGGAGTTTACTGCAGCCTGGATGTCAGAAAGATATCCTGTCTAAACAAAACAAAACAAAAATGACTAAATGGGATGTTTTTTAAGTTTTTCAACACCTCTCACTTCAATAGGTAATCTATGCAGCCTCCTGTTACAGAGTAAATTAAACCCTGAGGTATTAAAACCTAAGAGAATCAGTTTCTAGGTATATAAATCTTGGGGATATATAAGGAAAGCTAGGAATGTAGAAGCAGATAATTATCACTGTTGTTCAGTTAGGCTGTTATATTTAACCTTACTGATAAAGCCCCCAGGGTGTTTGGCCTAAACAACTGCTGGCTGCTTTTGTTTGACCATTAAACATGGAACAGGTAATGCAAGTTGTATGAAATGTTTCTAGTGACCACGTGTCTATCTTGTACGAAATGATTCTAGTGACCACATATCTATCCTGTAAAGATTTTTTGTGAATTAGTAAAATGATAGTTTAGGTTATTGAAAGCGCAAATGTCTGTTTATATTATAGGGACTTCCTTTGTTCATCTGCTAAAGTAGATAAGCATTTTAACACAAAGATAAGCCTTCAACACAGCTTATTCTCTGAGGCCATGGGTATGTCATACTTCACTAGCAATAAGTCCAAAAAGGGATGGAAAGTAGAAAATTTCCACCTCACTCTTTCTTTCTTTCTTTTTCTTTTCTTTTTTTTTTTTTTTTTTTTGAGATGGAGTCTCACTCTGTCACCCAGGCTGGAGGGCAGTGGTGCAATCTCGGCTCACTGCAACCTCCACCTCCCGGGTTTAAGTGATTCTCCTGCCTCAGCCTCCTGAGTAGCTGGGACTACAGGTGCGCACCACCATGCCCGGCTAACTTTTGTATTTTTAGTAGAGATGGGGTTTCACCATGTTGGCCAGGATGATCTCAATATCCTGACCTCACGATCCACCCACCTGGGCTTCCCAAAGTGCTGGGATTACAGGCATGAGCCACTGTGCCCGGCCTCAGCCTTGCTCTTTCTACTAAACACCGAAAACATCTAGGTCAAGAAGGAAGACACTATTTGGGGAGTCCCGTCTTCCCTACCCTACAGAACCTCTAGATGTGTCAGAAATGGAGCTGGGGAAAAGGGGTTGGGAGCAAGCATAAACCATCATTTGGGAAAAGCTCAAATGCATGATATGCTCCCCACTCTCACACCTTAACTTTGAGAACCTCTCATCTAGGGTATATTTGAATGGAAATGTGAAGAATTATTTCAAATATCCCCTAGTCTTTGACCTTGTTTTACAGTCTTCTTCTGTCTTCAGGGTTTGGGTAGCCCTATCTATCTTTCCATTAACATACCTACCTATCTAGTTAATCTACCTACCTACCTATTTATCTATTCTCTCCTTTATTTTTTCATTTGTCCATTCATTCACCTTACAGCATTTTCCATATTGTACCGTGGATTATTAAAGCGACTTCCCATGTGACTCCATCTTCTTTTAAGATTCTCCTTCTGGAGAGCTTTAGCTTCACAATCCCAGGGCTGCAATTTCTCTCTTTCCAAAATATGCTAAGAATCAGATTTAATCATTAAATTTTCCAGTCACCAACAGAAAGCCTCACAGCTAGGAAATGTCTAAAAAAAGAAGCCAGATTTTAAAATATCCTGTGGAACTTCCAGTTGTATTGAAGGTACTTTATTATATCAACGTCATTAAGGCAGAAACAGTTGATACAGGTGAGCAGTCTTCCACCATCCCTGTGTGCTACACTGTGGACTGCAGATCATCCCTGCTTGTGAGATACTCTCAGTTCTACAGTTTATTGTTTTCAAATTTGTACAGCTAATATTTGCTGTGGGTAAGTACTGTATTCATTTCAACAAGTATTGAATGGTCTACCTGGCCATTTTTTTTTTTTTTTTAGTGAGAAATAGACCGATTTTCCCCCTTTTAATCTAGCTCTTAGTAAATTTTGATGAATTTTGCTAGAAAATCCATCTTGTCATTTTATGTTGTTTAATTACAAGTTTTTTAGAGCACAGTTTACACAAATTTTGTTAAACAGTTTGCTTTTCATTAGATAGTTCTTGATCTTGTCTGTAGAAAATTTAGAAATGTGTGTTATTTCAGAGTCACTGCAAAAGTAGTGCTCAGCTGGTAAGTACAACACTTTAAAGGGATAAGTGAGCCCAGAAGTTAATAAGAGAGTATGGGATGTTCCTTGGTTTTCTAGTTCTTTAGAAATAATTTATCTTGATGGGCTATTTTTTTTTTTTCGAGACCGAGTCTCACTCTGTTGCCCAGGCTAGAGTGCGGTGGCACCATCTCATCTCACTGCAACCTCTGCCTCCCAGGTTCAAGTGATTCTCATGCCTCAGCTTCCCGAGTACCTGGGATTACAGGCACACCCCACCATGCCTGACTAATTTTTGTATTTTTAGGAGAGACAGGGTTTTGTCATGTTGCCCAGGCTGGTCTCGAACTCTTGGGCTCAAGTGATCCACCTGCCTCAGCTTCCCAAAGTGCTGGGATTATAGGCGTGAGCCACCGCACCTGGTGGGCTATACCTTAAACAGCTTAATTGAGTGATAACTCAATATCATAAAATTAAATTGTTTTAAGGGTAAAATGAAATGATTTTTAATAAACTTACAGAATTATGCAACCATCATTACTAATTTTAGAACATTTCTGTAACCCAGAAAGAAACTTCCAGCCCACTTGCAGTCACTGCCATTCTCACCTGCATTCTCAGATAACCACTAATTACTTTGTATCTGTTTGTTAGGCCGTATCTTTCTCTTCGTATAAAAACTGGATATAGAACCAAAGTAGTCCAATCTGCCTTAATATGGGATGGAAAATAAGTACCAGAAATCAAAATATCTGCCCTCTACCCAAGCATATCTCCCCTGAAGTTCAGAAGTACAGCTACTAGAAGCTAATTTTTCAATTATATCTTTTACCTGAATTTTTTTTTTACCAAGCCATTCTCAGAAGAAAGTGTCATCAAGATACCATCAAGCTTTCCCATTTCCCAAATTAAAAATCCTATCATACTAAAAAAGATATAGGACTTAGTTAAAGTATAAAAACTTGTAATGATCTGACAAGGACTCTTTTCAATGTTACTTTTGTTGGGAAAGTATTTCAGAAATACATGGTAACTTTTTGGTAAGCAGTGGATCTCCTGTCAGTTTTCAAGAACTTGTTAGTAAAAATACTTAACAAATTTTGTGGGTGCTTCTGAAATAGAATCCCATCACTCACAAAGCACCCTCACATCCATAAGCATATTGGTACCTTCCCATTTTGGCTGGAAAGAATTTTATAAACAAGTTAGTCTCAAACACTGTTAATAAGAAAAAGCTGGCCGGGTGCGATGGCTCACACCTATAATCGCAGCACTTTAGGAGGCTGAGATGGGTGAATTACTTGAGGCCAGAGGTTCGAGATCAACCTGGCCAACAAGACAAAACCCCATCTCTACTAAAAATACAAAAATTAGCTGGGCATGATGGCATGCTTGTAATCCCAGCTACACAGGAGGCTGAGGCATGAAGATCGCTTGAACCTGGGAGGCTGAGATTACAGTGAGCCAAGATCGTGCCACTGCACTCCAGCCTAGGTGACATAGCGAGACTGTCTCAAAAAAAAAAAAAAAAGAAAGAAAAAGAAAAAAGAAAAGAAAAAGGTAAGATGTCTTGGTATTTAGGAAAAACTTTATGGGCATGAGATTTCTTAGCTAAACTGAATGCTGTTAACATAAAATTATATACCCACGTGTATTACAGATTTAATATGGTAGCTTATTAGTAACATTAATTAAATGGCAGATATGGGTGATAGGGAAATTTTTAACAGGCTCCTTTTCTTTTTTCCCCACAATAGTGGTGAATTATAAGTTAAATTTTTTTCTAAGTTTATATTGATTTTTACAAAATTATAAAGACTGAAGAATTGCCTGTATTGCAGTCTAGAAAACCTCAGCACCATGCAATATACCAGATAACAAACCTGTACCCCCAATCTAAAATAAAAGTTGAAATTTAAGAAATGAAAAAAAAAAGTTCATAATTGATTGTCTCTTAATCTTTTTCAGTGATGCTATTGTTGATCTTTTCATATGGAATGGTACTAGAGGCAGTGGTATACCATTTAGGCACAGAGGCTCCTGAGGTCAGATTCCTGGTTAAATCTAGGCTCTGCTACTTCCTCTCTGACCTTGGGCAACGTACATCATCTCAATTTCTTTTTATTTTTTTTTTATTTTTATGGGTACAAAGTAGGTGTATATATTTATGGGGTACGTGAGATATTCTGATACAGGCATACAGTGTGTAATAATCAAATCAGGGTAAATGGGGTATCCATCACTTCAAGCATTCATCACTTATTTCTGTGATAAACATTTCAGTTATAATTTTAGTGATTTTTAAATGTACAATAAATTATTGTTGACTGTAGTCACCCTGTTCTATCAAATACCAGAACTTACTCATTCTATCTAACTATATTTTTTTACCCATTAACCATCTCTACTTCACCCGCCCTGCCACCCACCACTACTCTTCCCAGCCTCTGGTAACCATCTTTCTATCTCTATCACCATAAGTTCAATTGTTTTAATTTTTAGCTCCCACAAATGAGTGGGAACACATGAAGTTTGTCTTTTTGTGCCTGGCTTATTTCAATTAACATAATGTTTTCCAGTTCCATCCATATTGCAAATGATGACATCCTATTCTTTTTTATGGCTGAATAGTACTCTGTTGTGTATATGTACTACATTTTCTTCATCCATCCATCAGTGGACACTTATGTTGCTTCCAAATCTTGCCTATTGTGAATAATGTTGCAATAAACATGGGAGTGCAGATATCTCTTTGATATGCTGATTTTCTTTCTTTTGGATATATTCCCAGCAGTGGGATAGCTGGATCATATGGTAGTTCTATTTTTAGTTTTCTGAGGAACCTCCATACTGTTCTCCATAGTGGCTTTACTAACTAACATTCCCACCAACAGTGTACAAGGATTCCCCCATCTCCACATCCTCACCAGCATTCGTTATTGCCTATCTTTTGGATAGAAGCTGTTTTAACTGGGGTTAGATGATATCTCATTGTAGTTTTGATTTGTATTTCTGTGATGATCATTGATGTTAAGCACTTTTCATATAGCTGTTTGCCATCTGTCTGTCTTTTGAGAAATGTCTATTTGGAACTTTTGCTTATTTTTTTACTCAGACTATTAGATTTTTTCCTGTTGTTTGAGCTCCTTATATATTCTGGTTATTAATCTCTTGTCAGATGGATAGTTTGTAAATATTTTCTCCCATTCTGTGGGTTGTCCCTTCACTTTGATTGTTTCAATTTTTAAAAAAAATCTGGCTAACAATATTTCTTAGGGTTGTTATAGTGATTAATTAGATAATACAGAAGCATAGTACCTGCCATGTAAGTAAGATTTGCTGAGAACTATTATGTTGTGACTATTTTATTCTACAAGTTGATTTTTTTAATGGCTTTATAGTGACAACAGTTTTCTTTTTTAAGGTCTAAGAAAGCTCTTGTGTCTGTTAAGAAATTCAGCAGATTGTTTCAACTGATATTCAATTCAATAAAATTCTGTTTCAAGACCTAGTTTTTCTTAAACCTTTAAGTTCAATGTATAAACATCTATTATTCATTATTGCAGTTTATAAATGCAGGAACATGCTTTTTTTGATCAATGTTTTGCATCTATCTTGAACAGATTAAATTCTTTTAAATATTAAAACTATAATCTGTAGATAAAAATCTCTTAATTTTAAAATTATATTTACACATTTAATATATCTTAAACACTTCATATGCACCACAAGGCACACTTACAAATCTGGAACACAAAGCATTTCTACGCCCTTCTACTGGAACCCATGTCTATGCTCAGTAGCCTCTGCAGCTGCCGTCAATGAGCTTCAGATCTGAACTGCCATCCCTGCACCTTTTTCTGTAGCCATAAGTATCGATCACATGGCCTTTTCCCATTTTTTGAACTATAACCTTTGATATGAATTATTGAGATTCTACAGTTTCTATTAAGTTTGAAGTTTCTTCTTAATTTGATACTTCTTTTTTTTATTTTTGAAATAGAGTCTTGCTCTGTCACCCAGGCTGGAGCACAGTGGTGCAATCTCAGCTCACTGCAACCTCTGCCTCCCAGGTTGGAGGGATTCTTGTCCCTCAGCCTCCCAAGTAGCTGGGACTACAGGCGTGTGCCATCACGCCCAGCTAATTTTTTGTATTTTTAGTAGAGATAGGGTTTTGCCATGTTGGCCAGGCTGGTCTCAAACTACTGACTTCAGGTGATCTGCCTACCTCAGCACTGTTTTCTTCTTATATGGTATTTATATATCTGTCTTGCAATTTTATAGTTACTATGGTATCACACATTATGTGTAATATTAAGGTAACCATAATTCATTTAGCTAACCCCATGTTCTTAGATTATTTCCAATTTTCCCTTATATGTAACTGTTGAAAATATGCTTGTAAAAATATGTTTTGTACATCTAATCTAATTCCCTTAAGATAAAGTCATAAAATAGGATAACTGAATAAAAATGCCATTCAAACCCAATTTAAAAGCCTATGTAAAAAATCATTATTCTTGCTGCACTGTCTACAAATAATTAGGCCAAGTATAATAAAGCAAACCAGTCCTACCATGATTTGTCTTTAGTAAAAATGGGGAACTGGAGAGAGAAAAATTACATTTCAAAAACTATAGTACACTTGTTAGATTCTAGTCTTGCCTAATGTTTTTCAATTTTTAATATTTTCTACAGTTTGGACTGAATTCTAATTTTTCTTGGCTAGAAGTCTTCAAAATAATGTTTTCAATTTTTTCTTCTTTTTTCCCCATTTTTCCTAATTTGAAGTCACTGAAAACTAAGCTGTGCTTTCATGAAGCCCTGTGAACTGAAGCTAGACAACTTAAACTTCAGAAGAAAATAACAATCTATTTACATTCATAAGCCACTTTCATACCTGCCTACTAATGTATGGACTTCAGAGTAATGTGATCTATATTGATTTTCCAGGATTATTTTGTTTGTTGTTGTTTTTCTCCCTTCCTTCCCCTATATTCTCTTCATAGGACATGAGACTTCACAACCTTCTAAAAATGAGCTTTCCTAATAACTCAGGGCCTACCCATCTAGGAACAAACCATCCTAGCCATGAGAGATAAGATGAAACCTGAGCCCAGAGACTTTTTCTTCTAAAATGCTTTCTCCAAAAGATTTAAACAAAGGGGGGGGAAATGTGAAAGGAAAATATCTCTGGGCCCCAAAATCACTAAGCTAAAGGGAAAAGTCAAACTGGGAACTGCTTAGGGCAAACCTGCCTCCCATTCTCACACATCTGCTCACTGAGATAAATGTATAACTCATTGCCGCCTCTGGAGAGGCTAATCAGAAACCCAAAAGAATGCAACCGTTTATCTCTTATCTACCTATGACCTGGAAGCCCCCTCCCCACTTTGAGTTGTCCCACCTTTCCAGACTGAACCAATGTTCATCTTACATATGTTGATTGATGTCTCATGTCCCCCTAAAATGTATGAAACCAAACTATGCTATGACCACCTTGAGCACATGTCATCAAGACCTCCTGAGGCTGTGTCATGGGTGTGCATCCTCAACCTTGGCAAAATAAACTTTCTAAATTAACTGAGACCTATCTCAGGTTTTCAGGGTTCACACTATAGTTATCCTTTCCTACCAGTGTCTGGGAAAGCAAAAAAAGCCACAATAGTTCCTCTCTCAGTGGATGGCAGTTTCATTAGTTCATTTGTTTAGGGTACCATGCCAGAGTGCAAAGCATATGCCAAGCCTTCTGAGTCTTCTTACATTGCAAAATACTGGAAGTTAACCTAGATAATACTGAAAAAGTTAAAGATCTCTATAGATTCATCTCCCTTTAGAAGGCAAATGGCAAACTCTGAACCTTCCAGTTACACTGCTAGTGTTTTGTTACATTTTTTTTTTTAACTAAGCATGATTTATTCCAGAAATGTAAGGAAGATTTAAAATTAGAAAATGATTGTAATAAAATACATCACAAACATGTTTAAAAGGAAAAGACATTATTATCTGGAGTGAAGCCAAAATGGCATTTGGTAAAACTCAGTATCCAATTGATGTTGCAAGGGAAAAATATTCAGTATTTTATTTTAATAGAAGTATGTATAGTTAGGCTCTTTTGATGTCAATATCACACAATTTTAGCTGTGTAATATATGTTCTAATACCTAGTGGGAAAAGTCTTCTGCTGCTTTCATATTCACTCCTAAATAAGATTTAGAATCTTTTTGTCAAATACAAGAAAACACATCCATAGACACCATTGTGCTTCTGTGTTTTACTTCTACATCTCTACTTTTTAACATTGTTCTAGCCAATTAAGCCAAGAAAATGAAAACAAAACAGGCAGGTAATGACTAAAAGGCAGAAAAGAATATATATGTGAAAATAACTAAAACATACAATATTCAACTGGAAGGTTAGATTTTGTTTACAAATTAAAAACACAGTATCCTTATAGAATCAGTAATAACCAGTTAGAAAACCTAATAAAAATATGATCACTTACTTGACTATTGGTTACTGATGTAGCCACTACAACAAAGACAAAAATGGCCTCAAATTTTAATAATTAAAATAAATGTTCAGAACTTATTTGAGGAAAGCTGTAAAAATTAGCTGATGTGGATAGAAGCAAACATAAAGCTATACTATATTCATACATGGGAAGCTGAGGTTATTATACCAGTAAAGATTTGATGTTGCCATACTATATAATGTGAGTCATTTCCTTTTAATAATGCCAATAGAATTTTTCCTGTAGTCTGATAAAATGATTCTAAAGTTCATCAGAGAGTAAAAATGGTAGCAGCAGCAGGTTTACACCACTAGGTTACATTACATAACTAATACAGCACCTTTGTTGTTGTTTTTTTTTTTTCTTGGAGACAGGGTCTCACTCCATCACCCAGGCTGGAATGCAGTGGTGTGATCACTGCTCACTGCAGCCTCAACCTCTTGGGCTCAAGTAATCCTCTAACCTTAGCCTCCCAAGTAGCTGGGACTACAGGTGCACCACCACACCCAGCTAATTTTTTTTTTTTTTTTTTTTTTTTTTTTTTGGTAAACGCAGGGTTTCGCCATGTTGCCCAGACTGGTCTTGAACTCCTGGGCTCAAATGACCTCCTGCCTTGGCCTCCCAAAGTACTGAAATTACAGGTATGAGCCACCACATCAATAGAAGGAATCTCCTCAGATAAGACTTTTTTAAAACCAGCCCAGCCGTGGATTTGTATCATCAAATACCTGTGAATTGGGTGATTCTCTCCTCTTGAGGTTCTAAGATAAAGCTTGGAGCTCCTAGGCCTGTCAGAAAGTGACATTCTTTACTTACCACAGGTCAGGAACCCTATACAGGGACTGTGTAGACATGTATGAGGCCAGTTTTCCCAAGAGGCTTTTATTGGCTCCATAAGTCAAGTTTGATTCTTTAAAGGAAAGCACACCATTCCAGCCTAAGCCTTGGTAAAATAACCAGTTTCTCCAGTTGTGTCCTGTTATAAATGAAAACAGATTCTTATTGCACTTACGCAAATAACTGTATTGCTGTAAGTTAAGAATACAAATAGTTGCCAATAGTTTCCAAATTCTTGAGAAAGCAGGTAGAGAGAAAACAAATATGCTCCACATTTTGTTCACAGGAGTATACTTTACTCAATTGTTAAAAGCTGTAAATAGCTTAAAAGTTTTCCTGACTCTGAAAAACAAAGGATGAGCAGGTTTTAAACAAAAAAAGTTAAAAAGATTACTTTAGACTTCTGTTAGTTTAGTCCATGCAGTTAATTCCTGTTCTGCTTAATATTCATGAACATTTCAGCTCTCCATGAGTCCTGAAAGTTTTTCCTCTATTCTGATGTCACAGTCTCCACAGTTATCAGAAACCTGCATTCAGGAGCACCTGTAAGGGTTTTATAGCTGATTATAAAACCACCTTCTAAAGAGGACCAAAATAAGACAATTTTCTGTGGATGACAAAACGTTTTAGGGCAGCCATAGTCAAAGACACAATTGGAAAGAAATTTGTTACCTCTGTGGCATACAATAATTTAACATAATTATAATTATTACTGATAATGTACATTAAGTCATATCAGAATTATGGAAGTTTCCCATAATTTTAGAACACATACCAATAGCATATTTATACAAATACAGCCCAAAGAAAACCAAACATCATTTTATATTTGACAATGCTTTCTGCATAATTTTTATACCAAAGCCAAATATGTCATTTTTGGACTTTAGGGAACCTAATATCTTAAAGGATTAATTAGGTAAGAAAAAGGCATACTTTATAATTTGATTTGGAAAGTTTGTCAAATATCAAAAGTTTAAAACACTTGATATCACAAAATAGGATCACAGGTCATTGTAAAATAAGTCATTTCATTTAACCAAAGTGATAACACAAGGATAAAAAGGCAAAACCTTCATTCTTTGGGAAAGGAGACTTAATTTTCCAAACAATAAGCCTGAATAAAAACAGCATGAAGCCAATTAAATTTGTTTTTCAAAATTTTATAAACCATAAAATTTTAATTTTGACCATAAGATAAAACTTCCATAAGCCTTTTATAACCTTTATAACCTTTATTAAGGAGTCAGTTAATGCTTCAAGAAAACCTTGTTAATCAGACACAGGGACCCATATGCTTGTCTTGCATCAGTGTGTCTTTGACATTGATAATTAATTTGTAGAGAAACTGAACTTATCTCTCAAAATCAGTTCCTACAGTCTCATACGCCCACCTCTTCCACGATAGTTCCTGGGCCTTGAGGAGTTGAATAGCTTTAATTTCTGGCCCAGTGTCTTAGGAATGCAGTTTATTTTGATTGGCATCTTCTACCTGGCCTGAAGATGGGGTTTAATTGCTGTCAGTGTTTAAAATTTAACAGGACTTGGTGTCCTTTTCAGACACAAAAGTCAAAGGCCTGTAACTTAATGTCACAAGTACCTTAAAAGCACATACAAAGAGATACATGGATGCAATAACCTTAATTTAAAAAAAAACTTTTAATCTCAGTTTTTTCCTAAGCAAACCAAAACTTAATAATATGACAACTTGATAATATAAAAGTTTATTTTTAAATCCTCTCATTGTGACTTACACAGACCGTTCATGACATGCTTGGACTTTCTGGTTTGTCCTGAACATCCCTCTTTCTTAAACAACCAGTCATTCTACTCTAGGACTAAATTCTCTCTCGTATGAAGAATCTCATACAAAATTATTTTTCATTTGAAATTATTTCTCTTTAAGCTTTCTTACCAAAAAAAAAATTATTTTTATAACTTTCTCTACATCTCTTGTATTTCCTGGTTCATTTTACCTGGTTTTATACATAACCTTTAAATAAGCTTTGAATTAGACAAAAATTGTTCACCCTTTTTTAAAAGGACACACTTTTTTTTTAAGAAAGAATGTTTTCCTACAAATATATTTTATTGGAAAATATCCAAATAATGAAATATCTATTATTTAATTTAACTTTAGATTCTAAATTATGACCTGTTTGTCTACAATTATTTATCCCATTACATTTACCTAATTATTTTAATTGTTTATGTAGATTATTTATGAAAACTGTGATAGTCATCATTTAAAGTTTTGGAACCACCATTGCAAAATTGTAACTGAAACAGTGAAAAAGATTTAAACTAACTGACTTCATCTTGCTTTTAGCCTCCAATCTGTCCTTGTTCATTCCTGGGTGTAGGCCAAACTATTTGGGACCTTAGCTTATAGTTTAGCTTTGAAACAAAGACAGTAACAGTCCTTTCTCAAAACAAACCTCAGTCCCTGTGGACTAAACTGCCCAAAGCCACAAGATTAGAAGTTATGGTAATCTTACTAAATTCAAGATGTAGCTATTTTTTATTAAACCAATATCAATGTCTTGTTTATTAAAGGTTACACAAGGAAAGTTCATTCAGCTTTGGGCTAGGTTCATAGTTTTATAACCCCCATGTCAAATTTTGACACCTTATAGTATTTGGCAGGGATAAGTATGAAATTGCTTGATTAATAAATGCAAACAAGAATGTATGCTGGCAATTCTTAAGACATTTCTAATATTACTTTACCAATAATTTTAAAGCTAGCTTATTTATTAAAGATTTCACTTAAGTTCCGTAAACTTGAAAAAGCATTTGATTAGTCTCTTATTTTTTCCTGATAAACTATTTGATTCAAGTGCTTTTTTCTTTAAGCCAATTAATTAGAGCTTTTTAATATATTTTCAGTAGTGAAACATTGTGTACACAACATATAAATGCATAGACATGTTAGGCATGCCAATAGAAACACATCTTAGATTCATAAAAAACGTTTTTTTCCTATCCTAGATTTTCAAGATTTTGATAACCTGTTTCACAACCTTAGGTAGTTGTCAGCTAAATAGCCTTAAATTTGCATATTAAAGGAAACAACTCAGGTGAAAATCAAATAGCAAAATTTGCATCATAAGATACAGAGAGAAAAAGTCTAGAGGGAGATTAAAGATGGATGCCAAATCGAACATAAAATTATAAAAATCTATCATAGGATTGCATAAGGAGACCAATTTTATTTAGAGACTACCTATCTTTTAACCAGATCTCTGAGCCCTGGGCAGAGCCCACACTGAATCCTGGGTTTCCAAAAAGGGAGAATTTTTATGAGGCTGGACCATGTGATGTTTTTATGGTTCACTTAAAAAAAATTTTTTTAAAACAAAGACATTTTTAAGTGTCTAAACTACACTTTTCTTTAAAAACCCAAGAGTAGCCTCTGTTGCAGTAACTATTTTAGTCAATAAATCAGGTAACAATATAAAAGCAAGCAGTTTAAAAGCTGAGATGAACTTGTCTGTTTACACTCTTCAAGTTCCATAAGGAGAAACAGGTTTCTCCCCGAAAGGGAGTCTGGTGTCTTCTCCATTTTCTTTAAGGAACCCCAGGCTATTATAAACTAGTTTAGGTCCCTCATGCAGCAGAGGGTGAAAGAGAAAGGAGAGACAGCAGAAGTAAATGAAGAAAACAGAATCCAGTCAACTGAGAAGAAAAAATTTAAAAAACGGGCGCTAGGCATGGTGGTTCACATCTATAATCCCAGCACTTTGGGAGGCCAAGGCAGGTGGATCAACTGAGGTCAGGAGTTCAAGACCAGCCTGGCCAACATGGTGAAACGTCATCTGTACTAAACATACAAAAATTAGCTGGGTGTGGTGGTACGTGCGTGTAATCCCAACTACTTGGGAGACTGGGGCAGGAGAATCCCTTGAATCCAGGAGGTGGAGGTTGCAGTGAGCCAAGATCACACGACTGCACTCCAGCCTGGACAACAGAGCAATACTCCACCTCAAAAAAAAAAAAAAAAAGACAAGGTCCTGGGGGAGAAAAAAGGAATAAAAACATGAAGGCCTTTTAAATACAAACACATGTAAACGTACAGACACACATCTTGGATGGTAGTTTTCAATTAAGCTGACTTTAACCATTAAGTTCCTTTAAAAAAACAACTCTTTAAATCTCATTTCCATATTTCACGAACTAGGACAAATTGCCGCTATTTCAGAAGTACCAAGTATCAAACCAGAAAGGGCTTGATTTAGGAAACAAAACTCAGGCTGTCATGGTGGGAAAAAAAAGGCAGAACCCTAGCTATTGAAATGCAGTGTGAGGTGACTGCCTTTGCTTTCAGTTTGACCTGGCTAGCAAAAAGGTGGCTTTGTTATGTAAATAAAGCCCCTTAAGTAGTCAAAATTAAAATTCTTTCCTTTTTTTTCTTTTTTTTTCCTTTTTCTGGCTGTTTTTCTCCCCCCCATTATACCACCTTACCATACTACCTTTTTTGTGTGTGTCTATGAGAATTTAGCCACTTCAGTGGCCTTGTTCCCCATAATTTGGAACTTTCCTTCGGATTTGATCAAGTCGGAAGAAGTTGGTCAAACCCAATGGGAAAAAGACTGAAACAACAAGAAAAAGAGAAACAATAAAAAAAAACAGTTAAGCAAAAAAAAAATGATTGCACAACTTATATGATTACTGAGCACTCTAATGGTAAAGACATTAAGACCAGCTGGTTGTTGATTTTAACTTTAGCCAAGACAAACCCCAATTTAGTTATCTAGGGGTTGTTGGGTCTCAGGCTGAAGACTGCTTTCTATCCTAGTGAAGCAGCCTTGTTGTCTGGGGTGATACCTGAGGTTCATTGTCTCATGCAGAGGAAATCAAGGACATGGACACACAAGGAGTGAGGTTAAAAGCAGAGGATTAATAGGCAAAAGGAAAAGAAGAACTTTCTCCTGCAGAGAGAGGGGTCCCAAATGGGTTTCTGCTTCCTCAGTGAAATGCAGGTTTTATAGATGAGCTTGAGGAGGTGGTGTTTGATTTACATAGGGCATGAAAGATTGGTTGGACCAGGTGTGCCATTTGCATAAGGGTGCAAAAAGCTGGCCACCCCCACCCTAATGTTTTATTATGCAAATGGATTATCTTCCTGGCCCACACCATGTTGCCTGTTTCTTTACACATGGTGACAAAAAGGAAGATGGAGCCTACACGTTGAACATACCTGGCCCCCAGGTAGCCATTTTGTATTGGCACAGCTGCTGGCAGTAACCTGTGCAAGCTTCCAGCTTGCTTATCTATGTCTGCAGCTCAATTTTTCAGGCTGCTCTTCATTAGACAAAAGAAGTTTCTCGGGCTGCTTTCTGTTAGAAGGGAAGCCTTGCCAAGAACTCTTACCCTCACTATCTGCCTAAATAACTTCTATCTCCTGTGTCACTAGGAGCAGGAAAAAAAAAAAAAAACCTCATCTTCCCTGTTGGAAGGGAAACTCCGTAAAGGAGTTACCTACCTTCCATCATCATGGAAGCAGGAAAAACTTGCCTGCCTTGTGTTGGAAGCAACTAAAACTCCAAAAAAAAAAAAAAAAAAAAAAAGGTTGTACAGCAAAATAAACTTTAGATCTCAACCAGAATTGGGGAGATCAGGGATTCTCTGGAATGGGTGCTTCCAGGCCTCAGCAAATTGTCCTATTGGTTTAAGCCATAAAGATAGCCCAAGGTTGAACCAAGCACTGATAGGAGATTTGTTAAAGGTCAGGGGCACCTCCACTCAGAATCCCTCTGTGGTTACCAAAATGTGAACCCTGAAAATCTGAGACAGGTCTCAGTTAATTTAGAAAGTTTATTTTGCCAAGGTTGAGGTTGCACACCCATGACACAGCCTCGGGAGGTCTTGAAGACATGTGCCCAAGGTGGTCAGAGCACAGTTTGGTTTCATACATTTTAGGGGGATATGAGACATCAATCAACATATGTAAGATGAACATTGGTTCGGTCCGGAAAGGTGGGACAACTCAAAGTGGGGAGAGGCCTTCCAGGTCATAGGTAGATAAGAGATAAATGGTTGCATTCTTTTGGGTTTCTGATTAGCCTCTCCAAAGAAGGCAATCAGATATGCATTTATCTCCATGAGCAGATGTGTGACTTTGAATAGAATGGGAGGCAGGTTTGCCCTAAGCAGTTCCCAGCTTGACTTTTTCCTTTAGCTGAGTGATTTTGGGACCCCGAGATATTTTCCTTTCAAAATAGGAATGAATATGTTGTGATCATTATCTTGATGACAAACATTTCGTCCCAAGATTTGTTCACACATGATGAATGTGCTATGTATATTTAATCTTAATGAAATCCCAAGGAAAATATTAATTTTAACACTAATAACGATAAATGGGCATTGTACTCACATAGTGTTCTTACTCCCAGGGGCACAAAGCTCTTCACAATTAATTATTTCAGTCATTCTCATAGCAGTCCCATGAGGTGGGTGGCTGAGTGTGTCCTCTTGGAAAAAAAAAAGAAAAAAGGTTACTAATTGGATTTTCTTCTGTTCCACATTCTGTGTTCTAGAACCGAGTAGCTACCTTATAAAGACCATCTGTACATCCACTGTGAAATGGAGTTTCAAAATCACAAGCTTCTTTCCCACATGAACATAAGACTAGGAGCACATATGGAAGAGTAAAGTTGAAGGGAATTTGGATGATGATTTGGCAAGATGCTGTAAGTGGATTAGGCAAGGCTGCTAAAGAGAGACAGGAAATGGCTGTGTTAGTGCTTCGGACCTCCGTTAGAAGTAGCAGTTCATGGTGTTGAAGGTTTGTTGTTGAAAATACCTTCCTGAGGCACCTCTTCATTGTGCTTATTCTTCCCACAACATTGTGCCAAGACACTGTCAAGCCTGGGCCTGTCAAAGCCTGGGATGTCAAAGGCCTGGGTCTTTCTCATCCTGCTGTAATGTATTGATAGCTGGGGGCTCTGCAGAAGGACAAGGGAAAGGTGAGATGTTTATAATTCTCAGTAGTACCTTTTAGCTAGTCTCATGCTCCCTTATCCCCCATTTCTCTACCAGGCCAGCTTTCCACATGCTTTTGCTTTCTCAGAAACAGAGCCTGTGTGTGGACACATCTTGTCCCTGGAGCAGGGAAACAGTACAGCTAAACCTCTCACTTTACCTAGTGATCAGCTCATCCCTCTCCTTCCTTTCACAATATGCCATTCAGTCTTCTCCAGTAGTCTTTCATCATTTTAGTCCTGTCTCTTTGGTTAGACTGCAAGCTCTTTGGCTGAATGTTCAGGTCAGGTGTTTTTCACTCCTTTTAATTTGCCCTACATAGCCTTCAGCACTGGGGCATTTAGGTGCACAGTAAACACTTGTGGTTTATCTATTTGCCACCCATAATTGTAAACAGACATTGCCTGTACATATTGACTGCCATTTTCGCTGTGTTTTTTTTCTTTCATTAAATAAAGGCTTAGCTGTCATCACTTTGAGTTTGTCCTCCTCAGTTTTCCCTGAAGTTACCCTGAAACGGGGAGGCAGGGGAGGGGGGAGGTCCTTTAAAATGCAGTGGATTGTGCTTAAGTTGAGCAGTGTATCCAGGGAGAGGACTAATTACGAGGTTTGAAAACCTCATCAGGTGGCTGGTTTCTGTAGCAGGACTAAAAGACTGCTCTCCTAAATTGAGAACAGCTGGGGCTGTGTGCTAGCAAGTATAAAAGAGGTGGCAGTGGTGCCCCGTGTCCGAAAGAAGTGTGTGCTCTCTGGAGCCTGTGGAGCTGAAGCCAAAGGTAGTTATCCTCATCAGTGTCGTGGTGGGTGAGTCCCCTGAGCTGGTCCTCTGGAGGCCCGTTTCTGTTGTTTGGTAGAAATTGTGGTAGCTGAATCAAAATATTGTTAGTTACTAATTTATCATGCCAATTGTAGTGAGGTATTTTTATCCTTCAAATAAATTCTACTTGTTACCTGCGTGAGAGACATAGCTAAGGCTTGGTGTATCTTTTCAGAGTTATTTTGAAGGCTGCCAGCTTTTCTTGTATATGGTGTGCGTCTCTGAATATAAAAGGATAAACTGAGGCTGTGCCATTTTAAAAATCTTGAATGTGTTGTTCTTGAATCTGTTCTTAAAAGCGGTCACTTAAAAAGACTTCTGTTTTTTAATTAGAAAATAGAAAATTGACTATTTTGACAAATGAAGAGTAACAATTATTCAATGCATATAAGCCTCTTACCAGTTTTTTATTCTTTCTTTATGGCTCATAGAAAATACAGTCTTAGGAAGGATTGATGTGATCTCTGGGTAATTTCTAGCTTATTATGACTTCATGGTTAGCAACAAGTGATAGTGTCTGATGAAGTGTTTGCAATGTTAGGTCCTGATTTTTCTTTAAGGAAATTTAAAGGGAACTGATTGTTAAAATGTTCCTATTTCTACCAATACTAGCTCAAAAAGAGACAAGAATTCCAAGATAAAACTGTTCAGTATTTTGTAAATAAACTTGATCTCAGCAGCTTTAACTAGGTTCTGACGTTACATTTATAAAGCAAATGGCTTTGGTATTTGTTTCCTTAGTTTAAGAATGTTTCTGTTTTGGATGGTTGACAGTTGGACAAGCATAGTTTCTGAACATAATTTTGTTTTGCTTTTAGGTGGGATAGTAACATCTTTTTGAGGGAAGAATTGGCTTCCTTTCTTGAAAGTGGTGAAGGTACAGCATATAGCTGCATGGAAGAAACAGTAATCGGATGGCTACCTTCTACATTTTGTATTAGGAAACAAAGTCCATTGTAAGAGTCCATGTTGATCTTGGAAATAGAAGGATTGAAAAAAGCTAAATTTCCACAAAGAACAAGAACTTGACCATCTCCTTTTTGATCTGAAGACTAGGGGACAATGGATATCATAGAGACAGCAAAACTTGAAGAACATTTGGAAAATCAACCCAGTGATCCTACGAACACTTATGCAAGACCCGCTGAACCTGTTGAAGAAGAAAACAAAAATGGCAATGGTAAACCCAAGAGCTTATCCAGTGGGCTGCGAAAAGGCACCAAAAAGTACCCGGACTATATCCAAATTGCTATGCCCACTGAATCAAGGAACAAATTTCCACTAGAGTGGTGGAAAACGGGCATTGCCTTCATATATGCAGTTTTCAACCTCGTCTTGACAACCGTCATGATCACAGTTGTACATGAGAGGGTCCCTCCCAAGGAGCTTAGCCCTCCACTCCCAGACAAGTTTTTTGATTACATTGATAGGGTGAAATGGGCATTTTCTGTATCAGAAATAAATGGGATTATATTAGTTGGATTATGGATCACCCAGTGGCTGTTTCTGAGATACAAGTAAGTAAATCTAATGTTTTGAGGATTTGTCATGGGTTTGTTTTTGAGTGAATAGATGGGTTATTGAGATTATTTTTCCTTTTTTTCCCCCAATAAATTCAGTCTTACCCAAACATTTGATGAAAGAAAACAGTAGAAAGCTCTACCACATTGAATAAATTCAGTCACTATTCAGTAAGTGTTTGATGAGCAACTGTGTATGAAAGTGGCAGTGTACAGCAGTACTGTGGTGGATGACTCAGAGTTGATGAATTTAAGGTGCAGTTCCTGACTTCCAGCAACTTGGTGCTATGGTATTTGTATGATAAATCAAGAGGCTTGGAAAGGAATAACATTCACTCCCATCATGTTTGTTATTTCAGGCTCTTGACAAGTGGGAAAAGGAATAGGTTGAGAAACTTTTTTCTCCATTACTCATAATGTGATGTCTGTATTGGTCTAGAGTCAATAGCCTGCTTTAAGGTTTGCCTAGATTCAATTCTCAAATTTTACATTTCTGTGGGGCTGGGTGTGTGGATGTGGTTTCGGTTTTTTGTTTGCTTGCTATCTAGTTACAAGTGTTTAAGAGACTGAGTTTAGAACCAGATCCATGCGGTTTTGATTTTTAGATTTCTAAAGTAAACTTGCCCTCTGATTTTCCTTGGACACCACAAAGGAGCTCATGGTTCACTGGGTTCAGCCTCCTCATTTTTGGAATAGTAGGAAATCAAGAAGAAATAAGTCAGGTACTTTTGCTTTGAAGACACTTAAGAATTGGACATAGCCCTGAAGTGGTTATTTCTGCTTCTCTATGTGAATTCTGACTCCTAGTCCATAAAAACGAAGGCTCCTTAATTCCTCCTTTCCTCTCATTCATCATTTAGACATTTGTTTTCCACTGGGATGGTAGTGATTAAATCACTAAAATATGATTTTGATCAAAACACTGACCATAATACAGAGTTTAAAAATGTAATGTATGCTAACTTGGATACAATCTGAACATTCCAAGTCAAATAGGATTTCAGTATTAATGCCACAAGATCATTCTTAGAGAATTTTGGCTGTATTGTTTTTTAGTTGGTAACACTTTTCATTACTTGATCAATTATAGAACTCTCAATGTGGTATATCCACTCAGACCCTAACACTGTTACTGTTTTGTGATTAGAGGAATTCAGTCTATCTTTGTTAAAGAGTTCCCCAAATGCAACTTTGCAGTCTTAAAACCTTATTCCACAAACTGCAGTCATTCCTAAGCATTTTCCTTAATATAACTCTTCATGTGTTTCCTTAATATGCTTAAGTAATAGACTTAGCTATGAGTTGTCTTTTACTTAAAAAAGTAACCTGCTCCTGAAATTGTTAAAGGATGCTTTATGCTAAAAGCAAAAAATGTATTTATGAACTTCAGTGTTTTTCTCTTTAGTGTCTGGAAATTAACACAATGTAAGAGCCTGCTAAGGCGGCAGATAATTTGCTTTCTCCTTTATTTAGAGCAAGGTTTTATTGATATATGTGTGAAAAGAGAAATTGTCCAGAATCTGGTAAGTATGTGGACTCCACCCTGAAGTACAGTCTTTCCCTCAATTTAGCTGTATTTTCATCTAGATCCTTTTTGAATTTTCATTAGATAGTTATTATTAACTGCCTCTACCTACCACCTTAGATTTTCAACATGTCCAAACACACGGTCACATAGCCAGACCATAAATTTTAATGATATCCACTGTTTCAGTCGCAATTCACACAAGTTTGCCTTTTTACATTTGAAGTAGAATTGGATCTTACATTTTAGTAACTAGTAGAATAATTTTTATAACCTGTTTTGAACATCCCAGCTGAATGAGGAATGTTGCTTGCTCTCTCTTTTAAAAGCACCTTTCAAAGCTATGGGAAAAAGTCATTAGCACTAGTTCTTTTTCTAAATAAGGCTGTAGAGTACATCTTTCACCTTCTAAGTTGGTTTTCTGTTCTGAGTACAGCTGAACTCAGAATGCTGGAATGAATGTAATTGACTCATAATAATTTCTGCTTATTACTTCCCCTTGTCTAACAGCATGGAGCACAATTCAAAACAGCACTCTGTTGGAACCTGAGGTTGGATCAAAGGCTAAATTGGTTTTCCCTTAACCAAGGGAAGAAACTCAGCACTGTTTATTACCTGCTCCTTTTTAGTACCAGGAAAGGCAGAACTAGAATAGCAAGCCTTTAAAGAAATTCCTTGGGGATAAATAAATACTCTCATCTACTAGTCTAGGTGGTGTTCCCTTCTATTTTTTTTTTGACCCCAGAAACCTTGGAATATTCTTAAAATAGCTGTTGGAAACAGACAGCTGAAATATATATTTATACATAATTCTTGAAATTAGAAGTTCCAAATGTTATCTGAATTAGACCTTGATTCATGTCAGAACCACAATCTTAGGGAAAACTTAAAATATGTCACATTACCTGAAACTGCCTGTTTTTTCAGAAGTCTTTGATCACTACCAGTCTTGAAAGCTTGAGACCTCTGAAAATGAGAGACCTAGAGTAATATGTTTTATGCAGTAATGAAGTTACACCTAGCAAGTCTAGGGGCTTTATGTGGAGTCCCACTCATCTCTTAATCCCCAGAGCCCAGAGCTGACAGACCTAACTATACAACAGAAAAGGAGCTGTCCTGTTCAGCTGGACTAAAGACATTCAGACCCATGATGCCCATTCAGATACCCATGAGGCAATGGTACAGTGGCAGAGCCCTTCCCTTTTGAAGACAGGATCCTCCGTCATCCACTGGGAAGCCTGCCTCAGGCTGAGGACTCAGGTCATGAAGCACAGGGGCTGATGTTAGGACAACGTTCTTCTCACAAAAATATAAAGTGAAAAATGACTTGTGGGATTTTTTTATCCTTTTTTTGATCAAGATTGAATGAAATAATCAGCTTACACATTCACTATTAAATGTAATTAACTGTATGAGAACACTTTGGACATTTTCAAGATAGAGTTTTTTGAAAATCTAGTCATAGAGAAAATAGTTCATGCCCGTATTGTCAAAATACCTTCAGATGGTCCTCAAATAAACCCTGCTTATATACCGTGGGCTAAATGTGTTGTCACATTTCCCTATGTGTCTAATTATGTAATGTCACCTTGGCTCATTAGTTAATTCCTCTGTTACTGTGGCTTGCTTATTCCTTTCATATGTTCTCAAGAAAGGGTTTTAATGCAGTGAGTTGACTGAAAATACAGACAGGTTCATTCTCTGGCAAAGAGTGCTTTTGAGGAGAGGTGACTATGTAGACTCTTCGTCTACTTTAGTTCCCCCACCCCACACACACACATCCTTTGGAAGCCAAACCACCTAGATTTATTGCAGTATGTGAATCTTCATTTCTGAAAACTGTGGTGCAAATCTCTCCATGAAACTGTAGGGATGGGCAACTCAAAAGTAAGCCTTTAAACTCTGTGAAACTGTGGTTTGTTTGTTAATGCCATTCTGTACTGATTATTCTTTATCCTGTTAAACATTGTTTTATTTTTCATTAGGAGTAAAACCAACCAGTAAACTTGTTTTTCCCCATCCCTATTTTTTCTTTTAGGTCAATAGTGGGACGCAGATTCTGTTTTATTATTGGAACTTTATACCTGTATCGCTGCATTACAATGTATGTTACTACTCTACCTGTGCCTGGAATGCATTTCCAGTGTGCTCCAAAGGTCAGTACCTCCAAACTGCCACTTAGAAGAAATCAGGCAAACAGTTATTGATCACTTACCCTGTATTATACATTCTTCTAGACACTTCCCTATGTGTTAGCTGAAATCTAGCATCTTTTCTATTTTCTATTTAGATTTGAGGGGAAGAAATTAAAATGTATTTATAAAATATATACCTTTTGTGCTAAAAAAATGTATTTTCTGTTAACTGAAAATTACCATTGGGGGTTTGACTCTGCTTTTTTACCTTCTCATTTACTTATTCATTAATGCTTTCATTCTACAGGCATTAAGCTTATGTACCAGGGATTGTAGTAACCCAAACAATGTCCCTCTTCTGGAGCTTATATTCTATTGAGGGATGACAAATTATAAACAAATTCATAATTTGTCACATGCTGATAAGTCAGGTGATTGTCAGGTGATTGTCACAAGCAGAACAGCAAAGCTGAGTAAGGTGAAAGGGTGCTTGAGGGTTCTATTTGATATAGAGGTCAGGAAAGCCTTCTTTAATAACGAGGCATTTGGGCAGGAACCAAGACAAGGAAGTGAGCCATGTGGACGGCATGAGAGCTGCAGGCTAAAACATTGCTTATTCACAGTGGGTTAAAGGAAGAGTAGGGAGGCCGGTGTCTCAGAGTGGAGTTGTGAAGGGTTGGGGTGTGCAGACCACAGATCACATAGGGTCTTGCAGCCTAGTATAGGAACTTTAGCCTTAGTGGTAGCAGTGGAAATAATGAGAAGTTGTTCAGTTCGGGATATAGGATATGCTAATAAGTTGGATATGGGTTTGACAGAAAGAAGTCAAGGATGACCCCAAGGTTCTTTAGCAGCTGGAAAGAGAGAGTGGCCTTTGACTGAGATAGTGTGTGAGGATGTCTTCTGAAACCATCCTAAGAAGGAATTACAGTTTATCCAGGAAGAGCGAGTTCTTGAGAGAGCTGTTAATCATCTCGGACTTCAGTGCACCCTGGTTTACAAAATGGAAAATTACAAATCATGTGCTTTCTGGACAAAGGAATGAAGTCTAACATCATATTTTACTGAACACTAAGCAGATGTCTGAGGTGAAAGAAAAATCAAGCTTCTCTGAAGACGTCCACAGTCTCCCTCACCAAATATAGGTGTGGTTTGGAGAAGCTATACTTTTCCAAAGCCATCAAAGCAGAAAATATCTGTAATTAAAACTGTGCATATTGAATTTAAACACTGGCCGATTTTAGTGAAGCTAATTTAAGGCGTGGGAGAAGTTCAGAAGTGTAATAAACACTTCTAAGGGGCTATTGCAATGTGTTAAATGGAGAAATGGCCACAGAAAAGAAGGCAAACCCATCTTAGTAACGGATGAGGTTTGCAGGATGAATTGCTATGATTACAGAAAGAAAGTAAATTAAAGATTGTCCTCTGTGGAAGAGTTGCAATCTTTGGAAGCCACATCAGTGCCGTTGGATAGCCAAGCTACAAATAGTCATAGTGGAACCTCTAGTAACATCCTTACTAATCATCTCCCAGGTTCACTTGTCGGGACCCCTTCCTGAAGCATAAGCAAGCCATATATGCCTGAATCATGGTTCAGTAAAACAAACACAAATCACTTAGTTTGACTAGAGGTGAGGTGCTTTTACAGAACAGGCATCAGAGTTGTGTTCTAAATTTGGTTCATCTGCTGGCTTTGGGTGCTGCTTAGATTTTTATGGTTACAAAGCTATTACAAAATCTTGTCTCCTGTGTTGCTGACTCTATAGGAATGTCCTTCATGAGTATAAGCATGGCAGAACTTTGTATGTGGAAGCCACTCACTATGGAAAAGTGTCATATCTGTTATAGTAATTGATGCCTGTACAACTTGTAACTCACCAGACATGCTTACAAGAGCCAACACAGTGAAAGCTTTGCTTTCCTAGTTTTCCAGTTGCCTGCTCCCTTATGTATCCTATGGTTCACTTTTAATTTTTTGCTTATAATTTGCTTCAACCTCCAACCCAAGTTTTGATTTACAGTCAGACAATCTGTGTTCTTCAAAGTGTGTTTACATAAGTGTTGGCCCCATTATTATAAAAGGATTATGTGAAATGATTTAGCTTTGCAAACCTATTTTTCCACATACAAGAATGTTTGGCTGGGAGAGCAACATTCCCTTCCCTGAGAAAGCTTTCTAGGGCGAGCTATCCCTCATCTTGGCCATAGGTGGCCAAACACTTACCTCCTTCTTCTTCTTTTTTTTTTTTTTCTGAGATGAGTTTTGCTCTTATTGCCCAGGCTAGAGTGCAATGGCGCAATCTTGGCTCACCGCAACCTCCACCTCCCAGGTTCAAGTGATTCTCCTGCCTCAGCCTCCCAAGTAGCTGGGATTACAGGCATGTGCCACCATACCTGGCTAATTTTGTTTTTTCCTTTTTTTTTTTTAGTAGAGACAGGGTTTCTCCATATTGGTCAGATTGATCTTGAACTCCTGACCTCAGATACTTACCTTCTTAATGGAAGAAACAGTGTAGATGATAAGCTTTCCTTTTTGGCAGCAGCCAAGTTGGTCTCTCCTGTACCTAATGTGCCACCCATTGCACTCCAGTCTGGGTGAAAGAGCAAGACCCTGTCTCAAAAAAAAAAAAGGTCTTTCTGTATTTCTCTTCCATGTATTCTATTACATGATTTTTTTTTCTGAGCATTGTTCTTTGATTTTCTCAATTTGCTTTATACTTATCTGATCTGAATCCCCCACCCTATCTAGCCCCTCAATAATTCAGTATTCCAATTTTCTATGCCTACAGTTTGGACCAACTCCTTCCAGTATGATTAAATTGTAATGGGGTACAAACCTCTCTGGCCCCTGGCCTAGCCCAGCGTTGTTTCTCACTGTCATCACAGTGGCTTTGCAGGGCTGCTGCACCTTGTCCAGAGGAGCTCTCCCAGCCTCCTGCCGTAGCACACAGGCTATTTCTTTAGGGGATGTTTTTCCTAATCAAAGCTACTCATTTTTAAAGCTGCCAGTACATCCCTAATCCATCATTTTCAAACCTATTTAAATTATTTAATGAGTTGCAACTCCTCTTCTTAATTGTAAATGTTTTGATCAGACATTAATGCAGCTATATATCTGTCCACTTTAGGCTGCCCACCTAATACAAGATACCAATACACTGCAGAGAATATTGGTAATGTGGTATGCAGCTGAATCAAATATTAACCATTCAAAACCCTCACTTCCCCCTGCAAAAAGAAAGTAGCTTTGATCTGCTTTTTAGCACGTAGCTGTGGTGAAGTCATTGGTTATTAATATTTTTAAAAGCTTTGCCCAAGGACACACCACCACCAAGACATATTATTAGTAACATATTGAATAATTTAAAACGTCAATAAAGCTTGCCAATAAATGAATAAAACCCAGTTTGAGGAGCTTCTCCTTGGATTCTTTTTGACTTTCTAGGTTAAAAAGAAAAAAAAAATCACAACCTGGTGTCCTTTCTAAGAGTCACACAATTAGACTGAAACATGATTTTAGCCACTTGTAAATTCCCTTCTTAATCTTCTTGTGTCATTCAGCTCAATGGAGACTCTCAGGCAAAAGTTCAACGGATTCTACGATTGATTTCTGGTGGTGGATTGTCCATAACTGGATCACATATCTTATGTGGAGACTTCCTCTTCAGCGGTCACACGGTTACGCTGACACTGACTTATTTGTTCATCAAAGAATGTAAGTAATAGCCCATTCCCACTGAACTGATAGCTGTAGTGGGAGGGATCCCTGGGCCCTGAAATTGATAGGAGCCCTTATTCTCTTGGGATTGATAAGCTGTGAAAGAGACGGATGTGTGTGTATATATGTATGTGAATGTGAATGTGTGTGTGTGCGTGTGTGTCTGTATATATATAAAATATAAAATTTCAACTAGTCATATGTGATTTGAACCCTGAAGGCTTAAAACCTGGCCCTGGCTTCTCTCTAGCATTTAACATGCCTCTAAAACATCTCCCTTCTTGGTTAGTACTTCTTAAGGTATGAAAAGCTATCTTAATATTGGAATTAATTGTTAATTTTATTGCAAAAAGGATTGGTACATTCTAAAGACAGATGTAATGACCTTTGAATTATTTGTAGGACACTTCCATTCTAGCATTCCAAATAATTCGGTTAATGTGTTCCCCTTTTTAAAACATTTCCAAGTCCCACTTTATTCTAATTTCATCATCATCTAGCACTTTCTGTGCTTTCATAGGAGTCTTCATGGACCATTTTGCCAATACCGATTATTTTCTTCTCAATAAGAAATGTGGTGGCAAGAAATAAAAATCTCTTTCTATATTTGTATGCTTAGTTCACATTATACAAAATCCTTGGGTTTTCTAGTAGGTTTTATGGCCAAAATCATGTCTTGTTCTTTGTAGGGTTGTACTGTTTTAGCTGCCCAGTAGGTCTCATTTTTATATATTTCGGAGGATTTGTATATTTAGGCCTATTACCTCAAAATCTTTTTGAAGTAATAATGCTTCTTCCTTCATGTTTGCAAAGCTGGTCAGTATTACCCTTCATATTTAGTTCCAAGTTACCTCATGGCAGTATTTTTTGGAGGTTTATCTTAATCCTTTTCACTGGGCATATTTAAAAGGGGGTCTTTCAGCAGAGAGCAGCAGAAGGCAGCTTCCCCTCCCCTGTCCTCCTTGTTCTTCCCTCCTCTCTTGGCCCTTTGTTCATCCAAATAGATTTATCCTAATTGGTGGTGTGGAAGTCAAGGGTTATCTTCAGTGGTGCAGAAGTGAATTATTGCCCCTTTGATTACCTGGGGTATTTAAGTTCTGCTTTGAGGGTAAGATGACAAGAGTTGAGGTTCTCTGTAGTAGATGAAGTCAAGTCTTTTTTGTGAGAATTGTAGCGTCTTTTTGTTGCTTCCTTTGTAAATTCTACATACAGACCTGCAGTAGGGAGAATAGTGGGATACATGTGGGGTCTTCATACTTGACTTAAAAGCTTTTTCCTTATTTCTGTTCTCACACTCTTGTGGTGGTGGAGTGGGTCCTGGATCTGTCTCTGCACCATCATCAGAGGATGGTCTCTTCCTTAAATTTAGTCACTCCATTTCTAATATTGAGTTATTGGTTCTGGGGGGTTGGATGGAAGGATATATGTTGCTTTGGTTCTAACTCTAATTTTCCCAAGGAAAGTTCCATGAGTATGCTATGTAAGATCAGTCATTTTCTAGTGTAGATGTACATTTGAGTTTAGGATCTTCTCTATAATCTGAGGATCATAAAAAAATTACAGAAGAAGATGGGGATGAGGGTGGAGGTGGGGGAAGAGGTGCATTTCAGAGTGAAGGCACTGTAGGTTTAAAGTAATAAAAACACCCCCAGGAAACTTAGATTCAGTTTTCTAAAATAACTGAAAACCAACTGATATTAACTGTATTAGTCTGTTTTCACACTGTTGATAAAGACATAACCAAGACTGGGTAATTTATAAAGAAAAAGTGGTTTAGTGGACTCACAGTTCCACGTGGCTGAGGAGGCCTCACAATCATGGTGGAAGGCAAAAGGCATGTTTTACATGGCAGCAGACGAGAAAATGAGAACGAAGCAAAAGGGGTTTCCCCTTATAAAACCATCAGCTCTTGTGAGACTTATTTCACTACCACAAGAACAGTATGGGGGAAACCACCCCCATGATTCAGTTATTTCCCACCAGGTCCCTCCCACAGCACATGAGAATTATGGGAGCTACAATTCAAGATGAGATTTGGGTGGGGACACTGCCAAACCTCATAAACAATAATAGCAAATAGACATAATACTCTGTCCCAGGCACTATTCTAGGGCCTTGATGTAAATTAACTCATTTGATCCTTACAACCACCCTCTGAGGAATGCAGTATTTTTTCCCATTTTTCAGATGAGTAAACTTAAGCTTAGAGAAAGTGACTTGGCCACAGTGCAGAGCCATCATTTTGAGAAGCAGGTATTCATGTTGAAGGAGGCTGAATCCAGGGGTTTTGCTTTTAATTTCTTGGCTCTGTTTAGAACTTTGGAAATTCAAGCTGGCTAACTCTATCGTATTGCCAAGGAATAGTCTACTTATCTATAAGCAGGGACATTGCTCATTATTGTACATTCTTTCATCTCAGAGCAACAGCAAGGCAACTTGTGATTGATTTTATACTTTAATGAAGGCCTCTCAGTATGTAGAGACATTTTTTCCCAAGACATGATTTTGACTAGAGGTTTCTAAAATTGTGTACATTTATATATAGTGTGCAAGGAATACCATTCTGCTTTCTCCAATATTTGATTAGAAATAGAGGGACAAATCTGTAATACTTAACACAAACTCAGTTTATAGTCAGTTCTGTATGTAAGCAGAGCATTCCATGTTTGTGTCTGTTTTTTTCTATGCAATTAGGAAAAACATTTATCTTCTAAATTATACCATATGTTCTTGTTCTGAGTAAGCAGTGGTTCCAGTGGTTTCTTTGAAAAGTCTGCTTCTAGAATTAGATGTATCATTTATATATATATTTTTTTACTTTCCCGCCTTTTGATCAGTTTGGGCTCTTTTCCTTGTTTGCTCTGTTGTCATGAGTAGATTTAAATTTAGTTGTGAGAGCACATGAAGATGTGGCACCAGGACCATTTCGGGGTTAGCAAGGGAGGGCTTCATACAGTCGTGCAAATATTATAATTGGGGGGTAGGTTCATGATAAAATTAGCCTGGAGAAATCAGACTAGCTGTTAGTGCCAATCATCTGGCTAGTAGAGAACAGTTTTTTGGTTTTTTGTTTTTTCACCTGGCCACCCTACCAAGTCTCTATTATTTAATGAGCCCTAGGGCTAGAATTCCACACAGACAGTGATGTTAGCTATTATTTGTGTCATCATCTAGCTCATTGTTATCCCTATGGGATGAATGAGAAGAGGATTACCATTTTGCCATTCTATTTCAAAACAGCTTCTATTCAATCTTTTCTTTGGGTCAGCCAGTGTTCTCAGTTAATGAGTGGTGGGCCCAATGTGGTAGCATAACAGGAAATACATTTTTATGAGAAAGCACTGCTGGGGTTTCCAGCCGTTCCTAAAACCTCACTTGCAATTCCGTGAGTAGTAAAAAGAAGATTCAGGCCACCTCTGGACCTACTTCAACTTTGCTTCTTGTGAATAAACAAATGCAAAATAGTTCTAGTTTGCCTAAACATTTTGAACTTCTAAGGTAAATCCCAGATGACCTGTAAGTTGGGAAGCAGGGTTGCTAAGAGACCTTGGGGGTGGGAGGCGGGTAGGGTCTGAGGTGCTGGGAAACGCATATTTAGTGAGACCTCCAGATTTCTCAATGTTCATTCAATTTTTAATGTCCTGAGTCTAACACAACAGTTATGGGGACTGGATCTGGCTCCTAAGACTGCAAGAGTAAGGCCTCTCCCATTAAAATTCTGAGATTCCATGAGTTTTCTTCCAGAACTTAGTGGCAGAATGAAGTAACTGACAAGTAATAAGGAATATATCCAAAATTAGAAAATCAGACTTTCAAATGCCATACAGGTTTATTTTCTTACTGTGTGCCATTTGGGACCAACAGAGCAACGGCTAGTTTTACCAAGAGATTATATTTGAATGATACCTGATTTGGTATTTCATTTAAAGTTCTGGAAATGGGCTGGGCGCAGTGGCCCATGCCTATAATCCCAGCACTTTGGGAGGCTGAGGCAGGCAGGTCACCTGAGGTCAGGAGTTCAAGACCAGCCTGGCCAACATGGTGAAACCCCATCTCTACTAATAATACAAAATTAGCCAGGCATAATGGCGCACCCCTGTAATCCCAGCTACTCGGGAGGCTAAAGGAGGAGAATCGCTTGAACCCAGGGGACAGAGGTTGCAGTGAGCCAAGATCGTGCCATTGAACTCCAGCATGGGCGACAAGAGCGAAACTCCCTCTCAAAAAATAAATAAATAAATATAAAGTTCTGGAAATGGATCCTTTTGCTATTCAATCATCTTTCTACATGTGAATGTAAATATCACTATAAATGTAAACATAGTTAAATATGAAATCAATTTCAGTTTATTGGATTAACTTTTATTGTGAGCTAATACAGCTTTAAAATAAAACAGATCACCAAGCTGCTAGAGATGAACTCTGGTTTCAGTTATATTTGTCATTAACACTTGTGTGAGAAGGGGAGGACCATCATGTTTAAACCAGTGAGTGCCACAGTTGTCTCTTACAGCTAGTAAGTAGAATGAACTTTTAAGTGGCTTTACCAGGAAGGCTGAGTCCATAAGTGAATGGTTAGGAACCCTAACCTTTACAGAGGGAATGTTTTATAGTTTCTATTGGCAATAACAGTGTAAAATTGCTGAGAATCAAAATATTGCTAGCCACAATGCCATTCCTTCTGACCCCCTTACCCTACACATACCCCTGGAGAAATAATATAAATTTAAAACCTGAAATTACTCCTGCTTTCCCATTTCCCCCCTTATTTTCATAGACCACCACCTTTTCTTTTGATCCCTACTATCTTTCTTTCCAGTGGGAAAGTGGCTCCTTTATGTGAGCCAGTATGCAGCAATTCCAGCAAACCTAATAAGAAACAATTCTGTTCTTTCTTACTAAACAGCTTATTCACGTGGGTAAGGCCTAGAATGTCTAGTGTTACCAGCTTCCCCAGTGAATGACTATTACGCCCGCTGCCAGGGAGCCCCTCTGCCTCCCTCCTACCTGAGCAGATCCTGGGCAGTTCATAGTGACTCAGTTTAGGTTATCAGTTTTATCCTTCTGGTGACTTCCTGATCCTGGGTTATTCTACTTAAGGTCGTTAGGACAGACTGTAATCATTACATTCATCTCTGGGAATCTTATTAACTCTGTAATTTTTCTACTGTCCAGATTCGCCTCGTCACTTCTGGTGGTATCATTTAATCTGCTGGCTGCTGAGTGCTGCCGGGATCATCTGCATTCTTGTAGCACACGAACACTACACTATCGATGTGATCATTGCTTATTATATCACAACACGACTGTTTTGGTGGTACCATTCAATGGCCAATGAAAAGGTGAGAGCAGTGAAGATGCTTGGATAATTTCTTTTCTTTGAATGCAGTGGACCCTTTTCATGTCGTGGGGTTTTAGATAGCCTAATGGGGATAACCGATGTTGCCACATTCACTTAAACATATATCCATTACTGCTTTTTAAAATAAAGCAAAGAACTTCACAAATATAAATGCCATTTATGGATAAAAATGCCATAAAGTTATGGAGCACAGTGCATTGCTAATTCAGGTAACTTAAACTAGAATGAAAAAATATATGTACTAAATTAAAATTTAGGAACCTTCTCTGTAAAAGCATTGTAGTGCAGCTGGGTAAGACATAATCCTGCCTTCAACTTAAATTAATTTTAAGGAGAAGGTAACAGCTATTTTTTTTAATTTTTTTTTTTTTTGAGACAGAGTCTTGTTCTATTGCCCAAGCTGGAGTACAGTGGTGCAATCTTGGCTTACTGCAACCTCCACCTTCCAAGTTCAAGCGATTCTTGTGCCTCAGCCTCCCAAATAGCTGGGATTACAGGTGCACGACACCACGCCTGGCTAATTTTTATTTTGTATTTTTAGTAGAGACAGGGTTTCACCATGTTGGCCAGGCTGGCCTTGAACTCCTGACCTCAGGTGATCCTCCCACCTCGGCCTCCCAAAGTGCCAGGATTATAGGCGTGAACCACCGTGCCCAGCCGATAGCAGCTATTGTTTAAAATCACACAAAATAAATAGCTTATGAATGACTGGATTTGGTATATCCTCTGGTGATAATGGTGCTCTCTGGCTTCCCTTCTGATTCTTCCTCATTTGCTACTGCTGCTTCCTTGTTTCCAGATGCCTTTTCTTTCTTCTCCCATTGAAACTTAAAGAGCTAGCTCAAATGCCACCTCTTCCAGGAAGCTGTCTCTAACTCTTGCTCTCTTCCTCTGGTCCGAAGGCAGAATTATTCCTCCCAGTCTCTCTTTTCTCCTAGTCTTGGTATGTGTCCTTGGTGTAATAGAGTTGGTCTGTGTACCATGACTTACTTATCTTTGAATAGACTTGCCATATTGTCAATTTGGAGAATTTGTGAGCAATTGAAATATTACATTTCCAAAGGATCTACGTCCAACTCTTGGTGTCCACTAATAAATGCTCTTTCTTTGGATTACTTTATTTCTCTTTGTAGCTCTGTTTCCTATTTTGTAGTCTCCCATTTCCATCTTCCTTCTTACACTTCCATCTAGTTGACTACTGACACCACTGAACCAAAATTTTCATCTTTCCTCTTAAATGTGTTCAACTTCTGAGCTCTTCTTTCACTCTTTGACTTGCTTGGCCCCTAGATTTGATCACTCACACATCCTGAAAATTATTCCTCCTGAATAATTCTGAAATCCATTCCCAGAGTCTCCATTCTTACTGGAATTGCAGGCAGAAGAAATTGCATGAGCCACAAAGGAAAGAAAGACACCTAGGTGTGTTAGGGGAGCGGAGTCATGGTAGAGTTAGGGAAAGGACATGAAAATCATTACTGCCATGTGATTCTGAATTCTGTTTTCCCTAGGTTACAGTGAATGACAATTTAAGAAAATAATTGGGATGCAAATTGAGAAAGATATGTCTCATTTAAATTTTTTTCTACCATTTACAGAACTTGAAGGTCTCTTCACAGACTAATTTCTTATCTCGAGCATGGTGGTTCCCCATCTTTTATTTTTTTGAGAAAAATGTACAAGGCTCAATTCCTTGCTGCTTCTCCTGGCCGCTGTCTTGGCCTCCTGGCTGCTTCAAATCATCATGCAAAAAGTATTCACGGGTTCAGAAGATTGGTGAAGACAATGAGAAATCGACCTGAGGAGCAAAACAAAGGCATCAGCTCTTACACCAAAAGAGTTAACGCTGTAACCAAAGGTATAGTTTTGTTTTTTATTTTAGGAGAACTGACTGGTAAATGAAGAAATGGACCAAATTTTGTGTAAACGATTAGAAAGATGAACAAAGTATTGCCCTTTGACTGGTTTTCTTCTTCATCCTGAGAAAGATACATTCTCTTGCAGCTCTTCATTCATTGGTGACAAGCCCCCACCCCGGGACTTTACTAATGAGCTTGTTAAAGAGGTGCCAAAGAACATATTCCTCCTTTCTTTATTCTTTCTCCACCAAAACCCTCTACTTCAGAATTTTTTCAGGATATTTTTCAGCCCAAGGTCAGAAGAATGTGTTAATATTTTAAATAAAATATCTGGACATCTACAGCCACTGTGTAAATAGAACTGCCTAATGTTGAGAGTGGTTTTTAGCATTAGGTTTAGCAAGGGGGAGATCCGTGGGTTGTGCGTCAGCTTTGGGTGAATTTTGTTTCTACCCTGTCACGGGGAAAGTTCGGGTTGAGTCCAGGAGTGCACACTGCTGCTGCCACCCAATGCGCTACATATCACTTTTTTTTGTTTTGTTTTGTTTTGTTTTTAAAAGATCATTTTATCTTAAAAAGGAAAGCTGATCCAAGTAAACACGAAAGTATTTGACACACCCCACAGATTTTACATGTGTGTAAATGTTTCACTTTAAAATCTCTATGACAGATACACAGGAAACATGAGATGGTTTCTGCTAATGAGTGGCCCTTGAGTACACACTTAGATGCTGTCTGCCCTGTAAATTTGGATCTGGTGCCCCAGGGCAGTCAACTCTTCTAGCACAGGCTGAAAACACGTGTGTGTCAACTGAGGTTCACACCACTTGGGGAATGAGCCTGTTTTCTTTCCAGGTCAGGCCCTGGTGTGAGATCAATTTTAGGGCTCCTAATTGGAGCACAGAAATGTATTTGGTCAAATTTCATTGAAGGTGATTTCTTCCTTTTTCTGTTGTACTTTATGGAAAAACCAAGATGGAACCTGAAAGTTAATGTATCCTTGCTTTTAGCAAGAGACTCAGTTTCTTATAACTAGTCCTAAGGACATATGCCGCAATTGAGTAATTTTACTTTTACCCTATGAAAATAACATGGTGCTGCACTATAATATACTCTCGGAATCAGTGTGTTAGTTACAGCTATACAGTGAAGGGGGATAACTGTTTCTAAATTTCTTTAAGGTGATGCCAAAAAATGGATTAAAAAATCTGATCAGATTTAATGTTACCAGATTTAGTGCATTATTTAATGCTATTGGATCTTTTGGATAATTCTTGGCTTAATTTCTTAGCTACTTGAAGGTTAATTTGCAAGACTTTTAAAACCTTAGAAAAGTTTTAAGGTTGCAAAGTTATCAACACTGGGGCAGAGGGTGGAGAGGCCAATGCGGGTAGAAGGAGGCAGTTATGTTTATATTGAAGGTGAAATTTTTCTTTCATTTAGAATGGAAAACATCCCCAAATGTATCATTATAAACTAGTCAGCCTTGACTACACAAAATTGACCTTTAAGTTGCTTGAGAAAAACACAATGCAAATCGTTCAGAAGGGTCAACATCCTTTGGTGCTAAAATCTTGTGTATGTTTTCAGAATGGCTTTTTCTGTATGTTATAGAATAATCACTAAAGGAAAGGTAGTTGAATTTAAAGTCATGAAGCAAGACTCTTTAATTCAGTTATTTTAAACAAGAATTAAAACCCCAAACATCCTTGGCAGGCTTTGAAGCACACAGAATTTTCTAGTATTTCTTATTAAATACACCAATAATAAACATATACTTAGTTTACCTGATGAGTTTAGACATAATTCTATATAATGTTCGCTTATATTCATTTATTAACTAGCAACACTTGTGCAAGAACAAGGTATTCTGCTTGAAAACACTGATTTTTAAGTTCCTGTTGCCCGATTGTAAAGAAAATCATCTGACACAGAAGCCTGGATTTTGCTCTCCTAACACTGGTGTTTTCCTTGAGCCTCTAATTCAAATAAAACAAACTGATACACCTTACAGCCTTATTCATCTGTGTCTGGATAACTCACTTTTCATCTATTGAATAAGAAAAAGTGTTTAAACTTAATAAAATAAAAAATTGTGCACCAATTACTACAGATCCTTGAAACAGTAAGCCTTGGATTTTAGTCAAGTAATCCAGTTTTTTTTTAATTTAAAAAAAACCATCACCTTTTAAAGAACTTTAAAAACACCTGTGATGCCAATGTGGACATTGCCGCTGCCATGTCTTTACACGCATGTGTCGTATAGCTCTGTCATCGAGTTGAGGAAGTCCATGGTTTGCAAATAAGGGTGGGGGAATCAAAATTTCAAGATGGAAAAATAAAACAAATAGTAAAACCCATTTACATGTAGGAAAGAAAAGTTGAGCTTCAACCCAATGTGCCACTTTGATATAAAACAAGTATGATATATATATAAACTGAAGATATAAAACAAGTATGATCTTGCCTTTGAAATCATAAATGTTTGGGGTACCTGTTCTTTGCCAGTTAAGATACATATCTTATTATCTTTGTTTTTTTCAAGTCTATGCTCCTGTTTGAAGCTTTTCCTGTAATTTAGGTTGTCTGTGAAATACCTATAACATATAATTCCTATAGAGTATGCCACATTTTTTTTCTAACTCATTTCAAATGAAATTCTCTCAGATTCTAGTTTTTGAGCTTGTCCACTAGATCTGAAAATAAAGCATCCTTTCCTGAGTCCACTTGAACTAATTGTGAATTTGTTACTTAATTTACTGGCATCTTGGGAAACAAGTTTTGCTGTGGCAGGAAGGCTGTTTTGAGAGTGAGCGTTGAGTCTACTCTGGTTTGTGGATGACATTGCATTAGGGTTATTTCCTGTATTACCAGTGCCCCCTTGTGGCAATATACTTTATGACTTGGAATGCAAACACCACTTTTAAAAGCCTGTTTTCAAGTTTTTGAAAGGCATTTGTTTTCTGTTGTTTGCCAATAATCTGAAAGTATCATGTGAAAGGAATTATTTTAAAAGCATTTTAAACCTTTCCCAAAGGTAAAATGTGCTCAGATTATAGGCACTTGTAATTCTAACCTTGTATCCATTTGATCAAAGAAAATTTGTAGAACATTTTTACCTCTCATGATCACAATCATTAGTGTCTCCCTTTATAACGACCTATGTTTTGTTTACTTTGAAACACCAAATTTGTTGTCTTGGTTTTTTTTACATGACAGAACTCATGCAGTTTCTTTTTTAGTTGAAAGTTCACATCTTGCCCCTTGAATAGTTTGAACATTTCTTTCTTAATTCTTTTTTGTTTTTGTTTTGCACTGTAAAACTGATGAAAACTTTAAGCCAATCTTAATGCACTAGCCTCTGTAGTGTAAGGAAGTGTGAGAAGGAGTTTCTTAATGAGTTTACACGTTTAAATCAAGCATATTATAAGTTATATGCCATGTGTTGAAGGCTTTTCTATTTATATATATAAAGATTTTTAGTATTTGTTTTTAGTGTCCTTGTGTTGCAATAATTTAACTCCTTTGACTCAGTTGCTGAAAATATTTCTTCTATTAAGAAGTGCTCTTGACTTCAACACCCAAACACTGAAAATCATGTCAATGTTACCCAAAGATAAGTTTTTATACAGATACACACCTTATAAGTTCTGATTTATTTTCTTACTCATTATGCTGTGTTCTAAATAAATCATGAATGAGAAGAGTGCTTTATTGTGAAATTATTTAAAACTGTCCTTTAAAAGAAAAAGAGGAAACGATGAACAAAAACTAATCTAATTGCCAAGTTAGAATTCATTATTTAATTTACCTCCTATGCAATGATTAATGCTGCAAAATGTATGGTTATGTTACCGTATATTCACAAAAGAAATATTATTACAAGGTTTCAGAGGTAGCCAATTGCATTCTTTTGGAAATTTACTGTACTGTTTCAATGTGTTAAGTGCCTTGTTGTAAAGTAAAATTTTAAGTCTAGATTCATTATTTTCCTGACATATATTTTTCATTATGATATCTACTGTATGCTATTGTGATAGTTTTATGAAATGCTTACATTTTAATCAAATATGTAAATTTCAGAAGCTCTTTTTTCCTACCCACCAGTACCTTAATCATTGGTTTATCACATTGGATTCAAATTCAGGTTCCTTTTTTGATAAAGAGGAAATTTGTTTTCCATGCTTGTGATTTTGTGTTTGTAAACATTTCAGGAGGAATTTAGGAGTGTAACTATAGTTTATACTTCTATAATGTTGTCTTACATTTACATTTTTAAGTGCCTAATTGTTAAAACTGATTTATGTTTCTCTTCTAAAGAGGATATGTGTACTTGGTTTCTAATCTCTTTGGTTTTGCTTTTTAAAAAATGCAAGAGCCTATACTTTGTATTTACCTAATAAACCACAGTGACATCAACAGTCTTTTCAAAATTAATATTACTGTTTCTTTCCATTTACAAAATGTGTCATTTTTAAAAGAGTTCTAGTTTTAGAGTACTTGTTAAAACCGCAAGAGGGATATTTTCTTCAAGCACTATTTTTAAAATAAAGTAATAACTTTCAATTAGTGGATTTAAGGTGAAAAATAATTCAGAACAATACAAGGTCATTCATGGAGAAGAAAATAATCACACATTCCATGATTCTGATTTTCATTGTTCACAAGAGGACAAAGTCACTCATGAAAAGCAGACCCCTTTCTGTCACTAGGTCTCCTTATGCCTTCACAAGACAGAAGCCTAAGGTAATATCCTCAACTGGAGTTTGCTAGACATTGCAACAGCAAGGTGCGGTAAGTAGGTTTTGAATCTGCTGATGACAAATGCCCCTCCTCCAAGATAAATTTTGTAAAAGCAATTCATTGGGGTGAAGTGAATAGGATAAGATAATAAGGTTCAAAGAGTAAGTTACAGGAGATAGTCCAGGCTTTATCCTTAGATTATCTAGAAATGATGGAGCATAGATCAGAATAGTTTTTCTGCCACCTCCACCCAGACCTTGGATGAAAAGCTCATCACAGTGACGTTCCCATCATCCTGTGGAAACACTGGCATGCTGATTTTGCTGGCCATATAGCTTCAAAGTCTGCCCTTATCTAGAATGCATCGTGCAAGAAACTAACGTGAACTCTTGTTCATCGTGCAAGGGACTAACAGGAACTTTTACTAAGGGGCTAATTCATTCTGGGTTCCATTTGTTTTCTTCATACAAAAGCTCTTGAGTGTGCCTCCTACGAGAGGATAAAACTCTCTGGGCATTTTTGAAAGTACTGAGGATAGTGAAGTTTTTTAAAGTAGTACTCTGTCTCTTACTCCAATAAGGAATCAATAGGCACTTTACAACTGCAGTTAAAGTGGCATTTTCAATCACACTAATCATGGGCAAGTTTCCTAAGTAATTAAAACCACTTTAAAACAAAAAAGAATGGTGATCATTCATGCTTGGTTTGAGATCTCTACCTCACAGCTGTTGATTTTAGAATTAGAATGTAGTGGTGTGTCCAAACAAGTTTTGCCACCAGGATTAGATGCTAGTCTCACTAGAAAGTGAATTTAAATTCGCTTACTTCAACCCCCATCTCATCCCCACCACATTTAAAGATAGAAAAGTATCTATATGATCTATATGTCTACTTAACGACAGACTCAGCTTCAAGTCTGTAAGGTTTTTTGATTGCAGGTCATTACAGTCTTGACCCTGCGTAATGCCTTCAGTCTCTCCAGATGATCATGCTATTAAGAGGTCGCCACAACTTTTGATAATATTCATCTTCCCTGATATTTTGAATCTCCTGCTGAGACACAGGAAGACAGGAAACTAGACTATGTTCACCAACCATTTGAGTGATTCTGTGTGCCATACACTAGAGCTGCTGATACATAAAATTCCTGACATTTAAGTGGAAATGTCTGCACTATAAGACTCGCCCATAACTCCTAAGTCACATCATAAGAATTTCAATTGCATAAAATATATGCAAGTCTTAGGAAATGTTTGTAAGTTTTAGGAAATGTTGGTCAGGGCCTTCATAGCCAGCTAGATGTTTCAGAAGTGGAAGTGAATTGCTTTTCTGGATGCATTGTCACTGAATTTTACCATTCTTTTCTATTTAATATTTTAGCAAAATTGCACAATAGACATCAAATTTTATCTCATCCAAAGGTTGGGAGAGGTCATATTTTATCTCATCCAAAGGTTGGGAGAGGTCATGTTTTATCTCATCCAAAGGTTGGGAGAGGTAATGTGCCATGGGCTCTGAGCATCCATCCAGCACATTTTTTGCTGGGCATGCTGAGTGCAAGGCCCTAACTCCTGTTACCCAGGCCATTTCTCAGGATTGTATTTGCAGTAAGCAATGTTAAGTAATGAGGTAGCATATCACCCTAAATAAAGAGAAGTCTTTTTTTCTGTTTACTGTAAAGCAGTAAAAATGCGAAGCTCAGTGGTCCTCAGTTGAGGTGAAAACCCACTGCATATGTAACATCTGTCTTCACCTCTCCAAGTCATCCCCATGGGATTTGAGAGACAAGGGAGCCAAAGGGACCATGCTGACACTTTGGATACTGCTATGCTATGTGTAGTGAAGTCCTTTGTCTCTGACTCAGGAGTCTTGTGTCTTCTAGCATCCAATGAAACAGGAACAGGCTAACTTGTGGGCTTGTAAGTAAAGTCATAGATGCTTCACGAATTGACATGTAAATTTTATTTTCTTCTAATAAATAAGAATATCAGAAGCATAATACTGTATTAAGTTAGGATAGTAATGGATTATGTATTACTGTGTGTGTATATAGATATATGTATATAATGCACATTTAATCCATATGTGGCACCCGTAATCAAACATAGCATTTTACAGTTAACGCTTGGCATACATTTTTTAATCTAAGTTAGGATAGTAATGGATTATGTATTACTATGTGTATGTATATAGATATATATATATATAAAATGCACATTTAATCCATATGTGGCACCTGTAATCAAACATAGCATTTTACAGTTAACGCTTGGCATACATTCTTTAATCTTCACAAAACCCTGTGAAGTAAGCAAGGCAAGAGAAGGTGACCCCATTTTATGACATGAAAGGGTTCATAAATGTTAGAGCTAGAACTTGAGTTTTGTTTTTGTGGGCTGTAGCTTGCTGCCTCCCTGTCGTAATTACTATGGTCACCATCACAGTTAGGGTTTTGTTAGGAAATTAGTTTCAGAAGCAAACTGTCCTTGGGACAGGTTCTTTGTCACATGCTACAGATTTTTCTTAAAATTACAATTTACTAATTTCAAAGGGGAGAAAAGTTGGCTCCTAGTGCAAAATGGCCTTGAAGGCAAAAGAACTCCTCAAGAATCCTCGAGTGTCTGAACCCACAAGTTTGTTAGAATAAAGCAAACTCACTGTCAATGAGTTTTAATGTCATATGTCTCAGATTATGTTTCCAAAGCCCCCACTCTGCCTGCCTTTCCCACATTGTGCACACTAATCAGATACATGAATTGTTTAGCCGTAATCTCTCCAGAAACTTCCAGAAAAGTGAATGATGAATTGCTAGTGTGGAAATGTCTTTTTTCTAATAAAAAGAGAAGATTTCATTCACTAATCTATGGCACCCTTGACCATGGGATTAAGAGTGATCCTGTTATCCCAGTCCCAAGTATTAAGTTGGTGCAAAAGTAATTGCGGTTTTTGCCATTGCTTTTAATTTCAAAAAACACGATTACTTTTGCACCAATCTAATAACTCCAGCTGATCCAGCACAGTGACACAATATGTTTAGTACCATCCTGTACCACCAACAAAATTACTGTATTTCACCAGTAACTAGTGAGTTGATTTTTTAATAACCTGCCTATATATTGGAGAGAATATCAGAGTTTGGGCAGTTCTCAGAGGATTTTGAGATTAAATTATATCAGAATTCAGTTCAAAAACAAATAATTGTTCAATATTGTTTTGTATAGCAGCCTTTACAAAAGAAGTGGTGACAAGTCTTCTCCTGGAGCTATATAAAATGAAATTGCCCAAACTGAAAAAAATTGCAAATATGTGGGAATTAACCAACACACTTAACTGGTGGAGCAAAGAAGAAATTGCAAGGGAAATTTGATAATACCTTGAGACAAATAACAAAAATGCAGCATACCAAAACTATGGGATGCAGCAAAACCAGCACTGAATGAAATGTATACCTACAAATGCATATGTTTTAGAAAAGAATAATGTAACTTTAGATCTTAAGGTACTTGAAAAAGAAGACGAAATAAAATTCAAAGTTAGCAGGAGGAAGGAAATAATAAAGACTAAAACAGAGATAAATAGAGAATAGAAAAATAATAGAAAAATCAATGAAATGAAAAGTTGGTTCTTTGAAAAGAGCAGCAGACTTGACAAACCTTTAGCTAGATTGCCTAAGAAAAGAAGGCTCAAATTACTAAAATCAGAAATGAAAGTGGAGATATTACCACTGATTATACAGAAATAGGATTATAAGAGTACAATGAACAAATGTACAAAAAACCTACCAGTACCGAATCATGAAGCAATAGAAAATCTAAACAGACCTCTAATTAGCAGGGAGGTAGAATGAGTAATCAGAAACTTTTCAACAAAGAAAACCCTGAACTGTGGCTTTGTTGGTGAATTCTACTATGCATTTAAGGAAAAAAGTAGCCAGACGTGGTGGCTCACGCCTTTAATCCCAGCTCTTTGGGAGGTTAAGGTGGATGGATCACTTGAGCCCAGGAGTTTGAAACTAGCCTGGGCAACATTAACAAAACCCCATCTTTATCAAACAAACAAACAAAATAGCTGGGCATGGTGACACATGCCTGTGGTCCCAGATACTTGGGCACAAAATAGGAGGACTGCTTGAGCCTGGAAGGTTAAGGCTGCAATGAGCTGTGATCACACCAATGCACTCCAGCCTGGGCAAAAGAGCGAGATCCTTTCTCAAAAAAGAAATAAAGAATTAACATCAATACTTCTTAGACTTTTCCAGAAAGAAGAAAGAACACTTCCTAATTCAGCCTGTGAAGCCAGTTATCACCAATACCAAAGCCAGACAAAAACACTACAAAAAAAAACAAAACTTAAGACTAATATACCTTATAAACATTGGCACAAAAATCTTCAACAAACTACTAGCCAACTGAATTCAGCAGCATATTAAAAGGGATATATAACAAGACCAAAAGAGATTTATTCCTGAAATGCAAGGATGGTTTAACATGAAAATCAATCAACATAATACATTAACAGAATGAAGAGTGAAAAGTACATGATCATTTCAATTGATGCAGAAAAAGCATTTTACAAAATTCAACATTCTTGCATGATAAAACTAAACATACTAGGAATAAAAAGAAGTTGCTTCAACATAAGGAAGTTATCATGAAAAAGCCAGCTAACCTTATGTTCAGTGGTGACTGAAAGCTTTTCCTCTAAAAGGGAAATGTCAAGAATGATCAGGAACAAGTGAAGAATGCCCAGTTCTCCACCTCCATTCAACATAGTATTGGAAGTTCTTGCCAGAGCAATTAAGCAAGAAAAAGAAATAAGAGGAATTGAAATTGGAAAGGAAGAAGTAAAATTAACTATTTGCATATGACATGATCTTATATGTTAAAAATTCAACAGAAAAACTTTAGATTTCAAATCATGAGTCTGAATGAAAAGTTAAAAATTAAAAAGTTAAAAATGAAAAATTTTAAATTGTTATATCTAATGAATGAATTCAGCAAATTTGCAGACAAAAACACACAATCGTTTGTATGCACTAACAATGAACAATCTGAAAAGGAAATTAAGAAAATAATATCAATTATAATAACATCAACAGAATAAAGTACTTTGGAATCAATTTAACCAAGGAGGCAAAAGACTTGTGTGCTGAAACTACAAAACATTGCTGAAAGAAATTAAAGATCCAAATAGATGGGAAGACATCCCATGTTCATGGATTAGAATACTTGATATTGTAAAGATGACAATATTACCCAAAGCAATCTACAGATTCAATGCAATCTCTATGAAAATATCAATGGTGTTTTCTACAGATATAGAACAACCTGTCCAAAAATTCATATGGAATCTGAAGGGAGTAAAATAGTAGCCAAATTGTTTGTCAGTATGCCCAAATTTTTCAGAATAGCAAAAACTACTGAAAAAGGAATGGTTGGAGAACTCATATTTCCTGATTTCAAAACTTACTCCAAATGTACAGTAGTGAAAACAGTGTGGTACTGGCACAAAGATAGACATACAGACTAATGGGATAGAATAGAGACCCCCGAAGTAAACTCTCACATATATGGTCAGTTGATTTTCAATAAAGGTACTAAGACCATTAGATGGAGAAAGGATTGGGGTGGGGCAGGTGGGATTGCTGTTTTTGTTGTTATTGTTTTTGTTTGTTTGTTTTGAGACACAATCTCACTCTGTCACCCAGGCTGGAGGGCAGTGGCACAATCTCAGCTCACAGCTACCTCCGCCTCCTGGGTTCAGGCAATTCTAGTGCCTCAGCCTCCCAAGTAGCTGGGACTACAGGTGCGTGCCACCACACCCAGCTAATTTTTGTATTTTTAGTAGAGAGAAGATTTCGCTATGTTGGCCAGGCTGGTCTTACTCCTGGCCTCAAGTGATCCACCTGCCTTGGCCTCCCAAAGTGCTGGGATAACAGGTGTGAGCCACCATGCCTGGGCAGCATAGTGTTTTTAACAAACAGTTCTGTGAAAATTGGAAATCTACATACAAAAGAATGAAGTTAGATTCTTACCTTATACCCCATACAAAAATTAATGCAAAAAATGGATCAAAGACCTAAATTTAAGAGCCAAAACTATGAAACTCTTAGAAGAAGCAGATGAAGCTCTTTATGACCTTGGACTGGGTAATGACTTATTAAGTATGACATCAGAAGAATAAGCAATAAAAAACAGATAAACTGAACTTAATCAAAATTAACTTTTTTGCATCAAATTACAGTATGAAGGGAGCAAAAAGACAATCCACAGAATGACAGAAAATAGCTGCAAATCCTATATCTGATAAAGCAGTTGTCTCCAACCTTTTGACACTAGGGACTAGTTGCGTGAAAGACAATTTTTCCACGGACCAGCAGGGAGGAGGGAGATGATTTCGGGACGAAAGTGTTCCAGCTCAGATCATCAGGTAGTAGTTAGATTGTCATAAGAAGCATGCAACCTAGATCCTTCGCATGCACAGTTCACAACAGGGTTAGCGCTCCTATGAGAATCTAATACCACCACTCATCTGAAAGGAGGTGGAGCTCAGGTGGTCATGCATGCTCACAGGCCTTCTACTCACCTCTTACTATGCAGCCCAGCTCCTAACATGCCATGGACTGGTACCAGTCTGCAGCCTGGGGGATGGGGACCCCTATGATAAAGGATTCATATTCAGAATATCTAAAATGATCCTACAACTCAGCAACAACCAAACAACCTAATTCAAAAATGGGCAAAGGATTTGAATAGACATTTCTCCAAAGAATATATATAAATGTCCAGAAAGCATATGAGAAGATGCTCAGCATCATTAGTCATTAGAAAAATACAAGTCCAAAACCACAATGAGATACACGTTACTACCATTAGGATGGCTGTTAAGGAAAAGACAAACACAAAATGACAAGTGTTGGTGAGGATATAAACAAATTGCATTCTTCATTTACAGAACCCATTAAAAAATAATAAAAGAAATTGCAACCCTTATTGTTGCTGGTGGGAATGTAAAATAGTGCAGCTTCTGTAGAGAACAGCATGTTGGGTCCCCAAAAGAATTACCATATGATCCAGCAATTTTACTCCTCTGTATTTAGCCAAATAAATTGAAATCAAGGACTCAAACAGCTATTTGCACACCAGTGTTCATAGTATTATTCACAGTAGCCCAAAGGTGGAAACAATCTATGTGTCTATCAACAGATGAAAGGATAAACAATGTGATATATACAACAATGGAGTATTATTCAGCTATTAAAAGGAATGGAATTCTGACACATGCTACAAACATGAGTAAACCTTGAAAATGTTATTCTAAGTTAAATAAGCCAGATACAAAAGGACAAATATCATATGATTCACCTTAAATAAGGTACCTAGAATAGGCAAATTCATAAAGACAAACGGAATAGAGCTTATGACTAAAGGAAAGGGAGAATGACAAGTTGTTGCTTATTAGGTACAGAGTTTCTATTTGGAATAATGAAACACTTCTGGAAATAGCAGTGATAGTTACACAACACTGTGAATGTACTTAATGCCACTGAACTGTACACTTAAAAATGGCTAACATGGTAAATGTTATACATATTTTTACCACAATAAAAAAACCCCAAAAAACTCCTGACATTTCAGCATATTTTTAATTGAAAGAAACCGAAAATAACTTAGATATTTACTAATAGAGGATTTGAGTAATACATTGTGACATACTTAAATCGATTTCTTAATGGGCTCCTTGGTTTGATCTTTGCCCCTTTAGAGGCAGCAAAAGTGATTTTGTTAAAATACAAGCCAAATGATGGCATTCCTTCTCAAAAACTCTTCAGTGATGCACCATCTTACTGAGAGTAAAGATCAACATCTCTAAAATGCCCTACATTGCTACCTCTCTGATTCCATCTCTTACCACCTTTCCCTTCCTCTTTCCACTCTAGCCAGATGGCCTCCTTGTTCCTGGAAAACTCCCAGCACACCTCAGCCTCAGGGCCTTCACACTTACCATTTCTTCTATCTGGAATGCTCTTTCCCCAGGTATCTAAAAGCCGTCCATCAGGTGATCAGCTGTCTATTTAAAAGAGGCCTTCCCTGAACAACCTAAATGAAATAAAACACTCCCCTACACACACATACACACACACACACACACACAGCAATTCCTACCATCCTCTTCGTGTGCCTTATTTCCTCCATAGTACTTATCACCAACTGACATTATACATTTGTCCATCCCTTTCTATATCTTTTGTAGAGATGGAGTTTTACCATGTTGTGCAGGCTGGTCTCAAACTCCTGGGCTTGAGCAATCCACCCACCTCGGCTTCCAAAAGTGCTGGGATTACAGGCTTGAGCCACCATGACTGGCCTGTCCATCTTTTGTCTTCCCCCACTGAAAAGCTCTTCGAAGGGCAAGCACTTTGTTTTGCTTAGATAGTATCTCCAGTGCTGAGAATAGTTCATGACAATTGGTGTGCTCCAGTAAAAATCTATTGATGAAGAGTCTATTCAGTGAAATTACCAGACAGCTATTAAAAAGGATGAGGCTGATGGATACTCACTGGCGTGGCGAGATTCTCAAAATACATTGGTAGGTTAAAAGAGCAGGTTAATTAACCAAAAGTAGAGTGTGATGCCATTTATGGGGGAGCAGGAGGGAAATTATGTAAACATAAGAAATCCGAAAGGATATATCACACTTTTAATACAAGTAACTCCAAGAGGTAGAAAGGCAAAAGGGTGTGTGTGTGTGTGTGTGTGCGCGTGTGTGCATGTGTACACTTTATGTATCAATAGCCTTAGAGGTGTACCAGTTCTTTTTGGTATATTTATCCTACTGAAATAATCAAAGATGTATATATCCCACTATGGTTTATAATAGCAAAAAAACTGTAAGGAGGGTCAATAACTGGCTATTGGTTAAACTTTGAAATATTTTTAAACAATCGACTAGATTTTTTTAAATTCAAGTGTCAGGAAATAAAAGCCTGCAGGCTAAGCACAGCTGCTGCCTTTTTTCTTAAAGCAAATTTTATTGGAAATAGCCATACCCATTTATTTACTTATTGTCAGTGGCTGCTTTCCTGCTCCCACGGCAAGCAGAGTTACACAGTTGTGACAGAGACCATATGGCACACAAAATCTGAAATATTTACTATTTGGTCCTTTTCAGGCAAAGACTGCTGATCCCGGGGCTAGAATATAGTAACTAAAAATGATTTGTGGGAGGCAAGAGGATCACTTGAGGCCAGGAGTTCAAGACCAGCCTGGCTAACATGGCAAAACCTGTCTCTACTAAAAATACAACAACAACAACAACAACAATTACCGAGGTGTGGTGGCACACGCCTATAATCCCAGCTACTTGGGAGGCTGAGGCATGAGAATCAGTTGAACCTGGGAGGTGGAGGTTGCAGTGAGCCAAGATTGTGCCACTGCACTCCAGCCTGGGTGACACAGCAAGACTCTATCTCATAAAATAATAATAATAATAATAATAATAATAATAATAATAATAATAAATTTTTTTAAAAATGAGCCGGGCACAGTGGCTTATGCCTGTAATCCCAGCACTTTGGGAGGCCAAGGCAGGTGGATCATGAGGTCAGGAGTTCGAGACCTGCCTGGCTAACATGGTGAAACCCCATCTCTACTAAAAATACAAAAATTAGCTGGGTGAGGTGGCAGGTGCCTGTAATCCCAGCTACTTGGGAGGCTGAGGCAGGAGACTCACTTGAACATGGGAGGAGGAGGTTGCAGTGAGCCAAGATCGCGCCACTGCACTCCAGCCTGGGTGACAGAGTGAGACTCTGTCTCAAAAAAAAAAAATACCATTCAGGACATAGGCATGGGCAAAGACTTCATGACTAAAACACCAAAAGCAATGGCAACAATAGCCAAAATTGACAAATGGGATCTAATTAAACTAAAGAGCTTCTGGACAGCAAAAGGAACTATCATCAGAGTGAACAAGCAACCTACAGAATGGGAGAAAATTTTTGGAATCTACCCATCTGACAAAGGGCTAATATCCATAATATACAAAGAACTTAAACAAATTTACAAGAAAAAAACAACCCCATCAAAAAGTGGGCAAAGGATATGAACAGACATTTCTCAAAAGAAGACATTTATGCAGCCAACGGACATATGAAAACATGCTCATCATCGCTGGTCATCAGAGAAATGCAAATCAAAACCACAATGAGATACCATCTCACGCCAGTTAGAATGGCGATCATTAAAAGGTCAGGAAACAACAGATGCTGGAGAGGATGTGGAGAAATAGGAACACTTTTACACTGCTGGTGGGACTGTAAAGTAGTTCAACCATTGTGGAAGACAGTGTGGCGATTCCTCAAGGATCTAGAACTAGAAATACCATTTGACCCAGCCATCCCATTACTGGGTATATACCCAAAGGATTATAAATCATGCTACATAAAGACACATGCACACAGTATGTTTATTTGTGGCACTATTCACAATAGCAAAGACTTGGAACCAACCCAAATGACCATCAATGATAGACTGAATTAAGAAAATGTGGCATGTATACACCATGGAATACTATGCAGCCATAAAAAAGGATGAGTTCATGCCCTTTGCAGGGACATGGATGAAGCTGGAAATCATCATTCTAAGCAAACTGTCACAAAGACAGAAAACCAAACACCACATGTTCTCACTCATAGGTGGGAGTTGAACAATGAGAACACATGGACACAGGGCAGGGAACATCACACACTGGGGCCTGTGGAGGGGTTGGGGCTGGGGGAGGGTTAGCATTAGGAGAAATACCTAATGTAAATGATGAGTTGATGGGTGCAGCAAACCAACATGACACATGTATACCTATGTAACAAACCTTCACATTGTGCACACATACCCTAGAACTTAAAGTATTAAAAAAAAAAAAAAGATTTGTGGGAGAACAACATGGAAAATGTTAATGATATCTTTTCATTCATATATTTATAAATATGTGAATATTATAAATAGGAATATTTATAAAGTTTAGAAATACATAAGACTAGAAGAATATATACATAAATGTTATAAATGATTACCTCTGAGTGGTAAGAATAAAAAGGTGATAGTTGGCTCCTTTATAGTTTCCTGCATTTTCAAATTTTCTATGAAAACTGTATTACTCTTTTAAAAAGCAGAATAAAATATTGGCTTTGAAATATCTGGTTTGCAATGAGTATGTTCTTACCTAAAAGAAGAAGTAAGTAACCTTTCAATGTCCTTTCTTTCTAAAACTTCATTCTCAGTGAGGTTTAGAAATAAGACTTCATTATTAGGCAGAGGGCCAAGCACAGTTACCTAAACCAGGAGGTAACAATCTTGTGTTAGTTTTTTTTTTTTTTTTTCTTTTTTGAGACAGAGTCTTGCTTTCTTGCCCAGGGTGGAATGCAGTGGTGTGATCTCAGTTGACTGAAACCTTCGCCTCCAGGGTTCAAGCGGTTCTCCTGCCTCAGCCTCCCAAGAAGCTGGGATTACAGGCATGTGCCACCACGCCCAGCTAATTTTTTTTTTTTTTTTGTATTTTTAGTAGAGACGGAGTTTCACCATGTTTGCCAGGCTGGTCTCGAACTCCTGACCTCCAGTGATCTGCCTGCCTCGGCCTCCCAAAGTACTGGGATTACAGGCATGGGCCACCGTGCCCAACCCCCTTGTGTTAGTTTTATTGAAGTAACTGGCTTACACTTTGCCATGTAAATATAATTTATTCTTTCAGATTTTATTGACTAAGCATGCTGTTAATCAGAGGCCAAAGTCAAAGTCCTAAGAATCCACTTAAGAAGAATGTTAGAGACCAGAGGAATCTAAGAGTCCTTGTGTTATAACTCTCTCTTTTGACCAGATGAAGAAAACAAATCAGAAATGTTAACAGCATAGCCTGGCCAACCCAGTTAGATTTGGACAGAGGTCCCCATGTGGTTTCCACGATGATTTCTGCATAGTAAATGGAAGTAAATGAGGAAGAAATAAGGAACAGAGAATTCAGCAACGCTTTGGCGTACACAAAAATAAAATGTCAGGAATCAGTAACAATTGTGGCCAGGCTAACTAAAGTGACTAACTGTTCCTGTGGGTACCCACCTCACAATAGATTCATCTCATAAATTAAACCTGCTAAGTCTTCTTACTTCACCATGTCTTTTTCGCCAAGATACTGGCTTTTTTAAAAAAATTGTTTTACTGAGGTATAATTTACCTATAGTGAAATGCACAGTTAAGTTTTGACAAGTGCATACATCCAAGTAACCAACACTTCAGTCAAGATATAGAACATTTCTACCACCCTAGAAAAAATTTTCAATTTCCCTTTCCAAACAATCCACCCTGTTCTAATGTCTATCACCATAGGTTCACTTTGTTTGTTCCAGACTTCATATAAATGCAGCTATTTAGTATGTATTCTTGTGCCTGGCTTTTTCACTTGGCATGTTTTTTGATATTTATCCACACTGTAGAGTGTGTCATAACTGATTGATTTTTATTGTGGTGTAGTGAGCTATCAAATAAGTATACCATAGTTTCCCCTTCCCCTGCCCCCCTCTTTTGTTGAAGGACATCTGGATTGTGTTCATTTTGGTGTTAAATAAAAAATGTGTCCTAATCCTGGCACCACCTTGACCAAATAAAGGGATGTTTTCGGAATTGGATTTTGTGACTTTTGAGATTCTGCCTTACACTGTTTTAGATTTTTTTCAGGGGCCTTTCTCCCGTCATCTCTTCTCCAAGTAAATCATACATAATACATGCAAGTGGAGAGGAATGAAGTAATACTGAAGATAGGCACGTTTATTTATTCATTATACAAGACATAAAGGCTAAATATAGGAAACAATATCCTGGCAAGTCTCACATTCTAATATTGGAAAAAGCTGGTAAATCTGCAAGGTGTGAATAAGAGGCAGCAATAGTGACAACCTATTAAGTTTAAACTATTATCAAGAACCCAGTGATAACTATTATAATTACAGCTTTTATGTATTGAGTACTAGTTGCTAGACATTGTGCTATTATTTAATTATTATTATTTAATTATTTTATTTAATCCCTATGCTTGGTATAGGTATATTTATCATCCCAATTTCAGTTCAGGAACATGGAGGCTCAGAGAGTACATAAACACATATATAGAAGACACTCAACGGAATATATATGAAGCAAATCATAAGAACTTAAAGGGAACAAAGGTGTTAATTTTTAAATGGCCAGTGGAGTTGTGCAACTAAATAGTGCTAATAACATTTCTACTTTCTCTTTTCATTAGCATTTTGCAAACCCTTCTTAAGCCATGCACTCTCTCTGTTCATGCTCATTGATTCTGGATGGGTGTCGTGTGTGGTGGCATTTACCTCCCAGAGAATTACAAACCAACTGAACAATTGTAGTTTTACAAATAGAGTAATTTAATACCACTCTTTATAACAAAATAAGTACTCAGCTATTTTGGATATACTGTGACCAACAATTCCGGCCAAAATCCATGTCGAACAAGGATATAGGTAGGAAAGTGGGTGGTTTAAAATTATCTTTAGGGTCTCAATAAAAATGATTTTTTCCCATAATCCTCTATCTTTCTTACCACTTCTGCCCACCCAAAAGATCTCTTAGTATTCTCTTCCTTTACTGCTTCTGCTATTATTTTTTTACCTATATAAAATAAGAGAGATGAAGCAGAAAGTATTCCTTTATGTGGCAAAATCGCCCTGAATGTAATTTGGGGAAATTCATCCTTAAGGAGCACTGAATGAGCTGTGTGGTTTCATGTTTAAAATAGTGCATCCAGCTGGGCATGGTGGCTCTCGTCTGTAATCCCAGCACTTTGGGAGACTGAAGCAGGCAGATTACCTGAGGTCAGAAGTCCTAGACCAGCCTGGCCAACAGGGTGAAACCCTGTCTCTACTACAAATACAAAATTTGCCGGGCGTGGTGGTGCGGGCCTGTAATCCCAGCTACTGGGAGGCTGAGACAGGAGAATCGCATGAACCTGGGAGGCGGAGGTTGCAGTGAGCCGAGATCACACCACTGCATTCCAGCATGGGCGAAAGAGCGAGATTCCATCGCAAAAAATAATAATAATAAAATAAAAGTGTATCCATAATATTATGAACAATATCCCTTCCTGTATTCGTTTGCTAGGGCAGCCATAACAAAGTACTACAGACTGGATGTTTTAAACAACAGAAATTTATATTTATATCCTCACCGTTCTGGAGACTAGAAGTCAAAACTCAAGGTGTCAGCAGGGTTGATTTCTTCTGAGACCTCTCTCCTGACTTGTAGATGGCTGCCTTCTGACTGTGTCCTCACATCCTCTTTCCTCTCTGTGTCCTTATCTCCTCTTCAGACACCAGTCATATTGGTAAGAGCCCATCCACAGGACTCCATTTTAGCTTAATTACCTCTTTAAAGGCCCTTTCTCCAAATACAGTCTTATTCTGAGGCACTGGGGGTTAGGACTTCAACATATAGTGGTGAGGAGAGGCTGAATTCAGCCCAGATTTCCTATCTGCCCCGCACAGCTATTAACCTAGTGAAAATGAGAGATTTAGGAAAACACTACACGTGCAGTTACATCCTGTACAATATAAAAGGGTGGCTGTTGGAGTTGTTAAATTAGTCACAGCTTCAACTATTTTAAAATCATTTATGAATTTAAATTGCTTGTATGGGATGATGTATATAGTGGCTACTGTTTCAGAGAGCAAAGCCCTAGAATCAGATGACATCCAGAATGTCATGTTGAAGATCGTATCTGCAAACAAGTAGTTTAAATTTTTAAAAACTTCTCTTAATTCAAAAATTCAAAAAAAATGAGAAAAGTAATCTCACAAGTAGTGGTTAATTATAGAAGATGAGAGGTGTGGAGGTTTTTTTTTTTTGTTTGGGGTGCATAAGCTTAAAATAACATGAAAAGCATGTCAAAAAGAATATGAGAACAGAGTGGACTTGAAATTTAACATATCCTACTGGCATCACTTGTTTATAGAAAAATAAAATGGATCATGTATTTATTTGAGGACTCACTATGCTTTCTTTGATCACATTTTTATAGGTACAGCGTGGTGTTCAAACTTTTAATGTATGGAGAAAAATGAAACGGCTAGAAAAATGGCCCAGTACAGACAATTCTATGCTCAATCCAACTTGAACAGAAACTACAGGATTTGGCCTAAACAAGACTGAAAGGGAAGCCCTTATCAGGAAAGCCATTATCTGAGAAGATAAAATAAAGTAATACTTTGTTTTTAAAGTATTATACAATTCATATCTAATATTTCAACCTCAGCCTTTCAAGTGTTGTCTAACACCAATAATAATATTGCCACCCCTCCCTCAACCGGTTATCTTCTTTTCATATTTCTAGCTACTTAAATCCACCAAGCAAATTCTGGTTTCGCTATTTCTGGATTTAAGTACATTTTCTAATGCACCCAGGCCACACGCAGGAATGGACACAGCTTTCGCTCTCCGCATAAGTTTTCTAGCCCAGGGCAAGCTCTCAGAACGTGACTCCTCGTGCCTCGCTGCCCGCCCCTCGCTCCCCCCACTCCCGCCATCATCCCTTCCGCAGAGTTGGCTGCCAAGCCGACACCCACAGATTCTGCATTCCACGGCTTCCCAGCATCCTGCTGTCTCTGCGTGGAGGAAAGGGTGCTGCGAATCCCAGTTTAGATAAGGAACCCCGTCTTTTCACTACTACACCGAAGCATGCAGGAATAGGGCGTTGACCCCATTCTCCCAGCTCAGGGCACAGGTGCTAAGGCCGACCCATCTCACGGGCCTGTTCACCAGTTTCCCACACTCAGTACAGATCCTAACACGGTTTATGCACTTCATAACCATGCGTTTGTGTTTGTCAACTGACAAACGAGTGATAATGACAAACGAATGACACAAGGGAAACCAACAGCCAATCAGAGCGCAAGGTTGTGTTGCCAGCATCCCAGTTTCAGGGACAGTCACCGCCAAGCCCGACCCTGCAAAGGGTCGTAACCGGACTTCGGGGCAAACTTCAGGTCCCCCGCCTGCTAGCCCGCCAACCCCCTCCGCCAGGCAGCCGGCGCGCCTCCAGGTTCCGCCCAGGCGTCGCTGAGTGGCGGCGGCGGGGAGAATGCGCGCGGCGCAGCCAATCCGGGGGCGTTCCTACACCCCCTGCCCGCCCCCGACCTTCCAGAGCAGAGCAGGACACTGGCGCCGCGGGTCAGGCAGCTGCGTGCGCGTCTCCTCCAGGCAGCAAGGGGAACCCGAGGCCGCCGGCGCCCGGACCATGTCGTCTCCGGGGCCGTCGCAGCCGCCGGCCGAGGACCCGCCCTGGCCCGCGCGCCTCCTGCGTGCGCCTCTGGGGCTGCTGCGGCTGGACCCCAGCGGGGGCGCGCTGCTGCTATGCGGCCTCGTAGCGCTGCTGGGCTGGAGCTGGCTGCGGAGGCGCCGGGCGCGGGGCATCCCGCCCGGGCCCACGCCCTGGCCTCTGGTGGGCAACTTCGGTCACGTGCTGCTGCCTCCCTTCCTCCGGCGGCGGAGCTGGCTGAGCAGCAGGACCAGGGCCGCAGGGATTGATCCCTCGGTCATAGGCCCGCAGGTGCTCCTGGCTCACCTAGCCCGCGTGTACGGCAGCATCTTCAGCTTCTTTATCGGCCACTACCTGGTGGTGGTCCTCAGCGACTTCCACAGCGTGCGCGAGGCGCTGGTGCAGCAGGCCGAGGTCTTCAGCGACCGCCCGCGGGTGCCGCTCATCTCCATCGTGACCAAGGAGAAGGGTGAGCGGGAGGTCGTGGGCTGTGGGTACGCGGATGCCGCGGATGAGTCTCCAGGTGCGTGGGGGCTGCAGTTCCTGTGCCCCTTCCGGCCGCCCGCGCCCCCAGGCTGCCTCACACCTGCATCCTGAACTAACAGGTGATGGTGGTGGCGGCGCTTCTCCTTTCTGATGCCTTTAAGATCCCATCAAGTAGTGACGGACGCGTGACTTGCTCATACTCCAAGATCATAAGTAGAAAAGTCATCCGGAGATTGAGGGAGAGTAATAGGGATGGCGGAAGGACAAGGTGGCAAGCCAGGTTCCATCTTTCCAAAAGTAGCCTTCCCTTCCACCAGCTGTGACCTCGGAGAGAAACTTTGGCCCCCATGTTAGAAAGAGGGAAGGATATTCTTTTTACCTTGTGGGTTTCGAATGTAAGAATTTAAGAAGATAATTTCCAATAAGATAAAAAGTCCAGAAAACACAGAAGAAGCCTATTACCAAATCTCCGGCTTTGGTTCATAGCCTCTGATTCCTGCGTATGGGAGTCTAAATTGGACATTTTTGGGGGTTGGAAAACGTGTTATCTGCTGCAATAAAATGTCCAATCTAACCTGTCTCTACCGTCCCCCTTTGTCTTACTGGCTGGCTTAGGTCTCTGACTTCTTTTCTGAGTCACTCCTACGCATCAGTCAGGTGTTAAATGCCTTTTCCTTGGGGAAGCCTTTTCTCACAGCCTCTGCAAGTAGGGTAGCCTCCCTTGTTAGAACCAGGTCCCTTGCCCAAGCACTTTTCCTTCACTACACTTTTCAAAACTGACGCTACATAACTTTATGACCTTGGGCCTGGATGTCAGTCTTCACCACTGTTCTGACATCTAGGAGGACAGAGTCATTGCTGTCTGAAACATAGTAGGAGTTCAAGTATCTATTAAATGAATGCTATTTCCTGCCCCTATAACATGGCAAAGAAAGATCTAGGCTTTTCAGAATCTGATAAAGCCAGAGTTTTGCATCAGGATTTTAAACGGAAAAGACAAATATTGTATGATCCACTTATATGAGGTGCCTCCTAGCGTAGTGAAATTCATAGGGACAGAAAGTCTCAGTTTTGCAAGATGAAAAAAGTTCTATGGATGGATGGTAGCAATGGTTGCACAACAGTGTGACAGTACCTAATGCCATTAAGGTGTGCACTTAAAAATGGTTAAGATGGTAAATTTTATATGTATTTCACCACAATTTTTAAAAAAGAAAAGAAAAGCAGGTAGGTTTTCTCCAGGCACCCATGAGCTCAGAAGAGAATTTTAGGTAGAAGCAGTATTACGAAGGCATGTAGTGGATGAGGTGTGAACTGTGACATTTGTTTTTCAGTGGGGCATTTAAAGTATTATGATCTTTATCCCTACTCATTTAAAATCCTTAGATAATGTCTTAGTGTTCATCCATGTTGTGGCATATGTGAAAATTTTCTTTTGAAGACTAATATTCCATCATATGTACAATCATCCCTCCTTATCTGTAGGGGATTCCTTCCAGGACCTCCTGCGAATAACAAAACCCTAGGATGCTCAAGTCCCTGATATAAAATGGTGTAGTATTTGCATATAGCCTATGCATATCCTCTTGGATACTTTAAATCATCTCTAGATTATTTATAATACCTACTACAATGTAAATGCTTTGTAAATAGTTGTTATACAGTATTGTTTAAGGAATGACAAGAAAAAAAGTCTACACATTCAGTACAGATGTGTTTTTTTGATCTGCGGTTGGTGGAACCAACAGATGTGGAACCCATAAATGTGGAGGGTCGACTGTATATACCACATTTTGTTTACCCATTCATCCATTGATAGACACTTGTGCCTCCAACTTTGGGCTATTGTGAATAATGCTGCTATAAATAGAAGGGGGCAAATATCTGAGTCCCTAGGAGTTACTTGATCATGTGGTAATTCTAGGTTTAATTTTTTGAAGAACCATCATACTATTTTACAGTGAGTGCACCAGTTTACATTCCCACAGGGGTCCCAATTTCTCCACGTCCTCACCAACACTTCTTTTTTTTTTTTTTTTCACACTTGCTTTTAAGATTGGGCTTAAATGTTACCTCTTTGAGAATGTGTACCCTGAGATGCTTCCCTACCCTGCAGAAGGAGATGAACTTCTATGATACCATTGTTTCATTTTAAGACCTTCCCAGTCCCTTCTAATCAATCCATAAGTCTTACTGACTCCTACAGCAGATATGTGTGCTACATCCATCTACTTTTCTCCATCTCTACTGTCAGCATCCTCATCCAAGCTACCATCATTTATTTATTTTTCTTTTTTTTCTAAAGCTACCATCATTTCTAAGCTGATACTTTAGAAGCCTCTTAACCGACCTGCTTGCTTCCGCTCCAGATTTTCATCCACAGAGCAGCCAAAAGTATCTCTTACATAAACCATGAATCAAATCTTGTAGCTCTCTGGCTGAAACCAATTGCCTCTGCACTCCTTACTTGACCTACTATGGCCTGAAGGATCTGGCTGCTGCCTTTCTCTTTTTTAGCTCTGCCTTCACTTGTACATTTCAACCTGACCTTCCTACTCTAGACACACTAAGCTGATTTCTGCCATGCCTGGGCCTGCCTCAAGGTACGATGTTTGTCTTCTTTGGGCCTGGAATAACTTCTTACTTGACTGATTGCTTGTCATCCCTCAGGCCTCTCAGGCCAATTGTTACCTTTCAGTGCTATTTTGGTCAATGCCCAGTACCACCTCTTATTTTATCTCATTCATATTTTTCTCAGTAAACACTGGCAAGTATTTAGCCTATGACCACTCCCACCTCTCAACGGAATGTGAGTTTCTTTAGGGCAGAGATTTTGTTCTTTTGTTAACCACTGTATCCCTACTTCTTGGCACAGAATAGAGAACCAAAAGATGAATGAATTCGTGCATACAAGCATCTATTGATGTATGTATCACATTTTATTGTAATTTGTTTTGTGTGTCTGTCTCTTCCTCTGGATTTCTTAAGGTAGGAATTAGGTTTTCTTCTTTGAGATCTCAACAGTGTAGTTTCCAATTCTTAACAAAACAGTTTATCAGAGTGCTTCTTGGTGGCTACTGTTTGGTTGAGAATCTATAACAAGGTCATTTCTAAGCATTAGTTGGATGACTGCTTACTATTAAATCTCTATTTAGAAAAGGGCTGGGAGCCTGGAGGCAATTTGGTGCTTCAGTAGTATCTCAACTAAAGTATTTATTCCCCCAAGAGACAGGATTTTCTTAGGCAATGCTGCTCTGGTATGTTTTGGGTGAATGTGCTGTAAAAGAATTAATGAGAGAAATTTCAGTGGCTAGAGAAGGTGTTGACAAGATAATGCAAGGCAAGAACCATATGGCATGAAGTAAATGCTTGTGGAGTTAACATGGAATAAAGAACAGATCATCTGAATAAGAAAGTGTGGCTAGCAGAGGATTTTTTTAATAGAACTTTTTCAAGAGTGAAGAATAAAAAGGGAGGATGTGAATTTATTTCAAGATGATCATCAAAGGATGAAGGAACAGATGAGGTGTGAGTGGACTTCCCAGATCAAGAAATGGACAGCATTATCAGCCTGAAGAAAAGAGGCCACTGTGACTACAGTCAAGATGCTCAGCTCAGCAAGACTTGAGGACAGCTCAAACCATCTTTGGCTACTGTGCCCAGTAGCAAAGGAGTAAATGTGATACTGTCCAGAAACAAGATGTGTAGGCCATAAGAGAAAAGAAATTATGTTAGGAATTAGAGGCCAATAACATTATTGAATATTTATTATTTTTTGAAAGAACTTTGCTGCTGAAGTTGGTGAGAATAGCAGAGAAGGGTATGTTTCATAACGCAAAGAGAGGCTAGAAATAGTTGACTTAATACATTTGCTGAAAAGTTCCAGAATGTAGGAATTTTATTTTTTATGTTTAAATTTTTCAAAATTTCATGATTAGACAAGGTGGTCTTCTTCTTAAGCCCATAAAAACTACAGTAAACTAGATAGGCCATAAAGATGCTGTGTCCATCATTCTGATTGATTCTTTTCCTAAGCACAAAAAGAAAAGAAAATTACAAAATCAGAGCTAAGGCTACCAAAGGAGCGTTTCACTCTTAAGTGTGCTGATATGGTTTGAAGGTGTCCCCAAATGTTTATGTATTAGAAACTTAATCCCTAATGCAACAGTGTCAAGAGATGGGAACTTAAAAGATGACTAGGTCATGAGGGCTCTGCCTTCATCAATGGATTAGTGCTGTTATCACCAGAGTGGGTTAGTTATTGTGGGAGTGGGTTTCTGAGAAGAAGGATGAGTTTGGCCCCCTTTCTCTCTCTCTCTCTTTCATCCTCTCTTACCCTTCTGCCTTCCACCATGGGATGATGCAGCATGAAGGCCCTTGCCAGATGCCAGTGCTATCCTCTTGGACTTCCCAGCCTTCAGAACTGTAAGAAATAAATCTCTGTTCTTTATAAATTACCCAGCCTGTGGTATTCTGTTATAGCAACACAAAACAGGGTAAGACATGTGATCTGTTTCTTCTAAAAGGTTTGTATACATCACATTTTTATTTTAAAATATTCAAATATAAAGCTTAAAGAACAGTATAAACTTGATTATCTGCAGCTCAGATTTGCTTCAGATTTATAAATAACACATAGCTTTATTTGGTATGTTCTTCTAAAACTTGCCTATGTTGGATACTTAAAGTATCTTTCTCTAACTAGCTTTTGCTATTTAAAATAACCGTATTATGCAGTATTCCACTAAATAGAATGAATAAAATGGTATCATATTCTCTATTTCACTGTTGATAAAAATTAGGTAAATTTTGCATTTTTTTGCTCTTACAAACTATGCTACCACAAGTGCTTGTAGGACACTAGTCATGAAAGTAGAAAAAGAAACACTGATTTGACTCTTAAAACCTGATATGGCTCGGATAATATCACTGGAGACTTGGAGCAAGAGTCAAAGCAAGTTGTAAAGCCATAAAAATAGAAGGCAAAAAGAAATTTTGAAGAATTTTAGAAGTATGGGATAGATCAGTCTGATATATACCTCAAAGGGGAACAAGATGCAAAATGAAATTAGGAAATGAAGATAAACAGAAAATGAAAGTTCATCTGGGGAATTTGAAAATGAATAGGGAAACAAGTTAACTGAGTATGTAATAAAATAGGTATTTGAAATGATTTTGAAATAGTTATGCACTCACATTGAGACGGCCTGAATTCTCCCTAATAGGAACACTTCTATGATCCTATGGAAGAAAAGGGTAAATGTAATCAGTGTACAACATCCTCTGTTCAGTAGGTAAAGACTGAGATCGTATTGACATTTTCATGTATCACCTTCCAGTCTTTTTTCTACATGTACATGTATTTTTTTTTTTTTTGAGGTGGAGTCTTGCTCTGTAGCCCAGGCTGGAGTGCAGTTGCAAAATCTCAGCTCACTGCAAGCTCCGCCTCCCAGGTTCATGCCATTCTCCTGCCTCAGACTCCTGAGTAGCTGGGATTATAGGCGCCTGCACCACACCTGGCTAATTTTTTGTATTTTTATCAGAGGGGGTTTCACTGTGTTAGCCAGGATGGTCTCGATCTCCTAACCTCATGATCCGCCCACCTCAGCCTCCCAAATTGCTGGGATTACAGACGTGAGCCACCGTGCCTGGCCCATGTACATGTATTTTTAGAAATATATTTGCCTCCTTAAAATGGAATAATTTTCATAATTTTAAAAATTGCTTTTTATCACTTAAAGTATTATGAGCATATTTTCATATTATTAAATATTCTCCTGTAAAGTTCTTAGGAGCTGTATAATATCTGTTTGTGAGAATGTATCAATGTCAATTTAGTCTATACTTTATTTGGTTTGAGTTGGATTTTTATGTTTCCACTGTCTAGCACCTGTTCCTTGGACAAGAATACCTGCTTCTTCTGAGGAATTCCTTTTTTCTGACCTCAGTCCCTTTTACCCTTAACTGTGGTTGAACGGCAGATGCCATATCTTTACATAAACTCACCTTCTTGGCCACAGTGATAAGTAAGTTGAGGGACATACTGACCAAAAGTAGACTGATCAGAATTTCTAACCTTTTTGTAACTGGTTAATCTGTAGGCCAGGCACAGAACTCAACAATTCACAACTATACATCAATCCTCACATAGTTTTGGGATAAGAATAGCATGGCATAGTTAGAAACCTCAAGCCATAAAATAAATTTAAGTTATCTCAAGTTGGTATCACCGCAGGACACCTTACTGAAGCATTTGAATCCTTCCCCAGAATTTCTCAGGTTGAATCTAGAAAATAGAGGGCTTTTCCTTTTGGTGGTGAAACTGGGAAAATAGGCATCTCAGGATAGCTCATTTTTCATTGAAAAGCTGGTTTGCAGTTGGAAAGAATGAAGTCAGAGAGAGAGGAGGGAAAAATAGGTACAGGGAGGAAGAGTTCTGTGACAGTATTCCCTGAGGTGGCAATACCCTTTCCTTCCTGTTTGTTCATTCCATAGCCTAACTGGCCTGTTTGATGAACTAGCTTGAGGGTATATTTTTGTTATTCTGAAGCAAAAGAGTCCTGATTTTTGCTTCGGAGCCATTTTGCTAGACCAAATATTTCTAAAATACAAATTTGTAGTTTAAAAATGGTTAGATGATAAGATCGAGGACCTAACAAAGGAAAAATAATGTTTTTTGATAAATAGGACAAAGCAGAGATGCTATATATGATATATTAAATAAGGAGAGGGCCAGGCACGGTGGCTCATGCCTGTTAACCCAGCACTTTGGGAGGCCGAGGCAGGTGGATCACCTGAGGTCAGGAGTTCAAGACCAGCCTGGCCAACATGGTGAAGCCCCATCTCTACTAAAAATACAAAAATTAGCCGGGTGTGGTGGCATGCGCCTGTAGTCCCAGCTACTCGAGGCTGAGGCAGGACAATCGCTTGAACCCAGGAGGCGGAGGTTGCAGTGAGCCGAGATCGCGCCACTGCACTCCAGCCTGGGTGACAGAGTGTGGCTCCGTCTCAAAAAAATAAATAAAAATAGGGAGAGAGGGTAGGTGGGATTGGTATCAAATCCTGAAGCTGGTGTGGAAGACCATATCTATCCAAGAGAAGAGGAGGCCCACCAACACTTGGCCTCTGAATACTCTGCAGCAGAAGACTTGGTCATGGTTAAAGACAGGAGGAATGATTAAACTTTTGTAGCCTAGGAAATAGTTTATGGGCCTTTATTACACAAAAGGAGAGTTCTGGTTTCAGGAGTGGTTAAGACATTTCCATTCCTTCTTTGTCTCAACAATCACATACCATACCAGAGGAATGTTGAACAGAAGAACACACTCTATCCACATTGAAATGAAATGACACATCTACATTTCTGCACCACAACATCTGAAGACAAAGTGGCTATATGATTGGCAAATGACTTAATAGAGTGGAGGATGACTACACTTAAGCATCTACAGAGGGGAATGCCAGTGGAGTATGAGAGGACAGAATGAGAACTACTCCCCTAGTTTACCATGCAGAATCTCAAAACGGGTTAGAAATTGGAGGTACCAGTGATCATAGGAGACAGAAATGAGCCAGTAGACTGAGAACAAGGATAGTTTGGAATGCACATAAAATAAGATCAGGTCCTTATCACTGCCCCCACCCCTGCAGAAAATAGTAGGTAGATGATCTAGAGAGCCTTGGCTGGGGGATGGGGGGTGGGGAAGAGATATGGCCTGGCAAAATGAAAAGTTGCTTCTAGACAAAGACAGAACTCTTGAAGTGCTTCAACTGGGTGAAAGTTTGACAGAGAACACTCAACAACCCTGGCCACCGACAAAAGAAAACAAGGACATTTGTCTATCTTGGCCTGGACCTTAGCATAGAAAATGTTTTCCTACCCCTACTCTAAGTGGCAACTATATACTTGACGCTGCCATTTCTTCTTTTTTTTCCTTTTTTTTTTTTTAGACAGAGTCTCACTGTGTCACCCAGGCTGGAGTCCATTGGCGTGATATCAGCTTACTGCAGCCTTGACCTCCCAGGCTCAAGTGATCCTTTCACCTCAGCCTCCCGAGTAGCTGGAACTACAGGCTTGAGCCACCACACCCAGCTAATTAAAATTTTTTTTTTATTTTTTAAAGACAGGGTCTCACTGTGTTGCCAAGGTGGTCTGAAACTCCTGGGTTCAAGCAATCCTCCCACCTTGGCCTCCCAACCTGCTAGGATTACAGGCATGAGCCACCATGCCCGGCAGATTTTGCTATTTTAATGCAAAAACAGCCATAGAACGTATGTAAACAAATTAGTTTTTTTACATCATGAACCGCTGTGTTCCAGTTAAACTTTATTTATAGATCATGAAATTCGAATTTCATGATCTGTAAATAGATCTATAAATAGATCTTTTTGCCCCTTGATTTTACACTAAAGGAAAGATTTAAATTTCATATGCTTTTCACGTATCAAAATAACATTTTGGTTTTTTTTTCAACCATTTATAAATGTAAAAGCTAGTCTTGGCTCTCTGGCTGTACAAAGGCGGCAGGATGGATTTGGCCTTTGGGCTGTAGTTTGCCAACCACTCAACTAGACTTTAAGTAAGCGTGTTAAAAATGTAAGAGTGAACATTCACCCTGTTTGTCTCAACCTAAAGGAAGATGAGAAGGAAGGGGGAAAAGAATGAATAAAGCAGATAAACAAATCTCAGAATAGTATGTTAGATATTAGTAATTAGAGTAAATGTAAGAGGACTAAACTTACTGGCTAAAGGACAGCTTGCCAGAATGGATTTTTTTAATATCCAATTATATGTTGTTTTAAGAGACATAATCTATCTTCCCCAAAAAAGAGACATTCCCCCAACATAAGGGTACAGAAAAGTTCAAAATGAAAAGGTTTTACAATACTAAGAAAATACTTTAAAAAGAAAAGTGGTTCTTTTTTGACAAAAGGTACTCTAAGTGATACTTTATTGTTAAGAAAAAGGAGGGCATTCATGATAAATGGATCCACTTTTAAAAAATTTAAAAAACAGGAAGATAGAATTCTAAGCTTGAATGTACCTAACAATGTCATCTAATATATATCTGTATTTAACAGCATATATATATATAAATATAAATCTGTATAGCTACATTGATATTTATCTACCTTTAGCAAAAACTTACAGAACTGTAAAGAGAAACTGATAAATCCACCATTATAGCAAAATAGCTTAATATAAGTATCTGGTTGAGAGATCAAGCAGTTAAAAATTTGTTAAGGGTACAGAAAATTTGGCTTTGACCGTTATCAAGCTTTCTCTATTGGACATATAGAGAGGACATATTCCTCAAAATTACTTGGACAAACATTCTTCTCAACTTTATTTAGAAATTTCATTGGCCACATACTAGGGTAAAAAAGCAAGCAAATGTCAAATGTCAAATATCAGCATAAGATAAACCAGGTAAGGTAGCAAAGAAGACTCAAAATAGAAACTTTTTTTTTTTTTTACTTAAAACCAAATAATGAAAATACATGGAAACAAGACTTGTGAACTGCAGCTAGAGTAGTACCCAGACAGAGGCAAATGTAGAGCTTTAAATTATTTATTAAGATAGAGGTCTGAAAATTAATGAGTCAGATGGCAAACATTATGTATTATAATAAAAAGAGAACCTAAAGGAAAAGAGGAACATGTTCCAATTTTAGACAAATTCTTTCAGAGACAAAGACTACACCCTGGCTTGTTTTAGGAGGCCAGTATATTCAAGACAAATACAGCATGAGAAAGGAAACTTATAAGCCATTGTCATTCGTGAATATACTATTTTTAAAAAGCTTACATTACGAAACAAAATCCAGCAATTTTTTAAAGAAATTTAAAAACAAGCAAGTTTAGATTCATTCTTAGATTACAAGTTCAATAATCATAAAGAAGGCAGTTTTCAAATTAACCTAGAAATGAAGTGTATCTGCGTGACAATGGAGACATAGACGCTACAAAGTGAGCGTCCAAGCCAAGTTCTGCCAGCAGAAATTCTGCCTCTCCTGGGGTCTTGGTGGCCACATCCAGAGACAAACAGTCTCAGACTGGGGATGGGGCCTGGGGGTGAACCCAAGCCCTCCCAGGAGACAACTTAGCTGCCAGTCACCACCTATTAGGCTCCTCCACCCACTGTCTGCACCTCAGCAAATGCCTCCTATGCTCTGTGGATCCCCCAGACCTCTGTGTTTAAAAAAAATAAAATAAAGGAAAAAGAAATTAAATGCAGTTCCAACCAAAATCCTAAATAAGTTTGAGAAACTGATTTTGAAGTTTTTGAAACAGTTTTTAAAAAGAACGAGGTTTTGTAGGGAAAAGGGGACTTCCCTATTAGATATAAAAATTACTATAAAGACTATTTATATCTTATTATAAAGTAACAGTAATTAAGACAATGTGCTTTGAGCACAGTGATAAACGCATAGACCAATATAACCAACTAGAAAGCCTGTAAACTGGCCCACCCCTATATAGGAAATGTGTATCAGAGACAGCATTACAGATTGGTGGTGAAGGGTGAGGTAGAGTGGGGACCCTTTGACAAATCATGCTTGAACAATAGGTTGTCTACATAGGGAAAAAATGTTTGGATTCCTACCTCACAATAGGTAGCAATACCTAACACAAATATAAATTCCAGGTAGATTATAGAAACTTAAATGTGAAAACAAAATTTAAAATTTTTACAAGAAAATAGAGAATGTGTTTATGAACCCATGGTAGGAGGAGATTTCTAAAATATGCAGCACAAATCAAAGGATTGATAAATCCAACTATATTTAAAACTTCTGCTTATCAAATAATACCATTTAGAAACTTAAAAAATCAGATGATAAAAGATCTGCTATGCATTTCAAATATATAAGAAAAAGAAAATTGCACAGTAGATAAATGCAAATTACAGAATAGGAAATCTGGCCAATAACCGTATAAAAAGCTGCTCTGACCCACTGGTAACAATCAGAGAAATGCAAATAAAAATCGATGAGATACGTTTCAGCCTTCTGATTGACAAAACTAAAACATTGACAAGTATCAAGTGATGGCAACTATTCTGAACAAATGAGAACATTTAAACACTTCTGTGAACACGCTTTCAGAGTACTCTCCAATTCAGAGAGTAAACTGCAATGTCTAGTCATACTGAATATGTACATATCTTATGACTTATCAGTCAGTCCAGTCTTAGCAATGTCTTTAAAATTCTGAGGAAGTCCAATGGTAAAATAAATATCACACATAATCTTTAGAAATTCGCCTCCCATGCGTCCTTTCTCAGAAGCTACTAGAGGATGTGCTTCAGCAAAATGGGGGAGTAAAACAAAGAGGAAGAAATATAATTCAGGAAATGGGTTCTGACACAGAAGAAAATTCCCAAATGATAACTAATAGAAGTCATAGCACCTGAACCAAAGGCCTGCAGAGCAACCACTGCAGATTTGAGCAGACATTTGGAAGATTCCAATGAGGAAAGTGGAACTGATAAATTGTCTGGTATGTTTGACTGCATGGATGTTTACATTGAAAGACATTTTCAAGGGACATTAAAGAATATGAGAAAATTTAACCATGGAGCAGGGTCTTTATTTCATTTGCAGCTGTATCTACTGCACCCCATGCCTGGCAAATAGTAAGAATTCAGAAGTAATGTGGGAAGGAAGGAAGCTAGCCAAAATGATAGAGTACACCATGGAAAATAGGATGAAATAGGTGACAGTAAACAAGGAATATTTGAGAACAATTTGATACAACATCTGGGAGCAATTTTGTGGGGTTTGATGGTGGGATGTATAAGTGAAAATCAAATAGGATGTAGTTGTGGATGACCTTAACAAGTTCATATGTTTTAAAATCAGGGCTGCTGCCGACAACAGACATTTTAGATTACCTGCCAGTTATCAGATTCCAAATTTTGATGTCCAGTAGTTCTAATCTAGTTGGGCTATTCATTTAGTCAGCTAATATTTAACAACCTCTCCTATGTACCAAGCACTATGCCAGAAGCTGGATTTTAATGGTGAGCACAATGAGATATGGTCTGTGCCCTCATGTCAATCTGTTGCTATAATTATCCTTCAGTTCAGAATGTTTAGAATATAGGTGTTTAGAACATGGGGATATATAGCCTGAATTATTTTTCTGTCTTTTTCTTCTTTTTTTAGAGGCAGGGTCTTGCTCTGTCACCCAGGCTGGAGTGCAGTGGCATGATCATAGTGGACTGCAGCATCCAACTCCTGGGCTCAAGTGATTCTCCGACCTTAGCCTCTTGAGTACCTGGGGCTTACAGATGCATGCCACCACACCCGGCTAATTTTTTTTTTTTTTAAATAGAGATGGGGTCTTGTTCTGTTGCCCAAGCTGGTCTGGAACTCCTGGCTTCAATCAGTCCTCCCACCTCAGCTTCCCAAAGCTCTGGGATTATAGGCATGAGCCACTGTACCTGTCCACCTGAGAAATTTTCTAAGCCTGGATTCACTCTTATGAAATATAATACTTTGAAATGCACAATAACTTTGAAAATGAAACTCATTGCTTTTCATTTCACCAGGAGTTACTAACTATAATAAGCTTTAGAGCAAATTCTCCTTAGATATGATTTTTGTTATTATTAGAAACACATACTATCTTGATAACTAAATTTTGCCAATCATTCTTCTTGACTAGTGGTCTTTATATATACATATATATATATTTATATGAGGAATTTTCCATAAGTGACTTGAAAAATACAGAATGCACTCCGTGGTAGGTCTGTTCAGTGTTATCAGGAATACTGTTTCTCATCTTCCTTTCTTGGTGTCCCTTTGCAGGGGTTGTGTTTGCACATTATGGTCCCGTCTGGAGACAACAAAGGAAGTTCTCTCATTCAACTCTTCGTCATTTTGGGTTGGGAAAACTTAGCTTGGAGCCCAAGATTATTGAGGAGTTCAAATATGTGAAAGCAGAAATGCAAAAGCACGGAGAAGACCCCTTCTGCCCTTTCTCCATCATCAGCAATGCCGTCTCTAACATCATTTGCTCCTTGTGCTTTGGCCAGCGCTTTGATTACACTAATAGTGAGTTCAAGAAAATGCTTGGTTTTATGTCACGAGGCCTAGAAATCTGTCTGAACAGTCAAGTCCTCCTGGTCAACATATGCCCTTGGCTTTATTACCTTCCCTTTGGACCATTTAAGGAATTAAGACAAATTGAAAAGGATATAACCAGTTTCCTTAAAAAAATCATCAAAGACCATCAAGAGTCTCTGGATAGAGAGAACCCTCAGGACTTCATAGACATGTACCTTCTCCACATGGAAGAGGAGAGGAAAAATAATAGTAACAGCAGTTTTGATGAAGAGTACTTATTTTATATCATTGGGGATCTCTTTATTGCTGGGACTGATACCACAACTAACTCTTTGCTCTGGTGCCTGCTGTATATGTCGCTGAACCCCGATGTACAAGGTAATTAATAGGTGTTTCCTTTGTTCATGGCAAAACCAGGTAATTTAAATGAGGATTAGCAACCTCAGTGATCTGGTGGCTTCTAACACTGAGCAATGTCTTCAGGCTGGCAAACAAATACTTGCAACTCATAGGGAGTTGGTAAGATGTTAACAGTGAAACCCAAGTTTCTAGACAGTAGGACTGAGGTCATAACTTGCTTACCCCTGCTTAAATCTCTACGCGTCTGATTCTATGTGAAATCTATGATCATGAAAGACCTTTAGAGAAGAACATTCTAGAGCTGAAGGGAATCATAATGCTGATCTGAACACATCTTGTTTTTTTGAAATTGGAGAACAGAGGCTCAGAGAAGTTGTGTGACTTTCACAAGGTCACACAGCTAGTTCTACCACCTAGTCCCAATAGATACTGAAAGTCTGTGGCAGTTCAGAGTAGAAGAATACAGGGAGGATGGTGTATTATTAGTTTCTGTTGCTGTTATAACAAATTACCACAAACCGAGTGGCTTAAAACAACACAAGTTTCTTAGAGTTCTATACATTCTAAGTCTGATATATGTCTCATTGGACTGAAAATCAGGATGTTGACAGGGCTGCATTCCTTTCTGGAGGGTCTAAAGAAGAATCAATTTCCATGCTGTTTCTGGCTTCCACAGCTCATGGTTTCCTTCTTCTGTCTTTGAAGGCAGCAGTGTTGCATCTCTGTAACCATTTGTTCATAGTCACATCTTCCTCTGACTCTGAACTCAACAGGGAAAGGTTATCTGACTTAAAAACCCATGTTCTTAGATTGGGCACACCCAGGTGACCAAGGATAATCTTCCAATCTCTGTGTCCTTAAGTTAATTACATCAGTTTAGTCCCTTTTGCCATGTAAGGTATTATGTTTACAGACTCCAGGGGATTAGGGTGTGTACATCTTGTATGGGCCCGTATTCTGCCTACTATAGATGTGATTATACCTACCTGTATTAGTTAATTATTGCTGGGTAGCAAACTACCCCCAAATTTGCTAGCTTTATAAAAACTGCCACCAGGCATTATCTCCCAGTTTCTGAGGGTCAGGAATCCAGGAATGACTTCCAGTTTAGGGTTTCTCATGAAGTTAGAGTTAAGATGTTGGCTGGGGCTGCAGACTTGAATGAGACCAAAGAATCCAGGTCCAGGGTGGCTATCCATATGACTATTGGCCAAGTTCCTTACCACTGTGACCCTTCCATAAGGCCACTTCACTTGGTGGCTTCCTTCCCCAAAAGTGAGCAACCTGAGAGAGGAGAGAGTGGCAAAGATGAGGAGCCACTCTGATCTCAGAAGTGACATGCCCTCACTTCACCCTTACTCTCTTGGTCACACAGACCAACTTGGTACAGAGTAGGAGGGGACTGCACAAGGATATAAACCACAAGAATAGGGAATATTGGGGGCCACCTTAGGCTATCACATGTTGTCACAGTCTACTTAGAGAGTCAATCCCATGTTCATAATGAGAGTATGACTTAGGATGCTCCTGAATCCAGAGTGTTTTCTCTTTGGCCCCTCTATCTGTTACACTATCCCACTTCTAAGTCACAGAGTGGCACAGGCACCCTGGGGCTAGCTGTCTCTACCTGAAATGTCTGACCAATGCTTCAACTTCACTGAGGCAGAATCAGGCCTGAACTGCCAACTGACCAGTTATGCATTAGTGGTGATGGAAAGTATGCAGAGGAGGGCACGTTCGACTCTGTCCCATGCTTATCTTCTGGTTTATTTTTCCCTTTTTACATAGAAAAGGTTCATGAAGAAATTGAAAGAGTCATTGGCGCCAACCGAGCTCCTTCCCTCACAGACAAGGCCCAGATGCCCTACACAGAAGCCACCATCATGGAAGTGCAGAGGCTAACTGTGGTGGTGCCGCTTGCCATTCCTCATATGACCTCAGAGAACACAGGCAAGTCCAGGGTCTTCCTCTTTGAATGCCCTTGACGGAAGCAGGGCCCTCTAATCCAGGGTAGTTGAGGTGAGGGGTGTGGTGACTGTTGTCTAGCTTGATCCTTCTGAAGATTTAGCATTGTGTCATATGTAATAAAATGTCTAGGGAATGTTCAGCCCTCCGCTGTGCATCACTGGTTGTACTAGAATTCTACTACTGCTTAGTTTTACTAGTAGTTCTGTAGCCTTCAGAGCATACACAATTATACTGGCAAAACAAATAATGTCAAAATTTAAATTGGCTATGTTGGCAGAAAAAGCTCCAGAATTGACAAAGGCACCTCTCCCTCCTTTTCATGGAGGTCAGAAGAGCTCATCTAAATGTGGATTAAGGATTTTGCCTGAAAATTATCTTACTTCAACTTTTAAAATTCTGCAGCTGAAGCATAAATATGAAATAATTAGAAGGCCGGGTGTGGTGGCCTACACCTGTAATCCCAGAATTTTGGGAGGACGAGGCAGGTGGATCACTTGAGGTCATGAGTTCGAGACCAGCCTGGACAAGATGGTGAAACCCCATCCCTACTAAAAATACAGAAATTAGCCAGGCATGGTGGTGCACAACTGTAGTCCCAGCTACTCAGGAGGCTGAGGCAGGAGAATCGCTTGGACCTGGGAGGTTGCAGTGAGCTGAGATTGCACCACTGCACTCTAGCCTGGGTGATGGAGCAAGCCTCTGTCTCAAAAAAAAAAAAAAAAAAAGGGCTGGGTGCGGTGGCTCACACCTGTAATCCCAGCACTTTGGGAGGCCCAGGAGGATGGATCACTTGAGGCCAGGAGTTCGAGACCAGCCTAGCCAACATGGCGAAAACCCATCTCTACTAAAAATACAAAAATTAGCCAGGCATGGTGGCACACTTCTGTAGTCCCAGCTACTCAGGAGGCTGAGGCAGGAGAAGAATCACTTGAACCCGGGAGGCAGAGGTTGCGGTGAGCCAAGATTGCACCACTGCACTTCTGCACTTCAGCCTGGGTGACAGAGTGAGACAGCCTGTCTCAATAATAATAATAATAATCATCATCATCATCATCATAGTTAGAAGAGCCCATCTTTTTCTAAAGTCACCTGTTTCAGCCTCTCATCTACAGTGAACTCTGTCTATTTGGTCATGTCCAGACTCTCTTTAAACATCCCTATTAACAAAGAATTTACCTCTGGAGTCAGCCCATAGTATAATGGGCTTGATCTAGTTTTAAGACAGTTATAGCATGCCGTTGCTTATACATGACATTGGATCACTTAACGGGTTTTTTTTGGTACAAGTTAGATAGACTGTTTATAGTATCTTTTGGGCATTGTTTAAAGCGCATATTGACTTGTCAGCTGGTAAGAGCCAGGGTTGGCTACCCTGTATATTTCTTTATCTTAGTTTACCTCCTCATTACATTGTTATATGGACATAAATGACCCTGTAAACTAAGTTTTATACATATTGGGAATTTTAATTTTTAGGGAACGTTTACTTGAAATCCCCTATTGTTTCTGTTTTAGTGTTTTCTCTTCATTGTAATGTTTTTATGGTTTTATTTATTAATTCAGCATTCATTGGAGCACTGCCTGCTCCCTGTCTCAGGTGGGTCCTGGAATGGTGCGGGGAGAGGGATGCCAGTTGGTAAGATCTTATCCCTGCCCTCAAGTACCTCACAGTTTGGTCTCAGCCAATTAAAGTGATAGGTATATAACTACATTTTTTTTTCAGATAATGATGTTCAGGGAGAACTACTAGTAAAAGCATACTGAATAACACCCATATGTTTCCTTTTGTTTTAGTGCTCCAAGGGTATACCATTCCTAAAGGCACATTGATCTTACCCAACCTGTGGTCAGTACATAGAGACCCAGCCATTTGGGAGAAACCGGAGGATTTCTACCCTAATCGATTTCTGGATGACCAAGGACAACTAATTAAAAAAGAAACCTTTATTCCTTTTGGGATAGGTCAGTTACACTTTTTTAAACTGCATAATTTTTAAAAGAAGTAGAACTAAAATAATATTTTATTATTTCATGTTGTTTTAAAAATGTTTCTTTCTTGGCAAGCTAATATAAGAGAAGGGATCAATAATTTAGACAAGGCATCTCCCCTATGTTCATTTCAGATTTTAATAAAGCAGTTGGTTTTAAATCTCTAAATGTGACTAGAAATTTTACTTTCAGAGCTGATCAGGTAATTTTGGGGGGTCCCAGGGAGCTACTTAAGAGCAATTTCTGATCTGGTCTGGTGGGTGAGAGGATGGGTTCTCTAATCTCAACAGTTCCTCTTTTAGGTTCCTAGATTAGGAACATAGAATTCTTTCTGTGGAAAAAGGGAGGCTCTAGGGATTCTTATCTGAATTTTTTTGCCTTAATCTTCCAGGCAAAAGTGGAGGAAAGAGGTAAGTAGGCACAGAAGAGACAGGATAGCTGCCACACTGGATCTGTCTCTAGTTCCTGTCTAGAATGGGGATAGGTTTTTATGAGTAAGAGTTAAAATGTGGATTTGATATGTAAAAATTCTGATCAGCATATGCTGTGGGAGGCTATGTGGTATATATGGCAATTTGACTTAAAAACTCCATCTGCATTTAGAATACTCAATTTAGATATTTCATATAAATTTGTACTTTTTGAAATAGGAGAAGGGATGGTATTATAATCCTTCATTTTTTTCTGATCTCATTTTTAGGGAAGCGGGTGTGTATGGGAGAACAACTGGCAAAGATGGAATTATTCCTAATGTTTGTGAGCCTAATGCAGAGTTTCGCATTTGCTTTACCTGAGGATTCTAAGAAGCCCCTCCTGACTGGAAGATTTGGTCTAACTTTAGCCCCACATCCATTTAATATAACTATTTCAAGGAGATGAAGAGCATCTCCAAGAAGAGATGGTAAAAAGATATATAAATACATATCCTTCTAAGCAGATTCTTCCTACTGCAAAGGACAGTGAATCCAGCAACTCAGTGGATCCAAGCTGGGCTCAGAGGTCGGAAGGAGGGTAGAGCACACTGGGAGGTTTCATCTTGGAGGATTCCTCAGCAGGATACTTCAGCCATTTTAGTAATGCAGGTCTGTGATTTGGGGGATAGAAAACAAAGTACCTATGAAACGGGATATCTGGATTTTACTTGCAGTGGCTTCCACCGATGGGCCAATCTTCTCATTTCTTAGTGCCTCAGACATCCCATATGTAAAATGAGAGTAATAAAACTTGGCTTCTCTCTACCTCTCAGCACTAATGATGGTCAAATGCCTTACATCTTTTCTGATATCTCTAAAATGCTGTTAAGTTCTGGAGAAGAACTTCAGGAGAAGAAGATCTATCAGCTGGCTTTTAAAGACCTATGACAACATGAAAGTGGTGTTCAGCCTGGAATGCTTTGTCAGAGATGGGTGTGGATTTAGGTTATACTGGGGGAGAACTTTTCTCAGCACAGATTCTATGCCAGCTTCTTTGGGCTTGTTCTGTCACTATCTTTTTGTTTATGATTTTAGTTTTTACTTTTTGTAGATGTGGGATGAAGTGGACTCTGTCGTGTATATTGAGGAAAAAAGAAATTATAATTTTAAAAAATCCCTTGTAGGATTATTATCTAAATTTATATGTCTAACTTCTACTACAACTACAGGAACAGTGAGCCTTGCTACTTCTTTAGTAGCTTCTTGGCAGAATTCCTTTCTACTGAGTTATTTGCAAAGATGCAGCTCTACCTTTTTACTTAAGGCCTGAATGGTGAGCATGGGGATTTTGATACTGGGACTCATCAGGAAAGGATTCTGCTTTCAAACTATACTGAACATTCCTGTCCTAGCGTCCCTGCCACCAGGCCCAATGCATCTGATCCTTGAATATACTCTCAAAGAATTCACTCTCTTTTTATTAAGAGAACTAAATTGTTTCTAAATGTAGATGGTCCCTCTGGAAAAGCAGTTTTCAGCAGGGGTGGTAACCCCTTCAGAGGGAGTTTGGAAATGTGTGGGTATGATTCTTGGTTATCATAATGATGGGGGTGCTACTGGCCTTCTGCTGCCATGGGACCAGGATGCTAAATGTCAAGGTAGTCCTATACAGTGAAGAATTGTCCTGCTCAAGATGCCAGGATTTCCCCCAGTGAGAACATGCTCTAAGGAATGACCACCCCTTTCTTTTATTCTCCCACAGTGCTCCATGTACAGAAGTAAGCATAGCAGTCATATGAGCAACCACATTCCTGAACCTTTCCTCATGCTGGCTCTACACTTAATCCTTTACTTGTATGTTTCTGTAATTCTTACATAAATTCTATTAAGAGGGTGGCATACTGTAGTGGATGAAGCTGAGGCTTATAGTAGGTAAGGCACAAAGTTAAAAAGTAACATCACTGGGTTTCAAACCTACTGGTCTCTGTGACTAAAGAACACTTTCAGAACCACTTCTTGATTCTGCCACCACTTGATCCCATAACAGGCTACCCCTTGGCCTCATGCTGGAGTTGTGTGTGTCTGTCTTCATCCCAGGCTGAGCTCCTTGAGGTGAGGATGTTGTGCTGTTTGCCTCCCTCACAGTGCCTTGGTCTTAGTGGATGCCCAGTTGTCTTGTGAATGACTTTTAAGAAGTGTACTTAAGAGAAAAATCCTACCTTATTTGAATAATTACAAGTCATGTTTTTGTTGCTTAAAGGTGATAAATCAGTGTATATTATTTGTTAATGTCCATTAAAGCCAGTTTTTAAAAAAATCACTGGACTTTTGTGTTTACCATTTAAAACAACCATTTTAAACAAACTTAGAACGATGCCTTAGCTGTTTATAGGTAACAGAATGTAAACTCCCACCACCTGGAGACTAGGCCATATCCAGGGACCTCACACTGACTTTCCTAAAGGAGAGAAGCAGCTACGCTGTTCATACTGATAGAGAAGAGGGCAAGAAAAGATCCAGAGTGGCTGTTACTTTGAAAATTAAACGAAAGATGAAATTCTGAACTTAAAACACTTCTGTTTGGCCTTCTATAACTGATCACCCTTCTTTGCTCTGTTTTCCAGATAAATGGAGACACCAGATCTCCCTAACCTCTGACTTCTGCCGTTAGCCATACTCTGTGTAGTTAGATCTCAGTCTGGGAATGGCATTCCAGGGCAATTGTGAACATGAGGCTAGATTTTTCCTTTGATTTAGCACATTCCTAGGCAGACTTTTGCAAGCTCAAAAAATGAAAATAATATCTGCTTAACCAAAACATAATCATAGGAAGAAGAAAAATTTTAAAATGATTGATTTTTGACTCTACATTCTTTATCTACCATACTGCTCTTTTCCTTTTTAGAAATATTACTAAGCACTTTCCGTATAGATAAATGAAATACAGGCTAATCTTTAGGTGTCTTAGGAATTTTTGCTTTTTGAAAAAGAAAAGCTAATAGCCTAACTGCAGAGGAACTGAGTGGATGGGGTAGCTGCTGTATAGATTTTTAGATGAGATGATACAGTGTGGATTACACTGTACCTTGGGCGGGAGAGTTTGTTCTTGATATGGAATTCATATGCTTTTGAATTGCACTAATAACTCAGCATTAACAAGTATATTACTCCTTAAATTATACATGCATTTTCAATATTCCTAACCAAATAGTTTATAGCTTATTGAGAAGAAGTCTGTTCTTGGAGAGATGTTGAAATTAGATGTTTATTAAACTTTAAAATATAATGCCTTAAGCTGTGGCACTTTAAAAACATCTTTATATATAAATTGCTAAAAGGACTGTTAATGCTTTTCTCAGACACATTGGCATTTTACAATTTTGCACATGGTTTATTTGAAATCAAAAAATAACTATACTTTGTTTTATAAGTCTACCTAATATCTCATTTTTGATTCTCATCGTTAGCACAGTTTTGTTGCTTTTATTAAACTATTTTAACTGAGAAAGTGTCATGTCTGTTTTTTGTTTTGATTTAATTGCTATGCAAAATTTTGTTTTACCAGATGTCAAGTTAATGTAAAAAGAAAAGAAAATAGGCCTCCAAAGACAGATGTCCACAATAGAATGTAAGCATGGTCCTTAGAAACAAGGGTAATTCTTTAAAACTTTCCCCATGGAGTGAAGTTCCTTAGAGGACTGCATCACCACCCAGGTGTCTTATATTCCCTGTAGAAGCCCAGCATGAGTTGAGTTGAGAGGAGATGGGCCCACATGAGCCTGCTGTGGCCAAGTATTGAGTGCTGGTCTCACACTTCCCAGCTCAGGAAAAAGAGCTTTTTCATACTTGAACCATATTTTGCCTGTGGAGGGACCCCCTGCCAGCTTTTTCCACAGCCTACTCTTCTTCCTGAAGTCACAGCTCAGACAGCATCTCCTCAGAGAGGTCACCCACCATGACATCCAAAGTGGCCTTTCCTGAGAACTCCCTAATCTCATCACCCAATTTCCTCCAGAGCCCTCATCACTAACTGCAACTACCTTGTTTATTTAAACCTTCTGTTTCTATCCTCTCTCTCATCTCCACTCCATGAGGATGTCAGGGACTGACTATATCTGATAACTTACCAAGAGTGGATGCCTTATGCAGAGCAGGCATCAGTAAATATGTTGGGCAAATGAAGAATTAAGTGAGTTTGATGGAAGGTGATTATTTGACCCTTTAGGCTACAGAGGTGATGATACAGGCAAACCTGTCATTGTTTTCTGTCTGCTGCCTCAGTGACTGTGGCTTGTGCCACCAGAGTATGAGTTCTGGTGAAATAACAGTAGTGAAACAAGGGGAACACCAAATAATGTGGCACCCTCAAATCTACTTCGGTTTTGCTGCACTGTTTTTAGAAACCAAATTCATTTAAGTAGGGTATTTGTTCATTAGTAAATAATTTGGTATTATCATCATTGAAATGATATACTTTTATATTATTTTATTTATTTTTTTTGAGACAGGGTCTCACTCTGTTGCCCAGGCTAGGGTGCAGTGGCATGATCACGGCTCACTGCAGGCTGAAGTGATCCTCCCACCTCAGCCTCCTAAGTACCTAGGACTACAGGTGTGTGCCACCATGCCTGGCTAAGATATTTCATATTCTTATCAGTTCTTCCCTTTGTATGAGGGTCAAATAATCAGTTTTTGTTAAGGGAAAAGGCTAATTATCCATAAGACTCTCAGTGGATTGCTCAGCAAAATCCCTGCAGCCAAGGATAGAGTAGGATGATGTATTCAAAATTCTAAAAGAAAAAAACTGCCAAACAAGAATATTGCATTGGGCAAAAATAGCCTTTAAAAATAAAGGATAAAGTCATCCCAAGACAAATGAAACTGAGGGAATCTGTTTGTTACCACTAGACCTGTCTTATAAGAAATACTTAAGGAAATTCTTCAAATTAAAATGAAAACATGTTAAATAGCAACATGAAAACATAAATCTCACTGGTAAAAGAAAATATACAGGGAAATATAGAATAATGTAACACTATAATAGTACATAAATTACTTTTTACCCTAATATAAAAGTTAAAAGATGGCTGGGCCCAGTGGCTCACACCTGTAATACCAGCACTTTGGGAGGCTGAGGCAGGCAGATCATGAGGTCAGGAAATTAAGACCATCCTGGCCAACATGGTGAAACCCCATCTCTACTAAAAATACCAAAATTAGCTGGGCATGGTGGCACATGCCTGTAATCCCAGCTACTTGGGAGGCTGAGGCAGGAGAATCGCTTAAACCAAGGGAGTTGGAGGTTGCAGTGAGCTGAGATCACGCCACTGCACTCCAGCCTGGTGACAGAGCAAGACTTTGTCTAAAACACACACACACACACACACACACACACAATTGTTAATGGATACACACTATAAAGATAATTAAACACTGAATTCAAGGACACAAAGGTTGGGGAGAATGGCGTTTTTGTATGAGATTGAAGTTAGTATCAGCTTGAAATAGACAGTTGTAACTATAAGATGCTTTATGCAAGCCCAAAACATAATCAAATCACAAGGGAAGACAGAAAGAGAGGGAGAAATGAATACAGAGCAACAAAATAACCAGAAACAGTTATCAGACTGGCAATAGTAAGCCTTTACCTATTGATAATTACTTTAACTGTACATAGACTTAACCTCCCCAGTCAAAAGACATAGAGTAACTGAATGGATTTAAAAAGAAGATTCAACTGTATGTTGTCTACAAGAGACTCACTTCAGATTTAAGGACACACATAGGCTGAAAGTGAAGCAATGGAAAAAGATATTCCATGCATATGTTAATTAAAAGAGAGCAAGGATGGCTATACTCATGCCAGATGAAATAGACTTTAAGTAAAAAACTGTAACTAGAGACAAAAAAGACCATTATATAATGATGAAAGGGCCAACTGAACAAGAAGATACAATTATAAATATATACACATCCAACATCAGTGTACCTAGATATATAAAAGCAAATATTGATCTATCTAAAGAGAGAAATGGACAGTAATACAATAACAGTAGGAGACTTCAACACCCTGCTTTCAATAATGGATACAACATCTGCACAGAAAATCAATTAAAATAAAAACAGGTGACTTGAACAACACTATGGACCAGATGGACCTAACAGACAACTATAGAACTTTCCATCCAACAGAAGAATATACATTCTTCTCATGTGTACACAAAACATTCTCCAGGATAGATCATACATTGAGTAACAAAACAAGTCTTAACAAATGTAAAAAAAATGGAAATCATACCAAACATCTTTTCTAACCACAATGGAATGAAACTAGAAATCAAAAACGGTAAGAAAATGAAAAAATTCACAAATATGGGAAAACAAAACAATACACTCTAATAAAGATTGGGTCAAAGAAGAAATCAAAGGGAAATTCAAGAAATATCTTTGGACAAATAAAAACCTAAACACAACATACTAAAATGTAGGGGATGCAGTAAAAGCTGTGTTATGAGAGGAGTTTATAGTGATAAATGCATACGTTAAAGGAGAAAGATCTCAAATAAACAGCCTGACTTTATACCTCAAGAGACCAGGCAGAACAAACCAAACTAAGCTCAAAGTTAGTGGAGGAAAGGAAATAATAAAGATTACAGCAGAAATAAATAGAAAATAGAAAAGCAATAGAAAAATCAACAAAACCAAGAGTTGATTTTTTAGAAAGATAAAATCAACAAACCCTCAACTAAACTAAGAAAAAAAAGAAGACAAGAGGTTCCAAGACGGCCGAATAGGAAAAGCTCCAGTCTACAGCTCCCAGTGTGAGCAACACAGAAGACGGGTGATTTCTGCATTTCCAACTGAGGTACCGGGTTCATTTCACTGGGGCTTGTCGGACAGTGGGTGCAGCCCACGGAGCAGGGCGGGGCATCACCTCACCTGGGAAGCGCAAGGGGTCGGGGAATTCCCTTTCCTAGACAAGGGAAGCCGTGACAGATGGTACCTGGAAAATCGGGACACTCCCACCCCAATACTGCGCTTTTCCAACTGTCTTAGCAAACGGCACACCAGGAGATTATATCCCGCACCTGGTTCAGAGGGTCCCACGCCCACAGAGCCTCGCTCACTGCTAGCACAGCAGTCTGAGATTGAACTGCAAGGCTGGGGGAAGGGCGTCCGCCATTGCTGAGGCTTGAGTAGGTAAACAAAGTGGCCTGGAAGCTCGAACTGGGTGGAGCCCACCGCAGCTCAAGGAGGCCTGCCTGCCTCTGTAGACTCCACCTCTGGGGACAGGGAATAGCTGAACAAAAGGCAGCAGAAACTTCTACAGACTTTAACGTCCCTGTCTGACAGCTTTGAAAAGAGTAGTGGTTCTCCCAGCACAGAGTTTGAGATCTGAGAATGGACAGACTGCCTCCTCAAGTGGGTCCCTGACCCTCGAGTAGCCTAACTGGGAGATACCTACCAGTAAGGGCTTACTGACACCTCATACAGCCGGGTGCCCCTCTGAGACAAAGCTTCCACAGGAAGGTTCAAGCAGCAACATTTGCTGTTCTGCAGCCTCTGGTGGTGCCACCCAGGCAAACAGGATCTGGAGTGGACCCTCAGCAAACTCCAACAGACATGCAGCTGAGGGTTCTGACTGTTAGAAAGAAAACTAACAAACAGAAAGGACATCCACACCAAAATCCCATCTGTATTCACCATCATCAAGGACCAAAGGTAGATAAAACCACAAAGATGGGGAGAAACCAGAGAAGAAAAGCTGAAAATTCTAAAAATCAGAGCACCTCTTCTCCTCCAAAGGAACACAGCTCCTCGTCAGCAACGGAACAAAGCTGGACAGAGAATGACTTTGATGAATTGAGAGAAGAAGGCTTCAGATGATTGGTAATAACAAACTTCTCCAAGCTAAAGGGAATGTTCGAACCCATTGCAAAGAAGCTAAAAACCTTGAAAAAATATTACATGAATGGCTAACTAGAATAAACAGTGTAGAGAAGACCTTAAATGACCTGATGGAGCTAAAAACCATGGCACAAGAACTACGTGACGCATGTACAAGCTTCAGTAGCCGATTCGATCAACTGGAAGAAAGGGTATCAGTGATTGAAGAGCAAATGAATGAAATGAAGCGAGAAGAGAAGTTTAGAGAAAAAAGTGTAAAAAGAAACAAACAAAGCCTCCAAGAAATATGGGACGAGGTAAAAAGACCAAATCTACGTCTGACTGGTGTACCTGAAAGTGACGGGGAGAATGGAACCAAGTTGGAAAACACTCTGCAGGATATTATCTAGGAGAACTTCCCCAACCTAGCAAGGCAGGCCAACATTCAAATTCAGGAAATACAGACAATGCTACAAAGATACTCCTCGAGAAGAGCAACTCCAAGACACACAATTGTCAGGTTCACCAAAGTTGAAATGAAGGAAAAAATGTTAAGGGCAGCCAGAGAGAAAGGTCGGGTTATCCTCAAAGGGAAGCCCATCAGAATAACAACGACTCTCTCGGCAGAAACTCTACAAGCCAGAAGAGAGTGGGGGCCAATATTCAACATTCTTAAAGAAAAAAATTTTCAATGCAGAATTTCATATCCAGCCAAACTAAGTTTCATAAGTGAAGGAGAAATAAAATCCTTTACCAGACAAGCTAATGCTAAGAGATTTTGTCACCACCAGGCCTGCCTTACAAGTGCTCCTAAAGGAAGCACTAAACATGGAAAGGAATAACAGGTACCAGCCACTGCAAAAATACGCCAAATTGTAAAGACCATCGCTGGTAGGAAGAAACTGCATCAACTAACGAGCAAAATAACTAGCTAACATCATAATGATAAGATCAAATTCACACATAACAATATTAACCTTTAACGTAAATGGGCTAAATGCCCCAATTAAAAGACACAGACTGGCAAATTGGATAAAGAGTCAAGACCCATCAGTGTGCTGTATTCAGGAGACCCATCTCACGTGCGGAGACACACATAGGCTCAAAATAAAGGGATGGAGGAAGATCTACCAAGCAAATGGAAAAAAAAAAAAAGCAGCAATTCCAATCCTAGTCTCTGATAAAACAGACTTTAAACCAACAAAGATCAAAAGAGACAAAGAAGGCCATTACGTAATGGTAAAGGGATCAATTCAACAAGAAGAGCTAACTATCCTAAATATATATGCACCCAATGCAGGAGCACCCATTTTCATAAAGCAAGTCCTTAGAGACCTACAAAGAGACTTAGACTCCCACACAATAATAATGGGAGACTTTAACACCCCACTGTCAACATTAGACAGATCAACGAGACAGGAAGTTAACAAGGATATCCAGGAATTGAACTCAGCTCTGCACCAAGTGGACCTAATAGACATCTATAGAACTCTCCAACCCAAGTCAACAGAGTATACATTCTTCTCAGTACCACATTGCACTTATTCCAAAATTGACCACGTAGTTGGAAGTAAAGCACTCCTCAGCAAATGTAAAAGAACAGAAATTATAACAAACTGTCTCTCAGACCACAGTGCAATCAAACTAGAACTCAGGATTAAGAAACTAACTCAAAACCGCTCAACTACATGGAAACTGAACAACCTGCTCCTGAATGACGACTGGGTACATAACAAAATGAAGGCAGAAATAAAGATGTTCCTTGAAACCAATGAGAACAAAGACACAACATACCAGAATCTTTGGGACACATTTAAAGCAGTGTGTAAAGGGAAATTTATAGCACTAAATGCCCACAAGAGAAAGCAGGAAAGATCTAAACTTGACACCCTAACATCACAATTAAAAGAACTAGCGAAGCAAGAGCAAACACATTCAAAAGCTAGCAGAAGGCAAGAAATAACAGATCAGACCAGAACTGAAGGAGATACAGGCACAAAAATCCCTTCAAAAAATTGATGAATCCAGGAGCTGATTTTTTGAAAAGATCAACAAAATAGATAGAACGCTAGCAAGACTAATAAAGAAGAAAAGAGAGAAGAATCAAATAGATGCAATAAAAAATGATAAAGGGGATATCACCACCGATTCCACAGAAATACAAACTACCATCAGAGAATACTATAAACACCTCTACACAAATAAACTAGAAAATCTAGAAGAAATGGATAAATTCCTGGACACATACACCCTCCCAAGACTAAACCAGGAAGAAGTTGAATCCCTGAATAGACCAATAACAGGTTCTGAAATTGAGGCAATAATTAATAGCCTACCAATCAAAAAAGGCCAGGACCAGGCGGATTCATAGCCAAATTCTACCAGAGGTACAAAGAGGAGCTGTTACCATTCCTGCTGAACCTATTCCAATCAATAGAAAAAGAGGGAATCCTCCCTAACTCGTTTTATGAGGCCAGCATCATACTGATACCAAAGCCTGGCAGAGAGACAACAAAAAAAGAGAATTTTAGACCAATATCCCTGATGAACATCGAGGCAAAAATCCTCAATAAAATACTGGCAAACCGAATCTAGCAGCACATCAAAAAGCTTATCCACCATGATCAAGTTGGCTTCATCCCTGGGATGCAAGGCTGCTTCAATATACACAAATCAAGAAATGTAATCCATCATATAAACAGAACCAAAGACCAAAATCAGATGATTGTCTCAATAGATGCAGAAAAGGCCTTCAACAAAATTCAACAGCCCTTCATGCTAAAAACTCTCAATAAACTAGATATTGATGGGACACATCTCAAAATAATAAGAGTTATTTCTGACAAACCCACAGCCAATATCATACTGAATGGGCAAAAACTGGAAGCATTCTCTTGGCACAAGACAGGGATGCCCTCTCTCACCACTTCTATTCAACATAGTGTTGGAAGTTCTGGCCAGGGCAATCAGGCAGGAGAAAGAAATAAATGGTACTCAATTAGGAAAAGAGGAACTCAAATCATCCCTGTTTGCAGATTATATGATTGTATATTTAGAAAACCCCATAGTCTCAGCCCAAAATCTCCTTAGGCTGATAAGCACCTTTAGCAAAGTCTCTGGATACAAAATCAATGTGCAAAAATCACAAGCATTCTTATACACCAATAACAGACAAACAGAGAGCCAAATCATGAGTGAACTCCCATTCACAATTGCCTCAAAGAGAATAAAATACCTAGGAATCCAACTTACAAGGGATGTGAAGGACCTCTTCAAGGAGAATTACAAACCACTGCTCAACGAAATAAAAGACGACACAAACAAATGGAAGAATGTTCCATGCTCATGGATAGGAAGAATCAATATAGTGAAAATGGCCATACTGCCCAAGGTAATTTATAGATTCAATGACATCCCCATCCAGCTACCAATGACTTTCTTCACAGAATTGGAAAAAACTACTTTAAAGTTCATATGGAACCAAAAAACAGCCCACAATGGCAAGACAATCCTAAGCCAAAAGAACAAAGCTGGAAGCATCATGCTACCTGACTTCAAACTATACTACAAGGCTACAGTAACCAAAACAGCATGGTATTGGTACCAAAACAGAGATATAGACCAATGGAACAGAACAGAGCCCTCAGAAATAATACCACACATCTCCAACCATCTGATCTTTGACAAACCTGACAAAAACAAGAAGTGGGGAAGGATTCCTTATTTAATAAATGGTGCTGGGAAAACTGGCTAGCCATATGTAGAAAGCTGAAACTGTATCCCTTCCTTACACCTTATACAAAAATTAATGCAAGATGGATTAGAGACTTAAATGTTAGACCTAAAACCATAAAAACCCTAGAAGAAAACCTAGGCAATACCATTCAGGACATAGACATGGGCAATGACTTCATGACTCAAACACCAAAAGCAATGGCAACAAATGCCAAAATTGACAAATGAGATCTAATTAAACTAAAGAGCTTCTGCACAGCAAAAGAAACTACCATCAGAGTGAACAGGCAACCTAGAGAATGGGAGAAAATTTTTACAATCTACCCATCTGACAAAGGGCTAATATCCAGAATCTACAAAGAACTTAAACAAATTTACAAGAAAAAAATCAAACAACCCCATCAAAAAGTGGGTGAAGGATATGAACAGACACTTCTCAAAAGAAGACATTTATGCAGCCATGAGACACATGAAAAAATGCTCATCATCACTGGCCATCAGACAAATGCAAATCAAAACCAAATGCAAATCAGTGAGATACCATCTCACACCAGTTAGAATGGCGATCACTAAAAAGTCAGGAAACAACAGGTGCTGGAAAGGATGTGGAGAAATAGGAACACTTTTACACTGTTGGTGGGACTGTAAACTAGTTCAACCATTGTGGAAGACAGTGTGGCGATTCCTCAAGGATCTAGAACTAGAAATATCATTTGACCCAGCCATCCCATTACTGGGTATATACCCAAAGGATTATAAATCATGCTGCTATAAAGACACATCAACACATATGTTTATTGCAGCACTATTCACAATAGCAAAGACTTGGAACCAACCCAAATGTCCATCAATGATAGACTGGATTAAGAAAATGTGGCACATATACAACATGGAATACTATGCAGCCATAAAAAAGGATGAGTTCATGTCCTTTGCAGGGACATGGATGAAGCTGGAAACTATCATTCTGAACAAACTATCACAAGGACAGAAAACCAAACACCGCATATTCTCACTCATAGGTGGGAATTGAACAATGAGAACACTTGGACACGGTGGGGAACATCACACACTGGGGCTTGTCATGGGGTAGGGGGAGGGGGGAGGGATAGCATTAGGAGATACACCTAATGTAAATGATGAGTTAACAGGTGCAGCACACCAACATGGGACATGTATACATATGTAACAAACCTGCATGTTGTGCACATGTACCCCAGAACTTAAAGTATAATAAAAAAAAATTGAACTATAAAAAAAAGACAAATCAGAAATAAGAAAGAAGACATTACAATGGATGACTCAGAAATTAAAAGGTTATAAGAGACAACTTATGAACAACTATACAGCAACAAATTGGATAACCTAGAAGAAACAGAAAATCCCTAGTAACATACAACCTGCCAAAACTAAATTAAGAAGAAATTAAATTCTGAAAATAAATAAGAACATTGAATCAGTAATCAAATACCTCCTAACAAAGAAAAGCCCAGGACCATGGCTTTTTCTAACATTCAGAGAAGAACTAATACCAATCCCTCTTAAACTCCTTAAAAAATAGAATAGGGAACACGTTCATACTCACTTTAAAGGCCAGCATCACCCCAATACGAAAGCCAAAGATATCAAAAGAAAAGAAAACCATAGGCCAACATCACTGATGAACATAGCCATAAAAATCCTCAATGTAATACCAGCAAACCAAATTCAACAGCATATTTAAAAGATCATACACCACGAACAAGTGGGATTTATCTCTGGAATGCAAGAATGGTTCAGTATATGCAAATCAATCAATGCCATATACTACATTAACAGAATGACATGTAAAAAACCACATGATCATCTTAATAGATAACAGAAAAAGCATTTGACAAAATTTGACATCCTTTCATGATAAAAAACTTTCAACAATATAGGTATAGAAGGAACATACCTCAACACAGTAAAAGCCATATATGTAAAGGTCACAGCTAACGTCATAATCAATGGAGAAAAACTGAAAGCTTTTCCTCTAAGATCTGATACAAGGAAGGGATGCCCACTTTTACCACTATTATCAATATAATGTTGGAAAACCTAACCAAAACAACTAGACAGAAAAAAGAAATAAAAAGGCATCCAAGTTGAAGAGGAAGAAATAAAATTATCTCTGCAGATGACAAGATTATTTACACATGGCTAGGCATGGTGGCTCATGCCTGTAATTCCAGCACTTTGGGAGGACAAGGAAGGCAGATCACTTGAGGTCAGGAGTTCAAGACCAGTGTGGCCAACATGGTGAAACCCTGCCTCTACTAAAAATACAAAAATTAACCAGGCGTGGTGGCAGGTGCCTGTAATCCCAGGTACTAGGGAGGTTGAAGCAGGAGAAATGCTTGAACCCGGGAGGCAAAGGTTGCAGGGAGCCGAGATCGCGCCACTGCACTCCAGCCTGGGCGACAGAGTGAGACCCTGTCTCAAAAAAAAAAAAAAAGAAAATATTATTTACACATGTAAAAAACCCTAAAGGCTCAACAAAAAAATCTGTTAGAACTAATTAGCAAATTCAATAAAGTTGCAAGATATAAAATCAACATAAAAAATTCAGCAGTGTTTCTATACACTAACAATAAATTATCCAAAAAGGAAATAGGCAAACATTCCCATATATAATAGCAGCAAAAAGAATAAAATACATAGAAATAAACTTAAAGAGGGGAAAGACTTGTACACTCAAAAGTACAAAACAATGATGAAGGAAATTAAAGAAGATTAGATAAATGGAAGGACATCCCATGTTTGTGAATTAGTGTTTATACTATCCAAAATGATCTACAGATTCAATGCAATCCCTAACAAATTTCAAACAGCACTCCCTACACACGCATAGAGAAAAACAATTCATGTGGAACTTCAAAAGACCCCAAACAGCCAAAGCAATCTTGCTTGGTTTTTTTTTTTTTTTTTTTTTTTTTTTAAGACAGGGTCTTGCTCTGTCACCCAGGTTGGAGTGTGGTGGCGCAAACATGGCTCACTCCAGCCTTGGGGCTCAAGTGATCCTTCCCCCCCACCCCCCCACCCCCCTGAATAGCTGGAACTACAGATGCACATTACCACACCCAGCTAATTTTTGTATTTTGTGTGTGTGTGTAGAGATGGAGATTTGACATGTTGCCCAGGTTGAAAGCAATCTTGAGAAAGAATAATAAAGCTGGCGACATCACACTTCCTGATTTCAAAAGATATTTCAAAGCTACAGTAACCTAAGTGCGATGGTACTGACATAAAAACAGACATATAGATTAACGGAACAGAATAGAGAGCCCATAAATAAATCCATGCATTCACAGTCAATCTTCACTAGAGTGCCAAGAGCACACAATGGTGAAAGGATAGTCTCTTCAATAACTAATGTTGGGAAAACTGGATATTCACAGGCAAAAGAATGAAATTAGACCCTCATCTGACACCATAAACAAAAATAAACTCAAAATGGATTAAAAACTTAAACATAAGACTCAGAACCGTAAAACTACTAGAAGAAAGCATAGGGAAAAAGCTTTCTGACATTTGTCTTGGCAATAATATGTTTGAATAAGATAGCAAGAGTACAGGCAACAAAAGCAAAAATAGACAAGTAGAATCACATCAAATTAAAAAACTGCTGCCCAGCAAAGAAAAAAAAATCACAGAGTTAAATAACAACCTATGGAATGGGAGAAAATATTTGTAAACCATATATCTTACAAGGAGTTAATATCCAAAATATATAAGGAACTCACACGAGTCAATAGCAAAAGCAAATAATCCAATTATAAAATGGGCAAAGGACCTAAATAGGCATTTCTAGAAAGAAGATATACAAATGGCCAACAGGTATATGTAATGGTGCTCAACATCACTAATCATCAGGGAAATGCAGATGAAAACCCAATGAAACATCACCTCATAACTATCAGGATGGCTATTAATCAAAAAGACAAGAGATTAAAAGTGTTGACAAAGATGCAGGAAAAAGGGAACCCTTGTACAGTGTTCATGAGAATTTATATTGGGACAGCCTTTATCAAAAACAGTATACAGGGTCCTCAAAAAATAAAAAATAGAACGACCATATTATCTAGCAATCCCTCTTTTGGGATATACCCACAGAAATGGAAATCAAGATTAAGATCTTGAAGATTTATCTGCACTCCCATGTTCACTGCAGCATTATTCACAACAGCTAAGATATGAAAAGAGTGTAAGTATCCACTGATGGATGAATGGATAAAAGAAAATGTGGTGTACACACACACACACACACACACACACACACACACAATGGAATATTATTCAGCCTCAGGAAAGAATGAAATTTTGCCATTTGCAACAACATGGATGAACCTGGAGGATATTATGCTAAATGAAATAAGGCAGACACAGAAAAACAAATACTGCTTGATCCCATTGATGTGTGAAACCTAAAATAGTCGCACTCATAGAATTATAAAGCGAATGGTGGTTGCCAGGGGCAGTAGGGAGGGAGAAACGGTAATGCTGGTCAAAGGATAAAAAGTTTCAATATGCAGGATGAATACGTTCTACAGATCTAATGTACAGCCTGGTGGCTATGATTAACAATATTCCTTACTTGAAATTTTCTAAGAAGTAGATCTTAAATGTTTTTGCCACAAAAAAAGATAATAATAAAAGAAGAAAAAGAAAATGGTAACTTGGTGAGGTGATAGATATGTTAATTGGTTTGATTGTGAAGACCATTTCACAATGTATACATACATCAAAACATCAAGTTGTATACCTTAAATATGTACAATTTTTATCCATCAATGTTCTTCAATAAGGCTGTTTAAAGAAAAAAAGAAAAAATCCAACTCTTAAAAAAATAATAGAATCAATCAGAAAACTAAAACAGCATACACTTAATGACATAAAAATAGAAAACTCTTGTATTCCAAAAAACGGCTGGCAAATCATGAAAAAATGTTTGTATCAGCCTTGCCAAAAATTCAATATCCTTAATATATAAAGTGCTTATAAGTCAGTGCTTATAAATCCATATATACTATAATATATAGTATCTTTAATATTTTCATATACTATAGCATAGTATTTCTTCTAGTGAACTGTAAGTGCTATAATTCAGTAGTAGAATACCCTAATTTTAAAAACAGGCAAAAGATACAAATTATTGTGTTAAACTTTTAAGTTCAGGGGTACATGTGCAGGTTTGTTACATAGGATAACTGTGTCATGGTGATACAGGAGTTAAGAAGAAATCACTTAGGCAGATAGTGAGGGTACAGAAGTCCTCGGTAAGGCTTTTCTCTTTAATGAAAAGCAGCCCCAAATCATTGTCTAACAAAGAGCAGCCTGTAAAGTCAAGCGGCAGACATAGACGAGGAAGCTGGGAGCTTGCATGGGTGAATGCTGGCAGGAACTAGGGGCTAGACATGTTTAAGATGGCAGCTTCATCTTCCCTTCTCTGCCAGCCATGTGTACAGTAAGAAGCAGACAAGATGGCTCAGATCAACTGGAAAGCCCATTTGCATAATAAGATTAGGGTGAGACAACCGGCCTTTCCCCATCTGCTATGTAAATGTCATACCTGATCGAACCTATCTGTGAACCCTTTGTAAATCAGACACTGCCTCCTCAAACCTGACTATAAAATTCAATGCCACCTGCAGGTCTTTTCCATTCAGGGACCCCACTCTCTCTATAGAGAAAGCTGTTTCTCTTTCTCTTCTCTTCTGCCTATTAAACCTCCACTCCTAAACTCCTCTTGTTTGTCCATGTCTTAACATTTTCCTGGTGCACGACCATGAACCCCAGGGTATATACCCCAGACAACATAGTCACTTCTATGGGGGTTTATTGTACAGATTATTTCATCACCCAGGTATTAAACCTAGTACCCATTAGTGATTTTTCCTGATCCTCTCCCTCCTCCCACCCTCCACCTTGAGATAGGCCCCAGTGTGTGTTGTTCCCCTCTATGTGTCCATGTGTTCTTATCATTTAGCTCCCACTTATAAGTGAGAGCATGAGGTATTTGGTTTTCTGTTCCTGCATTAGTTTGCTAAGGATAATGGCCTCCAGCTCCATCCACATCCCTGTGAAGGATATGATCTCATTCTTTTTTATGGCTGCATAGTATTCCATGTTGTATATGTACCACATTTTCTTTACCCAGTCTATCATTGATGGGCATTTAGATTGACTCCATGTTTTTGCTATTGTGAATAGTGCTGCAATGAACATGTGTGCATGTGTCTTTATAATATAATGATTTATATTCCTTTGGGTATATATCCAGTAATAGATTGCTGGCTCAAAAAGTAGTTCTGTCTTTAGGTCTCTGAGGAATCACCACACTGTCTTCCACAATGGTTGAACTAATTTACACTCCCATCAACAATGTATAAGCATTCCTTTTTCTCCACAACCTCACTAGCATCTGTTATTTTTTTATTTTCTTAACAGCCAATCTTACTGGTGTGAAATGGTTTCTCACTGTGGTTTTGATTTGCATTTCTCTAATGATTAGCGATACTGAGCTTTTTTATATAATTGTTGGCCACATGTATGTCTTCTTTTGAGAAGTGTCTGTTCATATCCTTTGCCCACTTTTTAATGAGATTGTTTGTTTTTTCTTGTAAATTTGTTTAAGTTCCTTATAGACTTTTGATATCAGACCTTTGTTGAATGTAGTTTGCAAAATTTTTCTCCCATTCTGTGGGTTGTCTGTTTACTCTGTTGATAGTCTCTTTTGCTGTATAGAACCTCTTTAGTTTAATTAGATCCCATTTGTCAATTTTTGCTTTTGTTGCAATTGCTTTTGGTATGTTTATCATGAAATCTTTGCCAGTGCCTATGTCCTGAATGGTATTGCCTAGGTTATCTTCTAGAGTTTTTATAGTTTTGGGTTTTACATTTAAGTCTTTAATCCATCTTGAGTTAATTTTTGAGATATAATTTTTTTTTTGAGACAGTCTCTCTCTGTCACCCAGGCTGGAGTGCAGTGGCTCAAACTCGATTCACTGCAACCTCCACCTCCTAGGTTCAAGCAATTCTTGTGCCTCAGCCTCCCGAGTAACTGGGATTACAGGCACGTGCCACCACCCCCAGCTAATTTTTATATTTTTAGTAGAGACAAGGTTTCACCCTGTTGGCCAGACTGGTCTCGAACTCCTGGCCTCAAGTGATCCACCTGCCTCAGCCTCCAAAGTGCTGGGATTACAGGCATCAGCCACCATGCCTGGCCAAAAATTTTTAGGAATACAAATGGCCAATAATATAAAACATTTTTCAAATTCATTGAAATGGAACTATTACAGTGAGACACCATTTTTAACCATTGAATTTTAAAGATATTTTTGAAAAAGGAAAATACTAAGTATTGATAAGAGAGAAGCAGTCATACATTGCTGTTGGCAATACAGACTGGAACCACATATCTGGAGAAAATTTAAGAATATGTACCAAGATTCTAATTATTCCTAAATGCACAGTGGCATCCTAGATTGAATCCTGGAACAGAATACTGACTTTAGTGGAAAAACTGGTGAACTCAAATAACATCTGTAGTTTAGTTAATAGTATCATACCAATGTTAATTTCTTAGTTTTGACAAATGAACCATGGTTATGTAAGATGTCAAAATTAGTAGAGGTTGGGTGAAGGAAATATAAGAACTTTGGACCATTTTTGCAATTTTTCTGTAACTTAAAATCATCCCCAAATTTTAAAAATTAGGCATTTATGTCATTTAGCCCAATAAATTCTACTCTAAGATACTAACTATGGGAGATAATCAGATGAAAAATAGTTTGGGATACGTTATTCATTGCAGTGATATATTTGAGAGCAATGGAGAAGAGAAATGGAAAGAAAAGAAAAAAAGGGATAAAAAATCCACATGCTCAACACTATGGTCAATGGAATACCCACCCTCATCCATGCACAAAACAATTATGAGGCCTGTTCTAGATGTTGGGGCACAGCAGTGAACAAAAGAAAAATCTGTGATGTAAGAAGCTTAATTCCTGGCCAGGCATTGTGGCTCATGCCTGTAATCCCAGCACTTTGGGAGGCAGAGGTAGGTGGATCGCTTGATGTCAGGAGTTCGAGACCAGCTTGGCTAACATGGTGAAACCCTGTCTTTACTAAAAATACAAAAAATTAGCTGGGCGTGGTGTCAGGCACCTGCAATCCCAGCTACTCGAGAGGCAGAGGCAGGAGAATTGCTTGAACCCCAGGAGGTGGAGGTGACAGTGAGCAGAGATTGCACCACCACTCTCCAGCCTGGGTGACAGAGTGAGACTCCATCTCAAAAGAAAAAAAAAAGAAGAGGCTTAATTCCTGAAAGGGGAAAAAAAGTTGAATGGATAAGAGAAACAAAATGTGTAGCATGTTAGTGATAAGTGTTAAGAAATAAAACTAGCAAGGGGATACAAAATGTCAGGGAGAGGTTACAATTTTAGGTGGCGAGACCAGGGAAGGTGGCCTCACTGGGAGGGTGATTTTTAAGTGAACAGCCAAGGAATTGAGGTGTGAGCCCTGTAGATATCTAGGAAAGGAACACCCCAGGCAGAGGGAACAGCAAGTCCAAAGCCCTCATAGTGAGCGTGTGCCTGCAAGGTCTGAGGAACAGCAGCAGGGAAACAGCACAGCTGAAGCAGAGTGAATGGACAAAAGAGAGTAGCGGATAGTGGTGCGGGGGAGTGCGTGGGGTAAAGACTTGCTCTTATCTGAATAAAATGGGAGCTATGGGAGAGTTTTTAGCAGAGAAGGGACATGATCTGACTTACAATGTATATGTTTGATTTTTGTTTTACTCTTAATTCTTTTCTACATTTCTCAAATTTTCTATAACGAACATCTATTCCTTGAAAAAATAAAGGAACAATGTCCTACCAGATTGCGATAGCTTGCCTGGAAACAATTGAGTTATTTCTTTCTTTTTTTTTTTCTGAGACAGGGTCTCACTCTGTCATCCAGGCTGGAGTGTCGTGGCGCGATCATGGCTCACAGCAGCCTGGACATCCTGGGCTGGAGCGAGCCTCCCACCTCTGTCTCTTGAAGACCTAGGACCATAGGCATGCACCAATGTGCCCAGCTAATTTTTGTACTTTTTTTTAGATGGGGCGGGGGGGGGGAGGGTCTCACCATGTTGCCCAGGCTGGTCTTGAATCCATGGGCTCAAACGATCCTCCCACCTTGGCCTCCCAATGTGCTAGGATTACAGGCATGAACCACCATTGAGTTATTTCTTATTGAGTTATTTCTTATAGCACAGAGCCTATTTGGTTCATGATACTTTAATACTCATCTGTAAAATGAAAGCCTCAATAGCTCTTACTAAAGCATACTAAGAATGTTTAATTGAAAACATCTTTAGTCTAGGCCGGGTGCGGTGGCTCATGCCTGTAATCCCAGCACTTTGGGAGGCTGAGACGGGTGGATCACTTGAGGTCAGGAGTTCCAGACCAGCCTGGCCAGCACAGTGAAACCCCATCTCTACTAAAAATACAAAAATTAGCCAGGCATGGTGGTACACACCTGTAGTCCCAGCTACTCAGGAGGCTGAGGCAGGAGAATCGCTTGAACTCGGGAGTCAGAGGTGGCAGTGAGCCGAGATTGCACCATGGCACTCCAGCCTGGGTGACAGAGCGAGACTCCATCTCAAAAAAACAAAAAAAAAAAGAAGAAGAAGAAGAAAACTTTTAGTCTAAAATGATGATATGCTAGAGTTTAATTACAGAATTTTAGAACTAAAAGGGAGTTTAGAGATTATCTAATTTAGTCTCCTAGTAGATGAACTAAAGGAGACTAAAATCTATGTTCTGACCCCTGGTCTAATTTCACCATATTAAAAAAAAAAAAGAGAGAGAGAGAGAGAGAGTAAGAGAGATATATTGAGAGTAAGCTGCCAAATCTTAAGGACCTACCAAAAACAATCGCAGGTAGGATTCTTACTTCATATTGTTTCAAGCACCTACGTTAAATGGTATTATTTTTAAATATACATAAATGTAAAGCTATTCACTTATTCATTCAAGAAATATGTTGAATGGTTAGTATATGCCAAACACTGTTAAAATATTTAAGATGAAGAATTTTGAAGATTTTTTTTTCTGTCTCAAAGAAAAAAATCTTAAAGGCAAAAGTTACATTGGAGGCTGGGTGCAGTGGCTCACGCCTGTAATACCAACACTTTGGGAGGCTAAGGTGAGCAGATTACCTGAGGTCAGGAGTTCGAGACCAGCCTGGCCAAAATGGTGAAACTCTGTCTCTACTAAAAATACAAAAAAAAAAATTAGCCGGGCATGGTGCTACACGCTTGTAGTCCCAGCTACTTGGGAGGCTGAGGCAGGAGAATCGCTTGAACCCAGGAGGCAGAGGTTGCAGTGAGCCAAGATAGCTCACTGCACTCCAGCCTGGGCAACAGAGCAAGACTCTATCTCAAAAAAAAAAAAAGTTACATTGGTTGTTAAATAATTTTCCCTGGGGGCCTGGGATTAATGTAATACCATTTAGCTGTATATCTGTATATGCTGTATATTCTTTCTGCCCTATTAATAAGAAACGTAATTGTAGGAAAAACAATAAAGGCTTGCTCCTCTCAGGAAACATCTGACCAGGTACACAAAGATAAGTTGGAGACAGAAACTCCTAAGGGACCACAACTCAAGCCTGTGGTGGGAGTTACTGCATGAAATGGCATTGTTTTTAAATAGCCATAAATTTCAAGCTATTCACTTATTCATTCAAAAAATATGTTGAATGGTTAGTATATGCCAACACTGTTAAAATCTTTAAGATGAAGAATTTTCCCTAAATGCACCTCAGTATAACTCTGAACATAGTGAAACTACCTTTGCAGAATTGTTAAGTAATGAGAGAAATCTAACATGACTGACTGTCTTGCTTTTAACCTCAACCTCACAGGCTCTTCTCTTTTCCTCTCCTCTTTTTCTTTTCTCTTTTTTCTTTCTTTTTGTTGTTGTTTATTCTAGCATGGAGGCCAAGATAATATGAAGGGAATTTAGTTTATAGTTAAACTTTGAAGCAAGGAAAACTGAATCCCCTCTTGCTGGAGACTAATGCTGCATTCATAACACAAGATTAGAATTATGGTTGGGGCTTGAACCTTGCTAAAGAATAAGCATGGTTAAACAATAACCTACTGCTGCTTAGCTTGCTTTTCTATACATTGCTTTCTGCTCCAAAGTCACATGAGAGGTCATAAGATTTGTAACTCCCCAGCTACTCCTATAGATAACATAACTATTGTGAAACCTAAAGAACTGGTCTTTAAGATATTTTTCAGATTTAGCATTTCAACAAAGAGATACCACTTGGTTCTGAGAACACCCTTTCCCCCTTCCCTGGGAAGACTTAGCTGTGTGAAGACAATTTAGACACCTCTGTGATTTCATCTTCAGCCAATCAATTGTTTCAGTTTCCCCACTACCTGCCTACCAATTTACCCTTAAAAACTTTACCCTCTGAATTATTGGAGAGACAGATTTGAGAAATTTCTCCCATTCCCCTCATTTGTCTGGCCCCACAATAATTAAACTCTTTCTTTGCTGCAATACTTGCTGTTCTCAGTGCATTGGTTTTTCTGAGCAGCAGGCAAGAAGAACCTGTCAGTCTATGACAACGATGGGACAATGAGGACTGAACCAGGAGTGTGGCACACTTCAGACCCAAGTCCTGCCCCTGCTTATAACTAGCTATGTGATCTCTTTGGTCTGTTTCTTCATCTATCAAAGATTAGAAAGATGATCTCTCAGATCTCTGTGTAGCTTTATTATTCCATTGTTACACCCTCCCTGCTGAGCATCTTGGCTGTGTCTGTAAACTAATAATCTAATGTCTCCGTTGTCCCCCAACTGCCATTTCCTCTGAAGCTCTCAGATGTAAGGAGTTAAAAAGTCTCTGGGTAACTCTCTCCTCTCTGCCTTTCTGCTACTTACCTACAGTGGCATGTCCAGGAGTAAATATAGATGGTGGAAAGAGGACTGCACTGGAAAACAAGGCACCTGGGCTGGAGCCCTGGTTCTGCAACTGCCTCTCTGTGTAACTTTTGGTAAGCACTCAACTTTCTTGGGCCTTAATTTTCCCTGCTGCCACAGACTAGAGTTCTTCTAGATCCATGGTTCTCATCTATGGCAGTATTTTAGAACCACTTGGGGTGTTTGATAAAAATACTGATGCCTAGATTTCACCCCAGGCCAATTAAATCAGAACCTTACCAGGGTTAGGCCTGAGCAGAAATAATTGCAAAAAGTGGCCAACGCTAAATAAAATTTATTTGTAAAAGCAAAGGGCCAAGAATAGTCAAAACAATCATGGTAGCAGATGTCAAGACTCCTTATAAAACTACAATAAGCAAGGCAGGGTAGCACTGGCACGAAGACAAATAGACCAATAGACCTACACACATAAGAGCACCTGATTTGTCACAAAGATGCCCCTGCAGTATGCTGGGGGAAAGAGTGGAAATTTCAATAAATGGTGCATATTAACTGCCTATCAGTAAAGGAATAAATGAACCCTGACTCCCTATCTCACACCATGTCTTAAAAACAATTCCTGACGGGTGATAGACCTACAAGTGAAAAGTAAAACACAGCATAGAAAATAACATAAAAATAACACAGAAAAGTCTCTTTACCATCTTGGGCTTGTGTGGTAGCCAGAGTCCAAGATGGCCCCTGATGATTCTTTATATGGTTCCCTCCCACACTGAATAACACTGACTTGTATAACCACTAGGCTATTGCAGAAATGATGTGCAGCTTTTGAAGCTAGGTCATAAAAAAACATTGTGGTTCCTGCCTTGCTCTTTTGGGTCACTTGCTCCAAGGGAAGCCAGCTGCTGTCACATGAGGACACACAAGCAGCCCTGTGGAGATGCTTACGTGACAAGGCACCAAGGCCTCCTGCTAACAGCCAGTAAGAATATGGTACATCCTGTCAACAGCCATGTACCATATGTGAGCAAGCCATCTCGAAAACAGACATTCCTGTTCCTGTCGAGCCTTTAGATGATTGCAGACTTAGACAACATTTTGACTATAGTTTCATGAAGAACCATTAGCTACAGCCACCCAGCTAAGTCACCCCTGATTCCTTGATCAAAACAAAGTGTGAGATTTTTTTTTTCTTTTTTTGACCACAAAGCTGTGGTAATTTGTCACACAGTAATATGGTTTGGCTGTGTCCCCACCCAAATCTCATCTTGAACTGTAGTTCCCATAATCCCCACGTGTCATGGGATGGACCTGGTGGGAGGTAACTGAATCATGGGGGCAGTTACCCCATGCTGTTCTCATGATAGTGAGTTCTCACAAGATCTCATGGTTTTATAAGGGGCTTTCCCCCCTTTTCTTGGCACTTCTCTTTCCTGCTGCCTTGTGAGGAAAGCGCCTTGCTTCCCCTTCACCTTCTGCCATGATTGTAAGTTTCCTGAGGCCTCCCCAGCCATCTGGAACTGTGAATCAATTAAACCTCTTTTCTTTATAAATTACCCAGTCTCAATTATTTCTTCATAGCAGCGGGAGAACAGACTAATACACAGGGTAATAGAGAACTAATGCATACTTCACTCAGCTGCCAGATTACTCTCTTTAAGGTACGGTTGTGCCCAGACCTTGGTTTCTAATACCATTTCCACTCAGAGGAACCAGAGCTTCTAAATGAAAATGGCTGTTTCTGGAGCTAGGTCAGAAGAGGTACAAGATGAGCCTTGTTATGTCCAAAAATCAGGAAGTGAGAAGATGGTGAGGAATCAAGAAGTGAGAAGATAGTGGGGAAATGTCACAAAGGAACCATCTTGGAGAGATTCCCACTGGCCAAATCTGGTTCAATTGGAAAATCAAAATAATTAAATAAATACAGTAATGAATTATATACCTTTGGAAAGACTAAGAATTCATGAGTACATATTGAAAATAAGTCTCTGAGTTGGTTCGGTGACCAGGGTCATACTTCCCAATACTTCACTCTTTCCACACAGAGAAATGAAGCACAACTCCAATAACAGGGTGAGGGTGCAAGTCAGGGACCACAGAAGTCACTACTGGGCTCCTGAAAGCCCAAGGCCACATTTGGGAAACGATCTGCACTTCTGGCAAAAGTGCAAGAGGGGCAGTGGTGGCCCCAGAAGAAATATTTTAATAAAGAAGATACACGAATGGCTAATAAGCACATAAAAATGCTCAACATCATTAGTAATTAGGGAAGAGAATTAAGTGTACCTTTTCACACACACTAGGATGGCTATAACAGATAAACAGAAAATAACAAGTGTTGGTGAAGATGTGGAGAAAAAGGAACTCATATATTGCTGGTGGTTATAAAATTTGTGTAGTCATTTTGGAAACAGTTTTGTAGTTTCTCAAAAAGTTAAACACAAAACTACCCAAGAGAAATGAAAATGTACGTCCAAGCTGGGTGCAGTGGTACATGTCTGTAATTCCAGCTACTCAGAAAGCTGAGGTGAGAGGACTGCTTGAGAGGAGTTGGAGACCAGCCTGGCCAACATAGCAAGACTCCTTGCTTGTGAATGTTCATAGCAGCATTATTCATAATTCCAAACTGGAACCAACCTCAATGTCTATCAACTGCTAAATGTATAGACAAAACTGGTAAAGCCATACAATGGAATACTATTCAGCAATAAAAAGTAACTAACAGCTGATACACGGTACATCATAAGGCCCCTTGAACTGAGGCATCAAATGCAAGAAGAGGTGGAAGCTATTTGAGTGAGGTGGGGGGGCAGGAAATAATAGGCTCAAATTTTGATAAGTTACGTTTGAAGTATCTGATAAGTATTTGAAGTATCAAGGAGAGGTGAGCAATAAACAATTAAAAATGGATGTTTGTGTTTGAGAAACAAGATTCTGCATGCCGGAAATCAGATGGTATAAACATATGACTCTTACAGTCTTCAGGTAGAACCATTGGGAATCACTGTGGGAAACTTGCAGCTCTGGGGTTTATTAGTAAGAATGTCCAAATATATTAATTGGCCTAATTTTTATGATAATATTACTATAACAGCAAAAGCTCCAAATCTAAACGTAGATAATGTTTACTGGAGAACATCTCCCTCCTTTTTTCCCCTCTAGAAGCAGGGGTACTGTCTAACAAGTATGGAATTGTGAAAAGCATGAGAGCCTTGAGGTCAGAGTGGGATAAAATCTGAGCCTGGTCAGTTATTACGTGAGCTACATTTAATAAATGGTTGAAATGCTCCAAACCTGTTTCTTCATTTTAGATGAGGATAGCACGAAAGCCTGAGGGTTGTTATGAAAAGGCAAAACAGCATGTAGTCAAGAACACGACCCCTGAAAACAAACTGTCCTGAATTTGAAGTCTGCCAGTGCCATTCATTAGCTGTGTGGCCTTGGCTAAGTTTCTGAACCTTTTTGGGCCTCAACGTTCTTACCCGTAAAAGATGGGTACCCTTAGCACCTACCACATAGGGTTATTGTGAGAATTTAATGAATGAATTCACATGTAGTACCCAGAATGGTGTAAAAATAGCAATGGGCTCAATAAATGCTGATATTACATGCAAAACCATTTAACCTAACTGAGTGGTATATAAAAATTGCTCAAAGGGATGGCCATCATTATTATCATTGTTTTTAAGGCTAGTGAATGGTTAGTTTTCATTGCATAAAACTTCATACCTGGAAATCCTAAGAAAACAAATCAGAAGGTATAATTTATGTGAAAGGCCACATTCTGTAGGTGGTTCCCCCCTTGGGTAGTAATGAATGTGTACTGCATGGTTCTCATTGTCCAACTTAGTGAGTCTTATGATCTCATGCAAGCATTTTGGAGACTGCTGGCTGAGGTTAGAAAAATAGTTCATTCTCAATAATTCAGAAATCCTTCCCTTCCCATAAAATAGAAAAAGAATCCTGACCTATACTCAATGAAACCCCAGAGCCACTAATACTTATGGTAAAATAGGCTATTGTCACCCTCTGTGTGCAAAATCTGTGTTTGGGGTGAAATGAACATTTCATCTCCTTAGCAAGAGTCCAAATAAATTCTCACCCAGATTGCAGAATATGCCTAAAACCCTGAATCAAGATTGCATAAGCTGTACTACACATCACCTTCTTTTTTCCAAAGGCAGCATTTTATACAAATGTTTGTTTTGCGTGTGTTTTGACTACTTCGATCCCAGGAATCCTATGCTTCGCAGTTTCTAGACTTTAATTTCAACTCGTTATTTTGGAAGGCCATAATGCTCTGTAAGTGGAATAAAGGTTTTCTAAGTAGAGGAGAAAATGGAGGTAGAAAGCACCTGGTATTACAACAACTGCTAGCATGATGAGAAAAACCAAGATATTTAAGGTCTGCCAGGATAAATTTTTTTTCTAAAAGCTCAAGAGCACAGAATTACTTGATAAGTTATTCAGTATTATTAGAGATTTTACTTTATATGTCTTATAAGTCATCCTGAGAGCATGTTTCAGTTTGCCATACAAATACATGATCATTCCCTTCTGAACTAATGATGTCTTAATTATGCAAATCATATGATTATTTCCTTGAAAACTCTGCTGACAAGAGTGGCAATGTCACCCATCTTTAATTTTGCAGTAGGTAAGCTTTTGATTGAACTTTCTGGACTTTGCTGTCATGCCACCCTGAGCAGCCACAGCCTCTGGTTTTCTGCCATATGAAATTTTTAAATTGCTCAACAAAACAGGAGAGGCAACATTAATTTTTCACTTTTTATCCATAAGCCAGAAATTATTAATTTCTCACAAATAGAAGGAAAATCCCAACTTACTCAATGAATCCCAACCCCAAATGCTCCTGGCTGTTAAAAAATCCTGTGCTTGGGTCGATGCATCTATCACCTGACAGTGTCAGTACTGTGTCAGCTCGACTCTCTCTGCCTGCCTACTTCATAAAGCTTGAAGACCAGAAAAGCATTGATATTTTTTGCCCACCACTGCTCTGTTGGAGGCAAAGGACCTACTTTACGCACTGCTTCTGCTGCACTCAGAGCCCACCATCATGTATGTTGTTAGATAATGCTTCTTTGATGTCTATTTTTTAAGTACTATAATTATCCATTTATAGTACAAAAATAAAAGTAGTCATTACTTACTCTGTTCTCTGTGCCAGCCCTTTCCTTTGCCAAAGCACTTGCTGTCTCTGAGTTGGTTTGGTGACCAGGGTCATATTTCCCAATACTTCACTCTTTCCACACAGAGAAATGAAGCACAACTCCAATAATAGGGTGAGGGTGCAAGTCAGGGACCACAGAAGTCACTACTGGGCTCCTGAAAACCCAAGGCCACATTTGGGAAATGATTTGCACTTCTGGCAAAAGAAGAATGATTCTATTGTAACTGTCATCTGATCAGCACTAGGCAGGAGGAGGGGCAGTGGTGGCCCTCCCACTTTAGAAGATGGTAAGTGGTGTTAGACTATTAGTAGAAAACAGCTGGAATGTTGTTTGTCCAACTATTTCTTTTGAGAGATGACATTGGAGCCAAAGGAGGGTGTTTGTAGAAGGTCATACGGCACACTAGTGACTATGCCAGGACACTGAATTCTGGCTACAGTGCTCCTTTCTTTACATCACTTTTTGTTTTGTTTTGTTTGAGACAGGGTCTCACGCTATCACCCAGGCTGGAGTGCAGTGGCATGATCACAGCTGACTGTTGCCTTGACCTTCCTGGACTCAGGTGATCCTCCCATTGCAGCCTCCCTAGTAGCTGGGACTACAGGCAAGCACCACCATGTCCAGCTAATTTTTTTTTTTTTTTTGTAGAAACAGGGTTTTACCATGTTGCCCAGGCTGGTCTCAAACTCCTGGGCCCAAGTGATCTGTCCACCTTGGCCTCTCAAAGTGCTGGGATTATAGGCATGAGCCACTGCACCTGGCCACATCACATCTTTACATACTATAGATACCTCAGATTTGAGAATTGTTAAAAAAAAAATACTGCAGCAGTATTGTGGACTGAATGTTTGTGTCCTCTCAAAATTCTTATGTTGAATCCTAATGTGAAGATATCTGGAGGTGAGCCTTAGGGAGGTGATTAGGTCATGAGGGCAGGCTCTCATGAATGGGATTAGACCTTATAAAAGAGACCCCAGAGAGCTAGCTCCCTTGTCCCTTCTATCACGTGAGGTTACAATGAGAAGGAGTCATCTGTGAACCAGGAAGGAGGATGAATCTGCTTGTGCCTTGATCTGGACTTCCAAGCCTCCAGAATTGTGAGAAATAAATTTCTATTGTTTATAACCCACCAAACTAGTGGTATTTTGTTATAGCATCCCAAGTAGACTAAGACAAGTGGCTATTTTTTCTTTCCCAAGGAAAATAATTACAGATCTGAAAATGTACCATTCTGAAGCATCACTGCTGTCCATTACACACAAATTTCATTAAAAAATATATGACAACACTGTAATTAGACTATGTTCGGCCTTGGATTGACACAAGTTGTAAATGAGGACTAAAAACCCACCTAATCATCCTCCCAATCTATCATCCTAGCTTCATCTCTAACCACACCTAATTCCTCACCCCCTTTTCCTGTTGCTTTAATTTCTCATGCTTCTGCCTTTGAATTTGTTGCTTCCTCTGAAGCAAATTCTCTGTTCTTCATAAATTGACTCATGCTTCAAGTTACTAAGTTTGTCTATGCAATCTTCATTTTTCATTTATACCCTATAGGTTTTTGCATTTGCTACAGTCTAGCACTTAACAGATTTTATTATTTGAACCTAACACTTTCTCTTCAGCCAGTAGTGATCTCCCAAGCCTAACATGGGGCTCAACAACAGTGCTTTCTGAAATTTTTTTTACAGAATTATATATAAAGATGAGATCAAAGCAAAAAAAAAGTGAACACAGGATCCACTATGACAGTTACTTCTAGTAGGCGGAGGACTTCTTTGATGTTCGTGGGTCTTTATTATATACTATTAAATTAAATATGGCCTAAAGTTCTCTCCATACGTAGTAAACTGTAACCTATCTTAATATGTAAACAAACTACAATCTAACTTGAGAGTATATTCTTGTAACAAGTAGCTAGGTCTCAGCCAATCATAGCAACTGAGATTTCAGCCAATTACAGGCTGCAACTGCTCAGACCATGATAAAATAAGGCAGATAAACAGTTGTAACAAATCAGGTTATTTCTATATGTCACTTTCTTTTTCTGTCTATAAATACTACCTATCCACTATTGCTGGGTGAAGCTCTCTGAATTGTTACTGGTTCAAGGTGCTACCCAATTCATGAACCACTTCTTTGCTCAAATAAACTCTACTAAATTTTATTTGTCTAAAGTATTTATTTTAATAGATTGGTGTCAGAAGTGGGACCCAAAGCAGACCTCCAGGGACACACAGGAGCACGGTATGGCCAAGTGAAGGTACCCACCAGGGATTATGTGCCCACTCATCTCTCACAGCAACTGGGATCATGGCAGAGTTCTCTCTTAAATTCAAGCTCTATGAATTTTTGTTTTGACCTCTCTGACTTTATTTGAGCAATTTTAGTGGAGTGGATCTGGGATGTGATTGGATCTAAGTAACTGAATTGGATCCAGTCAGAGGCTTGAGGTCAGTATCTTTTGAAAATAGGTTTCTCCAAATTAAAAAAAAAAAAAAAAAGTCTGGGATTCCAGCCAGGCACTCATGCCTGTAATCCCAGCACTTTGGGAGGCTGAGGCATGCAGATCACCTGAGGTTAGGAGTTCGAGACCAGCCTGCCCAATATGGTGAAACCATATCTCTACTAAAATTATAAAAATTAGCCAGGCATGGTGGCAGGCGACTTTAATCCCAGCTACCTGGGAGGCTAAGGCAGGAGAATCACTTGAACCCAGGAGGCAGAGGTTGCAGTGAGCCTAGATTGTGCCACTACACTTCAGCCTAGGTGACAGTGCAAAACTCCCTCAAAAAAAAAAAAAAAAGAAAAGAAAAGAAAAAGAAAAGTCTGGGATTCCAAGAATCTGGGACTCCACTTTTTGGTATGCCAGCTAACTTTATGCACAAAAATTATGGGCCTAGAACCTGTGAGTTTTTGAAAAAAATGTCCCTTACTAGGACAACTTAGAATTATAGTTGTTACAATGGGGAAATTTTAACATACATAAAATTGTTCATTTGCAGGGGCATTAAAAAAAGAATCCAAAATGCCACAAAGCAATGGGATATATTTTTAAATTGGTATGTACAGGCATCTAAAGCAGCAAATAAAGCAAAGATTGCCTCTTTATAAGGTTGCTTACAGAAAACAAATGAAAAAAATCTTAAATATCTTTTTCACAAATACTATTTAAAAGCTTTACCCATGGGGGCAGGAAATCTTATTCTATTGGCCAGGAAAACAATTCTGGTTCAGATATTTTTTAATAAATTACTGAGTTTTATATTATTGTGCACCTGGCAAATGGCTAAAAATTTTAAATGAAAGCTATAGAAGATCTGTATCTGCTTATACGTTTATGGACAGATCTGTATGTATGACACATGTGTGATATTTTTGTATCTCCTTATGATATTGCCAAAATTGAATTGAAAAAGTGCTCTATTTATTTGGGTTTTTCAAAAATAAGTGCTAATATAAATGAAGTATTCACTCAGAAAATTAAGAACTAAAATGCTTTTCAAATTCACATTACTTGGGTGATCTTGGTAAATAAGAATCTTGTTGATTTCATTAAAACAGTCATGTCTTCAGAATTTTCAGCATTAAATATAATACAGGCACATAACTTTTCCTACCTAGGTTCACTGGTAAAATAAACTTATGTTACCTCTATATTGCAAAATATGTCAGCAAGAGAAATAACTTAGATGATGACTAGCTGCTTACTGTCTCATCTTTATAAACAATCTATGCATAATTGTTAAAAATAAGTGAGTTAAACAGATGTAAGATAAAATTTCCATGTAAAACAGTCCTTCCTATATTAGAAGGTCTTAACATTCTTATCAAGATGGAAAACTGAACTTGAGGGAAATCTGTACAAACCACAATTTAATTCTTAGGCCTAGCATTAAAAAAAGAAAACCTAGGAGGCTAGAGATGAAATTTTGTCTCCTCTACAGCTTCTTATTACTGATACACTAAAGATATTTGTAATTGTTACAAACATGTTCTAGGCGACACTGATGAATTGTACTATAAGAAAGCATATGCTTCTAGAAGTAATGATTGATGGATTTGCCAAGGTACAGATGAGTGATGTGGCAGTTCCATGGGTGATGTGACAGTTCACAATTGCTTGCTTTGTAGTGTTCAGTGGCAGTTAAGGTCACTAAGGATTAAGAATTCTAATTGTGGCTGGGCATGGTGGCTCACGCCTGTAATCCCAGCACTTTGGGAGGCTAAGGCAGGTAGATCATGAGGTCAGGAGTTCGAGACCAGCCTGGCCAATATGGTGACACCTCATCTGTACTAAAAATACAAAAATTAGCTGGGCATGGTGGCACATGCCTGTAGTCCCAGCTACTCTGGAGCCTGAGGCAGGAGAATCACTTGAACCTGGGAGGCAGAGGTTGCAGTGATCCGAGATTGCACCACTGCACTTAAGCCTGGGCGACAGAGCGAGACTCCATCTCAAATTAAAAAAAAATTCTAATTAATATATTTTATTTAATATATAGAATTATTAGAAATAGAGAAAAACTCTATATGCAAGTGTATCAGGAAGTTAAGATGTGCTCTGGTTAAGAAAAAGTTATAAGGTATGAGAATTTTTTTGTTAAGGGAAAAAAAGAGTAACTTTTGTCCTCAAATAGAATGACTGGTTGTTCCAAAATGTGAAGAGGAAAAGTACAGGACAAAAACTGAACAGATAAGGAAGTTGTAGAAGTTTTCTGGAAGATGAATCTTATAAATGGAGTTTTATGTGTGATTAAGCTGGCTAATATTAGAAGAAAATTATTTGAGTTTCTCCAAAAGTTGAGCATTAATATCAAAAGTACACTGATGCAAAACTAGAATGTAGTCCTCTCTGTTAAAACAATAAGGTTTTCTTGAATTGTTGGCCTGCTCTTGATAGGAAATTATGAAAAGTTTTTCTTTACTTTTTATATAATTGGCCTAGGAAGCAAAGATTCTGTATTTTACCAAGATAATTTCCTGTGCTTCATGTTGCCTTTATTGGGTTTTTGATCACTTATGAAAACTGAGTCCGCTTTATTAAAAAATGTAATTTACAACTCTGCAACTCTCTGTATTTGCCTTTGAAGTCTTTAAATTACCACTCTGATTAAATGAATGATTATTGTTCACAGTGACTTGTGATCCTTTTTTGATCAAATGTTTTAAACCTTTGATATTTTTTATAAACTTTCCAAAATAAAATTCTAAATTAAGTCTTTTCTTGAAATTGAATTAACTTTGAGATTTTCCATATGCACCTTCAGAATATCTCAAAAGGATATCTCTTGTTATAGAAAGAGACATATTAAAGTAATTGGACTGATCTGATATATTAAATTATATGGAAAGGATTATAAAATAATAAATAATACTACTTTTTTTGAATTATATTTGTATAGAATGTGTTAATATGTATTTCAGAAATTGTGTAAAATTCATAGAAATCTAATAGTTCTGCTATAAAGCTATCAGTCATAATTCTAGTAATTATCTTAAAATGTTGAATACAACAGAAGTAACTGAGTTTCCTTGTCAATTGTGTCATTATTGTAATGAACTCTTCCCAGATCTTTAAAGTCATGGCCATTTTAAGTCTTGTCATTCACAGATAGTTAATTGTTTACTCTGATACTTTCTGAGAAACCATAAGCCTAAAGTGTACATCTTCAAGGAGATTTATGGAAAGAACTCTGAGAATTACAGGTTTCTCATAACTTTAAAATCACACCATTGGGTTGGGTAAGAATTCCCAGACTCTAATGAAGAAATTGACTGATTCATAAAACTGCTAACCTAATGTCACACAGAATAAAAATAATACAAAGGAAATGACTTGGGCAGAATTTCATGCTAATTAAGCCAGTACTGAAATTAAGATATACAACTTGAATGAACTATATAATATTGATCCAAGTCAAATTACATTTGATAAAACCTATTCAATAAATAGTGCTATAAGCACCTGAATTGGGGAAACAAAGTTGGTATTTAAGAGAATTAAATCCAATGTTAAGCCTGGATGCATGAAGAACCTGGATGGCTGCCTGGTTCTTCTGGAGTCTTAAATCTTCCAATATTAAAAGCTCTGCACTCCATGACTCATTATGGAGGAGATAAAATGATTCAAATTATGAAAAAAGATTGGTGGGGTGACTGTTATAAAATTGCTAAAATAGTTTATAACCAATGTCTGGTTTGTCAAACCCATAATTGTGGTAAGACAATAAAAACTTCAGGTGATACATTTCCTGAACACCTACAAATGGCTTTCATTCAATTTCCACTTTAAATGCATGTTTTCTGGTTGTATAGAAGATTTCCAATGCAGGAAGGCCAATGATATAACAATAGCTAAAAGGTTATTGGAAAATATGTTTCCCTTATGGGGCATTGCCGGAGAAATTTCTAGCAACAGAGAGGTATGCATTTCACTGGACACGCTGTAAAACAGTTAAACAGGTATTATAAACACAATAGCTTAGGAAAAGCTAACTGAATTGATTGGATTGCCTTGGTCAAAGGTATTACTGATTGATGGCAATAAGATCCATTCCCACTGTAAAACATAAATTGACCCCTCATAAAATAGTTACTGGAAGGCTTATGCCCCTAATAATAAAGTCTCATGTATCTTCCCCTCTTATAAACCCTGACATGACTTAATAGTGCAAGCCTTGAATGCATTCTGCCAAAGCATATTTTTACCAAGTGAAAGAAGTCCTTCATGACCCACCAACTGATGACAACCAAGTGTTTCATAATATAGAACCTGGAGGTGGGGGTCTTTTGGAAATAACTCCAGAGAAAGACATTACTTGAACTCGGTTGAAAGGGACCATACCAAGTTCTTCTCTGCAGCAAACTTCAAGGCCTTGAATCTTGGATCTGCATTTCTCAACACAAAAGAGGTCCTGTAGACTTCTGGAACTATAAACTTGTTGGAGACCTTGAAATAAAGCTGATCAGGGAAGTTTTTCCCTAGAAGCATATGGCATCCTATATGTAGACAGCTTTCCTAATATTGCAGATCAAGAGTTCTTTGCTATCATGAAAGCCTTCTCTTTTTTTCCTTTTTTCTCTATTTCCTGCAATACTAATTCCTTCCCTTTCTTTAGGAAAACCCTAAATAATGCCAGACTTTTTTGAATTATATATGTAAGGATATGTTATTAATATGTATTTCAGAACTTGTAAGAAATTAATAGAAATCTAATAGTCCTGGTATAAGGCTATTAATCGTAATTCTAGTTGTTATCTCAAAATGTTGTATGCAACAGAAATAACTGAATTTCCTTGTCAATTTGGGATGATACTCTGTGGATGGCTTTGGCAAAGTCTTATGGTCTCCAAGAAACCAGAGTAACTGTTGGGTTTATGAGCTAATGCGCAAAAATCTGGAAACAATTTCATTAACGCTAATGCCTGTGTTCCTAATGAGAGTCACCCTGCAACCCCAAGGAAAGAGAGGAAGGTTATCTTTGATATGCTACACATCACTGCTACCTGCCTTCCTATACTTGCTGAAAATAGTATCTTGATCTTTCCAGTTAATAACCAAACTGTTACCAAATATAAAAAATCTGGATAGAGGGGATTGGTCAATGGGTGCAAAGTTACAGTTAGACAGGAAGAATAAAAGCTGCTATTCTATTACACAGTAGAATGACTACAGCTAATAATAATGTATTGTATATTTCAAGATAGCTAGAAGAGATGATTTTGAATGTTATCCCCAAAAAGAAATGATAAATGCTTAAAGTGACATATTATTTAATAATTATCCTGATTTGATCATTGTTCAACATATACATGCATTGAGACATCACACTGTACCCCATAAATATGTACAATTATTATTTGTCAATTGTACATAAAAGTAAAAAAAAAAAACTATCAGAATGATGCCTGCAAAAGGTATCTTGTGCTTCCGGGCATTGCATACTTAAGACGTTGGGGACTACCTATGTGGGTACAAATAATTGCTTGTGTGATTTCACTGGATTAAATCTAGCAAAGTCTTTTTACTAGATCCAGTGGTTTGCACCCTTACAACATGCTATATAGGGACCACAGAAGAGTAAGTTCACCACTGGATTTTATTCAGGAGCTATGCCAACTTGTGGGTGGACAAATTTAACTGACCTCGGCTCAAACACCACTAAGTGGCCCTCTTTTCAAGCCCCCAAGGGCCTACATTGGGTTGGTGGATAATCTGACCTGCCTTCTCTGTTGTTTCCTCACTGGTTCAGATCTTGCTATTTGGCCTGGCTCGCTCCTACATCCCAATAGCCTTCCCTGAAAGTTCCCATAATACCTTTCATAATCAGAGGTTAAAGCAGTCAATAACCAAAGTAAGCACCAACCTAAAAATAAATGAAGACAAGTTAGTTTCTACTGAGGAAAGGTTCCAATGGAGGTGCTGGAACTCACTCTTGGCATTAGCAGGGTGCCTGTTGTATGGAATTTGAAACTAATCTATAAATTGGGGAAAATCTTGAATTTGTAGCCAGTCAGACCTCCTAGGGGTTCACATGGTAGAAGCTACTCAAATATTCTCAGTGGATCAAAACATTTGTGTTCAACAAACACACTTCATGGAACATTACACAACTTTGGATCTCCTCTTTGCTCATGCTGGGGGCTCTTGCATGGTGCTGAATAAAACTGAATGTTGCACTTATTTTTCCTCTAATTTTACTACTATAGAAAACTTAATTTAAAAGGTGGCAGATACTGCTGTTTCTCTAAACACTGCCACTGAATATATTAAGGAAACTTCTCAGGGGAAAGGAACACATGATACATTTATGGGAGCAGCTAATGGTTGGTTTGTAGGCATCCTGAGTAGTGAAAGGCAAGCTAGGCTATTCCAAACTTTTCTAATCTTTATGCTTCTTTAGTGGCTCTCCAGGTTATTATAACTTGTGTTACCAGGCTAATTACAAAAATGGATACCTCTTTAAATCAGGCCATAAGGCTGAATCAGGTCATTCAGTGAACTATGGTCCTTGTAAAAAGTAAAGTAGAGGTTCCTTTTCAAAGACTTTCCTCCTCATCTGATTAGGAATAAATAGTAACCTCTCTTAGAAGCAAAATTTATTCAAAGACCTGTTAACATTCTTAAATATCTGCTAGCTGTAATAAAGAAATCAATGTACTTTATGTTCTTAGCTCCCACAATTTAGCCTAAATATTTGCCCTGGCATGCTTATACTGGTCCAAGTGGGCATTAGGTCATAGCCTGTTCCTCTTCCTTATTTAGAGGTGTTTTTCCCTTCTCAGCATTCCACAAGTTACTTCCTCCTTCCTTTGTTCTCCTCTGCCTTTGCCTCTTTTAAGAATTTCTAAGTTGCTAGCCAATCAAGACAAATACAGAATGTGAAGTCCCGTTCTAGCCAATGGAAACCAGTCACAACAGTAAGGTGGACGGGTCAGGTTATAAATGACCCTGCCTCCTTTGTTCGGTGTACTCTTGTGGCAAAACTGCTGGCGAGTGTACTCTTTCCGCAGAAAGTAAAAATGGCCTTGCTAAAGAAATTAATTTTATGTTCAAGTGCTATTTCTTTACGGCACCAAGAAATAAGCATTTCTAGCAGTCCTTAACCGCCATAATGCCCTAAATTAGACCATGACCAATTGGACTCAAATACTTTGAACTATCTTTATTGCCTGAACTTTGAATTGTTTAATTTTGATCAGTTCAGTTTGTGGAGACTCCTGTTAAGGTGTGTACCTCAGTTTATTGCTATACTCCTTCTCGTGGCCATAATAGTCTCCCTGATGTGTTGTTGTCCCCTCGAGAGTCTTCAATGTCTCTATGCAGCCATCCTTTGTACACCAAATGGTGTTATTACAGTTAGAATAACAACATGAAGAAAGTATAATCACTCAACTAATTTGACATTGTGACTTCCATACTGAGACAAAACAAGGTTCTGGTCAATCTCGTAAAACTGAGAGGCTGACCCAAAGGAGGAAACTGTTATTAAATTAAATCTGGCCTAAAGTTGCCTCCCTACCTAGCAAAGCATAATCAAACCTAATATGTAAATAAACTGCAATGTAATTTGAGAGTACGTTCTTCTAACAAGTGGCCAAGTCTTGGCCAATCACCGCAGCGGAGCTTTTAGCCCATTACAGGCTGCAAAAAATATTGTCTATAAACGCGGCTTGCCCACTGTTAGGGGCTGGAGCTCTCTGAACCTTTACTGGCTCAGGATACTACATGATTCATGCTTTCTTTGCTCAGATAAACTCTGCTAAACTTGTTTGAAGTTTTTTTGTTAACAATATTTAAACATAAAGCAAATAAATTAATAAGAATCCTATATCACTAAGTTACAGTAATTAGAAAGTATTCACCTGAGTGAGAAGATTGGCCAAGCTGCTATCCAGTCTTCCATTATTTGACAAGACATTTCTTTCCTATGCTTTCTAATAGTATTCGTTATTCCAGAAAGGTTGCTCTATGACCTTAAACCGTCCACATGTTCACTGCACTGATAGACGTCCAACGTCAAGATGGGTAACTAAAGGTCAACTCTCTCTTTACCTTCCCTGAGCCTGATTTTTGCATTGTAACTCATGGTCACTAGACATTTGTTTTGGGTGTTCGCAGTCTACATTTATTTCCCTTTTAGGGGAAACAATCACTGTCCACGGGATTAAAATAATCCCGAGTTGATTATTTGGTGACATCAACCAACGGTGCACATTTTGGGTCCATTACCAACACAGCCAAGCAGCACATATTTCTTCAGAGCCTAGATATGCACATGTCATCAAAGGATAGCATTTTACAGAGTCAACACCACTCACTTCATAGAACAAGGGGCCAGTGGCTTTTCAGAAGAAGGGTCTGTTCTCGGCCCCACACCAGAACGCCAGCCGCCAGGTCCCGCTGCTCAGCAGGTCTCAAGCCCGCGCTCACTCGGGCTCCGGCTGCTGACAGCTGCGAGCCCGCGCGTGTATACCCGCTCAACGCTGGGACGTTACAGCCAGGGCCAATGGGCAGAGCGGGACTCGAGGCCCCGCCCCCGCCTTGTGGCGTCACGGGGACGCCGGGGGCGCGCGGGCTGCAGGGCCGCGTAGGTCCCCGCCCCCAGAGTCTGGCTTTCCGCGGCTGCCCGCCTCGCGCGTCTTCCCTGCCCGGGTCTCCTCGCTGTCGCCGCCGCTGCCACACCATGGCCTTCGTCACCAGGCAGTTCATGCGTTCCGTGTCCTCCTCGTCCACCGCCTCGGCCTCGGCCAAGAAGATAATCGTCAAGCACGTGACGGTCATCGGCGGCGGGCTGATGGGCGCCGGCATTGCCCAGGTGAGCGGCCCTCCCTGCAGCGTGCCCACGCGCTTGGCCGCCCACCCTGAGGTGGAAGCTCTGGCGCGACCGGCCGCGAGGGGCCTGCACCCGCCCGACACCAGGGAGTTTTCACCCCGCGCCTCCCGGGTGTAGTTGAAATATCTCGCGTCTGGGCCTGTGAGGGCCCAAGTCTCACTCCCCTCAAAATTCAGGGTTCTGGGCCGATCCTCAGCTTCCTCGTTTGGAAAATTCTGGCTGCCCCCAGGGCCCGCTGAAGGTTCCATGGAGAGTGGCGGTGAATGCATTTTGGAAGCGGGCCGTGCAAGAGAAGAAAGAATTGTATGTGCACAAGGTTCAGGCATAACGCGTTTGTTCCTGCTCGGCTCAAACGGGAGTTTGCTGCCAAAGACATGAACTGCGATCAGTTTTAATTCTATCAGTTATTTTTGATTTTTATTCTGTAATTGTGCAGTCTTTGTCAAAGTAGTTTTCTCTCCTAAACGGCCTCCCGGCTCTCCCCGGTCTTTCCTTCGCTTGCTAGGTTGTAAAGAATAGTAGTAGTCATGACTTTTGTAGCACTTTGTAAAGTCACCTAATGGAAGATTGCTGAGGTCCTGGTTTTGACCTTTGAAATAGTGCCGTCTGTGCAGAGTTCTGAGCTTGCGATTTTGGCGCTGCAGCGGAATAAGTCTCTCTCTTTTTTTTTTTTTTTTTTTTTTTGAGTCGGAGTCTCTTTGACCCAGGCTGGAGTGGAGTGCAATGGCGCGATCTCGGTTCACTGCAACCTCCGCCTCCCGGGTTCAAGCGATTCTCCTGCCTCAGCCTCCCGAGTAGCTGGGATTACAGGCGCCCCGCCCGGCTAATTTTATATTTTTAGTAGAGACAGGGTTTCACCTTGTGGGTCAGGCTGATCTCGAACTCCTGACCAAAGGTGATCCGCCCGCCTGGCCTCCCGAAGTGCTGGGATTACAGGCGTTAGCCACTGCACCCAGCCGGAACAAGTCTTTTATCCATTGTACATCTTCAGGGCTTTTCCATTGTTCTGCTGAGCTGTGGTTCAGGCTCAGTTGTGCGAGTGATTGATTACCTGGCTACTGTAATGCTTGTACTTTTTTTTTTTAAAAATTATTCCATTTCAGCTCACATTGGAGAACCATGGTTTTCGTATCCTAGCTGATTATATTCTTAGCATTTCAGTCCTTTGCAACTTGGTTTGTTGGGGAAGGCGGTTATAGTCATCTAATTTTTCTTGGGGACAGTACTACTGTGGCTACAGTCATGAGAGAGTTTACTTTTTCAATGTCTTGTTTCCAACCAAGTCCACGCTTTCATGCTTGCTTTTTAAAAACAAAAACAAAAAAACCTTTTACTATTAGGTATTATATATCTCAATTTTCTTCTCCTTGGCAAGTTTTTTACAACGTTTTTATTTGATTGCATTTTCTTCTAAAAGCTATATCCCTGTAATGTTTTATTTATATGACTTCTTACAGTCTCCCATTTCCTCTGAGACCATAATTTTGGACATACATTGCCCTTTTTATTGTGTGGATCCCCTGGCTGCTAGGTTATAGTATCCCCATAATCTATGTTGTATGTGGACTGGGAGGAGTAACTCCCTTTAACCTAAAAGTTCCACAGGTTATACTCAAGAGAAAGTTTAGTTTGAGTACGTTTGTATTCCCAGGCTCCACCCAAATCTCCCAAGGCTGTGAGAGTGAGATTTGTTGTGAGCAGGAATAGAACAATGTGTTTTTTAGAAACATTTTAACAACATCTTAGTAACAAAATATTAGGGCCTTAAGCAGCCTCCAGGAACATTATGGGAAATGGATCCAGAAACTTGTGGCTGGTGTCCTTGAAGACAGCAGTGGAAAAAGATTAGAAACTAAGTAGAAAGCGTCACTTCAACTTTTGTAGAAAATCAGAGTGCTTAGTTCTTTGAATGCTGCATCCATCATTGGCCAAAAATGGATGTTGTGTTGCATTAAAAGGCAGAGGGGCAATACCTAAAATTACAGGTATGGTGTTGGAGCTTTCACCTGACAAAGGAGTAAGGAGAAATGATTGACATTAATGGAGAACACAGGCTTGTGCTTGTCAATCAAACTCTTAAATAGGTGGACCAGGGAGTGCCTTTTGAAACTTAAGGGAAAAAAAAGCTATTTATGCCATAGGCTGGACACATAATGGAACTGTCATTCTGAAAGGTTATAAAGACCAGAAATCTATAAAGTGGACGACCATAAGAAACAGTTCCATCCTTATGTAACACAGTTTGGAAAAACCTCAGTTACTTTAGTTGACAGCTCCAATCCTCTAAAACATTTGTGAGCAATGCTTTGCAGTGGTTTAGCTTATCTGCTTTTGCACCCTACCCTGTAGCATGCAGTTCTAGGCAGTATTGCTTCATTCTTTATGCTCCTTGACCAACAGCTTTTGGCATAGGGTAAATCTGTTTTGCTTATTGAGTGCCAGAGACGAATTAGTTGATGTGTTTTGAGTACAGATGGGCTACAGTTCAATATAAGAAGTTGGATGGTCTGCATGCTAGCTCTGCCTCATGCAGTATTAACATGGGACTTTACCTCTGTGTCTCGGTTTTCTCATCTCTAAAGTAGACTAATGCTAGTACTGGCCTCGTAGGGAGAGAATTGAATAAATTCAATGAATTCATGCATATGTCAAGCAGTTACATATATCAAGCATATGTCAAGCACTTACACAGTGTCTGGCATGTAATAAGAGTTCACAGAAAGTTAGCTGCCTTTATAATAATTATCTTCGGCCCGGCATGGTGGCTCAAGCCTGTAATCCCAGCACTTTGGGAGGCTGAGGGGGGCAGATCATCTGAGGTCAGGAGTTCAAGACCAGCCTGGCCAATATGGTGAAACCCTGTCTCTACTAAAAATACAAAAAAATTAGCCAGCATGGTGGCATGTGCCTGTGGTCCCACCTACTTGGAAGGCTGTGGCAGAATAGTCTCTTGAACCTGAGAGGTGGAGGTTGCAGTGAGCCGAGATCGCACCACTGCACTGTAGCCTGGGCAACAGAGCGAGACTCCGTCTCAAAAAGATAAATAAAAAGAATAATCATCATCTTCATTGCAGTTGTCCTGTCCTTTTGCCCTTTTCCCCTCATATCCACTCCCATCCTGATCACAGCTGCTGAGGTAGGCCTGTAAGGTTTAGATGGAGAATATTGGTCATGATTCCCTGTTTCATCTTGCTTAATCTTGAATGCATATACCCGCTGATGCTGCAGCGGGTATGTTTTTTCAGGGACCTCTGAAAGGAGGGAGAACACTTTTTAGTTACCCCCCATTTTATTGTTAAACTTTAGTAAAGCCATAAAAGTACAATCACAAACTAGTATTGAGGTTATGTTACTGATTTTCATTAGCTTAATTTTCTTGAACTTTCTGACGTGGTTTTAATGTTAGTCAAGGTGCAGTTCTGCTTATAATTTTAATAGTTTTGTCATTTTAAACACGTCAGTTTGTGCTCAGAAGGATGAAAAAATATTTAAATAGATTTTGTGGGAGCCTGATGCATTTCTCAAGCAATTAAGCAATTTAAGACAAGTTCAGTGCTTAATTACATTTGATCAGAGCACAGGCCATTTGTACATGTGTATTTTCCGAGAGTATCTACTTTGCCTGTCATTTCTTTTGTTTGTTTTAAATTAAAAAAACAAAAAATCCCTTAGACTGCAGGTTAATATTTGAAGTTAACTTGTTTCATGTGTTTGCTTATTACACACTTCTGACTTGGTTTTGATTGCTAATTTATCTTCACTGGATACTTAGGCCAATAAAGAAGCTTATAGGATTAAATGAGCCTTGAGTGGGGGACAGGTTGTTTTTTTGCTTTATAAAGAGGAAAACAAGAAAGGAAGAAAGCTGGTAGCTGTGTGCATTTCTCCAGTATTGAATCCTTTCTAGGCTTTGCTTCATACATTGGGTTTTTTCATATGAGGAGCCCAGAGAGAATGCATAGCTTTCATTAGATTACTTGTGAGGAGCCAGTGGGCTCCCTGGGAACGGGGCACTTCAGATGTCCCCCTTGAGACACTTTACATGCTCTCCGGGTGCAACCTTCTTTTTAGTGCACTACTCTTCTTTGAGGAAGTGAGAAAGTTTGCATCTTAAAGGGGGTTGGGGATAGGTTCTTCTCTCCCAAAGCTTGCTTTTTTTTTTTCCTCCTTTTTAAAAAGCAGAAAGTGCATATTTTTTCTAGAGAGAGCTTCTTTGGCTATTAAAAACAAAGTAAGGGCAGGGAGAGCCTGCTACGTTGCAGGGATTTTGTGTGACTCTACCATGCTTGATAAGGATTCAGGTAGACCTGAAAGCTTCTCCCCAGCCACTGGATTTGTTCTCTCATCTCTTCTTCTTGCCCCCAAATCTGCATTTTCTGATGCTGAAAAAGAGAATGATCAGAGTTGTTTCATATTTTTTTAGCTTTATTCTCTTCTACTGTGAGTACAGCTCTGTTGAGCTGTACAGTACAGTACTGCTTTGCTTGCAAAGCAGTACAGATGCCTAGGAGAAGTTTCAGGATCACAGGAGACCAGCAGTTACCTGGCTGTAAGCTCTCCTTTTGACTGTTCCTTATGGAGGGAATATTTGTACTCCCAGTTGTTACCTTCCTGCTGAAGGACATGAGATGTGTCTGTTTGTTATGAAGTTTTCCCCCTACTTCCCGAGTTGTTGCTTATCTTTGTTGGGCTGTTCTCTGCTCTTGGTTGAGGTACTGGGATGTAGAACCACCCTCTATTAGCATATTAGTTATTGGACTCTGGGTGAGGTTGGAGATACTGTCATTCCTAGAGGGTAGAAGAGGTAGGGCTCACAGGCAACAGAAAATAATGCTATGGGATATGTTTGGACATTTTTTAGAGCAGAAATGGCACTTCAGTCAGTCAGGTTTTGGCATTTTCCTGCCATGTTCTGCCTCCAGCTTTAATCACTTGCCCCTTGCTTGAGTTTCTTCTTTCTTCCCCTCTCCCTTCTCTCTTATCTGTGGTAGGCACACACACCTCACTCTCTAGTTCTCCTGGGACCACAGGAAGATAATGTGGATGTTCTCTGTGGCTCCCCCTGTTATATTCATGATGTTATTATTTCTGGTAGTGGTATTCTAATCTCAAAAGTACAGGCTATGAGGTCCCTGCCAGGGTTTAGATGCTAGCCTTCCTATCCTGCCTTTAGGAACCTTGGGCAAATCACTTAACTCCTCTCTGCCTCTTTACTTACCTGGGAATAATGAGACTCACCTGACAGCTGTGAAAGTTAAATGAACTAATATACAAGCTCCTAGAATAGCATTAGTGTGTTTGATAGTAACTGTCTGATAAATATTAGCTGCTTTCACATAGACCCATCAGACCTGATCTAGTGAGGATTTCTCTTAGATTGTCTTCACTGTCGGAAGAGTTTTGATATAGGGAGTTCCAGCAATTCTAAAGATGTTAAGACTTATTTATGTGGGTTGTTGAGAAAGATAGTGTACCATTTACTGGTTTTTGTAGAGCTAAAACCACTCTACAAAATATGACACTTTATTCTGTTCAAAGAATTTTGATTTATTTAATTTCATGTGACCATTACAATAATCACCCCTGCAGAGATGGTTCCTGGGGTCAATGGTCAGAGGCAGAGCTGGGGTTAGAACTTGAGTTCTCTTCTGTTCTGCTGCCTGTAAATCCCCAAGCCTGAATTCAGTTCTGCCTGCACCTCTGGCAAGTGCTGTATTGTGGGGAGAAGTGTGGCATCCATGGCAGGGGATCCTCTGTGGCTCTCTGGAATCAGTACATCCCAGGTTGACGTCTCCTTGGCTCTGGACTCAAAGTTAGTCTACCTGCTGGTCGTCTACATCAGGGTGCTGTGCTGCCATCCTTCTGCCCATGGTAGACTCAAACTCACCTGCCAAGATCTAATTCATTATTTCCCCTCCAGCTTTTTCCAGAGAGCTTGCCCCTCCTGTTGCTGCAGTTGTTCTTCCAGCCACATGTACTCTGAAGATGGGATCACAATCAGTGTCTCCATACCAGAAAAGGCTCTGTAACTTTTTGGTCATGGGAGAGCTCTTTCCTCTGCCCTCTCCTTTGCAGTTCCTAGACCAGGTGTGTTAACCTGAATTGTCATGGGAGCCTCTTAATTGGTCCTTTCAGCAAAAACTAAAAGAAAAAACCCACTCATCATGGCAAACATTGTCATATTAGTCTTCCTGGAGAGGCATTTGGATTTATAACTCTCCTCTACCCGGAAAGTGTCCATCATAGCAACATCTTCCAGGGATTCTTAAATATAACGATGCTGTTGACATGTCTGGTTATCCCTTTACCTTTTCAGAATTTGTGGGAGGTGAGAAGTCTGGGAGAGGTTATCTGGGTTATTATGAAACCTACACACTTACTGAATTAAAAAAAAACTATGTAACACAATTCTAGTCTAAAAATGGGCGCACACTTTCTTTGCCTTTTAGAAATACTTTTTGAAATGTAAAATTCGAAGTCTAATAAAGGAGTCTGTCCAATTAATTTAACTGTTTGAAGAAAAAAACCAGTCCAGGCATGGTGGCTTACGCCTGTAATCCCATCACTTTGGGAGGCTGAGGCGAGCAGATCACTTGAAGTCAGGAGTTCGAGACTAGCCTGGCCAACAAAGTTAAACCCTGTCTCTACTAAAAATACAAAAATTAGCTGAGCATGGTGACACATGCCTGCAGTCCCAGCTATTCAGGAGACTGAGGTGGAAGAATTGCTTGAACCCAGGAGGCGGAGGATGCAGTGAGCCAAGATCACACCACTACACTGCAGCCTGGCCAACAGAGCAAGACTCCTTCTCAAAAAAAAAAAAAAAAAGAACAAACCAGCTGGTTGTGGTGGTGGTGGTTGACATCCTCAACAGAACAGCTTTTGCTAATTGTTGAAGTCAGGGAAGACAACTTGTGCTGATGGCAGAGTTCAAGACATTACACAACCAGAGACAATCATAAACCCAGAAATGCCAGCCCTGAGAGATGCAACTGATGTATGACTTTTTTCCTCTCTGGATCAAACCATGACAACCGTAAAAGGCAGGCCTTGCTGTTAAGGCGCTGCAGCCTCTGAAGCACAGTTGGCCTCAGGGAGCTCTGACTCAGTCTACTTATTCTGGGGATCTGAAGAAAGTCAGAAATCATGTGTGGTAGATAGTTTGCATAACTTTGGGATTTTCCAGAGAGAGGATGAAAACGGTGGCCCTCCTTGTAATGTCTAGGCACATGGGACATCCAGTGGAACTGTTGAGGGAGGAGATGGGAGGGAGACCAGTCACCAGACCAGTTGATGTAGGTCTCATAGACTCACCACTCAAGTTGTGCTTCGGAGAAAGCTGCTTCAAATCTTCTTGATACATTTACAAAGATAAATAAATCCAGTGTGCTTCTGCTTGGCATGTTTACTTGGTCCTGTGGTCAGAGTGCTCTGGGGCTTTGACAAATGTGCTAGTCACTTAGCCTATTTTTACAACTCTGAAGCAGCCGTGTCTAAAAATATTTCCTCTCTGGCTGAGCCTGCCTTCCACCAGGCCTAGAAAAGTCATGGAGCTGAGGACATAGCCTTCAAATATTTTTTTTTCCATTGCAGACTGCTTGTCCTCAAGGTCTTACCAGCATGTAGGTCACTGTAATATAAAACATGAGTTCTCAATGGATTGATTTAAATTGTGGTCACTCAAACTGCCAGGAAGAGTCCTCCTCATTTGTTGTAAAAATAACAGATGTCTATGAAAGGAGAAGAAGAAGGCCTTTCTTTTTTTGCAGTTCATTTCTCCACTGCCTTCTCCATCCCAGAAAGTTGGCGGTAACTTGGGTGTTACTGAATTACTCAGGAGAATGAATTGTACTTGTTTCTCTGTAGTTATTTTCTAAATAAGAGGTTACGTTATCAGGAGAGGCCATCAGCTACAGCAGTGGAAAGAGCCACCAGGTCTCATCTTGACTTTACCAACAAATGTCTTTATTCAGTCAACATTCCCTGAGGGCCAGCCACAGCCAGGCAGGGTCTAGGTTCTCAGTGTACAAAGATGAATGACATTTGGTCAGGAGCCTACAGTAGAGGAGTTCAGATTACTATAACACAGTTTGGTAGGTGCTGTGGTACACAGATGCAGGGATGTTACAGGGCATATGGGGGACATCTAGCTTAGGGCTGAGAGGATCTTGGGGAGTAGGCTTACTAACTGGAAATGATTGTTTTGTTTTGTTTTGAGACAGAGTCTCTCTCTATCACCCAGGCTAGAGTGCAGAGGCGTGATCTTGGCTCACTGCAGTGTCCACCTCCCAGGTTCAAGCAATTCTTCTGCCTCAGCCTCCTGAGGAGCTGGCATTGCAGGCGTGCACCACCATGCCTGGCTAATTTTTGTATTTTTAGTAGAGACAGGGTTTCACCATGTTGGTCAGGCTGGTCTCTAACTCCCGACCTCATGATCTGCCCGCCTTAGCCTCCCAAAGTCCTGGGATTGCAAGTGTGAGCTACCGCGCCCGGCTGATTTTTAGGCTTAGTTAATAGGTGAAGTTGGGGAGAAGGTGAGGCCAAGAGAAGGGCTGGAGTTGAGAGGCAGATGTAGGGAGCTACTGGCCTTGTGGTGGTGTTAAGACTGTCATGCATGAGGCAATAGTTGTGTTCTTTTTGTTTTTTTGTTTTTTTTTCTTAGTAATAGCCATCCTAATGGGTATGAGATCAGAGGTTTTTAACATTATACTGTGATGGACATTAGAGATTTCATGAATCTCCTTCATGGTTCCCGAAAGGTTGGTAAAGATTCCTTCTCTGACCTTTGTTGTACATATTGGTCTTCAATATGCATTCTTATGGAAAAAGGTGTTCATGGCTAAAACATTTGAGAGCCGCCACACTGAATGATCTCTGGGTTGTCTTCCTCCTCTCAAAATTGATGATCCTGATTATCTGTAGCTAATAAGCCTGAACAATAAATGCTTTCGCCAATCTCTTAAAGTAGTTGAGAAGCTAGGTGTGTTAGTTTCCCTTCTGTGATAGAGAAGAAACCTGTGTTGGAGAGCAGTGAGCTTATGTGTCTGTGGCCATCTCTGACCTGATTCACACATGTGCCCCTCACAGACAGGCACAGACACAGGGTTGGCATGCCTCTAGCCTTACAGCCTCTTGGATGAAAGGTATAAGACACATTCACATGTTGGAGTGAATTAAGCACACATCCATTTTGAAATCACAGGGCTGGATACCACTTAAAGAATATTGATCTTGCATTGGGCAACGCATAGCAACTGCCCTACATTTCCCCTTTTACCTAGCGTCACAACCACCAGTACTAGAAAGCAGTTAATCTGCTCACCAAAATAACAGAGAGAGACTTTAGTGGCATTTTTTCCACTTGGTAATTGACTAGACTCTGGCTATTAGCTCCTTTTTTTTCCTTACTATCCTTTTCAAACTAATAACGTGACTTCTCATAATTTTAAAGTAACTTGATGCTTACACAAAGTTTATCATAAAGGTTTCTAGCAACAAAACCAGTCATGACTTCTTGAGAACTTATTTCTAAAATAATTTACAAATTGAGACTTATGAAAAAATAGCTCTGTCATTCAAGTGTTCATTTCATGAGTATGAAATATCTCCCTTGTGCTAGACATCAGGCCAGGTAAAAAGTAAGATGTGATTGCTGCTCTTGAGAAACCTACTGTCTAGTGGAAGAAATACAGGTATGAACAACTAATTGTAATGAAGGCACAGACAGCCTACCTGTCATATCTGGGATTTGATCTGAAACAGATGAAAGTTATAATAGTTTACATACCTTACCTTAAAGTATGGTTTTTAAATACTTAAGATGTGATATGACATATAGTGTGTATATATATCTTATGCTAAGGAAAAAGGGACATTAAAAAAGCTTATGTTAAAAGATATATGTATACATTGTACTGCCTGTATGTTTGTGAAATTTGTATTTACTGGAAATTCTCATTGGCCTGTAGATAGGAGTGTTCCTAAGCACCCTATATTGGGATTTGTGGTAACAGCAGCTTGACAACCTGAAGTGGATGATGCAACAGCACTTTTGAAAGGTCTCTCCGTACTATCTTGATTTCATCATCTAAAGTTGGTGTTGGCAAAGAGAAGATAAGTGTTTAGGGTGTTGGATATCCCAGTTACCCTGATTTGATCATTACACATTTTAGGCAGGTATCAAAATGTCACATGTACCCCAAAAGTATGTACAGCTATTACATATCAGTTTTTTAAAGAAGAAAAGGTTGGTATGGTTAGCTTTTCTATTTCAAGTGTATCATTCATCTTTCACATCTGGGATTTCTCCTATGCTCTGGTTGGTTAATAACTTTTATTCTGAAATCGGTGAGATTCTTATGACATGAAATAGTCTATAACCAGTTAAGTTTTTATTTCTCTGTTCTGTTCACATCCTGGGGACTGGGCTGCCATTACATAACTGAGCAGCCATTGGTGGTTCACACCAGCGCCACACCCAGTTATTTTCTTTCAGTATTTGAATTCCTGCACAAAAGATCTGCTGTATCTGCAAATCACTAGAGGCACAAAAGAAGTGATTACCTCTACTAAGGGTTGGGAGAAGTTTCACTAAAGGAGAGATGGTGTCCATGTTAGATTATGAAGGGTAAGTTGAAGTCCATGAAGCAGCAATGAGGGAGCCGGACATGTATGGCAGAGGAAACCACATGAACAAGGGCACAGAGCCATGAGATAGCACAGAGGAGGGAGACGTGTGGTGTGGCTGGGGAAGACTACAGAATCGGGTTACTACCGTCCAAAGCATTTGTTATTTAGCAGTTATTGACCAGCTATCATATTCAAGGCATGTGATAAGTACTAAGGGCTACAAAGACCAAATCAATTTCTGCCATTAAGGGATTTTAAATCTAAGAGCAGAGATTAGACAGAGATCTAAATGACACAGTTTACTTTGGTGTAAAGTAGTACAATAAGAGCAGTAAAAATCTAGTTCTGAGGTTTCAAAATAGAAAGTACATTCATTTGGAAAAAGGCTTCATGGAGAGGGTAGCATTTGAAATGGGCCTGAATAATGGATAGAACATTTCTGGACAGCAGTTAATGGTTGGGATTAAGGAAAAAGTGTTGTCCAGAAAATGGTGACCTACAGAATAGTGGTACCAGTAATGAAGGCCAAGGAGAATTGATTTTAGGGTCAAGGTGATAACTGCAGCTTAGATAGATTATTTTGGTTTCAGGCACAGTTGGAAGTATGAGAACGATTGGAATTTCAGAAGGAAATTATATTGGAAACAGAACCTTGAAGGAAGTCCTTGTTTATAGGCTTAGAAGATCAAGAGAGGTCAATTAATATGGCTAAAAGGAACAGACAGATAAGAAACTGAAGAGTTTCAAAAATGAAACTTTTATTGGCAATGTACAGAGCTGTTGTAGAAGATGAAGCCAAAGAACAGGCATTGACTTTAGCAATTTAGTAGACCATTGATAAGTTACAGTAGTCCCCCCTTACGAGGGGAGGGAGTACATTCCTAGACCCTCAGTGGATGCGTGAAACTGCAGATAGTACCAAATCCTATACATACTATGTCTTTTTGATCTGATAACCCAGTCAACTACCAAGTGACTAATGGATTGGGTAGTATACAGTGTGGATATGCTGGACCAAGGGATGAGTCTCCTCCCAGACAGGACAATTCAAGATTGCATCACACTACTCAGAATGACATGCAATTTAAAACATGCATCATTTATTTCTATAATTTCCCATTTAATATTTTTGGACCATAGTTGACTGTTGGTAACTGAAACTACAGAAAGTAAAACCACAGATAAAGGGGGGACCAACTGTATCTAATTTCATGCAGCAGTGGTGGTGGAAGAAGCTACTCTGATAGGAATGTTTGTGTTCCCTCCAAAATTTATGTCGAAGCTGAATCCCCAGTGCAGCAGTATTAAGAGATAAGGCCTTTAGGAGGTGATTAGGTCATGAGGGTTCTGTATTCATGAACAGCTTAGTGCCATTTAAAGGGGCTTGAGAGACCAACTTTGCCTCTTCTCCCTTCTGCCATATGAGGACACAGTGCTCGTCCCCTCCAGAGCAGGGGTCCCCAACTTCTGGTCCGTGGCCCATTAGGAACCGGGCCACATAGAAGGATGTGAGCAGCTAGCAAGACTTCATTTGTATTTACAGCTGCTCCCCATCACTTGCATTGCTACCTGAGCTCTGCCTCCTGTTGGATCAAGAGTTGCATTAGATTCTCATAGGAGCATGAATCCTATTGTGAACTGTGCATGTGAGGGATCTAGGTTTCGTGTCCTTGTGAGAATCTAATGCCTGATGATCTGTCACTGTCTCCCATTATCCCCACATGGCACCATCTAGATGCAGCAGAACAAGCTCAGAGCTCCCACTAATTCTGTATTGTGGTGAGATGTATAATTATTTCATTATATATTACAATGTAATAATAATAGAAATAAAGTGCACAATCAATGTAATGCACTTGAATCATCCCTAAACCATCCCCTCTTCCCTGCAAGACGGTAGAAAAATTGTCTTCCGTGAAATTGTCTCCCATGTCTTCCTGGTGCCAAAAAAGGTTGGGGACCTTTGCTCCAGAGCATGCAGCAGCAAGGCACCATCTTGGAAGCAGAGAACAGCCCTCACCAGACACTGAACATGCTGATGATCTTGATCTCTGTTGTTTATACATTACCCAGTCTTTGGTATTTTGTTATAGCAGCACTAACAGACTGAAATAAGCCATATTACTAGAGTTTAGGAATTTAATGGCTCAGGAGAAAGTAGAAGCACCAAGTGTAGTGAATAAAATAGCAGCTAACAAGCTTTGTGCACCTTCACATGCCTGGCACTGGTCTAAGCATGTTAAACACATTAACTTCTTTAATCCTCACAACAGTTTTATGAGGTGGGTACCTTTGTTACTAACCTTTATGACAGATCAGGAAACCAAGACATAGAGGCTTCGTAGCTCACCCAAAGTCACACAGTGAGTGAGTGGCTAAATCAGTGTCTTAGTCTTTTTTTTTTTTTTTTTTTGCTGCTATTAACAGAATACCTGAGACTGGGTAATTTATAAAGAACAGAAATTTATTTTCTCATAGTTCTGGAGGCTGGGAAGTCCAAGATCAAGGTACCAGCTTTGGTGTCTGGTGCAGACCTACTCGTTGTGTCTTGCTGGGGGAAGAAGGCTGTCTGCACATGGCAGAAGGTGGAAGAAAGCTAGACGAACTTTCTCCGTCAAGTCCTTTTATAAAAACCTTTAATCCCATTCATGAGGGAGGAGCCCTCATGGCCTAATCTCCTCTTAAAGGCCGCACCTCTCAATACTATCATATTGGCAGTGCCTGACTTTTGAAGAGGACACATTCAAATCATAGCCAGGTTTTAAACCCAGGAACTCCAACTATAGGCTTGTTTCTCCACATATCACCATGCCACCAAGTAATTTAAAGACTTTGGTGGTAAAGCAAAGGCCAGCCTCAGGTGATTAAGGAGGATCCTTTTCTTCCTCCCTTTTTATATGGAGCAGGATCCCAGCCCGTTTGTAAAAAAATAGAAGGACACAGAAGGGAAAACTTGAAAATGAAAACTGAAAAACAAGTCATGAAATCAGAAGATGTGAGATCAAAAGCAAAATAAAATAGTTTACCTTAGAAGGCTGTGCCTGGATCCAACAATAGGCCTCAGACCCTTGCAGAAAGAAGAAGGGGGCAGCCCAGAATTAAAAAAAAAAAAAAACAAAAAAAAAACCCGCAAGCTATTGTGATGTGCCAGGCACCACTGCAGGTTTTTGACTTGTATTAACCCATTTAACCCTCCCAACAACCCTGTTGCCCCTGTTTTATAGATGAGGAGACAGCCTGCTGAGGTTAAGGAATGTTTTCCATCCCCAACTTGGCACACAGGCTCTGGAGTCTGGCCCTTGCCTGTCTCAGTACTGTTTCAGGCTGTTGCCCTCAGACCCCGCCATGCCTTCCAGGGTCAAGAAAGGCATGTGAGCAGGCAGCTTGAGCTCCCTGTCACGTGTAGACAGTGAGAATAATGTGCCTTCCCCAAAGGCAGTTATGAAGATCAGAGGAGATAATTTATGAAAAGTGCAAGCTCTCTTGAGAGTAGGGGATTTTGTTTGTTCACCTTACAAGGCAGGTGTTGAGTCAATAGGCTGCAGTCAGTGAAGGAATGAATGCAGTGGCATGCGCAGCGTGGTGGTCTAAGTGGTAGTTTTGGTCCATCCCTAGGGGAGCACAAGTCTTGGGCAGAGGATCAAAAGCACACACCTCTGAGAAGCCAAGTGTTTTTGTCTGTAACCTTTGATCATTCAAAAGGAAGCATTTTCTAACCTCTGCATTTTTTTACCCAAACTGTACAAAGGCTTCCTTGCTGTCCAAGTTGTGGTATACTCCAGTGCAGCTGCCTGGCTTCCAAGAGAAACTTAGCACTTCTTGTTCTGTTTGTAGCCTCAAATCAACATGTAACCAAAAGCTGTGAATGAATAATCCAAACTTGAAGAACCCCAGATTTTATTCAGGAGGAGTAACTGGAAGCCATAACCATGAACTTCCATATCTGTCATAGGAAAGAGGTTGGCCTCAGCAGCAATGAGGGATAATTCTTTCAAGAAAGGAATGAAGAGAGAAGTTAGATGGAAAAGAGATTTTTAAGGTCAAAAGAAGCAGCTGAAGAACATGTGTAGGACAGCCTTAGGAGTTACTACACTTCAAGACCTGGGTGTCTGCTGGAGGAAGGAACATGACCCTGCGGAGATGTTAAGGGTTGGGAGAGCTGAGCTTGGAGGCTGGAAGCCCAGCTGGGAGGCTATTGTTAAAGAGGTAAGATGACCCTAAACTAGTATTCAGGATGTTATGTGGTACTAAAAGGAATGTTAAACGAAGTGATAATACTGTATTCAGTTTAAATGTTTATTTTATACTGTAACTCACCATATATACCTTCTTTTTTTCTTTCTTTCTTTATTTTCTGTATTGGAAACTCCTAATCAAGATACCTTCTTTCTTAATATTTGATCTTATGGTTACCAAAAAGATTAAATCAAGCCATTGTTTTTCAAACTAGGGTCTTTGGGGATCTAAAACTTACATTAAACAATCTTAAAATTTGCCTTTTTTTGGATGATCCTAGAATTAATACAAGTGTATTCTGGATGATTTGAATGTTTCATCACTAACGAGATCTGAGATATCCATCCCCTTATGTGCATTTGTGTTCATATTATTATTTGTGCCAAGTGAAGCCACAGTGTCTCCTCCAAGGACATTTTGCCGTAAGTTGAAGAAAGAAAAATGGTGGGAGAATGGAGCAATTACAGGCACTTGATAATGTTGGTGTTAGGACTTCGAATGCTAAAGAATGGGGCCTCACAATGGTCAGTACAGTATTTATGTTGTAAATGTGTGTGTTGCCCGGATTCATTCTTTGGAAGAATAATTAGTTATAGGCATAATGGTAACTGTGAATGAATTTTCCTCTTCCAAATATCAAATACAGTCATATGCTCATTTAATCCAGATTTTAATATCATAATTATCTTGTTTCGAAAGAACAAACTGCATAACTAAAGTGATGCTTCATTAAAATTGACATTTGACCTTGGAGAACTGATTAAATAAAATTAAATGAGATAGGATAGGCCTGGTGTCTGGCATTTGGAACGCACTCTGTATGGGAGCTGTTATTAGGGCTGGCAAACCTCAATGGGCTCTGGTTTCAGTTGGTTGTGGAGTCTTTCACGGAATTTCTTCTCTAGGAGATTCAAGATTTTCTCCCAGCATTGTAGCCTGTGGAGAAGAAAGGAGGATCAAAGCTCAAAGGTGGTGGTTAGTCAGCCAGGAGCAGGCAGGTGACCATCAAGGAATCTGTACAGGGGATGGTAGATGCAAGTGTGGCCAGAGGTCAAGGCTAGAAAAGTGCTATTGCAGAGAAAGGGGCTAGAACAAACATAGTCAAGGAAGCAAGTGCAGGGCCTGACCTTCAAGAAAGGAATTAAGCAAGCTTTATGTAGGACTGATGGAGCAAGACCCTGATGTGAAGAGTCCCAGGCAGGAGGCCTGGTGGGGCTTGACCTTTCCTTAGGGAGTGTGTGGGGGAGGAGTCTTCCCAAAAGTGTCTTCAGCATAGCGTCTGGAACTTTCAGAGAGCAACAGGAAGACTTTGGAACTCAATTGGTTTAGAGCTTCTCAGTGGTTTGAGGAGATAGATGGCAACCTAGGAGTGGCTGGTGTAGACAGGGATAGGGATCAGAGCCGACAGGTTATTTTAGGGCAGTGCTCAGTATCTGGGGGTGTTTTTAAAAATAGCAATGACTAGGCACCACCCCAGACTAGAGGAATTAGAATATCTGTAGGTGGGGCCTGGGGTTTGGGCTTTTTAAATATTCCCAGTTGTTTCTAATCTGTGCCAGATCAGAGCACAGATCTTAGAGCAGTGGTTCTGAAACCTTGGTGAGCATCAGAGTCACTTGGAAGGCTTGCTAAACCACAGCTCACTGAGCCCTACCCAGAGTTTGATTCATTGGGTCTGGAGTGGAGTCTGAGAATTTGTATTTCTAACAAGTCCCCAGGTGATTGTTGCTGCTGGTCAATGACCCACACTTTGAGAACCCTTGTCCTAGAACCACAAAAGGGTTAGGGTGTTCTGTGTTGCTTTTGAGTCTGTAATGCTGACATGGAAACTGTCATTTGTCTGGATAGGTGCACTTGTTTATCAGGTAATTTTTGCTATTACTGTGACTTTAATTTGATTGAAGCTGAAGGATTCTTGTTGAGGGTGGTATGTGTTAGTTTCACTTACTAGCCCTGGGGCCTTAGGCACATTATTTAACCTCTCTAAGCCTCAGTTTTCCTCATCTATAAAATGGATTAGGGTTGTTGGATTAATCAGAAATAGTCTTGGAAAACGCAGATTATGAACCCGGCACATAGTAGATGCTCAGTATGTGGCACCTCTTATTTTTGCTGCATTTGGCTTTTTTCTTTTTAAAGGCTTAAGTTTTTGTTTGTTTGTTTGTTTGTTTGTTTTTGAGACAGAGTCTCGCTCTGTCCCTCAGGCTGGAGTGCAGTGGTGCGATCTCGGCTCACTGCAAGCTCCGCCTCCCACATTCACACCATTCTCCTGCCTCAGCCTCCCGAGTAGCTGGGACTACAGGCGCCCGCCACCACGCCCGGCTAATTTTTTGTATTTTTTAATAGAGATGGGGTTTCACCGTGTTAGCCAGGATGGTCTTGATCTCCTGATCTTGTGATCCGCCTGCCTCGGCCTCCCAAAGTACTGGGATTACAGGCATGAGCCACTGTGCCTGGCAAGGCTTAAGTTCTTTCTGAGGGTAGGTAGAGATTGACTTCTGTTGGCTCTCTCAGCCCTTGGAGATCTCATAGAAGAAATAAGACAAGTGTACTAATAATTCAGAAATAAACAATGTGGCCTTCAGGTGGCCTATGGCTGCTCACCCATGCTTAAGAGTACCATAGCCTGTCGAACCAGTCTGGGGATAAAAGTTGTGCAGTTTTTAATGGTCCAAATGAGAGAAAGGAATAGCCTGCCTAATATCTTGAGTCCATCTCTGTTATGGCCCATTTAGACTAACGCACCAGTAGGAGATGAACACCAACTCCATGTGGATAGATTAATCAAAGAACATTGGACCTATAATCCTGTGGATATCTTATTAAGCATCTAATATGTACCAGGCATCAGGTTATATGTTTTTCATGCATTGATTGCTCACTGTGGGTCATGGGTTGGGCACTGGGGTTTGTAAAGATGATTAAGACTTGAAGCTGCCCTTAGAAGTTGCTAACCTTGTGTCTCTAGGGTATGACTGTAAGAAATGATGGCAAGGAACCTTGCACTTTTAGATTGGGTTGATCTCTGCACATGGGTAAAATGAAAATGCTACTATAATTTGAAATCACTTGAAGTTATGCTATAGTGGTAGTTTATTGCAACACAATAAATTGTGACCTGCATCACTGACTTGAATCATTGGCTAGATGGGCCTTGGTCCGTTGCCACTTAGGGGAAAACCTTGGTTTGGATTGATGAGGGTTTTGCTTTTGGGACGTTGTTTTACTTTGCTGCCTGCCCGCAGCCTGTGGAATGTTTCTGCTGATGGGCTGGTTTCCTGCTTGCCTCTGTCCTTGTATCAAGATAATTCATTCCACGTTGCCCCGGTTGCCCAGTCCTGGTTGTCAGACTTTTTGGTCCTGGGAGCGTTTTCATGCCTTGGTTCCCAGACGGTGCTGATGCAGCCTGCAGGTCCACAGGCTCAGACATGAGCCCACTGTGTGCTGCTTTCTCAGGGAGCCATGAGTGCAGTTGAAATAACCTTGCACTTAAAACCTGTCTTACCATTTTGAAAACTGTTCTTTGGAAATCTTGCCTTGGGATTTGAACGTCTTTGCCTTTAGGTTTTGCTCTTTTGTTTCTGTTTCTTTTACTCATTGGTTTTCTGCTTTTGAGTTTTGGTTGCCTTGCTTCAAAAATCTTATATCACGACCATGGTTTGGGACTATTTCTGTCATCTCCTTGTTCTTCTCTGGGCAAGTTCATTCCAGATAACTTGCCCCTCTCCTGCACACTGTTGGTGTCATCGAGGTTCCAAAGCAATGGTTTTGCAGGGGGCTTCTCAGATCCTGAGGGATATCTCAGTTCTGCTGTCCTCTTGCATCATTTATGATTATATTAGGTCATGCCTGTCCTCTTGCTTCTGGCCTGAACTAATTCACTTACACGTGCCTATAAGGTGATCGAGGTGACCCAATGATCTTCTTTTAGCCACAATACCTATTCCATGATCCTTGCTGAAGCTATTGCCAGACAGTGATGAAATAGGGATTGATTTGTCACTCACTGTGACTAAGCTAAGCTGGCTGTGTGTGAGCTTGGGCAGTTTCACTAAACATTCCCCTTACCCTAGGATTCCTCCCTCAGCCAGGGTGGCATGGTGAAGGCAGGGAATTGCCCATCCTAAATTAGCTGATCCCAAAGACTTCATTTTCTTGGGAGTCTTGTCACCAAATAGCCCTTGGGGACAGGAGTCTTTTTGCCACCATTATTAGAGTTTAAATTCTTACCTATTACTGATTTAAGGGCTGTAGAAGAGAGAAGGGCCAAGAGGCCAAGCTGTACAAGGGGCTCCAGCTCCAAGGAGAAAAGGATGGTGGCTGGGGAGTGGGTGCTCTGGGAACAGCCTGCTGAGCACTTTGAAATATGGCTAGTGCCACTGAGGAACTGAATATTTAATTTTACTTAATTCCAATTAATTTAAATAGCCACATGTAGCTAGTGGCCCCTGAATGGAACAGTGCAGTGTTAAAATCAGTACAGAGAAGTATTTAGAGCTTGGCCTTCAGGGCTTTGATTCAGATTCCGGCTCTGCTGTCTACCCATTGAGTGACCATAGGGACACTTCTTAACCTTCTACAGTTGTTTCAAGAATTTGTTGTATTCAATATAAAGGGTTTAGAACAGTGCCTGGCAAGAAGTGTGTGTTTAGTTAATGTTGACTTATCATATGTTCACTCGGTATTTTGAATGGAATGGTAGTAGAATTCATGTGGAATATGAAATGCCACTGTTTTTTGGGGTGGGGTGTGTGCGCGTGCGTGTTATGTTTTCTTTCTTTTAAAAAGAAATTGTTCTTTTGTTGCTCTAGGTTGCTGCAGCAACTGGTCACACAGTAGTGTTGGTAGACCAGACAGAGGACATCCTGGCAAAATCCAAAAAGGGAATTGAGGAAAGCCTTAGGAAAGTGGCAAAGAAGAAGTTTGCAGAAAACCTTAAGGTAATTTCTTATTATCGATGTCTTCAAGACAAGTCCTCTGACTGCTTTACATTTGCAGGGCAATGGGGGATTTCTGGCTTTCTTTCTTTCTTTTTTTTTTTTTTTTTCAGTTTGTTAGTGTAAAACTCATTTTTCCATAACTTTAAACCAATATAATAACATAATTACTAAACATTCAGGGGGTACTGATTACAAAACAGGAGAAGTAAATAACCATTTTGTTGGGTGGGATTTGAGGTTGAGAAGAAAGCTTGTACATACAGGTGGTGAACTCATTCTAGAAGAACATGAGAATTTGGAATTGAAGAACACTTGTTTTGCTAAAAGGATGGAAGAAGAAGAAACAGGAAGATAATTTTTATACTACAAGTTAAGAAGAGAATGATATAATAAATATGGTATTTATAGAAACTAAGAGTGAATCATTCTACTTGCCAGGAGCAGAAGAGATAGAAGAATTTGAGGAACTCTGTGGAGGCTGGGAATACAACAGCATGGTGGGATGAGAAGGAGTTGGTGACTAAGGGCCATGCTGTTTTTCAGCGCACTTTCACTTAGGAGTTTGCATTTAATTAGAAATACAGCACAAATCACCCAAACAAATTTTAATTTACCTTTTGTCATCTTGTTAAAGTTGCTTAAGATTGATTTCCTTGGGGCTTGGATAGAATTTCTCGCTGTATGCAGCCAGAGAAAAGTACACATAAGGCATTTGTTGTTTCTCACTTCAAGTATCCAAGGTGGTATATCTAGATGCTTTTAAAAATTTTTTTATTATGGTAGAATATATAACATAAAATTTGCCATTTTAAACTATACAATTCAGTAGCATTAATTACACTCGCACATTCATACTTCATGTAAGTGGAATCATACAATATTTGTCCTGTGTCTAGCTTATTTCACTTAGCATAAAGTTTTCAAGGTTCATCTATGTTGTAACATGTGTCACAACTTCATTCTTTTTTTTTTTTTTTTTTTCTGAGACAGAGTCTCACTCTGTCACCAGGCTGGAGTGCAGTGGCACAATCTCAGCTCACCGCAACCTCCACCTCCTGGGTTCAAGCAGTTCTCCTTCAGCCTCCCAAGTAGCTGGGATTACAGGCGCACGCCACCACGTCCAGCTAATTTTTGTAGTTTTAGTAGAGATGGGGTTTCACCATGTTGGCCAGGATGGTTTCAATCTCTTGACCTTGTTATCCACCCACCTCGGTCTCCCAAAGTGCTGGGATTACAGGTGTGAGCCACCACTCCCGGCCAACTTCATTCCTTTTTATGGCTTAATATTCCACTGGATTATTATCATATTCCAATTTAATATTCCATTGGATTTATACCACTTTTTTTTAACCCATTGTATTAGTCTGTTCTCATGACATTGCTAATGAAGACATGCCTGAGACTGGGTAATTTATAAAGGAAAGAGGTTTAATTGACTCATAGCTCCACATGGCTGGGAAGGCCTTACAATCATGGTAGAAGGCGAAGGAAGAACAAAGTCATGTCTTACATGGCAGCAGGCAAGAGGGAGAGCATGTGCAGGGGAACTGTCCTTTATAAATTACCCCCCACTGGGCCCCTCCCACAACACGTGGGGATTATTACAATTCAGGGTGAGATCTGGGTGGGGACACAGAGCCAAACCATATCACTCATTCATCTGTTAATGGAATTGGGTTGTTTTCACCTTTTGGCTATTTTGAATAATGCTGCAGTGAACATTGGTATGCTATTGGTTTGGAGTCTCTGTTTTCAATTCTTTGGGTTATATACCTACAAGTAGAATTGCTGGGTTGTATGGTAATCCTATATTTAGCTTTCTGAGGAACCACCAAATTGTTTTCTGTAGTGACTGCACTATTTTACATTCCCACCAGCAATGTACGAAGGTTCCAATTTCCCCACATCCTGGCCAACACTTGCTATTTTCCATGTTTGTTTTGTTTTGTTTCTTATTGTAGCCATCTTAGGTGTGAAGTAGTATCTCATTGTGGTGTTTTTGTTTTTTGTTTTTTTGTTTTGGAAATGAGGTCTTGCTCTGCTACCCAGGCTGGAGAGCAGTGGCATGATCATAGTTCACTATAGCCTTGAACTCCTAGGCTCAAGCCATTCTCTCACCTCAGCCTCCCGAGTAGCTAGGACTATAGATGTGAGCCACCACACCCAGCTAATTAAAAAAAAAATTTTTTTTTAGAGACAGAGTTGTACTGTGTTGCCCAGGCTGCTCTCAAACTCCTGGCCTCAAGTGATCCTCCCACCTTGGCCACTCAAAGTGCTGGGATTACAAGCATAAGCCACCGAGTCCTGCTATCATTGTGGTTTTGATATGCATTTTTTCCCCAATGTCTAGGTGGCCTTTAGATGATGGTGGAGATAATTTTACCTTCTCTAGGATGAAATTCAAATAATAAATGTCACAGGCAGATTAATGTTAGAAATGCTTGTTCTTTGGTGCTGTAAAGAAATAGCACTTGAAATAAATTTAATTTCCTCAGCAAGACCATTTTTACTTTCTGCAGAAAGGGTACACTCGCCAGCATTTTTGCCACAAGAGTACACCGAACAAAGGAGACAGGGTCATTTATAACCTGACACGTCCATCTTACTGCTGTGTCCGGTTTCTATTGGCTGGGACGGGACTTCACATTCAAATGTATTTGTCTTGATTGGCTAGCAACTTAGAACTTTTTGAAAGAGGCAAAGGCAGATGAGAACAAAGGAAGGAGGAAGTAACTTGTGGAATGCTGAGAAAGGTAAAAACACCTCTAAATAAGGAAGAGGAACAGGCTATGACCTAATGCCCACTTGGACCAGTATAAGCATGCCAGGGCAAATATTTAGGCTAAATTGTGGGAGCTAAGAACATAAAGTACATTGATTTCTTTATTACAGCTAGCAGATATTGAAGAATGTTAACAGGTCTTAGAATAAATTTTGCTTCTAAGAAAAGTTACTATTTATTCTTAATTAGATGGGGAGGAGAGTCTCTTTGAAGAGGAACTTCTACTTTACTTTTTACATTAAGATATTCTTCACCTGTCCCTTATATTCTTTTTTGTTGAGACGGAGGAGTCTTGCTCTGTAGCCAAGGCTGGAGTGCAGTTGCGCGATGTCGGCTCACTGCAAGCTCCACCTCCCGGGTTCACGCCATTCTCCTGCCTCAGCCTTTTGAGTAGCTGGGACTGCAGGCGCCCGCTACCACGCCCAGCAAATTTTTGTATTTTTAGTGGAGACGGGGTTTCACCATGTTATCCCGGATGGTCTCGATCTCCTAACCTCGTGATCCGCCTGCCTCGGCCTCCCGAAGTGCTGGGATTACAGGTGTGAGCCACTGCGCCCGGACCATCTGTCCCTTATATTCTTAATTGTAGTGGGACCCCATGCAGGGGATGTTATGAGGAGGGTCCAGACAGATGAGATTATAAGAGCCCTGGGCTGAGGGTTGGAGTCTAGGACAGAGTGAGTTTGACCCAGATAGCCTGCATTTTCTGCTTGTTTACAGACTTTCAGCTAATTGTCTCCTTGGGCTGAGTTTCTGAGCCACACCCTAAAGATAAAAGGATGGCCCCTATGCTCAAGTTGCTCAGCTCTGGCTAGCTACTCCTCAGAAGTCTATACTCCTGAGGTTTCTCTCCTCTGCCAGGGACACCACTGAGGAGGGAGGTGTCAGTTTCTCTGCCTAGTTGACATACTATGCTTATCTAGCTCTATACTGACCACCAATATAATAGCTACTCACAAGTGGCTACTGAGTGCTTGAAATGTGGCTAGTCTAGATAGAAATGTGCTCTGAGTGTAAAATAGACACTAGATTTTAAAGCTATAATAGGGGAAAAATATATAAAACATCTCAATATTTTTAAATATTGAGTACCTGTTAAAGTGATGGCATCTTAGATATATTGGGTTAAATAACATTAATTTCACCTGCGAATGTCTTTTCCCTTTTTTTAATGTGGCTAGTAGAATATTTCTGTATAACAGCTGAGATCTAGCTGCTTATTCCATGATGATTTTGGATGCCTTTGCTGATTATGACTATTTTGATGCCCTGTGGACAAATTACACTATGAAATAAAATGGCGGCTTATAGAGGCACCATCTCCAATTCTGTCCTTATTGAGGTCTGTGGAAACCTGGAGTCACAGGAGAAAAATGAGGAAACGATGAAAACTACAGGCTCTTTGGCAGCAGAGGCTGTGTCTAGCTTGTTTCGGAAACAACAGTTTCAGGCATATGACAGACAATAATTATTTGATAAATGCTAAGTCGGCTTTCTTACCCTGGCTCTTGCCCTTGCTCTAATAGGAGCTAGTCTCTGCTTTTATTAGAGAGGAATAGTCAGCACCACCTCAAGACTAATGGATGGCAGGGAGCTATGGAAGGATAAATTACAGGCTTCGTGGACACTTTGAGAACAGATAGGGTAGGCCAATACAGGTGCTCTGAACACCCAGTTTGCTAACTGGAGCAGAGCTAAGAACTTGAAAGATAATTTCCAGTGAGCCCGGTGAATGTTCTCTTCTTCCTCCCACTGCATTAGGCCGGCGATGAATTTGTGGAGAAGACCCTGAGCACCATAGCGACCAGCACGGATGCAGCCTCCGTTGTCCACAGCACAGACTTGGTGGTGGAAGCCATCGTGGAGAATCTGAAGGTGAAAAACGAGCTCTTCAAAAGGCTGGACAAGTTTGCTGCTGAGTATGTAACCTCTGGACAATCTTCTTTTTTTTTTTTTTTAACCTTATTTTTGTTTTTCATTTTTATTTTTTGTTTTTATAGATTTGTGAGTACAAGTGCAGTTTTGTTCCATGCCTATATTGTGTAGTGGTGAAGTCTGGGCTTTTAGTATACCCATCACCCACATAGTGAACACTGTACCCAATAGGTAATTTTTCAACCCTCGCCACCCTCCCACCTTTTGAACTCTCCAGTGTCTGTTATTTCCCTCTGTACATCCATGGGTACCTGTTATTTAGCTATCACTTATATGTGAGAACATATGGTATTTGACTGAGTTGTTTCACTTAAGATAATGGCCTTCACTCCTGTTCATGTTGCTTCAAAAGACATGATTTTATTCTTTTTTATAGCTGAGTAGTATTCCATGGTGTATATATGCCACATTTTCTTTAATCAGCCATTGATGGACACTTAGGTTGATTTCGTGTCTTTGCTATTGTGAATAGTGCTGCAATAAACATATGAGTGCAGGTATCTTTTTGATAGAATGAGTTTTTTTCCTTTGAATATATACCCAATAGTGGGGCTGCTGGATCGCATGGTAGTTCTGTTTTTAGTTTTTTGAGAAATCTCCATACTGTTTTCCTTAAAGGTTGTACTAATTTACATTGCCACCACCAGCATGCAGGGGTTCCCTTTCTCCAGATTCTCACCAACATCTGTTGGTTTTGACTTTTTAATAAAAGCCATTCTGACTGGTATCAGGTGCTAAACTCATTGTGGTTTTAATTTCCATTTCTCTGTTGATTAGTGATGCTGAGCATTTTCTCATATGTTTATTGACCACTAGTGTGTCTTTTTTTGAAAAATATCTGTTCATGACCCCTGGACATTCTTGACAGATTCTGAGGGGTCCCTCCCTGGGCCTTGAACTTTCCTCCTTGTTTATTGCCTTCTCCCAGGAAGGGATCCTTTGACCAAGTTTATCCACCTCCCTCTCTCCTACCCCACAGCTATTTCAAGAAAAGCCAATATGGTTTCCGTTGTTCTCCATCCTCCCACTCCCAGTTTGCTTCTGAAGCTTGGGCTGCTGTGATCTGATCCTTGTCCCAGATGCGTGTAGAATTACCCATGGTAACATGGAGGGGTCCATCCAGGGACAGGCCTATGTTTCTTGAAGTGTGTAGGTCATGGATACTCCTATGCCAGAAGCTGCTCTGACGTTCCTTGGTTCATTTCACACTGGCATCTAGAGGCTGCAGAGACATCTGACAGCAGACAGTTAAGGACATGTAGGGTACTTCTGTGCTCCACTCTCGGGCATAGGAGTACCCTACGTGTCCTTAACTGTCTGCCAAGGACCCTCAGAGCAGTTCTGTGTTTCCTCCTTTTTTGGATGGAGCAAACAGAATGGTGTAATTGAAGGGAATGCCTATAGACAGAGAGGACTTTCCTGTTTTGAGCTTCATCTGGGTTCAATCGAAGTACTCTTGGGAGTGTTAAAGGAGCATTGACTTCTTAGCTGGCTGGCTTCCTGGTGGAATTCTTCCTGGCAGAATGTACCTTGGGATCCAGAGCCTTCGAGTGTGTGACACCTGACCCACTGATCAGTGCTCTTCTAGTGACTTGTTTGACTATATTTTCATGCTTCTTGGTTGGAATTGAATGGCAGAATAAGATTATATGACAAAAGCAATTCTCAGGGCACTTCCGGTGGGCAGTGGCTAAAGAGAGTCACTTGCATACCAGCTTGTCGGAATGTTAACCTTCAGAGATGGGTGGCCTTGTGGCCAGAGAGGCCCTGCCCCTGACAAAGAGAAGAGACTTGCCTTTCTGTCATCTGTCCATCACTGCCAATCAGTGTCCTCGTGCATTTCACACTGGCATCTAGAGGCTACAGAGACATCTGACAAAAACAGAATATACTTGTGGTACCGGGACTGGCTCCCAGGCCAGCAGGGAGCCCTCTGGGATAATAAACAGCCACCCCAAAAAAGGGAGTTTTGTCAAGCAGTTTGATCTTTATTGAAAAGATTGGTCGCTCTTGGTGACAGTGAAAGGCCTGACTGCCCTCCATTGTCCATGTCTGGTACAGAAGAAGGATCACTGGAGAAAGTCAGGAGGCCTGGGCCTGGTGCTGACCCCCTCACCACCTCCAGCCTTGGAAAGGTCCTCAGTTTCGTCATCTGTAATGCAAGTTGAGGTGATTGGGGTAAATAATTTCCTAGACCTTTCTGGCTCTAACTCTCTAAGACTAGCTTCCCCCATTTGTAAAATAGGAGCAGCAGCACTGGTACCTATTGTACAGAGTTGTTTAGGAAACTCATTTCATTTAGCTCACATTTCCTGAGTGCCTGCTGTGTATCAGGCACTACACTAGGCTCTTTAACCTGAATTGATGCAAAACAGATATGAGGTGTGAAAAGAAGGCATGACCCATAGTCATACCAAAGATGTGACTTTGCTGCTGACCTTCTCCACCTTTCTTGGCACTGTTTGTTTTTGTTTTAGATCACCACCATTATTGAATGCTTGCTACAATTTTTAAGCAGCCGTATTGAGAGGTACTTTACTGACAAATTTTACAGTTCGATCCTATAATGGGAGAAGAAAATATAGTCAAGTGATACATTTCGGGTTGGAAGCCCTGATGAAACAGTTGCATCCTGGAGAGAACATGACTTCTCTAGCAGCAGCCTAAGACACACAAATGAAAAGTATGACCAGACGCACAGGCAGCCAGATCGAAGTCCTGACTTTCCCCTTTAGACAAAGTACAGACTCTTGAATCCTTTGCCATCCCCACCAACCCTCTTGTCTTCTTTATACTAGGGTCTGGGGCCATTGCTAATAATCACTGTGCTTGTGTTGTCGATTTTCTTTTAGAACATTTAAGAGAAAAGTAGTTTTTTTGGTACCTGAGTGTCCGAATGAAAAAAACAAAAGATGGTTCAAGACAAGTGTTTCCAGGAACATGTAAGAGTACTTTTTTTTTTTTTTTGAGACGGAGTCTCGCTCTGTCGCCCAGGCTGGAGTGCAGTGGCATGATCTTAAGCTCACTGAAACCTCTGCCCCCCAGGTTCAAGCAATTCTCCTGCCTCAGCCTCCCTAGTGGCTGGGATTACAGGCATGCGCTACCATGCCCAGCTAATTTTTGTATTTTTAGTAGAGACGGGGCATGTTGGCCAGGCTCGTCTCGAACTCCTGACTTCAAGTGATCCACCTGCCTCGGCCTCCTAAAGTGCTGGTATTACAAGTGTGAGCCACCGTGCCCAGCCCAGAGTACATTTTGTTTGTGGATGAAAAGACTGTCCTATGTGTTTAGTATTCTCTGAAGACAGTGTGAGACTTTTAGGAACAAAGTCAGCCTGACCCTGTTGGGAGAGGCAGAAGCAGAGGTCTGCTGGGGAGAGATCATTTCCTCCTTCTGATAAAATGTGCCAGAGTGCCCTGGACTGGTGATACCTGGAACTGGGCTCTGATGTCACTTTATTTTACCAAATGTGCCCAAGTTTCCCCTTTTTGCAGGTGAATGGCCCTTCAAACATTCTACAAAAAGGGGTATTACGATTGTAATACTAATCTTTAAAATAACACTTTCTTTTCTTAACGGGAGTGTGGAGCCACAGCTGGCACAGCCTTGGGCCCAGGCTGTCCCTGCTCTGTTTTTGTGGTTCCAGGTGCTTGTGGTGCAGGTTGTGTGGTTGAACAGTGCTTGTGTTGGCCACACACATTGTTATTGGAAGAGGATCTTTTTTTCATTACCTTCTGTAATGGGGAATAGTTTATATTATTTTCCCCAATGACCAAAAGCAAGAAACTTTGAAAACTGAAATTTTAAGACCTTAAAACAATGTCATTTTTTTTTTAAAAAGGAAACCCTGGCATTTAAATGGCCTACCTTGGAAGCTGTTGGAGAAGGTGGATGTGCTCATACCTGGAAAGAGAAGGCTCTCCGCTGCCTACCCACACTGGTCTCGCCTTTTACCTCTTTTCCCTCCTTTCCAAATAACTGGTTTCTTCTCCCTTCTCTTCCTCCTCTCCTCCCACCCGCCCCTGATTTGAGCAGATTATAGTATTGCCTGTTAGGTAAGCAGAAACCCCCAAGCCTGGTCAGTAAGGGATCCTTTCCTTTCCTGCCCTGTTACAGTCCATCTTGGTTGGAATCAGCACCAGGCCTGTTTGTATGTTTTTATCCGCAAGGTGGCGCTGCAGGAAAGCCTGGAAGTCAACCTGTTTAAAGCTTTTCCTCTCATGCTTTTGGCACGCCACTTTACTGTGGCCTTAAAGAACTAAATTTGGTTTAAGTCAGTATGGATTTTTTTTAATGAATAAGTTAATGTCTTATATATGCATATGCCTATATCCTCTTTTCCCCATATCTACCCATGTAACCTTAAAATTTTTTTGAACCATGTTGGTGTTCTTGTTTTCATTTTAATTCCCATTCAATTGAAAAATAAAGCTTTTCACTTCAGGGAAAATATCTTAATTCACGTTTATTATCATATGTTTCTGATTGAGGATTTATGTGTTCATTTAGAATTTTGTTGCTTTTAGGTGTCTTTCTTTCATTATTTTTTGATCACTGAGTTTCGTTTGTGACTGGGGTTGGTTAAGTAGCTTGATCAATTAGCCACCTCTTGTTATCTCACATACCTTGGAAGTTAACTAATACAAGTAGGTAGGGGAAATTTTGTTCTGGAAAATCAAGGAAGGATTGGTGAAGGTTAAATACCTCTTCGGAACAGGAAATTCCAATTTTATTTCAAATTTAAAAATTTTTAAAAAGCTGAAGTCACTTGATTTCAGCCTCTTATATGAAGATGTGTCTTCTCCCTCATTCCCCCAATGGGTCAGGACAACAGATGTGGCAGTAAGCAGTCACCTTGTGCATTGCATCCAAGAGTCATGCTGTTTTGAAAGAAGAGATTCACTCTGATACTCCCACTATATTTTCTCTTCACAGACATACAATCTTTGCCAGCAACACTTCCTCCTTGCAGATTACAAGCATAGCTAATGCCACCACCAGACAAGACCGATTCGCTGGCCTCCATTTCTTCAACCCAGTGCCTGTCATGAAACTTGTGGAGGTCAGTGGGTGTCAGCTTGTGTGTGTCTGCCCGCTCTGCCAGCTCTCTCAGTCCTGCTTTTCTGTGTTACACCAGCCCTGCCACCAGTTGCCTAGGATGGGTTTTAACCTGAGGGTAGAAGGTTGTCCCTGAGCCTCATATCTAGGAGGGCTTCTATGCTTTGTTTCTTCACAGCCCTGTGTCTTGCTTAGTGATATCCAGAAAGGCTGTTAACTTTGTGGAATGTCATTTACTTATTTGTGCCAGAGCTGATGGGCAGTGCTGAGAGGCATCAGAATGGGAAGGCAGCACTAGAAACCGTGGGCTGGATGGGACCACACAGAGGGCAGCTACATGTGTTCATATTATCTCGTCGAGGTCAGCTTGCCCATGCTGTAAATGCAGTTCTCATTAGATACACTATACTAGCTTGTCCACAGTTCCTGGGGTTAATTCTGACCCCATGTAATGGTGCCTTAGCGTTGTCCCCAGATGAGGTACATCTCCTGTGCATTGTGATCAGAGCTATTAAAACCAGCTCCCATTGGGTGCGGCGGCTCATGCCTGTAATCCTAGAACTTTTGGAGGTGGAAGTTAGTGGATTGCTTGAGACCCAGGGGTTCAAGAACAGCCTAGGCAACATGGCAAGACCCCATTTCTACAAAAAATAAAAAATCAGCCAGGGGTTTTGGTGCACGCATGTAGTCTCCAGTACTTGGAAGGCTGAAGTGGGAGGATTGATTGAGCCTGGGAGGTTGAGGCTGCAGTGAGCTGTGATTGCACCACTGCACTCCAGCCTGGATGACAGAGCAAGATCCTATATCGAATAAAAAAACCCTAAAAGTAAAAAAATAAAACCAGCTTCTGATAGCCTTGAGCCTCCTGACCATAAACCTGGAAGGTGGAGCGGGGAGGCAGGGAGGGCTTCCCCAGCATCCTGTTTGGAATGCTTGGAGACTCCAATATGTTGGAGTTGGAGTCACAGTAGGCAATTTGCACCTGAAATGGGACAACTTGCCTTTTACAGGGTCCTAATTACAGGGTCTGAGGAGCAGCCGCTATTAAAGTAGCATTTGTTCTGAGGTTGAGGAGTTATTGCCCTGCGAAGTGTGGGGGACGCTGATGCTGCCATGTGGGTGATGTGGGGCCAGGCAAACCTACACACACTGGCTGTGGCCTCTCTGGGAGTGTGTATCGTCTGTTTTCTTCATTATTGCCTTTTCCAACTACCTTTTCCTTCCTTTATCCTCCTCATTCCCTCACCACTACTCAGCATAAGCATTTTTAATAAGTCATAATAATGACCATTTTTTTTAGCATTTTCTCTCAAGTGACAACTTTGACCATCTTGCAATGGGACTTTTTCTGTCTTACTAACATTGCTTCTCAGCTTCCTCCTATTTTCTCCTATCCCCTAAGGCTGATTTTTTGAAGAAATTGAAGAATGAAGGGGAGGGATTTGGGGAACAGAAGAAACAGCATTTAACAGCTCTTATCTCATGCAGATTAAGAGCAAAGAAGTGGCATGCATTTCCAACATTTCAGTACTTAGGGACTAGTTGATTTCTTTAGTTATTATATTGTATATATAAGTGTTTTGGAGATAGGCACATTCTGTAGATTTACTTTAATAATGTTTTCAACTGCATTTATCTGGTAATGTATGCTTTTGTCTTTGGAAATGTAGTGTGTTGGTTGTTAACAGCTGATGTTTAGCAAATGCTACTATTTTTTAGAAAGTATTTTGTAAAAGTGTTCTTCTCTATTCAGTTTTTATTGTTTAACTTTAGCTCTTCCTTGTGTTGCTGGTGGTGTACACCAAAATAACTTGTATAATAAGCTAAGTGGCTCCTTTACTTAGGACTGGGCTCATTTAAATGTATATATATATGTATTTTTTTTCAGACTCTGTTGGAACTAGGAGCAGCGTATCTGTACAAATTACTGTTCGTTGAATGAATGAATGAGTGAATAAACATCCATCTCTCCTGTTTAAAAAGAAACAAACCTTCACTATTATTAACTCCCTTAAACCAAAAACTTAATTTGAAAACTCCATAGTCAGCAGTGTTTGTCCCCCAGCTCAGTCTGTGGTTTTGATGGAGACTTTTTAGACCTCCTTTCAAACAGCTCTGGGATTCTGTTTGATTTGTGGTACCCGCAGGGTGGCTTCTGGTCTTTCTCGTCCTGCTCCTCTTCTCCATCTTCACTGTGTCTTTTCCTGTTTCCATCCATTCACTTCTCTTGATGTCACGACATGACACCATGGCCCAGGCTGTGATCACACGAAAACAGGAGTGAGAACTCTTCTTTGTTTATATAGCACCTTTCATCCCTGCACAGACACTAGCTCATTAGTTCACCGAGTCAGACGGCCCTCTTGCACAGGGAAGACATGCCCATGATCCCCATTCCAGAGAAGAGAGGTGAGGCAGTTGCCTAAGATCCCATGAAGGGTCTAAAGTAAACCCTTTGACTCCGATTGAAGTTCTTTACTGGCCTTTACATTTTACATATATATATGTGTGTGTGTGTGTGTGTGTATGTGTGTGTGTATGTGTGTGTGTGTGTGTGTGTGTATAGTTGAATGAATGAGTGAATAAACACGCATCTCTCCTGTTTAAAAATATATATATATATACTTCATCTGGTTCTTTCCATTTACCATTACACATGAGTTCTCTAACTGCTTACTGAGGGCTGACTGTGCCGGGCATCGTGCTTGGTGCCATCCCCTACAGATGCCAGTAGGGCAGCCCTTGTGCCCTTGCCTGTACCTCACAGAGGTCAGGAGGGCTGCTGGAGCAGGTGGCAGGCCCCGCTTGCTGTAAATGAAAGCCTTCCCCAGAAGGATGAGTCTGTTCTGAAGCCAAGGGGCCGCTGGCCTCTAGAGCATCTGTGTGGCAGAGGGTGGAGTCATGGGAGAAATACTCAGGAATCCAGGAGAACTGTCACTTGGGCAAATTACTCACTTTCCTGGGGCTCCTCCTCCTCTATAATAGAAGATCAGGTCCCACGTAGAAGACTTTAAGGGCAACCATCATATACTTCCAGACTTCTAATAATTAAATAATGGAAGTCAGCATTTATTGAGCATTTGTGCTTAGGCTTTGTGCTTTACTCCCAATGTAATTTCATTCTCACCTCAACTTCCTGAGGTGAACAGAGTGATTTCAGTGTCATTTCAGTTTCAAGAAACATACTCAGGGTCACACAGCCAGTAAGTGGTGCAACTGAACCCAGGCTTGTCTCAACAACAAAGCCTGTAAAACTGTCCTATACACACACGTACACACATACACTTGTATTTTAAGCCGTGATTTTGTACATTCTACAGTACACTGTTGTCTTTTTTTTTTTTTTTTTGAGACGGTGTCTTGCTCTGTCACCCAGGCTGGAGTGCAGTGGCATGATCTCGGCTCACTGCAACCTCCACCTCCCAGGTTCAAGCAATTCTTCTGCCTGGGCCTCCCAAGTAGCTGGGACTACAGGCACATGCCACCATGCCCAACTAATTTTTGTATTTTTAGTAGAGATAGGGTTTCACCATGTTAGCCAGGATGGTCTCGATCTCTTGACTTCATGATCTGCCCGCTTCAGCCTCCCAAAGTGCTGGGATTACAGGCATGAGCCACCACATTTGGCCTCTGTTTTAAAATAGTCATTTTGGGAAATACATTGTTTCTGGCTTGAGATTCCTACTTCTATGCTGAAACTCAAACTATTTTTGTTGCCTATATGGAGCCTTTTGATCAATCATTCCTTGAACCATTCTACCGAAGTTGCTTGCTGACACTCTGGTCATAATTCTCTGCTTTGCATTTCCAGGTCATTAAAACACCAATGACCAGCCAGAAGACATTTGAATCTTTGGTAGACTTTAGCAAAGCCCTAGGAAAGCATCCTGTTTCTTGCAAGGTAAGAGTATGGGTAGCTTGGGAAGGAGGTAGTTCTTTTCTTCTTGGACCCTGACTTGTTCCTGGTAGAATTCTTCTCATAGAATGATGTGAAAGAAGGAGCATTGTATACTGCAAGCTTGTCCACATGCTGTAAAGAGCAATCCGTGCCTCCTGTTCTAGTTTGTAGACAGGGAAACTGGACTCCTAAGCCATGCCTAAGGCCATTATGTGGATAGTCTGAGACCTGAATGGAGCTCAGGACACCAGCTGAGTAGAAGACACGGGACTGCTCTCTGTCCTGGCTTTTGTCTCCTGATGAATGGCTGCATTTTCATAAATGATTTTAGGTACAGCTTGGTAAACACATACCTCCCTAACAGAAAATGAGGGCTTTACTTTTGCAAGAAATACTACAGATGGTGAAATAAATGATAAGACAGTGAGAGAGCAACCTGCCAAAATAGCAATAAGGAACCTGTTTCTCACCGGGAAGTTGCATTATGTTTTTATTGTTTGTTGTTTTGTTTTTCAAGAAGCAGCATGGTTTAGTGGGAAGCCTGCTTGACCTCCATCTTTTTTTTCCCCTTTCTTAAGCTGCCCAGTTATTGTATATAAAATAATCCCAGTTGCTGAAATGATAACCTACCTGAAGGTAATTATTTTGATTACCTTCAGTTTCTCCATTTGCTTTAGTTCCTCTTTAGTTCCCCCAAAACTCGGGGACTATACTTATGCATGACTTTGCAGTTTTTCTTAAGGGGTAGTTGTGTCACAAAATGCTACACCATTACAAAGATTTACATATAAGTCATCTACTTTTTTTTTAACTGTAATCCTTTGTATCATTATAGTTCTCATAGCAAACTTTTGCTTTCTAAAATATTCTCGAGTTTGAACTTACAGTACTGTACTAACCCATGAAAAATCATGTTGTTCATGAATCACCTGAAGAAGCCATCTGTTGAGGTGGACTCCAGCAGCCAAAGAGAGCAGGCTTGTGTGTCCTGCTCCTCCCCGTCCATGGGTAAAGTGTTGTTAGGGAGTCTCATGCTTTAACACCCATTTTTTGTTTGTTTGGTTCTGTAGTTTTAAGTCATCTAGATTTCTAAACTCATATTAATAATTGGATGTTATGATTGTACTTTCTTACGCAGTTATGCTTTGTTAGTGGAAGAAAGTAGTAATGGTATTGAAAAGAACATCTGTGCAAGACAAAAAGATATGGAAACAGAAGTACAGGGAAAAGCTAATGATTATCTTCAGCAGCATAATAATTAATCTACAAAGTAATGATTCAGTCTTCCATCAGAGTGGCCACGGCAGCTGCAGAGATGGGAACTCTTTGTTCTCATTAAATTATCTTGTTAGGTCATTCCAGAACTCTCTCTGTGTGGTATTCTAAGGGCTTTCAGAGGGTCTTTCTGGGTCAGTTATTGAAGCTCTTTATGAGGCATCTGGACAATATATGGCAACTACATAGGACAAGGGTCAGCAAACTTCTGTAAAGGACCAGATAGTGAATATTTTCAGCCATACAGTCTCTGTTGCAAGTAGTCAGTTCTATTGTTGTAGCATGAAAACAGCCATAGACAGTATATGCAATATGAGTGTGGCTGTGCTCCAGTAAAACTTGACTTACAAAAACAGGCTGTGGGCTACAGTATTGTACTTTACCAATACTTGACATAGAAGAGGGGCATTAATGTGCCTGGAATGTGCCTTCCTAGTGAGACTTCATGAGGGGATTGTGGTATATAGGTTAAGGGTATGAACTAGCCCAACTGGGTTTAAATCCTGGTGCCGGCACTTATTAGCTGTGTAACCTTAGGCAAGCTACTTAACCTCGCTGTGCCTCAGTGTCCTCATGCTTCACATAAGGATAATTATAGTACCTCTGTCACAGGGTTATTATGAGGAATGAATAAATTAATATTTTTAAAGTATTTAGAACAGTACCTGGCACACAGTAAGTACAGTAAATAAAATGTGTTTAATAAATAATCTGAAAAATATGAATTTGATTACATAAAATAAAATTACTTTATTTAAAGATTGTGTCTCCTGCTAGGCACGGTGCCTCACGCCTATAATCCCAGCACTTCGGGAGGCCAAGGCTGGTGGATCACTTGAGCCCAGGAGTTCGAGACCAGCCTAGGCAACATGGCAAAAACCCTCTCTACAGAAAAATAGCTGGGCATGGTGGTGTGCACCTGTGGTCCCAGCTACTTGGGAGGCTGAGGTGGGAGGGTCGCTTGAGCCCAGGATGTGGAGGCTGCAGTGAGCTGAGATCATGCCACTGCACTCCAGCCTGGGCAACAGAGCAAGACCCTGCCAAGAGAAAAAAAAGACTGTGTCTTTTCACATTCCACCAATATACTGATAGCATCTGTCTCTCTGCATTCTCAATAGCATCAAATATTATTACAGTGGGGGAAAAACCTTTGATAATCTTGTTGGCAAAAATGCGTATTTTTTTGATTACTAGTGAGTTTATTTATTTATTTTTTTATTTTTCGAGATGGAGTCTTGCAGTGTCTCCCAGGTTGGATTGCAGTGGCGCAATCTCAGCTCACTGCAACCTCCATCTCCCGGGTTCAAGCGATTCTCCTGCCTCAGCCTTCTGAGTAGCTGGGACCACAGGCGCGTGCCACCACACCCGGCTAATTTTGTATTTTTAGTAGAGACAGGGTTTCACTGTGTTGGCCAGGCTGGTCTTGAACTCCTGACCTCATGATCCTCCCGCCTTGGCCTCCCAAAGTGCTGGGATTACAGGTGTGAGCCACTGCGACTGGCCAGTGAGTTTAAATATTTAATGAGTCTTGGCACTTTTTCCTTATTGAGCTCTATGAGCTTTTTCTGTAGAAGATATTAACTGTTGGAGCTTCATGTTCTCAGGTACCCTATCTTGAGTCTATAGTGAACCTTTTGAAGTTGAAAAGAGTATTTTTGCCTCAATTATAAAATCTGTATTGTTCCATAATCTTAATTAAGCTGATAAAACTTGTTTGTGCATCTTTGTGCTCATGTGGCAATAGATGGGGTTAGGGCTTGGTTTCAGTTTGCCTAGGGTTAAAGGAGGTTCACATCCTTTGTGTTACTGTCCAGTTTCCCCGCATGCAGTCAGGTTAGCTCTGTGAGGAGTGCCTGGTCATCTGTAATTCAGACATTAAGGAAGTACCTGGTGTGTGCTAGAAACAGAATGCAGAGTTCAGGCCAGGGTGAGGATTTCTGCCCTCAGGAAGATCACAGCCTTTTGACAAAAGAGGAGGCACCATTTGCCTAGTGGAAATCAGCTTCAACAAAAAAATCACCTGCTTTTCTCTACAAGTCCCCGGAAGAGATCAGTAGATAAAATCCAAATCCCACACCTGTCCTCCAGAGAGATGATTATTGTTAGTTACTGAGAAGGGAAATGGATGAAAGGCATATGTGGCACAGGGGTCACCGCAGGATGCAGAGGTCTTAGGGGGTGTGCCGTGAAAGGCCAGCTCTCTGTCAGAGGCTCTGCTCCTTTGTCGGAGCACGTGCCCTCAAGTCAGCTCCACTGCAGTGTGCGCTGGAACCTGAGAAGTTGCTGAGTAGCCGAGGAGTGGCTCCAAGGAGCCTGGAAAGCAGTCCTCCTTTGAGGACCATTCAAGGTGGAGTGTGACGTTTTGTCGATTCTTGAAAGGGAATTGGGAGGAAAGAGGAGGAATAAAGGGATGGGTGTAGGGCTGTGTGTACAGCATTTTATGTGTTTTCTGATTTATCTTCACAACTTTGAGACAAACTGTCACCCCCAGTTCACAGATGATGAAACAGATTCAGAGTGACAGAAGGACCAAGAGAGTATTCAAGATTGAACCCAAATCTGTCTCTCCCAAAGCCATGCTCTTCCAGGTCACACCTGTGCCTTGATCTGTCTTTATGTCAGGATCTGTGCAGTGGGGCATCTGGGTTTGAATGTTTTTTTAAGTACTATGATTGTTGGATAAATTGTCATATGAGATAGAAATAAGGCCATGCTGCAAATTTTGAAAATGTACAGCTTGATAAATGGGGGCAAACATGATCCAGGGTAAGAAGGGGCAATTTGGTGACTTCACAAAAGATACCATTTAATGAAAATTTACTAGTTTTTTGTTTTTCTGTCTCCCAAAACAGGACACTCCTGGGTTTATTGTGAACCGCCTCCTGGTTCCATACCTCATGGAAGCAATCAGGCTGTATGAACGAGGTATCCTTCTGACCCAGGCCAGGAGCAGCAGACCTCAGCTCCTGGCGCCACTGTCTGGAATTCTCAGTGTCTCTAGGAGGGGTCGGGCCGTGCACAATGGAGGAAGCAGTGTCTGTTTTCTAGCTTTGTGAGCTCAGCTGCACCCTGAGCCCTGGTACCTTTTTCACTGTTTTCCCAGGGCCTCCTGGCTTCCCTGTGGGCCTCTGAGAAAGGTTTCTGGAACTCCCACCACCCCCACTACAGTCCCAGCCAGAGCAATTGCATGGCCGGCCCAGATTGATATCCTGGATCTCTGCTTTTGATTAAAAGGTTTACTGCTTTTAAAAATAATCATAATGTAAAAATCACTAGGCTAGGAGATCTTGAAAGTTCCTTAAGGTTCTAAAACTTGTGACTGACAGGTGATTAGAAATATGTGACAAGGCCGATATGTGGTAAGGACAGTTTTTAGTAGTCTGTCCTTACTGAGTGATGTCATGATGTACTTTTTGTAACCTTAAGAATGGTGTAAACAGTTTTCCTCAGTACTTGATTGACAAAGAATGCTTTTCTCTGCTGTAGAAATATCAGATTTGGGACAGGGTCCAGGCCTCTAAATTGATCTGCATTCTCCTGCCTGCTTTCCCTCCCTGGTTTCTGGAAAGGTAGCTCTCATGTCTGCTTCAAAGGCAAACAAGCCTTAATAGGACTGGATAAAAAGCAAGTGTAATTGTTTTCAATTACTTCATTCATAAATGCTCACTCCTGAGAGTGTCATTTTTTAAACAAAACATTTACACCAGCTCTTCCAGAGAGATGAAAGCACATTTGCTTCCTCAAAATCTGCTTTAAATATTAAAACTTTTCTCTATGGTTTATGGAAGCAATTGCCTCACTTTTGCTCCAAGATCAAACCAACAGTTCTGGTTTATCTATCAACAAATATGCCTAATTACACCTCAAAGAAAGCACAGAGCATTTTACCCTACCTTGAAAGGCAGTTGTATGTCTTTTTTTTTTTTTTAACAAAATGTAATGTTTTAGAATGTAGCATGTGAGAGATCCACCTTTTAATGGTGTTTTCCTCACTGTCCATTTGATGCATTCTCCAATGCACCAAGTATCAGATGGTAAGTTGAAAGCCCTCTTCTTGTCTGTGGTCCCTTTCTGCATAGGTGCATGCCCTTTAGCCCTCACCATCCCTGGCCGCCTGTGGGCTGAAGCTGGAAGAGCAGGACCTGGCCTCAGGACATGCTCTTAGCTTGCTCTGGGCATGGGCTTCAACAGCCTATCATTGCTGGTCCCTCTGCTTCTTTTTCCACCACCTTCTCAGAATCTGCTTCTGAAGTTGCTGGGTGTCCTGCCTGGGGTGGGTGCTGCTTCCCTACTGCACACTACAGTCACACCCTAGGCCTCTTACCATGTCCCCCCGCCCACCACCTGCTCCCTCCTCTCAGCCAACACAGAGGAGTGCTCAGAGCATGCCCACCGTGCCATCTCCGTTCATACAGTTCCACCTTGAAGCTTCAAGCATCTGGAGGCTCCTTCTCGTCTGCCACATCTGTTCATCACTTTTGATTCCTTCCTGTCATGCCTGTTCCACCTCTTCATCCCACCTTTTCCCCATCCCAGTCAGGCTGCCTTCATGAGGTTCCTTAGGTAGCAGAGTAATTCACGCTACTCATGTCTTTTCCTGACTGGTCCCCGCTACTGCACTTACTGAGAAAGTATCATATTGTCCAGGAAGTTGAGACACCGCCTACTGCATCTGCCCACACACCCCCTGCACAGCCTCGGCAGGAGCTCTGTGACTGTTTCTGAACTCATGCAAGGAGAAATTTTCTGTACCCCACTGTTGATACACCTGGGGTTCCAGGCACATGGTTTGGCCAATGCTGCCTTGAGTGGTGCAGGCTCTCTGGAAGGATGTGTGTGCTGTTGTAGGTCAGGCCTCCTGGATGACCGGGCCTCTGCCACTAACACTTCTTGCCAGTCCCCATGGGATCTCGTGGAGGCTCACGCCCTTTTGCTCTGCTGTTTGTCCACTCATTTTGGCTTCCATGTTGGGCCTTCTTTCCCAGTATCCCAGCTCCGTCCTCACTCTTCCTATTGCTCTTGTTCGTTCACACTGTGACTGAGGCCTGATGCATGCCCCAGTCACTGTCACTCCTGTGAGTCAGAGGGACAGAGGCTGGATAGGCTGTGTCTGACAGTGGACTGCTGCCCTTGCCAGGCACCCACTCCTAATGGCCAGTGTGGGCAGGATGGTGGGGCCAAATGGTCAGCTCTTCTCAGGAGGGCTCTGCTGGCAACAGGCCTGGGAGCACCATGAGCCTGCCCCCCAGTCACCATGTGACATCTTGCTCACATTGTCGCCCCTGCTCAAGACAGGCTCAGTGGTTCTCTGGTTTCCTGCCATCTACAAGCTCTGCCAGAGAGCCTTCCTTCTGGCCAACCTCTGCCCCTGCTGTTATCACCGCCAACTACTCCTGCCATTCCCACGTTGCCCCACCTGAGTGTCTGCAGAGCTCCCAGCTGGACATCATCTCTGTCATCACAACTCTTCTTGCTTTGGCTCTCCCTTGGGTCACTTGTCACTGTCTTCCCTGTGGCATGGCAGGTGTTTTCTTTCCCTTACTATACTCTCTTTTCTGGGGCACTCTGGCTCCTCCTCATCTTCATATGTCCCAAGGTGCTGTGTAGGGCGGGCACATAGGCAGCTGCTGATGAGTAAAAATGCTGTTTCTGAGTTGTTGCTAAGTGCCTCTGTTGTTCATGCTAAGAATGGTTGGCAGGTGGTGCTGCTGAGCCAGACAAAGAAGCAGATGTTGGGCAAGTCCCAGCCCCTCAGCTGTGCTGATCTGGAGTTCACTGAGGAAGCTTTCCTTTGCTGTCTTGTCTGGAGTTAGGGGCTCTTAACTGGAGGGAGGTAGGAGAGGGTGTCCAATGAACCTCCTAAAGTTGACGCAGAATTTGGGTTATATGTGCATTTTTTATGGAAAGGGTGTCTGATTGTCAGAAGTACTTGATTCTAAAGAAGTTTAAGAATTATTAGTTTAAAACATGATTCCACATCTAACTGTCACTTGGCACACCAATCTCTGTATTTTGTTTCTCTGTTTCTGAAAGTTTGCCTCTTTTGCTCTGCATTATTGAGAACACGATCTTTAGAGTTGGGCTGACTTTGTAGAGTTATTTAGATATTTTTCTATCATGTGCTGTATCTTCATATTATTTCTTGAAATAAAACAGTCCTCAAGTGAGTCTCTGAATATGGAATTACAGCGTTGCTTCTAGGGTTAATTGTCCTGTCCTTGAATATAGATTTCATTAAATGGCTTTAGCTGAGTTGCAACCATTATGCTGTCAGATTTCTGTCCCAGGGAGACTGCCAGTAACAAATGAACCAGTACATAAGCATGTTAGGTTGTGATGAGTAATTGTGGAGAAGAAGATAGTAAGGGGTGGCAAGAGTCTTGTCCTAGTGTCCTGGCCTTTTCTTTAGTGCAGGGAGTTGCTTTTTTTATATATGCAGGGAGGAGAAGAGGCTGTCAGAAGTATGACACCTGAGCAGAGGCCTGGAGGAAGTGAGAGACTGAGCTCCGAAGCTGTCTGAGGGCAGCACCTAGGCACAGGGAGCATATCCCAAGCCTGAGGAGCCTGTGAGGCCGGCACTTCCAGCATTCCAGGGCTCTACCAGCACAGAAGCTGCGGGGCTTCCTAATGAAATCCTCTGAGTAGAACCCACTTTTAAGCTTCATAGCCACACCCCAAATATGCTGTGTTCCTTCCCATTCCTGCCTCTGCATGTGCTGTTCTCTCTACCTAGAATGCCCTTCCTGGTCTGCTCATCTCAGGATTATCTTCACCTTCCAGGACCCAGGCATGGGGGTGGTTTTGGTGAAGCCCTGGCAGTGTGAGTAAATCTCTCCATCTTTACTCACACAGAGCTGTGTGAGTCATGAATCTTCAGGTCTTATTATGTTGAAGTTTTTGGCTTACACATCTGAGTTCTCCCATTATGTCATGAGTACCTTGAGTGCTTGTCTGGTTTATCTTTGTCTCATTCTACATCTCTGGTGCCTGCTACATAATGAATAGAAGTTGAATGAATGAATGAATGAATGACGCTGCCTATATGATTATTTTTGTTTCTTTGCTTTCTTATGGCCTAACACTCAAATCATGATTTCTCAGGCGTCTCTAATCCTAATTAGTGTAGTTATTAGTAATGTCAACCATAATAAATAATTGTGGTGTATTTTAGTCACCTTAAAATGCCTTGAAATCCTTTGGAATTACTTTAGTAATTTATTTGCTTTTAAAAATATATCTTCTTTATCGATGTTTAAGTAGTTTCTCTCTGAGTGTCTTAACATTTTTCCCTCTTTTCTTTAGCTTTGATCTGATTGACTTCTTAATGCTTTGGAACAAAATTCTAGATAGCCACCTGTTGCAGACTATTCTACTTTTCTGATTTCAAAGAAAGGGAACAGATTGTTCTCCATAAAGGCCTCTTGGGGCCAAAGGACATAGTAAATTTCCAAGGGAAAAGCACATTGATCCTTGTCGTAGTCTACTCAACAGACTTCCAAACGTGTGGTGATTCTAACTCGGGTTTGGGCTTTTCTTTAAAAGGTATCTTGACTAAAAGGTTTGTGTGAAATGTGATGCCAGGGGAATACTCCTTACTTGTAAAACCCAAAAAACTGGGGGAAAGAATACATACAATAACTATACATACAAAAGCAGAAAGCTTAGTTTTCTTTTTAAGAAAGTTTATTTATAAATCAAAAATATGCTGTAGCATTAAATTATACTTTAATAAATGATTCCAGAGTTGGAAAATCCCAATGTATTTGAAAGTAGCTGAAGTTTCAGGCATGGAGACTTCTGTCTCCATGAACAGGGTATCAGTACTCCAAAATTCACCTCAGTGGTGCGTAGCTTTGAAAATCTTGGGCCACACACTGTGGCTTACACCTGTAATCTTAGCACTTTGGGAAGCTGAGACGGGAGGATCACTTGAGGTTGGGAGTTTGAGCCCAGACTGGCCAAATGGTGAAACCCTATCTCTACTAAAAATATAAATATTAGCCTTGTGTGGGGGCGCACACCTGTAGTCTCAGCCACTAGGGAGGCTGAGGCAGGAGAATCACTTGAACCCAGGAGGCGGAGGTTGCAGCGAGCCAAGATTGTGCCATTGCACTTCAGCTTGGGTGACAGAGCAAGACTCTGTCTCAAAAAAAACAAAGTCTTATGACCTCTTTGGCATGTACTTTAGAGAGGAAATCTTACCCAAGCCAGAAAGTCTCAGTCTAGGCATTTTTTTTATTGTGCAAGCATATAAAATTCTAGTAATTCTGGGGCTAATCCTGTGATAGGGAGAATTCAAGGAAAGGTGGTGGTGACCCAGTGCTGCCGTTTTCTCCTTAGGTGACGCATCCAAAGAAGACATTGACACTGCTATGAAATTAGGAGCCGGTTACCCCATGGGCCCATTTGAGCTTCTAGATTATGTCGGACTGGATACTACGAAGTTCATCGTGGATGGTAGGAATTGGAATTTTTTGTTGTCTTTAATTGAGGTAGTTTTTCTGAACTGTAAATTATAATGCCTTTTTAAAAAAAGTTAGCAGGGGTCTTAATAAAGACCTTCCAAAATCCTGCCTCACCAGGTTGAGAATTCATGAACAGATGTCAGGAGAAGGAAGAATGTGACTGTCTAGTGTCTCTTTAACAGGGTGACCTTGAAGAAAAAAAAACCTTTATGGATTCACAGGAAGTTACAAATATAGCACAGACAGGTCTTGTGTGTGTGCCCTTCACCCAGTTTCCACCAGTGGTTATATAGCCATAGTACAATATTAAATCCCAGGAAATTGACACTGGTACACTGTGTTATCACATCAATAGATTTGTGTAACCTCCATTGCAAGCAAGATACACATCCATTTTAAAAAATATATCCATTGTAATGTAAAAGCTCTGAAGACAGGGTAAAAATAATAATTAAAACTGGACTACTGAAGTTGAATGTAGCTATCTGTTCCCAAGTTTCACAGAATGCTAGTTGAAGAATTAAATTTTGAATCTTATGTGGATGCAAAATACCAATGGCAGGAATGCAGATTTTTTAACGTGTATTCTGAAAGTTAACTGTGCCAGTGATGAATCCAACCAGCAAATTAATGGCTTCTGTCAGTGTACTTGGGCCTTTGGCCGTAGTGATTTCTGAGAAGACACTGGATAAGCAGGAGGACCATAGTAGGGCCAGGCTTCAGGCAGCACAGGTGGGTGGCAGTGCAGCAGCTTTGGGGCTGATGTGGCTGCACCAGCACAGCCTTCCTTGGTGCCTCTGCAGTGGTGGCCGGAGGGGCGCCATGCCTGGGGGGCTCTCCCACATCAGAGGCAGGCCTCCAGACTTGTCCTTGGAAATGCCAAGATGTAAAAATAAACCCAGCACTTCATCCTGAGTTCTCTTCCCTCCGCTCAATAGGGTGGCATGAAATGGATGCAGAGAACCCATTACATCAGCCCAGCCCATCCTTAAATAAGCTGGTAGCAGAGAACAAGTTCGGCAAGAAGACTGGAGAAGGATTTTACAAATACAAGTGATGTGCAGCTTCTCCGGCTCTGAGAAGAACACCTGAGAGCGCTTTCCAGCCAGTGCCCCGAGTGCCTGTGGGAATGCTCTTTGGTCAGACATTCCCTCACACAGTACAGTTTAATAAATGTGCATTTTGATTGTAATCTATCGAAGTGATTATTACACCAGTTACAGCAGTAATAGATTCTCCATTAAGAAATAATTCCCTTTTTTAGTCTGTTCATTTCTGTGTATTTTCTAAACAGCTTTACACCCTTGGTGCCTTGGAGCAAACATGTTTTTTGAACCTTGTCATTTTTGTGAAGAATTGCCTAGATTCCTTCTCTCATCAACGGGAAAGTACTTCCTCTGAGAGTGCGAGTGCACCATGCTCACTGTTGCTGCGTGGGAGAGTCACAAGCCACTGGCAAGCAAGTGGTATAGTCTGTGAAGCACTGCAGCGAGCAGCACCTGGATCTTGCCTTTATAAGAACATTTTACTACCTGCAGCTTTGAGTCTTGCCCTACATTTTGGGCATGACATAAGATGTGTCTTTATTCAGCTCGTCGTGAAGATGCTGCTGCTGAATGGGTCAGCATATCTCTGTTTGCATGGTTTGCAGGAGGTCGGTTTTCATGGTCATTCAGTTCCACAGATCTGAATGATTACTGTCTGTCTGTGTCTTTTTTCCATGAGAAATCACTGTTGCAAATTGCCTATAAATTGACTCTACTAAAATAACAATGTTTCAGTCTGAAAATTTGAATTGAAAAAAATGTATAATATAAAATTGTAATACACTCAAATGATTATAAAAGTAAAAGTTGGTAATTTAGGCAGAAGCTATTTCTCCTCTTCTTTGACCTGCTGTTAATTTTTAAAGTGGGAGTGACGGGGAGGGAATGGCAGGACAAGGCATTTGTGTAAAACCTGCCTGGGGCCGTCGCTGCCAGATTTCTTACCAGGAAAGCAGTAATAAGGGCACAGAGAACAATTTTTAAGGAACATCTGTTTCTTCTTTGCCAACAAAGTGAAGTAGTGTAACGTAAGCTTCTTTTAATCATTGGCTTAAGAAAGTGTCTTCCAAGATAGAATTTTGGAGTTGGAAAGACATCAGAAATCCTGAGGTCCAATAGCCTCATTAGCAGAAAGCTTAAGGGATGTGCCCAAAGTCACTAGATATTTTGTCACATAGCCTAGACTAGAACTAGGTTTTGATAAAATTAAGTACAAAATAGCCCATTTGAAAATCTCCGATCCAAAATTTCAGACAGGACTCTCCCTAAAATGGGCATCCTTGTTTGGTGTTCTGGGTCATAGGTCTAATAGTCAAGAGATTTTTTTTCTTCATTTTATGACTGATAAAAGGGAGCTTATTAATTTTAAAAATTTTGAATCTATAACATAGTGGGAAAATAAATACATCGGTGCATTTGTACCGCACATAGAACCTGGGTAGGACACTTTTAGGTTATTCTTATAAAATGCTGCCTAACGAACCAAAGGAAGCACCTGTGAGGCCACCCGCATTTCCATCGCTAAAGGTTACCCTTGTGGTCTGACAGCTCCCTGCTCTCTCAGGCTGGCTCTTGACCTTTGGCATGAGCCCTGGGCCTAAGTGGGGGCTTCACTTCCTTACTGTCTCACCAGAGTCCCCATAGGATGCAGGCCCTTGTCCTGGAAATGGCAGGGTTCTTTCTTGACCACTGAATTCCAGGAAAGATGTAACTCAGCAATGCAACTATCAGACTGCCGGGATGAGAAGGTAGGGGCTGCAGCAGTCTTTCTGGCTGGCATTTTAAAATACACTTTAAGCCTACCAAATAGTCAAAAGGCCTAGCCTCTCAATATCCTTTTATCGTTTTCAAAAAATATTTTCCATGCACCGTGTTTGGGACCAGGAAGGAATTTTGAACATCCTTCCTTTAGACATGGGAGGTGAGGGAGTAGCTTTTTCTTTCCCAACTCCATGTCTCTGCGTTCTCAGGTGAACGTAGCTGCTTGCCACGGAGAGCTCTTGGGGCGGGGGGAGGGAAGGTCATGTCAGTCAGGTTCTCTGCTTCCAAATATAGGCCCGCTGCTGCTGTTTGCTTCAGTCTGTGGTTAAGAACTGAGCCTCAGTGAGAGCCCCAGGTGCCTTGCATCATCCTCCACTGTGTTTTGGCAGCACTTGTTCAAGAGGGAGGGTGGGTCCTGGCAGTGCTGCTGGGCCTGGTGTCACTGCTCTTGGTTCTCCTCACCTCCCCAAACTTGCCTCCTAACCGTCATGAATCTTTTATGACACTTGAAAGTAAAGACCAAGTTTTAGGTCAAGAGGATACTTTTTTTTTTTTTTGAGATGGAGTCTTGCTCTGTCGCCCAGTCTGGAGTGCAGTGTTACAATCTTGGCTCACTGCAACCTCCACCTGCCAGGTTCAAGCAATTCTCCTGCCTCAGCCTCCCGAATAGGTGGGACTACAGGCGTGTGCCATCATGCCTGGCTAATTTTTTATAGTTTTAATAGAGACGGGGTTTCACCATTGCTGGCCAGTTTGGTCTTGAACTCCTGACCTCATGATTTGCCTGCCTCAGCCTCCCAAAGTGCTGGGATTACAGGCGTGAGCCACCGTACTTGGCCACTTTTTTTCCTCTCTCCTATGCTTCCCCTTAGTGATATTTTTATTTATTTATTTGTTTTTTGAGACGGAGTCTCGCTCTGTCGCCTAGGCTGAAGTGCAGTGGCGCAATCTCAGCTCACTGCAACCTCCGCCTCCTGAGTTCAAGCGATTCTCCTGCCTCAGCCTCCCGAGTAGCTGAGATTACAGGCATACATCACCACGCCCAGCTAATTTTTATATTTTTAGTAGAGACGGGGTTTCACCACGTTGGTCAGGCTGGTCTCAAACTCCTGACCTCGTGACCCACCCACCTCAGCCTCCTGAAGTGCTGGGATTACAGGCGTGGGCTACTGCACCCGGCCAGTGATATTTTTATTTACCTATAATACAAGTGAAAGTTTGAGATTAAGAAGAAAACCAGGCAACTTATGAGATGACTTGCTGAAAAAGATGGTGAGCCTCTGATAGCCATCACCTAGACTTCAATTCTGTTTAGTAAAATGGAGTTCTCTGAAGGATCGTTTTAACTCAAGATATCTTTGTAAAATGAAAATCATGGCCCTTTCATGTTCTTAAGATTCACTGTTAATAGTAGTTTTTCTGGGGAAAATGGTTAACTTTTTCTGACATCAATTGTAAAGCGTATTTCCACTTTGGGAACTTCAATGACACAGCGTGGGGGTAGGTGGAACCATGTCTTGGAACTCGGAAACTACTATGAACAAATCCGGTGTTAGAAAATACTCTCAGCTGGGTGCAGTGGCTCATGCCTGTAATCCCAGCACTTTGGGAGGCCGAGGGGGGCAGATCATGAGGTCAGGAGTTTGAGACCAGCCTGGTCAACATAGTGAAACCCTGTCTCTACTGAAAATACAAAAAATTAGCCAGGCGTTGTGGCGGGCACCTGTAATCCCAGCTACTCAGAAGGCTGAGGCAGGAGAATCGCTTGAACCCAGGAGGCAGAGGTTGCAGTGAGCTGAGATGGCACCATGGCACTCCAGCCTGGACAACAGAGCAAGACTCTGTCTCAAAAATAAGAAAAAAAAAAAAAAAAAAAGAAAATGACTCTCCACTGGGTTCCGTTAATAGTAAGTGTTTTGACTAACACATCAGCTTTCAGAAACCCATTTGAGATTCAACTAGTCATCATTGGAGAGGTTACAGCCACTATGTTAGTCACAGCTTATACAACAACATACACTAATTATGCTTTCTTTGTGAGTTATACCGTTCACATATTTGAAACAAGCTTTTGTCTTGTCCCCACCTTGATTTTAATCCCTTTAACATTTCAACCTAAGTAACTCATTAAGTCTACCAAAAGTATAAGGTGTGGCTATAATTTTATGAGACTAATTTTCTTATAAACAGGCATTGATGCTACATAAATAGTAATCGAAAAAATGCTTTGAACAATGAAATCATGGCTGTGCTTTCAGTACTATACTTTGAAAGAATCCATTTGGCTGTGTAAATTCTATTTTTTAAATTGGTCTCACTGTTTCATCATCACAGTTTTAATGTCTATTTTAGCATTTTTTTTCTTGCTACCATTTGACATGGCATAACAGACTTTAACTCCTGAAAGACAGAGAACCCTGTCATTGATACTGATGTTATTCAATGTTTTAGTGAAAATCACCAACTGTAGTTGCTGCTACAGGATTAACCAGCACAACTACTTGACAGCATGGGCTTTGCAATTAAACCAACTTGGGTTCTAGTTCTCAGTTCCACTGCCTTTACCTGTGTAACCTAGAGAAGTTATTTGTTTTCTGGGTATATCTGGTAGAATGGGCATAAGGATGGAACCTATGCCATAGGGTTGCTGGGGACCAAGCGAAGTAGGTTTCAGGTGTTGAGCACACTGCCTAGCATCTATAGGCCAATTGTGAAGGAAGCCCCAGTAACCTATGTTCATCGGGTTACAGATGACAGCCCTGAACATGTGACAGCAGCAGGGAGTAGGCTTAAGATTCAGAGCAGGCCTGAGTCTTGGAAAAGTGAGTCTCAGAAATTAAGCAGTTGGGCTACCTGGCAAAAAGACCAGTGCTGGGGCTCTGCACTCCACCCCACAGCTCCTCTGGAAGGTCTTCCCACACTTTCAGAGAGGTGCTGGTCGGGGCTAGTCAGAAAGGGGTTGCTGTCACTCAGGTAGGCTACATGTTATGTGTGAGCAGTAGACTGGATGATTTAAGACCCCAGACAAACAGCAGGTGTGTAGAAGAGACGTTCCCAAGATTCTCCTAACACATGGTAATTAGAGAAGTGGTGGCATATGAACAGGAGCATAATGATGCTTCATTCTATCATAATGTAATTTTATTTTTATTTATTTATTTATTTATTTATTTATTTATTTATTTTGTTGAGACAGAGTCTTGCTCTGTAACCCAGGCTGGAGTACAGTGGCACGATCTCGGCTCACTGCAACCTCTGCCTCCCAGGTTCAAGCGATTCTCCTGCCTCAGCCTCCCTAGTAGCTGGGATTATAGGCACTCACTAGCACACCTAGCTAATTTTTTCATTTTTAGTAGAGACGGGGTTTCATCATGTTGGCCAGGCTGGTCTCAAACTCCTGACCTCAAGTGATCCACCTGCCTTGGCCTCCCAAAGTGCTAGGATTGTAGTGGCCAGTAGTTTTAAATGACATTAGGTTACTCCTAAAGATTTATTCAGAACAAAATTGTGGGAGGCCCTACTAGGTCTATTAATTATTTAGCCAAGGGAGCAATAGGATGGCCCCTAGGGTTTAAACAAATTCAAGCTGCTCTTGATTCATCATCAAGGAGGGGAGAGGATACCATAGCTAACTTGAACATCAGTTTGTCAAGCTGGGTGGGGTGGTGCACACCTGTAATACCAGCTTCTTGGGAGGCTGAGGTGGAGGATTGTGTGAGCCCAGGAGATTGAGTCCAGCCTGGGCAACATAGCGAGACCCCATCTCCTAAAATAAATTAGTCTGTCGAGGTAGAATCCCTTTGGATGACAGAGTGGCAATGGAGCCCTTCATGATGTCAATAAACTTCATGGAGACACCTCAGTTTCACTTCTACAGATGCAGTTACTGGAATATTCTATGAGAAAATGTAGTCTGTTCTCAGGCAAGCAGGTATTAGAAGAGAAAACCTCCTGGAATAAGAACTCTACCCTTGCTACCTGCTCTTGAACAGCCACTTCACCACTCAGATTGCAGGTGTAGAAGACAGGAAATTGGGATGCCTCCAAAACTAGTAGGGAGTGAGGATGGCATTTTTGAAACTGAATTTCCTACTTGAGGCAGTTTGAGTGGTTTCCAACTGCCTCATTCTATGTGGAGGTTTTGGTATATGCTGCTGGGAAGGTAGTTTTCTGGAGCCCTTTAGCGTCAATATTCAAGTTGCAGGGAAGGGTGGGAGTGGAGAGAAATCTATCCTTCCACCACACCAATTTGTAGTAGGACCAAGGAGGGTGAAATGGAAAAGCTCTGTCCAACCCGAAAATCTCCATATCTAGGCAGAGACTTTATTTTTATTTATTTATTTATTTTTGTTATTATTATACTTTAAGTTTTAGGGTATATGTGCACAATGTGCTGGTTAGTTACATATGTATACATGTGACATCCTGGTGCGCTGCACCCACTAACTCGTCATCTAGCATTAGGTATATCTCCCAGTGCTATCCCTCCCCCCTCCCCCCACCCCACAACAGTCCCCAGAGTGTGATGTTCCCCTTCTTGTGTCCCTGTGTTCTCATTGTTCAATTCCCACCTATGAGTGAGAATATGCGGTGCTTGGTTTTTTGTTCTTGTGATAGTTTACTGAGAATGATGATTTCCAATTTCATCCATGTCCCTACAAAGGACATGAACTCATCATTTTTTATGGCTGCATAGTATTCCTTGGTCTATATGTGCCACATTTTCTTAATCCAGTCTATCATTGTTGGACATTTGGGTTGGTTCCAAGTCTTTGCTATTGTGAATAGTGCCGCAATCAACATACGTGTGCATGTGTCTTTATAGCAGCATGATTTATAGTCCTTTGGGTATATACCCAGTAATGGGATGGCTGGGTCCAATGGTATTTCTAGTTCTAGATCCCTGAGGAATCGCCACACTGACTTCCACAATGGTTGAACTAGATTACAGTCCCACCAACAGTGTAAAAGTGTTCCTATTGCTCCACATCCTCTCCAGCACCTGTTGTTTCCTGACTTTTTAATGATTGCCATTCTAACTGGTGTGAGATAATATCTCATTGTGGTTTTGATTTGCATTTCTCTGATGGCCAGTGATGGTGAGCATTTTTTCATGTGTTTTTTGGCTGCATAAATGTCTTCTTTTGAGAAGTGTCTGTTCATATCCTTCACCCACTTTTTGATGGGGTTGTTTGTTTTTTTCTTGTAAATTTGTTGGAGTTCATTGTAGATTCTGGATATTAGCCCTTTGTCAGATGAGTAGGTTGCAAAAATTTTCTCCCATTTTGTAGGTTGCCTGTTCACTCTGATGGTAGTTTCTTTTGCTGTGCAGAAGCTCTTTAGTTTAATTAGATCCCATTTGTCAGTTTTGGCTTTTGTTGCCATTGCTTTTGGTGTTTTAGACATGAAGTCCTTGCCCGTGCCTATGTGTTGAATGGTAATGCCTAGGTTTTCTTCTAGGGTTTTTATGGTTTTAGGTCTAACGTTTAAGTCTTTAATCCATCTTGAATTGATTTTTGTATAAGGTGTAAGGAAGGGATCCAGTTTCAGCTTTCTACATATGGCTAGCCAGTTTTCCCAGCACCATTTATTAAATAGGGAATCCTTTCCCCATTGCTTGTTTTTCTCAGGTTTGTCAAAGATCAGATAGTTGTAGATATGTGGCATTATTTCTGAGGGCTCTGTTCTGTTCCATTGATCTATATTTCTGTTTTGGTACCAGTACCATGCTGTTTTGGTTACTGTAGCCTTGTAGTATAGTTTGAAGTCAGGTAGCATGATGCCTCCAGCTTTGTTCTTTTGTCTTAGGATTGACTTGGCGATGTGGGCTGTTTTTTGGTTCCATATGAACTTTAAAGTAGTTTTTTCCAATTCTGTGAAGAAAGTCATTGGTAGCTTGATGGGGATGGCATTGAATCTATAAACTACCTTGGGCAGTATGGCCATTTTCATGATATTGATTCTTCCTACCCATGAGCATGGAATGTTCTTCCATTTGTTTGTATCCTCTTTTATTTCATTGAGCAGTGGTTTGTAGTTCTCCTTGAAGAGGTCCTTCACGTCCCTTGTAAGGTGGATTCCTAGGTATTTTATTCTCTTTGAAGCATGTGAATCACTCACGATTTGGCTCTCTGTCTGTTATTGGTGTATAAGAATGCTCATGATTTTTGTACATTGATTTTGTATCCTGAGACTTTGCTGAAGTTGCTTATAGCTTAAGGAGATTTGGGGCTGAGACAATGGGGTTTTCTAGATATACAATCATGTCGTCTGCAAACAGGGACAATTTGACTTCCTCTTTTCCTAATTGAATACCCTTTATTTCCTTCTCCTGCCTAATTGCCCTGGTCAGAACTTCCAACACTATGTTGAATAGGAGTGGTGAGAGAGGGCATCCCTGTCTTGTGCCAGTTTTCAAAGGGAATGCTTCCAGTTTTTGCCCATTCAGTATGATTTTGGCTGTGGGTTTGTCATGGATAGCTCTTATTATTTTGAGATACGTCCCATCAATACCTAATTTATTGAGAGTTTTTAGCATGAAGGGTTGTTGAATTTTGTCAAAGGCCTTTTCTGCATCTATTGAGATAATCATGTGGTTTTTGTCTTTGGTTTTGTTTATATGCTGGATTACATTTATTGATTTGCGTATATTGAACCAGCCTTGCATCCCAGGGATGAAGCCCACTTGATCGTGGTGGATAAGCTTTTTGATGTGCTGCTGGATTCGGTTTGCCAGTATTTTATTGAGGATTTTCGCATCAATGTTCATCAAGTATATTGGTCTAAAATTCTCTTTTTTGGTTGTGTCTCTGCCCGGCTTTGGTATCAGGATGATGCTGGCCTCATAAAATGAGTTAGGGAGGATTCCCTCTTTTTCTATTGATAGGCAGAGACTTTAACTTGTGCGTGCACGTGCACACACACACACACACACACAGAGCAGTCAGAGTGAACAGCGCACACAGATTGCTTAGAACCAGCTACCCTTTCAGCACTGAGTCTCATGGTGGATTCTGCCACTAGCTGGCACAATGTTATCACAAATCACAGGCCTAATGTAAGGGTATTAATACTTTTATCTTGATTTTTTTTCTGTTGTCCTCCCCTTCTTAAGTCTTGTGTATGTGTGCATGTGTGTGCATGTGTGCACACTCACACACACCCTTTATTAAATGCATCCCTTTATTAAAATAGTTAATCCCAAATGCTGGGAGAGGACAGCACGTCTCATCTCATTCACGTGATTTGTAGTTTGCAGTGCCTGCCCCTTCCCAATTAACCATGGCCTCCTTGAGACTCTGCACTTCCTTGACATCCTCATCCCTGCCAGCTAAAGATCTCATCATCCAGTCTGAGAGATGCTGTTCTAGGGAGCAGAGGCCTGGGAAAGAACAGAGACAATCTAAACAGATCTGAGTATAAAAGAAGTTGCAGTGGCCATGATATTGTCTTTCATTCAAGTCGAAAGCTCTTGAAAGCCAGGTGGTTTTCGTAAGGGCTGCCTGAATGGGTTTGCACTCTGTAGGGCCAGGCACTGAGGAAAGATCATCCCCAGCTAATTGGAACATGAGAAGCAAAGCAGGCAAAGCCTATACAAGATGCCAGCATGTGGCGAGCAGATGAGATTGCTCACAAAGCACCTCTGAGCTTTAGTGAGCCCTGCAGTGAGCACTGCACAGCCCTGGCTTTGTGCAGTGCTGAAGGCTGTCACCAGGGCTGAGCGTGGAGGGCAGGCGAGACTCTAAAGCCATTGTTGCCATCCTCCAGTTGAGCAGTGGGAGTCTGAACTAACTTTGAAAGGACCTGTAATGACAACCAGGCCAGCTTGTGGGGATCTGTTTTACTTTGGTTGCCTCATACATCTTCCTGTTGGGGAAAAAAAAATCACTATGGTGTAGAATATAATTCAGTGATTCCACTGATTTCAGATTCTGAGACAAGTTATAGATGGAGAAGAGAAAATGACAAGTCTACAAATTCCACTGTGACTACAGAGAAAACCGTTAAAATGATGTGTGGTGACATCTATTTGTATGCAGTGTTCTCATTCCATCTGGCAAATACATTTTTCTACCAATTTCTCCCACTTATTTAGTGGGGGATCAAAAATTTAATAATTTAGCTGGTAACATCCCAAGCTATTATGTATTAAGAAAAATATTTATATGAACACATCAGTATAGATGACCCAATAAATCCAAACTCTGCACCTTTTGTACAAGTACTTCCATGGTCCTGACTCCAAAACAGAGTGCTTAGTCCTGTTACCCACTGCTTCCCTAGGCAGAAATAAGCTCACATGTTCTATGGCTACAAGGCAATATATAAACAAGATATTTTTTGCACTGGACAAAACATGTTTTCTAACACATTATAAAACAATTCAAGGGGAAATTAAAAATTTACTAGTCACTTCCTGTCAGGCTTCTCTCTCCTTTACCTCTCACATACCCTGACAGAGGTCTGTGATACCTTAGCCCATGAGGAAGTGTGCCCAGAGGGGTTTAGTGTGCCGTTCCCAACAGTGGGATGAATAGATTTTGTCCAGCTCTGTGGACTCTAAACCTGGGCTTTCCTCACTGGGCCACCTCCTGCCTAATATAACCTGTTTTAAGTCCAAATTACCATCCAGGGAAAAGAACCCTTGCACATTGTAACAAATGCGGGCAGTAGGCATTTCTTATATGCCTACAGTAGACAGACAATACAAAACATTTTTCTGGTGTCCAGTTATTTGAGCATAGCCCATTGGAAAGTGCTCAGTAAAAATGTATTGAATGAATGCATCTATTATTTAACACCAGTTTACTGTTGATGAACAATGCTATAAACAATATTAGCACTGCTTCTTCAATAAAGGCAAGTAGTTTTCACTTGTCTCAAGTTTTACTATAAATTATTAATTTTAATTAACATGTATACAGTTTGTTTACTTTGATTCGTGCTAATAATGTTTATTTTAAATAGTTGCTGTTAGTACACCCTGTGTAGAGGTAGGTGTATCTGAGTCACCTTGGTACACGCTCCCTGAGTCACGCCTGGCTGCAGAGTAAAGATAATAAAAGTTTTCCCAGAAAAGAGTTGAAGAAATTTAGAAGAGCCACTTCCAGAATGATATCCACTGAATTATTGCCAAGAAAACCAATCTTATTTTTTCCCACAATAAATCAGTATAAACGGTGTATAGAATCACATCCTTCTATTAGTATTAAGATACTTAATTGCCATCAAATTTTACAGTTTCTATTAAAAAGCAGTCCACATTTTCTTGTGTGTGTATCTTTAGAGGTTAGGTTTCACAGGGCAGCTCTTAAAGTTCTCATCTTCCACATCTGGAAGATCACATTCTGTGGCAGAAATGGTAAATGCGATTTTTCAACAACTACTACATCGTGCGGATGTTAGGGGCCTCTTTTCTGTCAGAACGGTACATTACTCGCTCATGACTCTTCTTCTTTAAAAGCACAGCCACACAGACATCTTGTTATTGTTCATAAGCCCTTTATTAGAGTTTCCATATTGTTGCAGCCATAGACCAAACTAGAGGAAAAAATTATTGTGTAAAATACTTAAGACAACTGTAGTCATGAAACAGTTCAAAGTCACCTTCCAGCTAAACAGGTAGTTGCCAGCAGCCCTAGCAACCAAACTAGAACCAGGAGGAAAACACCCCTTCATACAGACCCGCATGCCAGCTGTGACCTCAGAGAAGGCTCAGCTCCCAGAAAGAAGGCTGACCTAGCCTCTTCTTGGCACACAGTTCAGCTCTGAGTTCGCTGCAGGGAAGGAGGCCAAATCCCTTCAAGATCAAACAAACAGAAGAAGTGGCCAGAGGAGTGTCCCTCTCCCCGCAGACACCTGCTTTGATCCCTATCTCTAGGGGGACTGTTGACTCTCCCCCAGAACTGCTGCCTACAGAAAGCAGGATTTGGGCAGAATGAGCCCAGAATGAGCTCTGTGCAGTGACATCAAAGTTATTTGGGAAAAATTATTGTGGAAGAAATACAGGAAACTAGGAGGGGACCAAGTTTGTGGAAGGAACTGGCTGAGGGTCCAAACAACCCGTTTCTTTCAACTTCACCAATTTTTTGTGAAGTTCAAATAGATTATTTGGACCATAGCAGGATATACACACCTGAGACTCGGGACTTGGCCTCTGCATTTTTGAGAGGAGGAGGAACCGAGGGAGAGAAGAGTTGAGCAGGCTTTGGCCAAGCCTCAAGTCTCAGGTATAGATCCAGCTATGCCTGTTGCCTTGATGAATAGACTTTTTTATTATTAATTGCTTTCTCTCTATATCCAGAAGAGCCCATCAATGTGTTGGCATAATGCTCCACTGTCACCTCCCTTACCGTTTTGTTGGATTTTCTAGTTAACTCTCAAAAAGATCATGGTGGCAGCTTTAGACTGTTTTTTAACTACTTGGTTTATGCATGTTAAGAGAACTCAGAGAGAGAGAATTTTCAAATGAAGTTCTGGCCAGGGCTGAATATGAAACCTTTATAACAAGTAGGCCCCCTAAACATAATACTTTTTTTTTTCCCTGGTTCAAGTTTAGGACTAAATGAAGAGGAATTGGAAAGGTTCCAGAGGATAGTAATGAAAATGATTAAAGGACTGATGATGAAAGTTTCAAGGAATTGGGATTACTTAGCCTGAAGAAGAGAAATTTGAGGGGTGATTTAATGGCAATCTTCAAGTACAGTATGAGGAGGGTTATTATAAGTATGGTAGCCAGCTGTTCCCCAGCTGCACCGAAGGTTAGAAAGGGGAAATCGAGCTAGAATTTCAGCAGAGAGGTTTAAGTTGGACCAGTGATAGTGGTTCTCAAAGTAGCTCAAGGGATAGAAAACCATCGTGGAAGACCATGACATATTCTTTTAAATTTAAATATACTTTTTCCTAATCAGATACCAACTTATAACATGTACTAGTAAGGTAAAAATTATGAAATACAGCTCAGGACTTAGAAAATGTTGACTGGGGAGATGGGTGGGGGTGTTAAGACATACCTTCTCCACTGGGACCCCACAATGTGGAAGCCCAGTTTGAATACCAATGAGCTATGAAGAGAGGCGGTACCTGTGGACTTTCAATGAGCACGACAACCAGATGGTGGGAGCCCATGAGGATCTGTGTTCAGGAAAGGACTCACTCCCATCTGAATCCTGGCAACCCTCTTTTTTCCTTTGACCCTGTTTCATACCACCTGGAAAAGGAGGGAGAGGCCCAAGCCATACAAGTACTTTTGAGGACTGCATGTCTAGGAGACAGGGCAAGGTGCCCATTTACAGCCGGTTCTGGCCTGTCCCTGGAGAAGGCTGCACCAGCAGCACCCCTCTCACACAAACTGTTCCTCTCTACAAACCAGCTCTGCCCTGGCCTGTGGATTCAGTTCATTAGCAATTTTAGATTATCAGGAACTTCACTCTTAATAAAATGACAATTTTTAAAAATGTTTTATTACAAAGCTTCTTTTAAAAAAATGCTCAGCACATTAACTCAAACTGGAATGACAAACGTTAGGATGACAGTTTTGGGCAAAGGCTGTGCCTTGCTTTTTTAAAAAATGGGTACATCAATGCTCATTTTAACAACTGGCATAAAATCCCACTAATTGGCTAATAAAAACAGATACAAATACAGAACATTTAAAGTAATAACAATTCAAGTGCTGGGCTTTTTACAACAAGGGGGTGATAAGGAAAGAAATGAAAATTCACTGCAAACCAGTCTGCTGAACGCATCTGTTAAGGTTTACTGTTTAAAAAAAGAAAAGAAGAAAACAGAAGAAAAAATAAACTGAAATAGGGCTGCCAATTGCTACCAACAGAGTGGGTTTGGCTATTACATTTATTTAGCTCTACTGAACACCTTACAAGGGCGGAGAAGCCACTATGTGTTACAGGCAATTCACAGAGAAGCCACTTACCAGACAAGCTGTCTCAGAAAAAGAAGGCTTCTTTTTATGTCATTATTTCAAACTTTTCCAGAACTTTCAATTTTATTTAAAAGCTCATAGCTAGCAAAATATACAAGAAAATTAAAACTAAAAAGTGTAAATTAAAAAAATTCAAGTTTAAAAAAGCAAAAAAAAACGATCCTTTTGCACTGTTAAATAAAAGCTTTAGGAGAAAAGAAAAGAAAGAAAAATGAAGCAGAAACAAAGAGGGAACTCTTCCATGAACTCCTCCACTGGGGTGCTGATGGATGTGCTGGTTGCTGGCTCCAGTTGCGCATGACAGGCAAATGCAGCCAAGTTACCGTCCTTGCCGAAAGGTTACAGGTTTGGATGCAAGATGCTCTGGGAAGTGCACGCAGATATGAGGGGAGAAAAGCTGCTCAGCTGCCCCACAGCCTGCTAGCATTCTCATGTGCTTTTACATTTCCTTTTAAAAAACCTTTTTATGCTTTATTTTGGAACTTGGCTCTTGCAGTAGACGAAAGAGGGGTTGGCAGTGATTGTCTTTATGGATCAGCGTCTCTAGCAGTGACCTCAGGGTAAAATTGATGTCAGTGTTCCTTTGGGGTCGACTGGGCAGGCCGTGGAGACAGTCTGGGTTTTCAACAAGCTTCCATCTCCAGAAGAGGTCCTGGGGTCGCTGCCTTGGCTTTGCACGTTGGGAATGAGCTTCGTTTTCCACCTCAAGAAGGAACAAATGAAATGCTATTAATATGAATTTGCCGTAGGCCTTAAGATTATAACCTCTATTCCATACCATATATGTCTTACAACCTCTGCATTTAATTAATCCATTTTGTTAATTTGGGGATGGCTAAAATGAATTGCCCTATCAGTCAAAAATCCTGAGAGTACACTACAGAGTTAATATAGTGACATTTTTACTTTGGTTCCATGTATACGTATGCCCAGAGTTATGATGTGAAGTGTAGTGAATACTCTGGGTCATGGTAAACAGAACAAAAAAAAAGTTTGAAAAACACCAGTAGGAAACAGGCAAACATGAATAGGGAAGGCGGGCAACAGCCAGATCAGGGAAAGATGTGTCATTCTGCAGTGTTTGGTGTTTTTGGTCCACTGTGGGAAGCCACTGTATGATTCTACATAGGACAGACATAATCACATTACCCAACGCACTGCCAACTCCCGTGACGCTATGTGCTCTGTCCGCTCACACTCACAGCCCAGAGGATACAAACCGCTCCCTTTTTCCTTAAGATCTTACAATTTTCAAGATTTTTTTTTCCTTCCTAACATCAAGGATCTCTAATGATAGCCTCGGAAAGGACACTCAGCAAATATGTTAAAATAATGTTGCCAGATATTGGTGATAATGATTTTCAAATAAGAGAACTCCCACATCCTCAAAGCTTTAATGATCTGAGATTTTTTAAAAAGTGATTAAAAGTAAAATGTAACATTGTAACAAGATGAGACAAAGACAAAAGGAAAGTAAAAGCATGGCAAAGTTCCGTTCCTTCACTCCAGAGAGCACCTGCTTCCGCTGCTTTGAACTTGGGGAGGCTGCTTTCCTTTGGTGGCAGCGATGCTGGAAGCACCTTCTCAACCTGGGTCCCTTGACAGCCTCAGATGAATCCCAACACTTTGTGCTTGTGATTGTGCTATCCGTGTTACAAGCACAAGTTTCCTTTTAGAAACTCATTCTAAATAATGGTGGATTATCGTACACTTTCATTTCAATGGAAAAAGAAAGTAAAAGAGAAATAAAAGGAAACTTTGACATAGTTTAATAATGAATACAAAAGTCTAGATGGCAAGTTACAGTCCACAGAGTACTTTCCATGGAAGGATGGTGATCTATGGAATGGGAACTGCGAGGACACCTGCCCTTCAGGCTTTTGGAAAGAGAGGTTTGGCTCCTATATTTAAAGTGCTCACAAAGTGCACAGCACAGAGCAAGCCCTGCAAGCAGGTTAGCTAGTATTATTATTCCAATTATGCCCAATGCGGCCCCTAAAGATGATCAGAACTGCAAAGAAGCTATTTGTATACCTGGGTAGCTACTGAAAAAGCAAAAACCAACCAACCAACAAAAAACAAAATAGGAGGAAATCAGCCACAGAATGATTTCAACTGAGGAGGTCCTCCAATGACAATTTCATTTTCTATTCTCCTGGAAAATCAACCATTCCCTGTTTAACAGGAAAACACTACAGCATTGTGTTAATCACTATATTATCACTTGTACTCAGCTTAAGAGAGGAGGAGAAGGCACCCTTAGGTAAGGCAGTGAAGGGACAAGAAGACTGGTGGAGCCGGAAGTGCAGGGTGCTCTAGATTGGAGGTGTTAGCCCTGCTTGAGAATGGGGCCACAGCAGGGCCATGGAAGTTGTCTGTACCTCAGTACTTCACAGTTCGCTGTGCCAGGCCCACAGAGGTATGGATCTTGCACGCAGGAGGATCAAAGAGCTACGAAGGACCCTGCCTTTCTACGGAGAAAGAAACAGGGCTCTAGCAGAGCCTGGGGTGGGAGAGAGGGCACCCCACAGATTCCTATTTACATTATAATTTTGCATCACAGATTTTCAAAGGCTTGGTCCAGGTTGCTCTTCCTGGGAAGGTTTTCCTCTCAGTCTGACATGAAAACATTTAGTTTCCTGGTGAGGCCTGGCCTTGCAGTCCTAGGCTAGCGCCTGAGACAAGCACTGGGACTCAGAATAGACTCGCCATTGGCAGCCAGGAACGCCTGAGGGAGACAACCTGCCCTTCTGTTGGGCCATCCCACCACTGCCTGGCACAGCGAACTGTGAAGTACTGAGGTACAGACAACTTCCATGGCCCTGCTGTGGCCCCATTCTCAAGCAGGGCTAACACCTCCAATCTAGAGCACCCTGCACTTCCGGCTCCACCAGTCTTCTTGTCCCTTCACTGCCTTACCTAAGGGTGCCTTCTCCTCCTCTCTTAAGCTGAGTACAAGTGATAATATAGTGATTAACACAAACATGGGTGCCCAGAGATAGCCATTTACCTAAAGGATAGTATGTCACTTGCCAAGAAAGAGTCTATATCTCCTAATAAAGTCATTTCTTTCCACAGTCTCACATTTTCCCACCTGTTATTTCCTTATTCCATGGGGTCACCTTGCAAATTCTCCTGGAAAGTTGGCTTCAGAGAACCTCTGTACAGTTGCTTACCAAAAAGCAACTAATCCCTTTCAGGGACTAGTGCTTAAAAAAAAAAAAGAGCAAAGAAATTCCTTCACTATGAAATGAGGCAGTTTGTCCCTGGTGGCTCTTTTAAAATACAGGGATGTCAGGGGAGACCAAGTCTTACTTCCAAGTGGGAGAAACGGGGGCCTTGTAGTGTTGCTTTACAGATATAAAACAGGTCCAGTCCAGATTATTTTCAAGAAACCACAGGCATGAGGCTCCAGGGGCTGGAGCTTTCCCACATCTAAGGCTTCACTGGGGGGCTGCGGCTGAAGCTGGGCCAGGCCAGGCGAGCCCCGGCACAGCCCAACCCACCAGTGAAGTCTGCGCAATCAAAGCCAGCAATTACTGCTCTCCGGCTGCGGCTGGGCTTCAAAGGGAGTGAGGCAAGGCCCATCTTACATATGTTCAGACTTGGGCTCCCTCCACCAGGAGTCACCACGCATTTGTACTGGGGATGCAAAGGCGGCACAAGACCCCACCCCACCCCATATAACCGAACCCCCCTGATGCTCTCCTGGACCAAATTCCAATCTTGACAAAATATCCCATCAACCAAATGGAACCATGAACCCAAATGGGTAGAGTTCCTTACTAAAAGCCCAAGCAATAAAGGTGAATCTAAAGATTTCAAGAGTGGGCCTGTTTCTGGGAGGTCAACAGCACCGACCCTGGGCCAATAGGGCTTTACAGACCCTGACTCAGGAGTGAAGAAAGGGAAAGGGGGAAACTCCTTCTCTCTAAGCCCAAATAAATGTAAAATCCTACCAAAAGCAGAGCGCTTGGCCAGCTCATGTCCTGGGGGTTCCTCCCCAGGCTGTCCTCTGGAAGAAAGGGCCAAGGAGACAAGTCTATGGGTGAGCTCTGAGGTGGTGGAGTGGAGGGTCAGGAGCAGGCAAGGGCCAGCCCTGTCAGGGTGCCACTCAGGGCTCACTGGCCAGTCAGTTTAAGCTGTCCAGGCCAAGGCAAGGGCAGCAAAGCTGGTGTCCAGGAACAAAATGCACCCCTGCCCCATCATGTAATATCACTTCCTTATTCAGAATTGGTGAGGATACAAAAAAAGTGAGTTGGAATAAAAGACCCTTTCTTCGTCGTCCTCTTCCTTTTACGCCACTCTCAAATGCTACTAACAAGAGGCAGGAGCCTTAAACGATGTGCAATTTGAGGGGAGAATATTAGAGATTGGTTTTATGAGAGGTAAACAGATTCACAGATTTTAATTGCAAAAATGGAATTCCAGCATCACACCACACACCTCATGCCAATTGTCTCCATTTTTACACCTTGGGAAAAACTGACAAAAGCCTGTGATTTGAGGGTGTGAACTCTTCTGCTGCACAATGTCATGTGTGTATGAAGGAAGAGAGGTACAGACTTCTACAGCAGGAAGCAAGCGTGACAGAGCTAGTCTAATCCTGTTTTTTTAGCAGAGACTTAGGAATATGGTCATAAAATGACTGGCCCATGGTGACCCCTAGAGAGTCCCAGTGCTGGGCTGTTCCCCAGGCCTCCTGGCATCATAAAAGTGACAGTCTTGTTGACTTGAAGGTGGTCTTGTCTGCAAGAAGCTGGTGAGGGGGAAGGAACAAAAACACTGTCCACTACGCACTGATTTGCCAGGCACTGAGACATGGACTTTAGAATTTCACATTATCATCATTACAGTTTGCATCTTCCCACCCACTTACAGATAAGGACACTGAGGCTACCTGAAGTTCAGTAACTTGCCAAAGGTCACCCAACTAATAGGCAGCAGGATGAGCCTCTGAACTCTCAACATGTGTTCTCTCCACCATACCTTGGAACTAAATTATCATTCACTTTCTTCTCTCCTTCCTACCTTCCATCATTCTGTCTGTCCATCCCCAGGCAACAACCCCTGTATCCTGGTGGAGGCAGTCTACATCTGTAACAGTGCAGCCACCCCCAGGATATCACGCTCTGTTTGAAGAAAGATGATAAAGAGAAACAAACGCATAAGTTAACTTTGAAATTTAAGTCCCTAAGACTGGAAATATAACCTACAAAAGCCAGCTTCAGCTCCTTGACAGTAAACATTACCCAACATTTGAGAAAAAAGAAAAATGAAAATGTGTGGTTAGGAAGGTTAACACTGAGTTTTATTTCTGCAGCTGAATGACTCCTTAGTCCCAGCATTCAAGACTAGTTAGTTAATCCCCTAACCACAAAGCTCTAAAGCAAAAAGATTCCCAGAAGCTGGAGGTGGGAGGAAAGGGGTCATTGCCACTCCTGGATTCATGTTCTACCAAGGCAAGGCTTCCTCTCCTGTGGCTATTCAGAGTGAATTACCATCAGCTCAACCAGACTTTGGCAATGTCAAGATGACTTTGAGACAAGCCTGTGACCGTTAATGAATTACTCCAGGGGAATTTTTCTGTAGCTACTGGTTTCTCTTCCTGATCAGCCTAGCCCTCTGTGTTTGTCTCCTCTGTGAGGACATGTGTCCTATTGGTAGGCCAGACCTCCTGGTGCAGGTCATGACCGCTAGATCCTTCCTACCACGGGAAACATGGGAGAAATGGTCTTGAGCAAGTTTTGAAGGAGAGAGCCTCAAAAGCCCATTGTAGTTCTGTCAGCTGAAGTGCTTCCAGAGGGTAATAACTAGCTAGGTAGACCTCCCTCATCTACTCACCTCCAAACGCTATCCAATCCACATTTCTCTCAACAGACGTTCTCTCACACTAAAGATGTTAAGTTCACCTTCTACAAATGAGGTGACAGGATCAGGGCACACTTTGGTCTTTTTTTGTTTTGTTTACCCAAACCAAGCCCTTCCACAGTTATGCCAGCATTTGTGTGTGCACCTGTGCATCTGGTTAAGCACAGGGAGGTGATAACTTGTATGGGTTAGAGTGTGGGCTCTAAGGACTGACAGTCCTGGGTTGGGTTTGGATCCTGGGTCCATCGGTTACCACCTGGAAATCTCGGGCATGCACTCTGAACGTACCAAACCTGTTTCCTCATCTGTAAAGTGAAGATAAGAAGCTGCTCTACCTCATCAGGTGCGCTGCGGGATGTGGGAGACGTATGTGCAGAGCCGGGCGAGTGCAGGGCAGACGCCCTGAAGCAGCGTAGTGAGTGCAGTAACAGCAGAGGATGGAGAACTGGGGCTCAGAGCTGATGGTAATTCACTCTGCAGACGCAGCGCTGCTACTCGCCAGCTGCATGGCCCTGGACAAGTGATTATTTTCTCATCCTTCAGACAGAACTGAAATCTGTCCCCTCCACCCCACAATGGGGCTGCTACAGAACGAGAGGAGGCAACACATGCAGAAGCATCTGTTAAAGCCTCTGGAATGTGGCAGGTGGTCCATACAGGTTGGGACCATTTCTGCTGTTCCAACTTCACACGACACATTCGGGGCAGCAAGCAAGATTCATACTATTACAGAACTTCTGGTAGAAAATTAAGACCAACAGGGTATTCTGCCAATTAATTAAAATATCTCTTATGAAACAGAATGCTTCTAAAAGCATGATGCTAGCTGAGAAAAACTAATCCCAATACAAAAAAAAAGTTAGATTCACAAAAACGATATATAGGCAGTTAGAAAAATTTAGTGTAGAGATTGATGTAAACCTTATGCCAAAAAGTGAGTTTAATTTTTAATGCTTTTAATTTTTCTTTCATTCTGTCAAAAAGAATAAAGTTACTTTGCTAAAGGTCACAGACAGCTATGAGCAGCAGGATTTCCCACTCATCTGGCTCTCAGTAACATGGTAGCTTCATTTATGAAGAACACTGCTGAGGAAAAACACGTTAAAACTATCTCAAGGTATCACAGTAATGTCATGAAATTTATGTGCAAAAATAGCACATTTTAGCCTTTCTTAAAATAGCACATTTTAGCCTTTCTCTATACCCCAAATCAGACCCCATTTACTTTTAATTTACATATTATTCAATTAAGCTTCATTTTCCTGGTTCCTAAATCCACACAGATCAGAAGAAACATATTATTGTGGGTACAGGGTATAGTCCCAAACAGCAAAGGAAGCCACAAAAGAATTATTAAAAAGCAGTTTCTTAAAATTCCATGTTATTTGGGGTCATTTAGAATAGTATTATACAAATCACCATACTCCTTGTGGCATATATAATATTCACTGTAAAATAATGGCATGAGGTATTCGTATTCAAATCAATTTCAATGTACTCTGCTGAAGAAGACAGAGTTGCATCCAAAAGTGCTTTGAAAAATTACATGTTTTGACACTTAAAGATGTAAACCATATAGCTTCTCTGAAAAACTCCATTATCCAGAAGGGCTCATTTCCACACAGTTCCTCACAACTCAGTAACAAACAGTTCTATTAAACAAAATTTATCCAAAATACTTCTTTTTTATTCTATATTCTAGTGCATTGATCTTAATTCCATTTGGTAAGTTTTCATGAACAATACTAAACATGAAGCATTTCAAGAGGGTTTTAATGAACCTCATATACTCCTCTCCCTCTGCTATTATTTTTTAATGGCATCAGATCAGTCTTGCTACCTGAGGGTCTATTTCTCTATTTCTGCTCCCCAAGGCAACTTAAACACAATTCTAGCTCTTCTGATCATTAAGGAGAGAAAAGATAATTGATGGAAGGGATACTGCCCATTCTTAAAAGCTTTCACTGTACCCATGAACCCAACCCAATTTCTTTATTAACACAGAGCTGTCTAGATAAAACCACCCCAACTATCAGCTTCCTAGTGAGCTATAGCGGACATCTGTCGGGCTGCTGTCCAGCTCTCCTCTCCATTATCCCAACTCCAACACTGTTAGAGCAGTGAGCTCCTGACAGCCATTTTGTACAATGTGACCTTCTCCTCTGGCCACAGCTGATTATAGATTGGGGTGGAAGTTTGACCCAAGTTGGGCTAACCAGAGTCGCTTCTACAGAATTTGAAAGAATTATTGTCTCTTTGGGAGATGATATTGTAACAACATATAGCTTGAGTGCTCTAAACATAAGGCTCAGAGAACTGAGAGAGTCAATCTGGGAAGGGAAGGAGGAAGTGATTTTCAGGGAGGGACAGATGGAAGCAGCAGGGAAAGTGTCTGGACAGCTTTCCAATTTCCAGTTTTCTTTTTGGCCCAACTGCTCTACTGTCCTTGGATTCCACAAGATGCTCCTATATCCTTAAAACACATTTCCCCTTTCTCCTTAAGTGAGCACCATTTGTTTCCGGCACTTGCCATCAAAAGGCTCCCATGAATGCACCTAGGGATCCTGGAACAATGGCCAGGATGTGAAAAACTGCAGTCCACGCATAACTGAGTCTAACCACACTGTCATTATGCTGCCATTGCTATTTAAGACAATGAAACCAAGCCTGAGATTATCTGTAGTCAAGTGTCATCACCTTGTGAATCCTGTACACATTTCCTGTTAGTCTGTGACAGGTGTCACAGGGATTTCTGAACACAAGCATAAAAAGAAGGAAGACACAGGTAGGCCGTCACCTCAGACTGGAGCATTCCCAGAAACGACACATATGGGAGCCTCTCCGGGCCACCACAACCTCCACCTCCTATGCAGCGATCTGGCAATCCATGCAAGATAAACAGCACGCCAGCAGTCGCTTCCACAGGACCTCACCACTGTGGTAAAATGGCAGCACAAGGTACCCCCAACTGGGCTAGGCCACTATTCAAAAAAAAAAAAAAAAAACCACTGCAGGCCAAGTGTGGGACAGTGCTGAGCAGGGTGCAGAAGTTTTCCCAGGAGGTGCCGACCTGTGGCCAAGGGTAGCTGCGCAGCCACGTGTTGCCCTGGCTGCCGTGCGACACTTGGTTCTCCCCAGTTTGACATCCCCCTTCCCCTCCCTAGATGCAGGCTTCCTTCCCAAGAGTTCTGAACCCCCAGGGGTCTTTTGCTTGTTTGGTAACAATTCTAGCTGAGGTGCTTTCTAAATATGTTACAAAAGATAAAGAATGGAAAACAGGATGTCATTTTTTCACTTTCTAGTTGTTGAAGCCTTAATTTTTACCCTGAGACTTGGACAAGACTTAAGAGTTCTTCAGCTGCCTCCAATTTCCTTTCAATTTTATTAATTTTTAAGAATCTGGCTTTGTTTTCTAACTAAACATAACCCAGCAGCTCACTGATATTTAATGTTGGTGACTACATTGTGGAACAGAATTTGGAACAAACATTAGGCAAAAGTGTCAAACTTACCAGAGTGAGCTTCAAAAATCATAGGAAATAAATATTTTTCTCATTGAGACCACTGAAAATATTTAGAACACTCCCTGGCTGCTCTAAGAGGACAGGGCTAAATGTTGGACACCAGGCACAGCTCCTGGCAGACCCTCAGGGTTGCAGTCCTCTCACTGGTGCTTCTATTCCCACTCTGCAACTTGTCAGCTCTGTAGCACAGCTTCACAGGACCCAGGAGCCCCAAGTTCTCAACCCTTAACCACCTCATCAGGCTCTCGAACATCATCATCAAAGAAAAGCCAGAAACAATCTTCTTAAAAAATGTAAATCCAAGCACTGAACATTAACTACTATATTGAGCTTAGCAATTACCTCTCATGCTCATCTCTTGGCCCTAGGGAAATAAAGGCTGAAGTTTTTATTTAGCCAAATGTGTTTAAGCAGATGATTTTTTTTATCTTTTTTTTTTTTTTTCCCCGAGACGGAGTCTCTCACTGTCACCTGGGCTAGAGTGCAATGGTGCTATCTCTGCTCACTGCAACCTGCGCCTCCCAGGTTCAAGTGATTCTCCGGCCTCAGCCTCCTGAGCAGCTGGGATTACAGGCGCCTGCCACCACACCTGGCTAATTTTTTGTATTTTTAGTTAGAGACGGGGTTTCACTACGTTGGCCAGGCTGGTCTCGAACTCCTGACCTCATGATCTGCCCACCTCTGCCTCCCAAAGTGCTGGGATTACAGGTGTGAGCCCCTGTGCCCAGCCTTTTTTTATCTTTTAAAAGTAGCCTGTTCCTTCTTTTAAACTAACTCTCATGTCATACAACTAAAAGAAATAAAGTATCTAAAAATATCTTTTCAATCTATATAATTTAAAGGTGGTAGGCTTTTTATATTTGTTTTGATAAAGTAAATATTAATAAGCCAATTTTGAAAATTGTTTAATTAGTAAACTCAGAGTCATAATTCTCTCCAGCACTTCAAACATTATAATTCTTTACTTCTTTAATTTCATATAAATCTTAAGTCAGGAAGAAAGCAAAGTTCAGTATTTGATAATAATCTCTAACTTCTGACAAATTTTAAGGTGGTATTCCAAATCAAACATATCCCAAACACCAGAAACTCACATCAATTCTATTACTGTGCTATCAAACCCCCAAATTCCGCCACCAACCTGACAGCTCGAGTGCTATCTACCACAGGAAGCCTTCCTTGATTTCACTCCGATTTATATACTTCTTATTCTCTTTATTTTTATATAAGGCACAGCATGCCACTTCTTCACAGCATAAAACATACTCTTTTATAACTACCCACTTAATATGTCTATATCTTCTTAAACTTGAAGCTCCTCCAGGAAGGGATAGGATCTCATTTGCAAACACCCCCACCGCCTAACAGGATTCGTGACTTACAGCAGTCCTCACTAAATGTTTGCGTGGTGAGTAAACAAGTGATTAGTGTTCATGACACCGGTCTTCCAGCTGGACAAAGGACAGTGTGTGCAGTCTTATCCCCTGAGGCCCTGGGCTCCCAGCATTCCCACAAATGACTAGTCCGAAAAGCTAAACAGATGAATCTGGCCTCTCCCAAAGATCCTGCAGCTTGGGGACCACCATCTCCAACCTGGAGGAATGGCTTTTAGGGATCTCATTTCCAATTATCCTAAAAGTTTCCCCACAGTGTTGAGACCACATTAATGGTAATTTATTTGTTTCAATCTGATTTCACCAGGGTGAAACATTTTTTAATGCTCAAAAGTAGAAACATACGGGGAGACAGGAACACAACCGGGTGAATAAAGCACTGATTCAGGAGCCAGCCTCTCCGCTGGGCTGCATGCGGCCACTGCGCTGGCGCTGCCCATCAAAAAATGGGAAGCATTCCATGAAACCCATAGGATCTTTAAAGAAATGAAAATACAAGTTTTTTGTTCTTACTTCATCACCTAGGTTGGAGTGCAGTGGTGCAATCATAGCTCACTGCAGCCTTGAACTCCTAGGTCCAAGCTATTCTCAATCTCAGTTTCCTGAGTAGCTGGGACTACAGGTGTGTGTCACCATGCCCAGTTAATGCTTTTTATTTTTTATACAGACATAGTTTTGCCATGTTGCCCAGGCTGGTCTCAAACTCCTACCCTCAAGTGATGGTATATACCCTCTGCCTCCCAAAGTGCTGGGATTACCAGCATGAGCCACTGCTTCTAGCCTAGCTTTACCTTTACTCGTCAACTTCCCTTCAGAATTGAAAACCAGCTGTGTGATATTCCACATCACACTCTGACAGACTGGTTTGTTTTTTGCGTTTTTTGAGACAGAGCCATGTTCTGTTGCTCAGGCTGTAGTGCGGTGGTATAATCTCAGCTCACTGCAGCCTTGACATCCCGGGCTCAATAGATCCAACCACCTCAGCCTCGCCAGTAGCTGGAACACACCACCGCACGCAGCTAATTTTTGTAGAGAAGGGATCTTGCCATGTTGCTCAGACTGGTCTCAAATTCCTGGGCTCAAGCAATTCACCCACTTCAACCTCCCAAAGTACTGGAATTACAGGAATGAGCTACCATACCCAGCCTGGAGGATTGGTTCTAATCAAGTATTTTACTATTTCTAAGGTGAGGTCAGCACTAGTATGACTGTAGTCTGGCAAACAAGGAACCATATTATTACATTAGTGGAAAATCAAACCCTCAAACTAGAGGCAATGCTTCGAATATCCCAGGACACAAGGTAGCCATCCTGGGGAGGAAGGAGGGACACAGGGGATGATCTGTACAGGAACTGAAGAACATCCCCATCATGTATAAGCCATTTTCAAGGTCGTGCAGAAGCTTTATAGTTATACAGAGCCACTCAGACATAAAATGATGACTATAAATTAGGAAATAAAAAAAGAGATCTGAGTCCCTATAATAACACTGGGAGGCAGTGCAGACCACACAAAAGCAAAGCAGACCAGAAAGTTGGACTTGAGGGAGAGACAGACAGGGATCTCAGAGGACGCTGGGCACAATCCTTCACTTATACTGAGAAACCAGAGGCTTTAGGTGACCTGCCCCAGGCCGCACAAATTTATACAAGAGCTAACCTGGGAGACTGGGTGGCCTCATTCCTGGGCTCTGCTCTTTCCATAACGTGACGCTCTGTTCCCTTTGTCTTTCATTTCTTTGCCAGGGCTCTGTTCCAGAACAGAAGACCCCCTCCATTTTTCTGTAATAACGGTGGTTATTTCTAAGTGCCACCTCCTCGGAGGTGCCTTTCCTGACAATCCAATCTAAAAGCAGACCCCTAAGTTACTCCCTAACTTATTTTTATTATAGTACTTATATTTTCCTGTTTGTTTTTTTTAATCAACTACCCTCACAGCAACATAACAAGCACTGTGAGAATAGGGACCTTCTTTGCTCCATCCAACACTCTATTTCCAGGTCACACAAGTCTCCATAGGGCCTATCTTAGGTGCTCAATAAATGCTGAATCATGACTATAACAAGTCAGCTACTATACAAACAGAATGTTTCTGAATTCCTACAACAAAGGAAGGGGTGGGGGTACAACAGAAATAATTATCATGTCTAATTTATGGAAATCTTTATGAAGGTGGATCTGAGCTCCTCTCTACTCTACAATTCTTATCCAATAACTGCCAGTTCTGGTCTCCAAACTCGGATGGTGTGCAGGGCAGTGACTTCAAAGGCTGCATGACTGATCCGGGAATGAGAGGGAGGGCAACACCAGAGACTCTGATTACAGGAAGCTCAACCAACTGGAGCCTCACCAGCGGCGGGATGGCCTGAGAATGTTTTAGGGGGGTAGGGTGGAGAGAGAGGGTTATTTTTGTTTTTCTTGCGCAGGATAGAGAGAACATCTTAACCTTAAGAAAATATAAATAAGTGACAAGAAAGCACAATGACAGCTGTGACTTGCTAGAAAAAGATGTTTGGGATACACTTTAGGACAAAAATAGCCATCTTTTACATCTAAAATACCATAGGATGCTCATCTTGAAGAACACCAAATCGACTACCAAACTCTGAAATACAGAAATACATTTTTCCATGCTTTTTAATATAAATAGTTAGCTTTACAGATTTTGGTGCAAACAGAAGTGAGGTAAATCGAGTGCCAGCCCTTGGCACACTGCCATTCTGAGGGCTTTCTGTTTACAGGCAGAACATGAAAAAACTTTTGGCCATTCCTAAGTGTTCAGTAATTAAAACAATTTTTTTTTTCAAAAAAAAAAAAATTACAAGGCTTGTGATTTTGACTAGATTTACTTCTATTGTGAAGCCATGAGCTACTGGGGTGGGTGTCATCAGCCATGCTTACATCCTATCTGTGCTTCTAATAATGGAGCCAGGTGGCTGGCTCAGAAGAGGTTCTCGATTAATAGCCACTGAGTTAAAATGAGTATATTATTTTTTGATCTTATATGAAGGGATGGTCCTCCTTTCACCTGGAGGAAAGCTTGCCACTCAGTATTAGTTTAGAAGAATTTTGATATCATAAAACTACAGTGATGGGATTTGGAAAAACCTGGGGAATCTGAATAAAGATGAAGAAAGTTTCACAGAGGAGAGGGCAATTGACTTAGGTCTCAGTAGGAGGAAGGAGTGAGTCTGAGCTCCAACTGTGTGCTGGCCGCTGGGCAGATCCTGCACATCAACCACCACAGGGGGTAGGTATCGATATTCCCCTTTTCCAGGTAAGGAAAATGAAGATTAAAAAGCTGAAGTAGATTGCTCAGGGAATCAACTGATTTAAAATTCAGATCTATTTGGTACCAAAATCTCTGCTGGCCCCTTTTGGGCAAGTTGTTTGAAACCTCAGCACCAAAATTAAGTTCTAAAAGTTTAGGTAAGGGCCACCTGGTTTAGTCAAAAGCCAAATGAGCTGCAGTAAACACTCTTCTCCTAAGAAACACTGCACACGTCTATCCAGTCCTCTGTAGAGGAAATGGGCTTTCGAAGCCCAGGGACAGCATGTGCGGTGCCCTCTTGCCATGTGGGGAACTGCTAATAATTTTGTTTGGACTGATCATAGGACTCAGAAGGGCTAGGGTGAAAGTGAGGGGAGGCAGAGAGCAAGAGTGACTGGGGGCAAAGCTACAAGGGCAGGACTGGGCAGACCCACACACTCAGTGGCGGGTGCTTTATCTTTTAGCCAACGGGAAGTACTGGCTAAGTTTCCAGGTCGGGAAGTGATGCACAATCTGAGTTGTAGGAAATCCCTCCAGGAGCAACGTGAAGGATGAACTGGTAGAAAGAAAGCCTGGAGGCAGAAAAATTATTAACGTGTATTACAGTACTCCAGATGGAAAGTCTGAGCACCTGAACTAGGGCTATGGCAGTGGTAAGTGTGAGAGAAAAGGCTCAAGACAGACCCCAAAGACAGGGATTGGTGATTGACTGGATGTGGGTTCTTAGAGAGGATAACCAAAGGCAGCTCCTTTGAGAACTGTTACCAGGAGAAGAGGTACACACCCTGCTAATTTAAAGCTTAATAAAGACCAAGCCTTAATTTACAATGTCAGGTTCCTTGGGCTAGTGGTCATGTGGAAATAAATAAAAAATTATAGTAAAAAGAAATAAAATAAATATTACTTATAAATACTAGAGCAAAATCTAGCAATAGTTACCAATAAAGAGAAATACTTGATAGAAGAAACACAGTTAAATAAGTGCCCATGCCATATTAAATAATAGAAAAAATATAAAGCATATATAGCTTTCTGACTAGAAACAAATACATTACTTTTGAGTGACTACATGTGATTTCAATTGAGAAAAAGTCTCTACTGAGCAAAAGCTTGGGAGTTCTGGGCTAAAATGGTGCTCCTCAAACCCACCCTGGATTTGCTGAGTAAGATGGCATTTTGCTTACTGTTTGTTGTTGTTTGTTCTTTTTTTAAGCAGGCCGATTTGCCACTGATCAGTAAGAAATGGTTTAGAAGAAAGAGTTAGGGGAAAGGAAATGGAGGAAGAATAAATGTGCCAAAGAGGATAGAAGAGAAAAGATAAAAGCATACTATATTGCAAATACATAGCCGGTATAAAAACCATCAGATTTTTTAAAGCACTAATTTGATTTTGCTGAGTTCTCCTCTTTAAGGAGCAATGTCGAATGAACTCATTATGAGCAAGAAGATTCACAAGCAAGTGCCTCTTTTTATAACAACTAACGTCAGCAGTAGGACCAGAGAGTCGTTCTTACCATGTTTCAGATGTAGGCAGCTGTCATTCTTGGACCTGTACCTGCAGAAAATTGTGTCTTTAACAAATTTTTATTGAAGAGGTTTTTGTACATTCCAAATACGTAGTAGCTACAATATCATGTGAACTTGTTTGCTTTACTTTTCATGGTTCTTATACCAGCCATTTTTATTTGTGCAGTACAAGTAGTGGCCTTATTTTTAATGAAAGAAAAAAGGAAAATAAATGGGACCTCACTGATGTCTTGAATTAATGTACAAGAAAGACAAACCCTATCATTATGTTTTAAATTTTTAAAAAACCCAAATCACAAAAGAGATTCTCAAGGGAACACCAGGTAACATCATTTAATCAACATAAAATATTGTATCTTTAAGGAGTTATATAACATAGTAAAAAGGCAAGAGTGTTAAAGCAAAGTAAACACAGACAACAGAAGCAAAAATAAAACAAACAAACAAACAAAATCCCACAGTTTACAACCAGGATTCCAGGTGACAGGGTTTGGGAAACAGTTTTTACATGTACCTTCCCACAGTCACATTTAAAAGAAGGGTCTTTTAAATTTTTAAAAGAATTTCAGGAAGAAAAAGCAGAGTTAAAGCATCATAAGTTACAGTCACAGAAGAAAGCAGTGTGTAGAGAGATGCAAACTGCCTTAAAAGGTGTTTGTCAGAAGCCTGAGGATTGACTGGAAAGTCTCATGGTGCCTACCTGATGCAGATTCCTGTAGTTTCTCTCTCTTCCTCTTCTTTTTCTTACCCTGGAAGAAGAGAGGTATACTGTCATGTCACAGATTGTACCATGAACACACAGATGAATGTGATGTGGAAGTACAGGCAGGTGGTCAACAAAGAGGTAAAGATGACTCATTCTCTCTCCCTCTTCACCATCTCTATCTAGAAACAAAGTCAGAAAGCAAGAGAACGGGAGAAAATAGTGACCTGGTGACCTTTGTCTCTATAGCTTCATATTTAACATCATCAATATTGACACCGTGGGTAGACACTTTGTCTCTCTCTCTCTCTCTCACTCACACACACACACACACACACACACACACACACACACAATGATGTCTTAGAGCTGTGGCCATAGAGCCTTCTCTCTCTCTCTCTCTCACACATACACACACACGGATAATGATGTCCTAGAGCTGTGGCCATAGGACCCTCTTCAAGGAAAGCCAGCTTAATGAGCCATTCCTTTTCTTACTAACCAACATACTTAGAACCCACTTCTGGTAGTGCTTAAGATAAACCTTACTGTGAATTCCATTGTCTGATTAAAAGTTCCCTGGTGTTAATTGAGTACCCACAGGCCCTGTGGCACAGAAACGACAAAACCAAGGAGAAAGGGAGAAGAGAGTGAGAGAACCTGAGAAAACTGAAGATATCTCAAAGACTTATTTCTAGCAATTAAGGACCTTGCTTCCCAAAACAGACAAAATAACATGGATATGCACACCATTTTAAATACATTTCAAAACATCTCAATGCCAAATTAAAAAGCTTAGATCCCACTTACAGTGGTCTAATTTTCCCTTTTCCTTCATAACTACTTTGTCCTCAAAAATAATTTTAGGCTGGGTGTGGTGGCTCACACCTGTAATCCCGGCACTTCAGGAAGCCGAGGTGAGCAGATCACGAGGTCAGGAGTTCAAGACTAGCCTGACCAACATGGTGAAACCCTGTCTCTACTAAAGATACAAAAATTAGCCAGGCGTGGTGGCGTGCGCCTGTAATCTCAGCTACTGGGGAGGCTGAAGCAGGAGAATCACTTGAACCCGGAGGCAGAGGTTGCAGTGAGCCAGGATTGCTCCACTGGGCCACAGAGTGAGCCTGGGCCACAGAGTGAGACTCCATCTCAAAAAATAATAACAATCTTGAAAGAAGACTCCATTATTTTTGATGTGCCGTTTCTCAGGGTCACTGATATCTGCTCTTTGCCTCAGTGTTGGGGAGGATGATTTCAGTCACCCTTCTGAAGCTGTAAAGCCTCAATGGCCAAGTGACATGAAGAACTATCTTGAGGTGCAGAAATATGCACTTTTATAGAGCCACAAAATATATATGGTACAATCTTATAGCCTTTAAAAAAATTATTTGTTAATTTGATTATTACAGCAGACATAAGCTAGAGATATTGGATATGATATGTGTTCCATTTTAGTTATTTGAAAATACCTGATGCAGGTTGGTCATTTACTATAAGCGGACCATGGCTATACGCTATTAAAATAATTATTATTTTGAGACAGGGTCTTGCTCTCATAACAATAATAATTATTATTGTTTTTATTTGAGACGGAGTCTTTGTTGCCCAGGCTGGAGTGCAGTGGCGTGATCTTGGCTTACTGCAACCTCCACCTCCCAGGTTCAAGCGATGTTCCTGCCTCAGCCTCCCAAGTAGCTGGGATTATAGGCGCATGCTACCATGCCTGGCTAAATTTTGTATTTTTGGTAAATACGGAGTTTCACCACGTTGGCCAGGCTGGCCTTGAACTCCTGACCTCAAGTAATCCGCCCCTATAAGTGGGGCTTCTTTCAAGATTATTAAAGGTGCTCTGGGGACAGGGAGTAGAGAGGGAGTGCACGCTTCTTTCAAGTATCCACAACGGTCCTTTCAATGTAATTACTGCAAGGTTCAGAAGTTGCTACAAGGTTGTTTCATGTGTCTGGAACTTTATTTCACACTTTCTTCTTTCCCAACCCTTCAACCCGTGTCTCAAGTGTTATCTATTCCATGAACCTTCTCTGCTCCACACCTTGTTGGTCCATCCCTCAGGCAGAGCTGGGGCTCTTCTTCCTCGCTCCCTATGACCCTGAGCTCACTGCATGACTGAATGCCTCACAGGTGCTATAATGGGCTCTGTCCCCAGAGCACCACCTGGGTCTCAGCACCACGCTCCCCCACTCACACATGTCTAGAACATAGCCAGCACACAGTGACCAACTGAGCCTGCACCGTTACGCTTCTACCGCTAAATCAAATAACCTGTTACCTTCTAGGATATCAACCAGTTCTTCAAGAGAATCTACATTTATGATAGGCAAAGAGAACTAAGTAGTTTGGATGTATTAATGTCAAGTTATACAAAAACCAAAATTCATGTATGGTAAAAACAAAAAATTTTTTTTGTTAAAATTATACGGACTGTATAATATTGGAAAGCATTAAAAACTAAATTGAAAAGTTCTAACATTATAAATATTTGGCTAATCTCACCCAAGAAAATTTGTGCACTATTAATTAGCCTGTTATTAGCCAAAGTTAAAAAAACAAGTTCAAATTATAAATCTATGTCATGTAATAGGGTATTTTAATACTGAATAATTGAGATATATATTTCACACGATCTCACTGAGGATCAGGATACCATTCTGGCACTAAATGCCTTAATTTTACCTTTATTCTATCCCTGTACAGTACTGTTATTTAAAGAACAGTATCTTTAGATAAAGTACTATCATTGATCAGCTTCTGTTTGCCTCAGTAATTGAATGACTTATTTTGATTATGATGAAAACACTATGAACGAAGCTGGGCTTTCCCTTCATTCAAGGAATATGCAAAACAATTTCCTTTAAAAGTTGTGCAGAGGGAAATCTTTAAAGATAAATCACATTACAGTAGCTTTCTTTAAAACTACTTTCTTCCCACCCATCAACATGGAGAAGAGAGAGCAGATAGAGAAAGAGATAGAATATGTAGGTGTTTGTTTCATGTCTTTTTAAAAGTTAAAACTCATTACTTAAGAATTAGAAAAACAAATTTAAAGGCATTCAAGAAGCAATGCTGAATAAAATTCACAGCACAATGAAGTTTACAAAGGTCATATGAGGAAGATTAGCTCTCCCCCTTTAGACAAACTACACCCAAAAGACACCTAAGGCAGGATTAGAAGATCCTTTTTTTTTTTTTTTGGAGACAGTTTCGCACTTGTCACCTAGACTGGAGTGCAGTGGTGCGATCTGGGCTCATTGCAACCTCTTCCTCTCGGGTTCAAGCAATTCTTCTGCCTCAGCCTCCCGAGTAGCTGGGATTACAGGCGCACACCACCATGCCCAGCTAATTTTTGTACTTTTAGTAGATACAGGATTTCACCATGTTGGTCAGCCTGGTCTCGAATGCCTGACCTCAAGTTATCTGCCTGCCTCAGCCTTCCAAAGTGCTAGGATCACAGGCGTGAGCCACCATGGCTGGCCAGAAGACACTTTTGAAACCCTCTGGGTGAACACTGATCTTCCTACTTACAGGGCATGGCAGGAGCTCTATATAGAGATGGTAATTGCTGCTCAGAAAACAGAAGCCTGGCTCAGGGGTGAAAATTCTTCAACTACAGCAGTCTTAAGAAGGCACCGGGCCGGGCGTGGTGGCTCACGCTTATAATCCTAGCACTTTGAGAGGCTGAGGCAGGCGGATCACCTCAGGTCAGGAGTTCGAGACCAGCCTGACCAACATGGAGAAACCCCGTCTCTACTAAAAATACAAAATTAGCTGGGTGTGGTGGTGCATGCCTGTAATCCCAGTTACTCGGAAGGCTGAGGCTGGAGAATCGCTTAAACCTGGGAGACAGAGGTTGTGGTGAGCCGAGATCATGCCATTGCATTCCAGCCTGGGCAACAAGAGCGAATCTCTGTCTCAAAACAAAACAAAACAAAACAAAACAAAACAAAAAGAAGGTACTGGAAGACTGAGCTAATCCACTCAGGAGGAGGAAAACCACGTAGATTTTGAAGTCAGAGTGACCTGGGTGAAAACTTCAGCTTAGCCACCTACTACAAGGCCTTGCATAAATTACCTAAACTCTTCAGCCTCTCAATTTCCTCACCTGAAAAATGGAGTAATAATATTCATGTAATAGTATTCATTCCACCACTGGGTTGCTGTCAAGAATTTAAGACAGTTCCTAACCATCAGCATATGGTAGTTATTAAGGCAACCAAAATAACTCAGAAGAGCTGACTATGCTGTTTCCCATAAGTAACAGACAGACTCTTACTTCCTGTGTCAAACTTATATCCAATGTCTGAGCTCCAAACCTTGACCAGTAAAGTGACTTTTTCTGTGGAGCATATTATAGGAAATAAATTGTGCAACCCATTTCCAGAAATAAGTTTCCATGTGTGCATGACCTCAGATATGCATCCTTGTCATCATCTCTTGTGAGAACTTGAGCCCCACAGCAGCACCTAAAGCAATGGCTACATATTAAATTGTATATTAATTAACGGCTTCACTCTTGCTCTTTTAAAAAGAAATAATTTCACTTTTATTAAGACTGACCTGGCTGGCATTTCTAATGCTTGTCTCACGTAGACCCTGAGAATTACTATAGACTGAATGTTGTGTTCTCCCAAATACATATGCTGAAATTCTAACCCCCAATGTGATGGTATAATGAGGGAGAGTCTTTGGGAGGTGATCATAGCCTAAGCAAGGAGCTCTCATGAAGGGGATTAATGTCCTTATAAAAGAGACCCCAGAGCACTCTCTTCCCCCTTCTTCTACCTTGCAAAGATACAGCCAGAAGACTGGGACCAGGCCCTCACCAGACACCAAACCTGCCTGCACCTTAATCCTGGACTTCACAGGCTCCAGAAGTGTGAGAAATAAACCTGTTGTTTATAACTCACCATGTCCATGGTATTTTATTATAGCAGGCTGCATGAACTCAGACATAATAACTGCAAAATATTAAATTAACTTAAGAGCTTAAATAGTGAAAATTATTCCCCTCTATAAAATAAAAGTCTTTGCCCTATCAAGACTACATAAGTGAGATGCTCAAATTCTACAGTAATAAAACAATTGGCACTATAAGTGAGGTATTTCCTGCTGATAAAATTAGTATGACTTAAACATGATATACCTACACTGAATAGAATATGTGATAGATGCTGGGGTACGATAACATGAAAAAAGATTTTTTTACCCAGTTTTAAGTAGTCTGTGGCAAAACAGTCACCTGAATACACTGTTTATAAGAAGTGTAAAATAATACAGTCCTTTGGAAAGCAATGTGACAATATGTATGAAGAAATTTAAAATAGCCGGGGCAGTGGCTCATGCCTGTAATCCCAGCACTTTGGGAGGCAGAAGCAGACAGATCAGCTGAGGTCAGGCATTCAAGACCAGCCTGGCCAACATGGTGAAACCCTGTCTCTACTAAAAATACAAAAAATTAGCCATGTGTGGGGGTGCATGCCTGTAATCCCAACTGCTTGAGAGGCTGAGGCAGAAGAATCGCTTGAACCCAGGAGGCAGAGGTTGCAGTGAGCCAAGATCATGCCACCGCACTCCAGCCTGGGCGACAGAGTGAGATTCTGTCTCAAAAAAAAAAAAAAACGCAAAATAACTTTAAAACATTTATATCCTTTACCTCCACAATGAATCTATTCAACATAAATAATAGCCCTAAATACAGAAAAAAACTGTTATGTATAGACATATTCATTGAAGGAATATTTACATTTGTAAGAAAAACAATAGGAAGCAACTTAAATGTCTAAAAGCAGGAAAAAATAAGATTAAATAAATTGTGAAATTCACTTAATGGAATATTGATAGACATAAACACTGTGCCATAACAGATAAATGCTTTTTATATATAAGATCGAGAAGTATGCAACAAACATGTATATATATACACCCACGCACACAAATATACAAGTAAAAAAAAACCACGCATAGAAAAAATATTAGAAAGTAATATAAGTAGTTATTACTAATGTTGCCTTTACATAGTAAGATTATGGTCTTTTTTTAATGTTTCTTTTATCAAATTTTAATAATAAGGTATTAGTTTATTTCAAAAATTTTATTTAAAAGCATTCATTAGCACCCATAGCAAAAAAAAAAAGATAGCTCGAAGCTTTCATAATGCAATATATCCATGAAATCCTTATTACAAAGTTCATTAACTTCCAAAAAATAAGTAGTACCAGCATTATATACACCTAAAACACATTTCCTTCTTGAACGCAAAAGAGCGAATGAGTGAGAGTGGAGAGCCACTGGTATGGAGGAGGGGCTTACATAATTGTCTCTTGCAGACCAGCCTGGATAAAGCTGCATATGTAGCTGTCTTTCTTTCCGTGCTAATTCATAATATTTAGCCTGCTCTTCACGGGAGAGGGCATGCCACTAAAACAGAGAGGAAGGAAGAAAAAAACAAAAGTAAGCAAAATAGCAATAGCATATTTTATGTTTCAAAAATCAAAAAATGAAAATATTAAGCATTTAAACTTTGATTTATTTTTAAATTGCAGAAGACCAAGTGCCAAGTGCCGTAGAAATCTCCTTGGAGTCTAGTGGCTACAGTGAAACTCAAACTTTGGTTTCTCTATCCTGTTCTCTGATATCACATGAAACACATCAAAGTCAATCAAAGTGTTCAAAGTAAAATGATCTCTGTCACCCACCCTTTCTCTTTTCCAATATAAATTAAAAAGAACTTTCACTGGTGAACCTCAACACCCAACTTCACTGTTTTTCACAGTTACTAGCATATTCTGATATCTGAGCCCAAGTACTTTTTATTTATGCAAAACGTGATAATTTCCAGATGTCTTTTAAAACAGATATACCCTCTCCTCATATGAACACTTTCCCATTTTGTCATATGAAGAGCCTGAAACCTTAATCATATGATTATCTATAAAGAAGGACATGAAAAGTCAGCCTGTGTATCTCCATCTCTTCATTGTCTCCTCACACTCATATAGACGCTGTCTATAGGGACAACACTGATGACACTGTCCAGTCACACAAGCATTTATGGCTATGGCTTTTAGCCTCCTTCTGATGGACAGCACGGGGCATTATTTAAGTTTGTTTTGCCATCTAGAATTTGAGACTGTAATTTCTAATATGAAGAATGTAGCTGCTAATATCCTTCAAACTTTTTGTCTCCTTTTTACATAACTGATTATATAGCACATATAACAAAGTCATTTATGTAGGAAAGGTATCTGGGATTTTAAGGGGTTTACATTTGCACACTGCTTTGCATACATCTGCACATGACTCACCCCAGTCCCCAGCAGACAGTGTTCATGTATTTTCCCAACTTCCCCAATGCCAGGATCTGCCAGCAGAACTTTCCAGGGAGAACCATCTGGGATTTGGGAGAACCACTGTCCATGAGGGTATGACACAGAGGCGATGGTAGCTATACAAGGATGAGACCAGAGCCCACACTACGCAAACATACATGCTCACCTGAGCACATACACATGCAAAACACACACACACCCCACTCACATGCTCACCTGAGCACATATACCCACATCCACATGCATAACACACATGCTCCTCTGTGCACATAAACTATGTGCACACCACACACGCTCACTTTTGTACCCGCATGTGCTCACCTGTGTGCACACACAATCTGTCAGCTGGGAGCCTCCCTGCTCCTGCTCTCCCCCAACTCTCAGGTGTGGAGCTTCCCATTTTGCTTCCTTCCCATTGCAGGCTATGAGATTCTTTCCCATTCATGGCTGCCCTGCATATTAATTTTGATCTCCCTGTTCATGTTTTTTAAAATGATTTTTAAATAAGAAGGGAATGGGTGGGTTGGAGGAAGGATAGAGTGAGAGAGGTTGATGAGAGAGAAAAACTTCTCCTAGAGGAGGCTATGTCTAAGTCCTCATCAACTTGGGCTCAGCCCCTAAAGTGTAGCTAAGAAAACAAACACCTGCTGCTCTTGTTTGACAACAGTACATGAAGCTGATTTCATGAGACATGACAGCACCTTCCGGCCACACCCCACCTCCAGTTCCAACCACCAGTGCGAGAAGCAGCAGTTCCCACCAGAAGGGTAACAGAGTCCGTTTCCTTTGAAAGCCCCTTAAAAGTCAGGCAGTCTGTGCTGAAGAGGATAGATGATTTATTGTTTAATTGCTTTAGAAGTGCAGAGCGTGAGGTTAAAAAGCATGACACACAGCAGGGCTTGCCCTGAGCCTAAAGCAAATCAGGTGATGTGCTTTTGTTTAAAAAAAAAATTAGAGGGAGGTGCCAGGAAAACAAAACAAAACAACCCTGGAAACAGTTACCTTAAGTACAGTTCTTTGTACTAGTAGAATAAACATTAGACAAATCGAGCCTGAGAAGAATCTGTGTCTGGGGCAGCAGCAGTGGTTTAAATTGGGATGGAAAAGTCACACTGCTGCTAGCAACTGACAGCTTTTTAAACCTGGAACACTGACCTAGTATTACAGACCTTCACAGGGAGAAAAACCAAACTGGATACAAAAGGAAACATCATCGTTTTTTGTTGTTGTTGTTGTTGTTGTTGTTTTTAAGAGACAGGGTTTCGCTGTGTTGCTGGAGTACAGTGGTGTGATCATGGCTCACCGCAGCCTCGAACTCCTGGGCTCCAGCAATCTTCCCACCGCAGCACTGAGCTAGGATTACAGGAATACATTACCAGGCCTGGCTAATCCTTGATTTTGTAAAAGAAAAGCAATATTTATGGTAGGGTGCAGTGGCTCATGCCTATAATCCCAGCACTTTGGGAGGCTGAGGCACACAGATCACTGGAGGCCAGTGGTTCAGGACCAGCCTGGCAAACATGGCAAAATCCTGTTTCTATTAAAATACAAAAATTAGCCAGGCGTAGCAGTGCATGCCTGTAATCCCAGCTACTCAGGAGGCTGAGGCATGAGAATTGCTTGAACCCAGGAGGTGGAGGTTGCAGTGAGCCAAGATTGCACCACTGCACTCCAGCCTGGGTGATAGAGCAAGACTCTGTCTCAACAAGAAAAAAGAAAACTGATATTTACACAATTAGCTTTAGTGCTAAATAAGGATGATTGGCAAGAGGCAAAGTTTTACCAATAAGGAAAAAAATTAGGGACAAAAAAAATAAAAGAAGACAGGAAGTCTTCCATTTTAAATTTACTATTTGACAACTATCATTCCCCTATATACAACACCTTTTATTACTGTATCAGTATAGTTTTACGTAACTTACAGTAGCTGAGAAAACCTGGAATCATAAATACAAATTAACTCCCAAAATAGGTATCAAGTTTGGGTCTTCTACCCAAACAACGAGGTATTTTTCAGTTAAAACAAGAAACAGGTTGACAAAAAGACCCAAGCTAACGAAACTGAATAAAAGGCAAGGAGGCAAAGTAGGCATAAACTAAACTATTTATTTACATGTTCCATTGCTTTAAGTCCTCTGATAACCCCCCCCCCTTTTTTTTTTGAGACAGAGTCTCGCTCTGTTGCCCAGGCTGGAGTGCAGTGGCGCGATCTCGGCTCACTGCAAGCTCCGCCTCCCAGGTTCAAGTGATTCTCCTGCCTCAGCCTCCCTAGTAGCTGGGACGACAGGTGCGTCCCACCACGCCCGGCTACTTTTTTGTATTTTTAGTAGATATGGGGTTTCACCGTGTTAGCCAGGAAGTTCTCTGATATTTCTAATGTACAAAAATGACTCACAAATAGAAGATCACTTACCAAAATGAACAGTAGATAAAATGATGTAATTAAAGTTTTGCATTGAAAACAAAAACAAAGTCTAGTACAGACCTGAAAGATGGTCTTTCTTTACAGGAATTTCTGAAACACAATTGACTAAAAATGCTTCTCTATCTCTATTTACTGCAAAATAAAGAGTCAAACTTTTTAAAAATCAAATCTCATTGTCAAGATTTCACCAAGTTGTGGGGAAAATATCCATTTAATTTGAATAAACTTGTACAGTTCCAAGATAAAACATTCTCATGACAAATTTGTGATAAATGGATTTCCTTTAATAGCCAGGAAGGTCTGAAGAGAAAAGGCTTATTTTAAAATAAAATTTGTGATATTATTATTTATAATATGGATTAAAAATAAAACTTTGATTAATTCATATGAACACTATTTTAGAGATATAGTAAAGATGAATAAAAATCAAAAGATAAAATGTTCTGGGATGGATTTAAGATCCACTTTTAAGAACTCAAATTATCCCAGTGTAAAACGTCATGATTTTGATGCCAGAGACTTTAAAGAGCTAGCAAGGGCTGCCCTGCCAGAGGGGAGTTATGAAAGGATAGAAAACCTGATCTTAATCAAAGATCTCAGAGACCTATAAATAGAAACAGGTGTCTAAATCAGAGACAGACAGAGACCCCAAATAAGAACCATCCTTTAGGACACATGCTCGGATCTGGGGATTGTTAAGGGAGCTGAGAAAGTAGCAATTGTTGGAAATGTGCATTAAGAATAGGAAGCATACCTTCATATCATATCCTCACTCTCTGTATTCAGCAGGAAAGTAATTCCCACTGGAGGGCCAGGGGGCCCTTAACTCAAAAAAGAAAAAAGAAAAAACTAAGAGTTGCATACAAGCTGAAATAAAAACATCAGCCCTTCTTTTCCTCTGATTTCTTCTTTTAAAGAGTCAGGGAAAATGATCATCAGTTTTTAAGGCGGAGTTCTTCCAAGATGATGGGAATCACTCATCTGCCATGATCTGGCTTGGGAAAGCATTGTAATTATTGTTATTAAGTGTCTAAGAATCCACAGGGAGATAGGGCATTGTACACAGGACACCAAAAAAGCTATAATCTATCACCACATCCTCCCCTGGAAACCCTGGTGACTTGCAGATTGGAAATAGCTGCATTTTGAGGCTATCCAATGGGAATCGATAATGTAAGAGGGCCTGCTTCCCTCCTGTTCACATGGACTGGAAATCTCCTAAATGTTTTCTGTTATAAATGCTCAAATTTATTAGGTTCAGAACAGACCTGGTAAAATTATCATCGACAATAGCTAACACATGATCCTCTATGTTTCACAAGGGTTGTTAGATCCTCCTCAACTGAATGTTCATTTGCCAATCATGAATTTCTTGAGAGGTTGCAAAAACAAACACAGGGTCACAAATTAAGAGGCTACCACACAGATATGAAGAGCATCAACAAATTAAGATGAAACATTTCTAAAATTATAATGATAACGTGACTATGGTGAAAATGTAATTTAAATTAGAGAAACTCAAACTTTTCTTACCACTCTTCAGCCATCTAACTGAAATCACTTCAATCCCATACAAAGTACTTGGAAGGACTGACTATGTATGTCTTTTGGCTGACAGTTGGATAAACAATCTTAGAGTGTCTATCCTAGTTGTAGCCTGCTGCCTGGTACATAACAGGGGCTCAGAAAAATATCATAGCATTGGTGAAAGAATGAATGAAAAGAAAAGGGCAACCCAGAAACCTGGCAGGTGTACACTTGGAGATTTGGAGAACAGTCTTTCTAGAATCAAGACTCCTCAGGATCATATACATTCTTCCATGTAAAGCCTCATGGTAGAACAGCTCTGCTTCTGTCCTGGAAGGAGTGGCCACCTCTGTTTGCCAGGACGGTCCCCCAAAGGCCTTGCTGTAGCTCCCTAAAGAGCTAAACGCTTTCCTGTTTCAGAGGCGGCACACACATGCTACTCCATCTGCATGTGGGGGAGTCTACCTCTCCCCATTCGTCTCTACTTACTCTCACATCTCAGCTTAAATACAGTTTCCTCAGAGGGGCCTGCCCAAGCCCCTACTGTTCTTTCTCACTGAATCTTATTCCCTACATTCACAGTATTTATCATAATTTTTATTACATATTTATTGGCTATTTATTTGTCTAATGTCTGTATTCTGTCATAAAACTTGAAGCTCCAGAAAGGGGCTGTACCTATTTTGGCTAATAGAGGCCCTAACAATGATTTATAGATCTGTAAATTCTAGGTGGATATTTATTTAATTTTTTGAGACAGAGTCTCTTTCTGTTGCCCAGGCTAGAGAGCAGTGGCACAATCTCGGCTCACTGCAACCTCCGCCTCCCAGGTTCAAGTGATTCTCCTGCCTCCTGCCTCAGCCTCCCGAGTAGCTGAGATTATAGGCATCCACCACCACACACTCAGCTAATTTTTGTATTTTTGGTAGAGATGGGGTGTCACCATGTCAGCCAGGCTGGTCTTGAACTCCTGACCTCAGGTGATCTGCCTGCCTCGGCCTCTCAAAGTGCTGAGATTACAGGCATGAGCCACCGTGCCCAGTGGCTGCATCTACTTTATTCAGCAATTATTACCTAATCTCCAGGCATCATGCCTGACCCAAAAGGATAATAAATATCTGTTTAAAGAATGATAATGGGGCTTTAGGAGGTCGAGGTGGGTGGATGACTTGAGGTCTGGAGTTCAAGATCAACCTGGCCAACACAGTGAAACCCTGTCTCTACTGAAAAAAAAAATACAAAAATTAGCCAGGTGTGGTGGTAGGCAACTATAATTCCAGCTCCTCAGGAAGCGGAGGCAGGAGAATCACTTGAAGCTGGGAGGCAGAGTTTGCAGTGAGCCAGGATCATGCCACTGTACTCCAACCTGGGTGACAGAGCAAGACTCATCTCAAAAAAAAAAAAAAAAAAAGAATGATAACAGGGCCAGAAACGGTGGCTCCCACTTATTCACCCAGCACTTTGGGAGGCCAAGGTGGGAGGTTTGCTTGAGCCCAGGAGTTTGAGACCAGCCTGGGCAGCATAGCAATACCACATCTCTACAAAATTTTTTTTTTTTAATTAGCCAGGCATTGGCCACTGTCCCGTCTAGCAAGTGAGGAGCCCCTCTGCCTGGCTGCCCCATCTGGGAAGTGAGGAGTGCCTCTGCCTGGCCGCCCAACTGACTGGGAAGTGAGGAACCCTTCTGCCCGGCCACCCAACTGACTGGTAAGAGAGAAGCGCCTCTGCCCGGCTGCCGCCCTGTCTGGGAGGTGAGGGGCACCTCTGCCCGGCTGCCGCCCCGTCTGGGAAGTGAGGGGCACCTCTGCCCGGCTGCCGCCCAGTCTGGGAAGTGAGGGGCGCCTCTGCCCGGCTGCCGCCCCGTCTGGGAAGTGAGGGGCGCCTCTGCCCGGCTGCCGCCCCGTCTGGGAAGTGAGGGGCGCCTCTGCCCGGCTGCCGCCCCGTCTGGGAAGTGAGGGGCGCCTCTGCCCGGCTGCCGCCCCGTCTGGGAAGTGAGGGGCGCCTCTGCCCGGCTGCCGCCCCGTCTGGGAAGTGAGGGGCGCTTCTGCGCAGCTGCCGCCCCATCTGGGAAGTGAGGGGCGCCTCTGCCCGGCTGCTGCCCCATCTGGGAAGTGAGGGGCGCCTCTGCCCGGCCTCTGTGCAACCCTCCAAGTGTGAAGTGACAGCCTTGTGTGTGATCTTCCTGCCCTCCCCAAGTTTGCATTTTCAACATTAAAGTTTACTTTTTAATTAAAAGTTTTAAATTGGAAAAAAAAAATTAGCCAGGCATGGTGGCACAACGACTACAGTCCCAGCTATTCGGGAGGTTGAGGTGGGAGGATCGCCTGAACCCAGGAGGTCAAGGCTGCAGTGAACTATGATCATACCACTGTACTCCAGTCCAGCTTGGGCAACAGAGTGAGACGCTGTCTCAAAAAAAAAGAATAACAGTAAAAACAGTTATCAAAATTCTTTAAAATGCATCATATCATATCTTGAAGTGCAAACACATTCTATGACCACCTGATATGGGATTAAATTGGGGCAGATTTTCATGAAGCAGTTCCATGGCTACCATGAACATTTACACATGACTCGGCTACTTACCCTTCTGCCAAGAATCTGGTTGATAGCTGCACTTTCTTTTAGAGTACACTCAGCAACGACATTCGCTCTCATTTCTTTCATGTATAACATAAAAGCATTCAGAGGCTTCTTAATGTGAGGTCTTTTTGGCTCCTGCTCCTTTCTCTGTTCATGCTGAGGCTTCCTAAAAGGTGGTGGTGGTGGTGGTTAGGGGAAGGGGTTGAAGGAATGAGGAAGGGATGGGGGAGGAGAAAAGCAGAGCACCTGCTCACATGGCTACACTCAGGATGGCGACAACCCTCTCACCCCAGACCACCACCAACTTGGAAGAGCAGTTATTGACTCATTTGACAAAACACTGAGAGGCAAACAACCCATCCAATAGGGCTTCCTATCTACTCAGTGACTGAGAATAAAACCCTTTGGTTTGAGAAAGTGGACCTGTCATTATAGAACTATGAACACCAAGTAGAAATGGACTTGGCATTGTGAAGATGCTCCAGATGGGCTCTGAGGCTGAGGACTTCTCTGGTCCCCTCAGAAGAAGCTGAACACACAGCACAGGTGATCATTCCTCTTTCAGAATAGAGGTTCTTAACTTTTGCAGGGGGTTAAGGAGCACTTTGAGAAGCTAATAAATCTTTAGACCTTTTCCCCCAAACAAATGCATGTTGCCTTTGCATACATTCGCAAGGGCTTTATGGACCATCACATGCTGCCTCTCACCCCCACCCTCCCATCCACAAAACCTAGATTAAGAAACTAATTACTCATCTCTTCAGAGTAAATTAATTTAGGCCTGCACTCACAGTCTGAGACAACCCTGGCCCAACAGGGAATCCTGGGCTTTATTTGTTCCTTTCCCTTGAATTCTGTGCTGTTGAAGCTTGGAGCCAGGGTAACTGCACTTCCAGAAGAAAGTGCATTAAACCCTCCAATCTACTTCACTCAGGTAGGAACAGGTTCTCCCCAATAATCTGAACCAAATGAAAATTCAGTGGTAAATGGCTAAACAGCTGAAGAGTCTCGAATGCCTATGTTCTGAAGATTCTTCCATTTTGGTGAGGTTCCCATGATCTTTTAGGGTCCGTGCTCCTTTGCAACCTCAGAATCAAAATCAGCACAGTAGGAATGAAGCTGCTTAATGTCCTCAGGGACAGAGTTTTCAAGGCAGAGGTGCATTGAGTTTCACAGCAACACAAAGGGGTGAAGGATCACTGTTGCAAAGGAGCAACAGTGTAGAAATCCTCAGTATCCTAAGGCAATCACAGCAGAGCCCGGGTGGATACTTACACGTGCATTAGGTCACTGTCAGTGTGGGGATGTTCCTGTTTGACCTGAGGTGTTACAATAGCTGGATGAGGGATGCCAGTTGTGTGGGGACCAGGAGGACCGGGAATCATATGATGGGAAAACCTGAAAGGAGGAAAGAGAAGAAAACAATGTACTACTGGCTGTTGCAGCAAAAGCTAGATGGAATTTCAAAGCAATCCACTAACTGCTACTGGCTAAGAGTAAAAACACATCTTTACGCACAGAAGCATTAACTATAAATTAGAGTGGGCCGATAATTATTTTTTTCTTTCTATATTCGGGTGGAAAAAAAAAAGTGAATCATTTTTCTTGCAAAGCAATTTTGAAATAGGAATTTCACGAAAAGTAATTATTGGAAATATAACACTTTATTTAAGACTTGACTTTTTAAATGATTTTTAAATGAAAGCAAAACACATCATGTTTTAAAATCTCTGCCTATATTCCTAAGCAAACCATCACAATGGGAATTTTCTCATATTATTGGCTTCCTCATCCATATTAGGAGGGAACAACTGAGAAAACGGATAGGAATCAGTCTCCCATTTAATAAGGTTTCCATTAACATCATCCAAAATGATTTTCTGTGCAGAAATACACTAATGTTTCAGAGATCTCATCTTATGGAAAACTGGTAACAGAAATAAGGAGAAGAATTTAAAGGAAGGATAAAGTTCTGCATCAAGGTTAAAAACTACACTTGCCAAAGGCTTTTTCCCAAGTACGCTTGAACAGCATTAAAAAAAATCTTAAAATATCCACCACCAGCCAACACAAAGGAGGGAAACTGCCAGGCAAGAAAAATAAAATAAAGACAGTATTTTCAATAAGCTCTCTAGATAAATTTGGATATGTTTTAGAAATTTTTGCTTTTCAAACTTTTTAAAGTAAACATTTAATTCAGCAAGAACAACATTCTCAGGTCTTTCATCACAGCCTACACAATTAATTTCCTTTTCTTGAAAGGAACTCTGCTAGGATATATATTTTTCAAAAACAAATTTTAAAATATGAAGGAAGCATGGTAAAAATACAAATATTTGACCAAATAATGATGCTTTGCTAAATGTATTACTTGCAAAAATACATGATGATAGTTATTTGCCTGTGAGAGTTCTATCATCAGATAGTTCTTACAATGTTAAAAAGTATAAAAATATGTTTTAAGGGGAAGGATATTAATTCCACCTCCTCCCACAATCAGCTACATTTACAACTCACTGAAAAAAAAAGTTTTTTTAAAGCTGTAATTCACCACAGAAACTTTGAATACTATACCCATATAAAAAAGACATATTCACAACCAGTTAATAACCCACCAGTTTGACTTCCGGCACAATAATGCTAGCTCCCTTGACAAAGCCACATCGAACACACAGATGATGCACCCCAAATGTGTGTGTACATCAAGCACAGGGCACAGTGCCATCCTCTCCAGAAGCAAAAGCATCACACACAGCAGCTTCTCGGTGCGGCGCGGCAGGCCTCCCGAGCTCCGCTGGCATGACCATGTCCACACAGGGCCTGATTCACACACTAGGACGCACACCCTGTATGGCCTGCCAGCCTGTCCGCACTGTTCTGTCTCTTCTGACAGCCTCCATCCAGGAAGGCTCTAGACTATCTGGGCATTTTCAAACACTGCCGCATCAAACTGATACAACTTTCCACAAAGGAAGCAAATTATAGAGCTGAGACCAAACCAGTTTTATCCTCCTCCCTTACCCCACCCCCGGCATATTTTGAATCAAACAAACTCTTCTTGTAATGTCCGCTTTCCGGACAGTTCCCATCCCACAGTCAGGCGGCCATGAATTTGTTTGGAGGCAACGCTTTCCAAGGAGGCTGAGTCCATCGCCCGATGGTGTGGCTGGTCCGGCCGGGGCACAGCGCAGAGCTCCTACCCGGGACTCTCTCTGACACCTAGTGTGGGAGCCAGGCACACTGCACAGACAGACACATGGCTGAGGTATGCACCCTCCTAGCCAACCAAAAGGCAAGCAGAGGCGCACAGGATGCAAGCACGAGAAGAGCAACTTGTCCTCGAGCGCCCCAGTTTCCACCTCCACCTACCTGGACATGGAAGTGTCGACTGACAGTGAGGATGGGTAGGGTTGCCTGAATCCACCCGTGATGGGATATACAGGCTGACCTTGCCTGAGGTCACAGAAGAAAGGAACCCATCAATGACAAAACACCAGTTACCAACCAGTAGTAAGAGTTGGATGAGGGGAGAAGAGGGAGATATTCAAACAGAATCTTGTGGAAGTATTACAGACCCCGGGATTGTTTCAGAAACGTAACCGTTCCCCTTCCTTACCCTCCACCCAATCAAAGTGTCATTTGCCTTGAAAGAAATCTCCCACCCTCAACTTTGAAACAAACCATCCATGAATTACATCTCTTTTATCCCATCCCCTCTCCCAACCCCATTAATGCTTTGAACAAAGTAAGCACTTAAATGTTTATTGAATATAACATAACCCTGAGAATAGTGAAATATTCCCTTCAGAGAAGGAGCTGAGTGACTTCTTTATCAGAATCTTTGAGAATTTCAGGCAAGGGAAGAAAGAAGAAAATAAAACTGTATATTCATATAAAAATAAACATTTTAAAAACACTGTACCATTTCCCCCATATACATGTTAAAGTCAAGAAATAAAAGATTAATTCACTGGAATTATTTTCTCTCCACCCTGAGAAGTCCATTTTTTCCCTCTGTTCTCTCTACATCTCTCATTTTTCATTTACACAGACTTTATTTCCAGCTGCCAGTGGTACGATTCAGCACAGGACTATTGCCCCTAAGTCACTAAGTTCAGACAGAATAATTGATCTAGGTTTGAAAATGTATGCATAATCAATTAAGTTCAAGCAGTTACTGACTAAGAGATGTAATGCTAGGGAGAGAGAGAGAGAAAAAGAGAGAAAGCTGGATTGTCCATGGCAGGATGACCCTTCCTAGCTGAAGAAGGATAATGCAAGGATGTCCAGGTAGGGAGATGGGGTACAATGACATGGGGGCTGTGACATAGAGAGTCAAGTGGAAAAAGGAGAGAAACAATTGCTTGAGTTGAGAATTATTTCTATGGAGGGAGAATTGGAGAGGGAAGAGTGGAGAGAGCATGGGAGTGGGAGGAGGAAATGTTGTGGGTTAATCATAAAATAATAAAAATAGGCTATACCATGTTATTCTTTCTTCCCAAAATATATTTCCTTCACCTTCATAATTGAAAAGATTTTGGAGGCAGCAGTAAGCATATTTTTAGAAATAAACAACAAAATAAAGAGCACTAGCGTTCATATTCAGAAAAAAAGAAGGCCCCCAAATCAGTTTTTTACTACTCTGAACTCAAATTGGATGCTTACTTCATTAACATCCAAAAAATGCTCTTATATTGTTGAATTTCTCTCTAGTTATTTTTGTCATTTACCTCACTTGCCCACTTACAAGTAAAGGTAGATATTCAATGCGTCTAAATTCATTTTTGAAAAATATAAGTTGTTCATTAAAAAACCTAGAAAAGAAGAACCACACTGAGCACTAACTTTGTACAGGCATAGCAAATGCCCAAAGCCACAAAGGGAATCCATAAAACTATAAGCTTCAAAGCAAATGCTACAGTCATTTTCTACCCATATTAGCAAACGGATCAATCCATTTCAAAGTCTGTATGTTTTTTAATCTTTTAAATTGAAATGAATAAAGTTAGCACCTTGCTTGTTGATGTGAAATTTCTTCAACTCCACAAGTGTTACCATTCATAAATCTAATTTCCATGAATGGAAAGTGGAGGAACATGTGTTCAAATGCCTGGCTGAAGGGTGCAGCAAGGTTCTTACCAGCCAAGAGGTGGGGTGATCTGTCCAACACCACCCGGAGACAAGGGATAAAAAGTAGGGATATCAGGAGCTGGAGGATGTCTGGACATGCCTGTTAAACAGAACAGAGAGGTATCATTTACAGATTCACAGGATATTTAACCAGAAATGCAACTACATGTTTTATACCATTCATACTTAAGGTTCAGAATGAAACAATATTTATTCACCAGATCCAAGGAACAGGAGTCCATTTGTTAGCTTTTCTCAAGATTTCAACATCTGGGAAAACTGGGCCTTCAGAGAGTATTATCTTAAGGAACTCCTACAGGAGTAAAGATGCTGCTAGTAATACAATCATCAAAATAGACTTTTAAATTATTTGTTTTGCCCTCAATATTTCACATTATTTAAGAAAATGGTAGACAATTGTTTTATATAGAATGAGAATGTTTTTTTGTAGAATGGAAAATGACAGCCCTTCGTAAGTAGATGGCTTGCCACAAAGTTCAAGGATTAGGTAAATTGCCATTTTCATATTTTCATTGGTTCCCTTATGGACATATAGATTTGGGAAATGTGACACCTCAGAGGATCAAAGATTAATTAGGAATCATCTTCAGCCCCATAATGGTCACATTTGATATGATTCATTTGGTCTCTGTCTAAGCTCTTCATCAAGTTGAGTCCTCTGGGCTGCAAGGTCAAGCTGTTCTGGATTAGCTGAATTCCACAGAAAATGAAAGTGCCACCAAATTGTTTCTTGAGCTCACAGTCCCTGGAGTACACTGCCCTGTAACTGTGAAAACCACCTAAAGATTATATGTAATCCCAGTCCCAAGTGACATCCCTTTATACCTTACCCTAGGTACAGAAGAAAAAAATGACAAGACAAATGCATAAAATGTAAAATATAACAACTTAGATTCAATGTGTTTGGGGGAAAGTGATTCAGAATAGAAAAAAAGCCACAGATGTGTCTTCACATAGCTAATGATGGCTTTAAAAGACCACTTCCATATACAAGCACATATTCCAAGGTTTAACACCCAGATTATACGTTTAGTGACTGTAAATATTATATACTGGCTAATATGTGGAATTAGATGAGTACATGGAAGATGTTTCTTAAATATTCTGCTTTTTACTATTTAAAGTGCCTAGGAATTTCATTTGTATCTTAAAGATACTGAAAGCCTTCACATTGGGAATGACAAGAAGTGCTGTCTTGAAAGTTGGTGTTAATTCAACTTTGAAGTTAGAACGAACTATTTCTCAATTCTTACAGAAAGTAGGTGGGAAAGAAAAAAGTTCTTTAATTTCTCAACAGAGGGCTTACCTTAAATCATCTCATGTTTTGCTGTTTTTAAAATAATGGTTTCAAATCTCCTTTATTCAAAAAAATTGTTTTTGTTAGAAATACTGACTCTTTTGGTTACAGCAGAACATAAATTTTTTACCCTAGGATTTTTTTGGGGTGGGGGAGTTTGCAGTGGTGATTCTTAACATATCAGAATCATTGAGGAGGTTTTTCAACTTGCTGCCCCCTTAACTCTGAGATCCAGATACCTCCCCAAATCTCACGGTCTGTAAGGGGATGGCTCAGTCGCGGGGATAAACAAAATAAAATAAAAGCAATACAATTTGACCAACCCTGAAAAACATCAGAAATGTAGTGAAAATTTCAATGTTTTATTCTATTAACTTGAAAATCGTAGCGGTCACAGACTATCTGAATTATCTATTTTATTTTATTTTATTTTGTTTTATTTTTGAGACAGTCTCCCTCTGTCACCCAGGCTGGAGTGCAGTGGCACAATTTCAGCTCACCACAACCTCTGCCTTCCGGGTTCAAGCGATTCTCCAGCCTCAGCCTCCTGAGTAGCCAGGTATATAGGCGCGTGCCACCATGCCCAATTTTATATTTTTAGTAGAGACAGGGCTTCGCCATGTTGGCCAGGCTGATCTTGAACTCCTGACCTCAGGTGATCCGCCCGCCTCGTCCTCCCAAAGTGCTGGGATTACAGGCATGAACCACAGCCCTGAATTATCTACTTTAATTCCTCTATTTCACAGGTGTGGAAATTGAGGTCTAGAGGGACCAAGTGACTGTTAAGGCATCTGTTTTCTGTCCTGAACTTTTGTCACTGGGACATGGAGAGGTAACTTGCTTGCAGTCACATGTCTTTAAGCTTAAACTCTTACTCTCCGTACTACTCCATGTTCTAAGCATGCTTAGAACACAGCAGTAGTGATACTGTTCAGAAGTGATTCAACAGAACAAAAAATACCAACTAGTTGGATGTCACTCTTCTGCTAGAAGGAAGAAGGAAGGAACTAGAGGACAGGTCCTATGCTAGGCGTTTGACTCTATAGAAATTCTACTCTTCTTTCAAATGTTCCTCTCATAGGCAATTTTCTCTAACTTACAGCTCTGAGAAATCTTTCTCCTTTGAATCTACAAGTTTTTTTATTTGTACTTTTAATGTGGTACTTGGGATGCTCTTCATTTTGTTTTATAGTTAGTCTGTGCAAATGATTTCCTGCATGAGCTTATATACTGCTTGGAGAAAAAGATCACATTTTACCAATTTATGTATCTAACCATGGTTTTCTGCAGAGGAGCCTCTTAGTTAATATTTCTGACCAATTGAACAAACAAACAAGTGAAGTCAGAAGTGTTAAAACAGACCCATTCCATATGCTGGGTCAATATTATCAACCACTTGGCATGTACATGCAAATACATGATGTGGCTTAGGTCATTATGTGAGCAGAAAGTGGATCTGAGTATTCTAAATAGGTCACTGTCCTTTAAAAATCCTATTTCCAAAGATTCTCAGAAGTGTGTGTCTCTCCACCAACTACTATGCCACTGAAGACACATTTCACATCATTTTTTTTTAAGTTTATTTTTTATTTATTTAATTTTTTTAGAGCTGAGGGGGTCTCACTCTGTTGCCCAGGCTGGCCTCAAACTCGTGGCCTCAAGCGATCCTTGCGTCAGCCTCCTGAGTAGCTGGGATTACAGGCATGAACCACATTGTGCCCAGCACATTTCACATCATTTATTCAACTAGTATTTATTGAACACTTACTATGTGCTGGAGGATATACTGAGCGTAGCCTTTAAGATTTTTAAACTTGTATAGGTAACTTCTATAGACATAGGTGAAATAATACTGGAGTCAGACTATATGGATATACAGCTCACTAGCTATGCATTTTTGAGGAAGTTATGTAATTGCTACTGTTTTATAAAATAAGAATAGGACTGTTGTGAAGAATAAATGCATTAATATATGTACTACGGAAAATGCCTGGAGCAAAAGTATAAGTATTTGTTGTCATCTGTAAGGATAAAATGGGTAACACATAGATAAAAACAGACATCTAAACCTAGGATTTCCTAAAAGCGCTTTCCTTTTGATATTTTTACCAGACACATAATGAGAAAATTGACATTAATGTACTGTCCCTTACACACACACACTTACACACACACACACACACACGTGAAAACTAATGTGCTCCCTAATAGGAAATTAACCTGGAGTTGTTTTTCCACAAATGAGAATGAGCTCTGCTGGCAAACATTTTATATTTATGGAATAGTTCTATCTAGGGTTAAAGTGTGAATATGATGATCTTCGGTTGTTTTTTTCTGGCTGAGGCGGAGGGGTTGGGGGAAGATACAGCTAACTAGTCTATTAGGATCTTTGAAACCAGCAGCTCTGGCCTCAGTACCATCATGCCCTAAGGCAGGAGAGAAAAAGAATTAAAAGGAAGAGATCTAGTAAGCTTATTTTCTTCGCAACAAAAGTGCCCAACTGGAATGATACAAACTCAGTATCATGGAAGTGAGTGCTTTTTTCAAATTGGAGTTTATATATCTCCAGAAGTACACGATGATAAGGAACACAAGGCCTGGGATAAAACAGGATCTTTTTTTAAAACAAGCACAAATAGTGTCTGGACCAGAATACAAAAATCACATCAATCTTTAGAACAAAATAAAGACCGAAGAAACTGCAAGCAGACAACTTCTGGTGATGACCATTAGTCCCTTCTCGGTAGTTTTGGAGAGTTTTTTTTTAAAAAAAGTTTGAGAAGCAATGATATAACTTAACAATTATGCAAAACAAGGTAGGGTGGCAGTAGGAGATGGAAACAGAAGAGAAACTATAAGCGTAACTGAGAGCCAGTTATAAACTTAACTATTAAAAAATTGAACTGTCCTATTATTCTTGAGAGAAAAACTACTGAACTATGATTGATTTCTTATTCTTTTTAAAGAGTTAATGTTTCGAAGAGTTTCAAATAGGACCTAGGACAGGGTAAGCACTATTTAATTGTTAAATAAAGAAATAATTAACAACTAAATAGGTTCCCAGATGTGCACCTCCTGCTCGGATGCTGGTCTGAGATTGTGACCCACAGGTTTCAGTGGCCTACCTCCTGTCTCCCCTTGGGTATCTCACAGACACTTCAAATTCACCACGACCAAGACTGGTCCTCCCTCTCAAACTCAGCCTGCTTCCTGAGACCCCTATCTTAATTCCCTTTCTCACTATACAGCCATAGACCTGACTCTTGAACATTCCTAATTTGTTGGAGGCTCTTGATTAAAGGAAGCAGGGTGGAGGAAGGACAGAGGATTAAAAAATAAAACAGAAGCAAACCTAGAAATGTCTGCATCGGTGATTCTCAACTTTTCAAAGTACTCAGACTCTATTCAAGTCTAGTGCACTAGTAACTAAGTCTTTAAATAAGCATTCTGTTTTAACAAGGAAGGGAAATGAAAGCGTTAAGTATTTAACCTAGAAGTGTTCACCAGTAGTGGAAAGAACACCCAGCCTCTATGCCACTCTTTTTCACACAGTCATTAAATTTTGTTGTCCATTGTAAGTCCCAGAAAGGGATGGACAAAGGGGTAAAATGTAGGCAGTGGCAAATTTTACCCCTTTACGTTCTCTGCCTTCACATTTTTTAAAATCTTTTATTTTGAACTTTCAAAGACCCTGTTGAAGTCCAAGTGCGCATGTGCATGCAAAGAGGAACGAGCCACCCTGAGAGCAAATCCATCCTTGAGGTTTGCGCCCTGAGTGATGGGACCAGAAGGCTTGGTGCACCAGAGCTCTCTGTCCTACTCCCAACTCGTACCCGTACACATCAGGCAGAAACAGGATGTTTTAATTTTTCAGACCTCTTGCACTATATATTTTTTCTATAAACAAAGTAGAAGCAAATATTAATGCAGAGGCGTAAAATAAGATTCACGATTCTTGGACTTTAAATAGAGGTTTTATACATCAATGATTATGTAGAATATGTAACCTAGTGCTGGTAAATAACAAAAGATGAAACACCATAGGGATATAATGGAATAACCAAAAGAGATTCAAAAGAATAAATCTCCTACTTTCCCCATTCCTATTTTAAAATTACCAGCATCAATATCTTGTACATGCTGAAATAAATGAATATTGTAGAGTACTGACTTTTTAGTATATTTGCACAATCTATTGGTTTACATTGTGAATGAAAGATTTTCATTCATTGTGGCCCTGCTATGCTTTTCTTCTGCTTTTTAATAATGCATAATAAATGTAACAGATTCTTGTGTGTTTCCAAAGAATTGCTATCAAATGAATTACTCTTGTCTTGTAAAAACACATTCTGATCCACCCAGTGACATGGAGCACTGGCATCTGGAAGGTCACTCAGGCTGATGAGATTTGGCTCTTCATTTGGCAAAAAAAAAGGGCCTGGAAAGACAGGGACTCTCACCTTGTTTGGAGTTGACATCTGATGGGATGTGTGACGGGTGTGATCCTGGAGAAAAGTGCTCGTCACTGTAAGTGATGAGGGGGGTGAGAGGATGGACCGCATGGGATGGCTGCACCACGGGCACTTTATTTGACTGCAAAGTAACCACAAGGTCAATAGTTAATATGGATGCCCAGCTCCAGTCTTTTCTCCCAAAGAAAAAAATTCACACAGCAGCAGTAACCAGTCATCAACATAACCCAAGAATCACCTTCAGACCTGGACAGGTGGAAATGTCTCTTTTAGAATTTTTCTGAATTTTTCCATGGTAAATACTTCTCAAATATATGAATATGTCACTGATATTCATGAGTTATCAGTTATTTCACCAGTGACTCTTCAGGGATTTAGGTTGATCACTACTCTTCCATATGGCATGAATTTCTGTACATATATATTTATACTCTCTTTTAGATTATTTCCTCAGGTTAAGTCAATAAAGAGCGAATTACAGCAAAATTTATGAATGTTTTACAACATTTGTATTCACTACATATGTCTGGCACAAAAAGCAAAAAACTGTCCAATGAGCAAATAAATGAATAAATATTGCCAATTCAAAGGATAAATTTTTAAACCCAATAAATATAAATTTCCTATACTGATATCCCCTCAGCTTACAGAGTTCATAACTCTATGTTGTACATCTTTAAGAACCATGGTACACCATTCTTTCGAGTTTTATAGCTTTGTCAATCAAACAAGACTAGCCATTATGCTTTGGCCCTCCTCAGTTCATCTTCTGCTTCTCTAGTTTCCATAAACATTAATTGATAAAAAGGAATTTCCAATCTTGAGTTGAACTGCATAATATGAAATACTGTCTTTTTTTTTTGAGATGGAGTTTCACTGTGTCGCCCAGGCTGGAGTGCAGTGGTGTGATCTTGGCTCACTGCAACCTCCACCTTCCGGGTTCAAGTGATTCTCCTGCCTCAGCCTCCCAAGTAGGACTACAGGCACCCGCCACCACATTCAGCTAATTTTTTTTGTATTTTTAGTAAAGACAGGGTTTCACTATATTGGCCAGGCTGGTTTTGAACTCCTGACTTTGTGATCTGCCCACTTTGGCCTCCCAAAGTGCTGGGATTATAGGCATGAGCCACCGTGTCCAGCTGAAATACTGCTTTAATAATATTTTTAATTGTTAAAATTGTATATTTTAACACACTTTATATGTCTTATACTTGTTTACAGACATTTTATTATTTAATTTGGAAGTCAACAGTCACACTTTTTAATTCAAGTTATCTAATTGGACTTCATCAATTTGAAATCTGTGATTACTTTGGTTACAAAGTTAAGGTTGTTCCCCCCAACCCAAAAGTGCTTACTAAGTAATTAAAAAATATAAAGAAGACTTAAGTAGGTTTAACCTAATTAGTAAAATCACTTATTTATTTATTATTTATTTTTTATTGATATGGCATAGCTGTAGAAATTTTGTGGTATATGTGATATTCTGATACCTGTATAAAAGGTGGAATGATCAAGTTAGGATAACTGGGATATCCATCACCTCAAACATTATCTTTCCTTTGTGTTGTGAACATTAAAATTCTTCCCTTCTAGCTATTAAATAATCTATTGTTAGCTACAGTTTCTCTACTGTACATACTACAACTTATTCCTTCTATCTAACCGTATTTTTATACCCATTAACAACTTCTCTAGGGGAATCATTTTAAAGAGACTCAATAAACCCTTCACCAAAGAAAAAGGGACTCAACACAATTATATACCTGTTAAAGGTGTTTGTTTCTGATTTTAAACTAATCTAATAATTAAAGCAGTTGCAGGAAAATCTCTACTTAAAAACACTATAGTAATGGGTAACATGAATTTAAGAGAAAATTGAGCATATCATTATGCTCAATTCACTAGTTCAGACATGTCTTCATCATAATTAGTTTGAATTAGTAAGATCTTACTATATTATTGACTAAAATGCATGTGAAATCAGTTTTCTCCTGAAGCAAATATTCATATTTTTTAAAAATTTGAGGAAGTGCCTAAAACTGCACAATGTGAACTGCTTAAAATGTAAGTCCATATCTGAATGGTTAAAGAGGGCCCCCAAAACACACTTGTGTATGGTGGCTGTACCTACGACATACACTAATTTTGAACTTAATATTTTTTACAAATTAGCCATAAAAAATATGTGGCTCCAATGAGAAGGACTCCCCTTAGAAAAATTAGAATTCTTATACCCTATCTTATAAGAAAAATTAGTAATTCTTCTTATACCCTATCATTACAACCTCCATCCAAAAGAAACTTACGGGGGGGGGAAAAAAAAGGAAAAAAAAATCACACTTTTTTTGGAAAATGATATAATTTCCATACTAGATTTTCCCTATTTTATAATTATCAGCTCTTCTTTAATGGCAAAACTTGCATAGCTCATATAGCTTTTTTGGCGTATATTAAATAGAGTGCCATTATCATAGCCACACAATTTTTCTCTACACACCTCAGCACAAACATCTATGCATATAAATGTGTAAAAGGTTAAACAAATCTTCTAATGCTTTTCGAGTGTTAATGACACAGTTTTCCAAATAACAGAATAAGCTTCTTAAATACATGGAATTTAGAATGCTAGAAGTGGGGGTGGGTAGATGTGAGGATAGGAGGAGTTTATTATGAACTCTTTTGAAAATGGAAACACAAATCTCAACGCCCAAATGTTAAAATCGATAGATTTCAAATATACTTTAGAATAATGGCTTTCAGTTTCATTTTAAAAGTCTCATAAATAAGCATAATTGCCAAACAATCTACAAAGATATTTTCTTAGGGTACTTATAAAGAGTAAACACTGTGGAAATCTTCTGGATATATTCTTTCTTTCCAGAGCACCACCTTAAGGAACTTGCATTAGCAGGCAGCATCTTCTTAATGTCTGACCTATCCCTCCAGTCATATAGCTCAGAATCTGGTGCCATGAATTTTTGCTAAATTATGCTATCCTTGCTCTCCTCTTAATTTTACGGTTTTCAACACAGATTTGCTTTCCTGTGGGAAAGAGATAAGAAGCCGAGGATTTTAATTTAAGCCTGGCCTTGTCTTATATTTTGCAAGATGGATAGCGAAAGCAGTACTAGTAGGTGTGTTAAAGCCAACAAGGATTATGTCCATTTTTGTGGCCAAATAATAAAAGTAATATGAAATTTCAATAGCATGTGTGAGCAGAATTCCAAGGGTTATGGTTTGCTTCCTGCCAACCATCTCCACTATGTATATAAACAGAACAAAGTGGATTCCAACTTACACTGCGGATATGTGGCACATCATCATCACAGTCAAGATTCCTCAGCCCAAAAATCTGCAGGCTTCCTCTGATTTCACAAGTTACTGCCCCTTGACACTATGTGCACACACAAAGTGAGAACCCTGGCACTGCTACTTTGGTTAAGTTTTAAGACAGCCAGTAAAACCATTCTTAATTCCATTCATTTAATCTCCTAATAAAATGTGGTATATATTTTCTTGTGGGGAGTAGGTAAGCGGAAGAATAATCAACCAACTATCTAAGTGTTTGTAGACAAATTAAGTGGCTACATCACATGCAGAGTTATACATGCCCGTGTGCATATGTGTGTATTTATTAAGCACCTAAAATGTTTCAAGCACTATTCTAGCACCAATGACCAACACACAGATAAGGTCTCTAATTCTCGCAGCTTACTTTCTGGGGCTCTGGAAGTGGCGTCAGGCAGCAGGGGGTGGGTATTGGAAACAATGAATATGTAAAAAAAAAAAAAAAAAAAAAAAAAAAAAAAAGACAAGCAAAATCTGAAAAGGCAGCATCAAGTACTATGAAGAAAATGAACCTGGTGATAGGAGAAAGTGTGTATCTAAGTATATGCCTTTTTATTATGTTTAAGCTCTAAGAAACCTAAAGTATATTTAGTAGCTTATTTTAGTTCCTTATTTTAATTTTACAGACTGGAAGCCGAGAAACAGAGGTCACCAGGGAATGGGTAGGTCAAGCCAGGACTACTGTATAAAATAGTACAGTCCTGCTCACTACACAACTCCAGTAACGCAGGGACACTGAATACAATGGGAATGAACCCCCTGGGCTGCCCAATACAGTGGAATCAGCAGTAGAAAAGTTCGATCCTTTTGGCTCTTACTCTGTGCTGGCTACTGTACACATAGTAAGTACCTCACTTAATAGAACCCAAGTCTCCTGATTCCTACTCGGGTGCTTTTCCTACTACACATCTCGCTGTAAGGGAGGGAAGGAGGGAGAGAGGGTAAAAATCACCTGCTTTTTGATTCACAGATACAATCAGGTAAGTCTTAGCTTCCAGTTGAGAATCACCAGGTAGTCCCAATATGTGCTCTGTTTCATTATCCCAGGGTCACAGGATGCACAGTTACTCCAGCTTTACGAGATACCTGGCAGCCCTGTCACCCCAAATTCTCCACTTCTGGTCAGAGGTTCAGTGACTTGTTTAAGCTCACAAGGCAGTAAGAGTTAGGCCAAAACCCTTGGTTTCTGATTCCAACTGCACATTCTTTAATCTCAGGCAGGTGATTGGTGGGTGAGCAAAGGAAAAGACAAAAAGAGTAGATACTTAAAAAAGAAAAAAAAGAAAGAAAGAAAAGGGAGAAAATATCAAGGATGGCTGTTTAGGGAGAAGCTTGAAACCCTTTCTTAAATTTGCAAATCACCATCAGGCCAACCTACCCACATAATACATAGTAATTACAGCAATTAACACTTACCAACTGCTTACTGTGTGCTAAGCACTTTATCCTCACAACAGCTTTGAGGCAGGTACTATTATTATCCCCCTTTTACAGATGAGGAAACAGGCATGGAGAAGAAAATATTCTTGAAGGGTATGTGCTCTAGCAAGCAGCCAAGCCAGGATTCAAATGCAGAAGTCTGGCTCTAGAGGCCAAGCTCATTACCTGTACATCATGTGGCCTTCCTGAAAGCCAAGTTCATAAAATCTTGGACACTGAGGTGACCATTTGGGCCACACCTGAGAGCATGTGACATCTATGAAATGGCTGTGTGGTCTCTGTCCCAGGCACAGGAATCACTTGAGACAAAGAAGCACCTCAGCAGAAGTGGGTAAAGCTACGGAGACTCAACTGCAGCCTTTCTCTCCAGGACTGGAAAACATGCCAAGGAAGCTTGGTTGGCTGCCACCCAGGCTGGTCCCTGCAGGTAAGGACCTCTTTGGCATCACAGCCAATAAAACCCATACCTCCTGTGGACACGAAGTGGGTGCCACTTAGGGATCCTGAGAGCCACCCCCAAAGCAGCATTCCCAGAAATGACCCACTCACCACTGGCAGGAATTGAAGGTGTCATGAAAGCTGTTAGCCTCAGAGGATGTGGTTCTGGGAAGAACTAAAAAGGTGGTTCAACTCCCTACTGGCTAAGGCCTGGGGCCTCCTGGATAGAGGAGTAACTGGGGGAGAAACCTGCTGTCCTGGTAGCTAGTCCTCATTTTCCACATCTCCAGGTTCTAACTAAACTAAACCCAAAGTGCGGGATCTGGCTGTGCATAAAGGTCTGGAGTTTCAACTGGCTGTGCATTTAATCAATAATCTTCTGGTAATAACTGAATCCAGGGGAATTTTAACACTTCATCAACTTATTGAGATGAGGAATTTCATCTGGCCTTGATTGTTATGGTGGCATTTTTGCTTTTCATTAAACACTTCAGAAGTCTGGTACTCGTGACATAAAGCCATGTAACTTCATGCTGCGCCTTTCCCTCCTTTTCTGAGAATCTGAGCTTCTCAAGCCTTCCCAGAAAGAGAGGCAGATTTACTCCAAAAGGATACATTGATTCTTGCATCTAGACCTCAGAAACAAGGTACTGGAAATATTTCCTAAGATCCACCAAAGCCAAACACCTGCTTCAGGTCTGATGTGGCTTTCAAATGTAAGACCCCCTACTGGTGGTGATGCAGCTGCATTTTTCAGATAAGAACGAGGCCCCAGGATCTTAAGATTCAAACGGTCCATGAGCCCAACTCTGGAGGAAAAGGGATGGTCTAGAGACCTGCACCATCATCAGACAACTGAAATGTTTTCTTAAGAGGGGAAGGAACATATCACAGGGAAAGGAATTAACATGGGTTGCACAGTTAGTAAGTACCAGTCATTACAGTAGCGCTTTTATATACTCTGGCACTCGTCCATGTAAGTGGGTATTATTACCCCCATATTTATAGATGAGAAGGCTGAGTCTTTTTGAACACAGAGCTAAGTAATAATTAGTGGAGAGAGGATCTGTGCCGGCATTTGTTTGATACCAAAGTCCCTGCTCTTCCTGCCCCACACTGTTTGGTGCTCAGCTCCTCTCTCCATCTCTATTCCAAACTACCCCCCAACCAAGTGAATGTGGCCTGCTGTGGCCTCAACTGTAATGAAGCATCTAGAGAGGAACAGTGGACCACTTGGAGAAAACTGATATTACCAGAGGCAATCAGACTACAACAGAATGCTGGAAGGGCTCCCTTTTAAAACGCATGGAAAACCCACTATTCTCCAAGTTCTCTGTAAGGTGGTGAATTCCAAACATTACGTCATTTAATCCTAAAGCCATACCTAAGTTAGGTGTTAAGATTTCTGTTTTATCGAGAAGGAAACAAGGCTCTGGGAATAATTCATTCTGGGAGCCAAAAGGAGACCCATTGTTTTCAGTAACTGGAGCCTGTAAATAGAGGGACTGGGGTTAAGGTTAGAGGCTGAGGAAAGATCAGGGTAAAGGAAAAATGACATCTAATTATGTAAAGTTGCAACATCCTATTATTTGATTGATTTCACAACACCCTCACCATACCCCTAATCATCTAAGTACTCCATTAATTTTTCATGTTGAAGAAAATACTTTGAAAATTAAGAGAAGGAACTGGAGTCATTCCAGATAAATGAGCCAAAAAAACAAACTAAAACATTTGCAACTTACTTACTTGTACTATTTAGTGGTAAAATAGTACAAGTAAGGCATTACAGTGGTTGATTCAGAGGTCAAATAGAGGGATGGGGCATAAGTAAAAGAAAGGACCACCAGATTCTCACCAGATTCTAAGGAGGCAAGAGGAAGAGGAGGAGAAGGAGAAACAGGAGGAGGAGGAAGAGCAGCAGCAGTAGCAGCTGCCTGCCTGGACCACTAGCTGTAGTGGTGCAAGGATTCTATGGGGTATGGAAAACTTTGCAGTGGAAGGACGTGGGGCAGAGCGAGAATCCAATGGTTCATCTTTTCTGGATCACAGACATGAAAAATAAGATGAAAGCTGTGTTTAAATGTTTTTATACACAAATACAATCACACATCAGTGGGTTGGGGCAGAGGAGTTGCAGTATGCACAGGGGAGGACAGGGAAAGAAGTGGCCCATGATCCCTAGATTTAAAGCTGCTGCCTTACCAAAGCAAATGGACAAATGGGATCACGTTAAGTTAAAAAGCTTCTGGAGAGCAAAGGAAATAGTCAACGATGTGAGGAGACAACCCACAGCATGGGGAAAAATATTTGCAAACTACCCATCTGACAAGGGATTAATAACTAGAATATGTAAGGAGCTCAAACAACTCTATAGGAAAAAGTGAAATAATCCCTTTGTAAAATGGGCAAATGGTGTGAATAGACATTTCTCAAAAGAAGACACACAAATGGCAAACAGGTATATGAAAAGGTGCTCAACATCATTAATCATCAGAGAAATGCAAATCAAAACTACCACGTGACATCATCTCACCCCAGTTAAAATGGTTTTTATCCAAAGGACAGGTAATAACGAATGGTGGCGTGGGTATAAAGAAAAGGGAAACTTTGTACACTGCTGGTGGAAATGTAAATTAATATGATGACTATGGAGAACAGTGTGGAGTTGCCTCAAAATCTAAAAATATTATCACCTTATTATCTAACAATCCCACTGCTCGGTATACTCAAAAGAAAGGAAATCAGTATATTAAAGAGCTATCTGCATTCCCATATTTACTGCAGCACTATTCACAATAGCTAAGATTTGGAATCAACCTCAGTGTCCATTAATGGATGAATGGATAGAGAAAATGTGGTATATACCCAATGAAATATTATTCAGCCACAAAACAGAGTGACATCTTTGCATTTGCAACAACATGGATGGAACTGGATGACATTATGTTATGTGAAATAAGCCAGGCACAGAGAAACAAATAACCACATTCTCACTCATTTGTGAGAGCTAAAAATTAAAACAGTTGAACTCACGGAGATACAGAGTAGAATGATGGTTACCAGCAGCTTGGAATGGGGGTTGGGTGAGTGGGGATGGTTAATGAGTGCAAAAATATAGTTAGGATAAGATCTAGTTTTGATAGCTAGCACAACAGCGTGACTATAGTCAACAATAATTTATCGTAAGTTTTAAAATAACTAAAAGAGTGGAATTGGAATGTTCCTAACACAATGAAATGATAGATGCTTGAGGAGATGGATACCCCAATTACCTGGACATGATTACTACACCTTGTATGCCTATATCAAAACATCACATGTACCCCATAAATATACATACCTATTATGTACCCATAATGATTAAAACCTAGACATTTTTTAATATCTGCTGCCTTATTCTGAGAGAAGTATTTTACCAATCCAATCACTGCATAATAACTTATTATGATTAATAAGCTGAAGTGTAGTCAGCTTGATGAAAGTAGTATTTGTGCAGGTCAGTGGAAAATAATGGAAGGTAAACAAATCAATTAAAGTGAGTGAGAAGTCAGGAGCAAAAGCTTTCTCTGTCTACCATCCAGAGAGCTCAGACCGGAGGCGACATGAGGCAACCCCAGGGACTCCAGAACCAGAGAGGGAGGGCACTGTTTGGGGCGGGTTGGTTCAGGGGGGACAAATTCCAGAAAGATTTCCTCAGAACCTCATCAGCCATCAATCCTGAATAGGCTCAACAAGGTTTTCTGGTGCTGGTCTGGGGACATGTTGGTTGAAAAGCCTCTCTCCTCCACTGCCCAGGGATGGCATATTCAGAGGGAGGGACTTCCCACTGCCACCACAGCCACACCTCTCTATTATGCAGTTTAGAGGGTGGAAGGGCTCTCCTTGGCACTCAGAATGTCCAGCAGGAAACAATGAATGGTTGGGCCTGAGAAATGGACTCTAGATCTCCTGTGGCGGGGTTGTGGGGGTGGGGTTCGGCAAGCTACAGTCTGCCCAAGGTCAAGGTCAGAGAAGTCCCACAGTTACCCAGATACGAAGTGCAGATGGTCTGTTTAAATGTTCAGACTGCAAATGGAGGGTGCAAAATTCCATAAGCGAAGCCAACAGACTTAAATCTAATTATTTCATATTCAAAGGGGGGGCTTTCACACTTAAGTTTCTAGGAAAAGCATTTGCCTTATTTTAGTTTAAGTAAAACTGATTCTTTAAGATCAGGTGTGAAGGATTTACAGGACAGTAACAGAAATACTTATGTGTACAATTTTGTCCCACCGAGCCTTCTCTGATTTTAATAAGTGCCATATATATACAGTATTCTCTACTTAAAATTGGGTGTTTTAGTAAGTGAAAAGATAACATTTATGTCTACAGGGGTCCTCATTTTTCTATAGAACTTCTGAAGTGCCTTTCAGAAATCAAATGGGGAAAATACAACAAGTTACTTGGGTTCAGCTACTATCAGTCAGATTGGGACTAAAAGTATGAATAATTGAGAGGTAAAGTTATTGGAAAACTCAAATCATTTTCTATGAACATGTAAATTTGATATTTACACTGTAAGATCAGCATTAAAGCTATTCTATAGCGTTGTAGAGTTGTGCTGTCCAATATGGTAGCCATTAGGCATTAGGTCGAGCCCTTGAAAGGTGGCTAGTCCAAGTTGAGACATGCCATAAGTGTAAAATACATACTAGAATTCAAATACTGTGTGTGAAAATAATGTAAATGATCTCAGTATGTTTATATTGATTACATGCTCAAATAACATTTTTGACATATTATGTTCAATAAATTTATTACTAAAATTAATTTTACCTGTCTTTACCTTTTGATGTAGCTTAAGAAAACATAAAATTACATATATGACTTGCATTTGTGATCTGCACTACATTTCTATCAGGCAGTTCTGCTTACAGTTTAAAAATTTGTAGGTGGGACTGCCCCCTTTCTGTCTCGTACTCCAATTTGACTTAAACAAAAAAATTGGCGTTTTTGAAACAAAGCTTCCTTGTATGGAAAAGAACTCTTATGGGTAAAAAAACTGAAAATCAGAGAAGGTAAGTGGCAGAGCTGGTAATTTAACATTACATTTCAATATCCCATACTGAGAGTCAAGTCTATACACATGTATGTATATATATATGTGTATGTATATATATATATATATGTGTATATGTGTGTGTGTGTATGTGTGTGTGTGTGTATATATATATATATATATATATATATATATATATATATATATATATAAATAATACTTGAAATTATGGGGTACGTGTGCAGAACATGCAGGTTTGTTACATAGGTATACACGTGCCCTGGTGGTTTGCCGCACCCATCAACCTATATCATCTACATTAGGTATTTCTCCAAATGCTAAAGTCAATATATTTAAAACCAAATATTTATATGACAACTAGTACAGAACTATAACCTTTCATTTTATGGTGTAAAAAAAATTACTAAAAGCAGGGTAGAATGATCCTTATGATTAAATTGTGTGTCTTGAAGCAGTTATATGTAACTTCTTCAACTTGCCAGTCAACTCAGATAACTTTTACAAATACCTAACACACATTTTCAGATTCATTACAAGTTACTGATGAACTCATTCCTTGACAAGTAACCATCTTTTCCATTTCACATCATAGCACATTATCTAGGAAGAAAAAGCAGAGCTTATCTTGAGTGAAAAATGATGCTGCAGACAACACTATTCACAGGATATATTTATATGAGTCAAGAAAAAAATAACCTTTTGTTATAGACTTAAAAACAAAACCTGAAATGAGTTGGAATTGAGTCTGAAAACTTAAATGAGAAAGAAAGCAGATTACGTAAACTGGGTTCTATGTAACTTTGCTTCATCTTAAAGCTCTCAAATAAGTCAAGCCAGAAGAGAACATTTTCCCTGAAAACATTTATTTCAAAAAAGAGGAAGCAAAATTTAAAGACCTTTTAAAAGACTTTCAATTCTATTAATAAATTATAAAAAGGAAATATTCTATAACCCATGGAAAACTGTAGTAGCAAAGACAACAGCTATTCTCTGCTAGTGAAAAAGGGCATTTCTGTGAATATAAAATCAAAGATAAACTCCACTTTGTTCCATGTATTAAAAATAGAAAATTTTCCTCCTGAAGTTTATTTTCATTTCCATCTCTTTTAGGGGAACATGCTGAAGAATTCAAGACAGATACTGAATGCCTAACCTATGTATCTTTCCCGAGAGCAATCTACATTACCCTGAATTTACAGTAGTGTCCAGGAGCCGGCTTGTTCTAGCTCAGAGACCTGATGGCTAAATTTTCAGGAATTTTGAGAGCCTGTTATCATGTTGGTAGCCTGAAATTGGTCATGGTAGGATTATTTATACCATGGAAATTGGCACATGTGAAAAGTCCCCTCTCCCTTGAGCTAATTGTTTCACATATAACAGCACCCCACTGGCAAACACTGAATCCCTTCCTAAATTACTAGGTGAAAAACTCTTATTTATTTCTTTGACAAACAAGAGGATCATAATCTTGATCTCTGTCTGAAACTATTTCAGATGAAAAATTTCAAAGATTATCATTTAACATGGTCTGGGGTGACCTGCTTCATGACCCACTTCCTGCTAACACTGGAGGGATGTGTAGGCATTTGTCCCTAATTACTCTGTCTGGTTCCTTGCCTTGGGTCTAGACAGCATTGGGTTTGAGTCACTGGATACAAGGAGGAACTTTACTGCACAGCAATGAGAAGAGATTTGTAGAAGATTCACAGGTATTTTCTTCCTTTTACTTCTCAAGGAAAGTGTTAATGTAAGGCATAATGTAAAACGTTTGATGTGATTATTTTAGAAAGTTATCCATAAGACACAAAAAAAGCAAATAATTGAGACTTTCACAAGTGCATTAAAGAATAATTAATGCAGCTTTCGACATGAGGCAGTGTATCAGAGCGCAGTTGTCCAGGCCAAATGCACAGAAGCTGACATTGGGCTAAATACAGTATTAAAATAGAGAAAGATGAGACACTTTTGTCTTTGCAGCAGGTTCACTCAAGAAACAAATTCTTTCTAGAGAATATGAAAATCAGCTTAGGGATTTCTGAAAACCATTGTGAATCTCAGGAAGAGGGGTAAAGAAGTAAAAATAATTTAAGGGCTTATTGAAGAATGTTCTCAAGACAGTCTACTCTTGCATGTAGCAAGAATGGTAAACAGAAGTGAGAGGAGTGGGTAGGCAAGTTCCTGTGTACAACAACTTGGAGTTTGCGACCCATGAGTATTGGATTCCTGCTATCAAGAAATGATAAAGTGTGAGCACTGGATTCCTGCTATCCACAAATGATAAATGAAATTCTAAAGCTTTGAATTTCAACACTCTAATATTTTGTAGTTCTGACACTATGGCTAAAAGCAGCTATGGAAAAAAGTCAGGAAAGCAAAAGAAAGAACTGCATATGGAAGCCGAGGTAGGTGGATCACCTGAGGTCAGGAGTTTGAGACCAGCCTGACCAACATGGAGAAACCCCATCTCTGCTAAAAAGACAAAATTAGCCAGACATGGTGGCATGCGCCTGTAGTCCCAGCTACTTGGAAGGCTGAGGCAGGAGAATCACTTGAACCCATGAGGCAGAGCTTGCAAGTGAGCCAAGATAGCACACCATTGCACTCCAGCCTGGGCAACAAGAGTGAAACCCGGTCTCAAAAAAAAAAAAAAAAGAAAGGACGGACTTATTTACTGAACATTTTAAGAATCAGTTTTAAAATGGATCAATGCCACATTGCTGATGGTAGGCACTGGTTTAATGGCAACGTGCACTGGGAATCTGAAAGAACATAAATGGTAATTTGAAGAACATCAATAAAGCTTACAGAACAGATTTAAGACACAGAGCAGGAGCATTCTGTCATTACATTACTTCAATTCTCATTAAAATTATTACTAACCTGATTTCTTCCAGCGTAGGGACCTGTAAGGCTGTGCTAATCATTACAACCTACAGATGAGACGTGGTCATCCTGCCAAAATTCCACAAAGGGCTATGCCCTTTCTCTTCAGCAAAGGCACCACTCTGTACTCCTGTGCCTTTGACCTGCCTCGAATCTCTACCACTAAATTAACCTTCACAGAAAAACTCAGTTGGACAAGTCTGTGATGAGGAAAGTGGCATTCCTCAGTCTCAGAAGAAGGGAAGGAGATAGGAGGCACCTAGAGTCAGTTGCATAGACATAAAGTCAGTGCAAAGACTCCAGCTGATACAGGGACATGATGTTCAGTGGTTCTAAGTTCTATGCCTTGTATGATTACAGAGCTAGGGTCTTACATACAGCAAATATGGAATAAGAGTCCTGTCTTATTCCAGTGGTCTGGATTCTAAGTCTCCAGTAAGTACTTTATTTCAAAGAGGACACATCTTTGGCAGTGTGGTATAGCTATGAATGAGCTCCTCCAACAAAAGGGTGATGTCTTGAGGGAGAAAGCTATAATTAAACAATAATGAAAACCATCACATTTACATTAGCTTACAAAGTGCTTCCATGACCCTTATCTCATTTGGATCTCATTATCACCCTGCAAGAAAGGTATTAATAAATATCCCATGTTTCAGAGAAGGACAAGAAAGCTCAGCAAAGTCCAAAAGCAGTAGAACTCAATCCTGTTTTCTTTCACCAAACCATGATGCAGCCCATTTTCTGGTTCTCTAAGAGCACGCAGCTCCCGTCACTACGTGGGTCTCAAAAGTTGACCTAGAGTGGGCCACTAGGCCTCAGAGGCAAGAGTGAGAATTGTCAAGCTGCAAACACGCAGCCAAACAACAAAGCATCACTATGGAACCTTCGCCTTCCTCCTAAAATGCTGTCATCATCTGTGTTTATGTTTTAGAAATGTTTATGTAATATCATGTGAATGTGCTAATGAACAGTACAATCAATCAGTATATTATTCACAAGCCTTGTGATTCCCAGGACAAGCTGATAAATGGGATGTCAAGAAAGAATGTAAGCTATTCTTGCATATTCAGAAAAATCCCATCCACAGAACAAAGAAACATCCATTTTAAGGAATGAATTTATGTGCCTATGTTTTTCACCTTCCCCTTAATTTTCCAGTTTACGCTACAAATTTCTTCACGCTCTCAATTCTTCCAGCTAACTAGAAATGCTCAAGATATCTTCTCTACCTTGTTACATCTAATTCTTGACCATAATTACAACTGATTTCACCGGAATTTGGATATATCTATTAAAAGATCTGTGGGAATTCATTTTCTCCACACACCCTATTTAATCATTTCAATGTGTAAATGTGGAGACACTGTAAGTCAATGTAAATAATGTTTTCTTTTGCTTAACATAACCTGAATTTTTCCTTCTCCTCTTACTACTAATTCAGTTGTTTTCTCTAAAGAAAAGTGTTAATTTAACTCCCTCTTCCTCTTAAAAAATTCTAAGTAGTTGATGTTTTGAGGTTTAAAGATATTCAAAAGAAATAGAAAACAGTTTTGCAGTTCCTCAAAAAGGTAAACATAGAACTACCATACGACCCAGTGATGCCACTCCTTCTGAAAGAATTGAAATCATATATTCACATGAATACACATATACAAATGTTAACAATGTTAAAAACTGAAAACAACTCAAAATGTCCATCAACTGATGAATGGATAAACAAATTGTGGTACATATAATGCAATGTAATATTATTCATCTATGAAAAAGAAGAAAGTACTGACATTCAATGGATGAACTCTGAAAACATTCTGTTAAGTGAATAAACCATAAACAGAAAGGCCACATATTATATGATATGTATATGTATATGTATATGAAATGTCCGGACCAGGCAAAGTCATAGTAACAAAGTAGATGAGGGGTTGCCAGGGGCTAAGTGGAGGCAGTAATTGAGAATGACTGCTAACAGATACCGGGTTTCTGTTTGGAGTGATGGAATTAGACAGTGGTGATAGTTGTACAACATAGTGAATATACCAAAAACCACTGATTGAAGGCTAATTTTACTTTATACAGAAGGCAAATCCAAGTGAAATTTTACCAAGTGAAATTTATATATATATAAAAATACAATAAATATTATATATAAATTATATATATAAAATATATATATAAATTATTATATAATAATAATATACATATTATATCTCTGAACATTGTAATTTCACATGTAGTGATGACAGGGGAATTCCAGCAAGCTAAAATTGGGATGCTATATAACCAGTGTCCAACCCACAGCAAAGTACGACATATTGTATATGTTTAGGCAGACAGGTGACACCCAAACTATCGTATGAAGGACATACCTATGAATGCTCTTTCCCACTCCCCGCCCTCAATTCCTGGGCCTATCTCCCCATGATGGCAAAAGGGCTGTTATTAGTTTTCCTTGCCCCTCCCCTTCCAGGGCTCTCTCTGGAGTTCCATAAATGGCATCAATCTGACTCTCTGGGGGCATGCCGGTGAACTGACAGCTAGGAGTTGGAGGTGTGCCTTTTCAGGTATCCTCCAAACTGCCAGAGGACAATTAGGGAATGTGCAAGCCTCCTGGGAGTCCGCACTGTCTTCTAGGCTTGTTCTCAGCTGCCAGGTGAGAGATAGGCATGTGACACGGGAGCTGAAGAGAACGTGCAGACTCTAAAATCACAGGCATGAGCAAAAGTCTCTGTCATCAGGCCCAGTTAGTCTTCATCAATAACCTGGAAACGATACATATTTAACCCTCAGAGCTTAATACTATGGGTTTACGTTTTTCCTACATTTAAAAACACTGCTTTTTTTAAACTTAAAATTGCATGAAGAATCCACTTTTTTTTTTTTTTTTTGAGATGGAGTCTTGCTCTGTTGCCCAGGCTGGAGTGCAGTGGCACAATCTTGGCTCACCACAACCTCTGCCTCCCGGGTTCCAGCAATTCTCCTGCCTCAGCCTCCTGAGTAGCTGGGACTACAGACGTGTGCCACCACACCCGGCTAATTTTTGTATTTTTAGTAGAGACGGAGTTTCACTATGTTGGCCAGGCTGGTCTCGAACTCCTGACAGCAGGTGATCTGCCCGCCTCAGCCTCTCAAAGTGATGGGATTACAGGTGTGAGCCTCCACGCCCAGCCTGAACCCGCTTTTAATATCCACTCCTTAAGAAGACTACTAGGGTTCTAATGAAAAGGTTAAAAGCCACTCTTTGAATTTCAAAAATTGTTTTTACCTCAAACATCTCCATTTTCCCAAGTGTTTTCAAAATTAATTTTAATAATGTTTCAAATCATGAGTTGTACAGCTATGAATGAAAATTTTAAGTCTTCTATCTCGTTTCTCTATAGACCTGGTGAAATTCTTATGATAGAGCAATGGATATGATCCCATCTCTCCCAATTTAAGGTCTCTATCAAAGCTTTCATTAGCCTCCCATCACAGGATATGTGCAAAGTGACTCCTGGGCTTGAGATGAAATATTCATTTACCTTATAAAGAAAGGGGGGAAACTTCCACTTCAAAGTAATCAAGTGCAAAGCAGTTTATTAATGTAGAATTCCAGAGCTGAAGGAGCCTAAGCGTTCAATAAATTCTAACCACCCTCAGTCAGTCAATGACGAAAGTGATATTCAGACAAGTCAGGCAGCTGGGTCTGCAGTCGGGCTCCAAATGTTGCCACCCCGAATCCAGTGCCCCACCTGGGATACAAAGCTACTACCAGACCCAGTCACAAATGCTCAGAGGTGAGCCCAGATATGGCTCAGGGAGATCAACGGTCTGATCAGTCAATTTCACCTATCCAACTCAAAAAGTACTTAAGTAAATAAATGCCTACCATGTTAAGGTGCTATCCCAAGGAAGCATGACAAGGAGACAAAGATAAGTAAAATCTCATCACTATTCCCAAGAAACTTAGTATCTACTCAAGGAGGTAAGACATATATGCAAACACCTATAATGTGTAATGTTAAGAACAAAACCAGCCATTAGGAGATGAAACTCCAGGCAGGAGGTAATAAGGAAGGGAAGAAGACAGTAACAGCCTGGGTGTGCCGGGTGAAGGGGAAAGGCCAGGAGAAAGAGGCTTCCAGGTTTTCAAGATTGAGGCTGCCTTTACGGACTAGGATGGGGCAGGCAGGCAGGATGAGGAAAGATGATGGGCTTCATTTTCAGTGTCCAGTGGAAGCAAGCCAGCGACAATATGGTGCACTGATGTACACACATTAGGGTACTTTTGTTGTCGTTTCATGCAACACAAGTTATAAAGTGACTTGTATGAGGTCATCGGGCTGCAAAGTGGTAGAGCCAGCACTAGACTCTAAAGCTCAACTTCTGGTTCCGAGCCATCCCATAGCTCCAGAAGACTACCTATCCTGGATGAGTTGCAAAGATCAGTGGGAGAAATACAAATTATTTTTCCAAAACCCAGTCAAGTTGGTCAAAAATATGCAAGAAAAAGTGACATTACATGGTCATCTAAAAACACTCACCAATGAAGGGGAGTTTACACATATTTACATTCCTTTTCTACTTCTGTGAGTGCACAGAGAGAGGAAACCCATCTGCATGGAGGCGGACACAGGTTGAAAAATGGGTAGTGACAGAAGAATGAGAAAAAATCAGACAGCAGGTCAGATACAAGCATTGTCACCCAGAGTCCAACAGCTGGCTGGTCACTTGTGCATGATTGGAAAATACAAAAAAACCCCACATCTCACATGCCTCTTAAGATAAAAAGACTCATTGATCTTGCTCGAAAGGAGTGAGCCTTTAAACAATCCACTCTCTCTGCCCCTCATTATGACTTTTATTGGTTTTATTCTGCACGAATATATGGACCCATGCCTCGGAAGAAGAGCTGAGGTCAATGACCTTTGCAGGCAAACTTGATAGAATTTATAAGCAGAGAGACAGAGAAAGGTGTTTTTTTTTTTTTCTTTTTTTGGTAAAGATCACACAGATCTAGCAGCCTGACTTCTGGGAAAAATATGAAATTTCGTAGAAAGTCTACAAAGAGAAAAAAAGACCAGAAGTATATGCACTGAAATGTAAACCACAATATTAACTTGTGAGACTATAGGTAATTTTCGTCTCTTATGCTTTCCAAAATTTTTATCTAGAATATTGTGCATAATCCTTACAATCAGGGAAAAGGCTTATTTTATTTTTTTTAAAGGGAAATGGTGGTGCTACTTGAGCTGTCTTGTAAAAAAAAAAATTGTATACTTTGAAATTTATTTTGGATAGTCACTGAAGTCAGATGCATATAAATTTTCTAGCTTTTCATAAAGTTTCTCCCTATGTTGCTGTCAAGGAAGTAACTATCATCTTTTTGTCACTCTCTGAGAACATTTTAGCTCTTCTGAAGGACAGTAAAATAGGATGTTATGTCCTTTGACTATCATGGAGTCTAACAGTCCAATTTCACTCTTCACCCCCGCCCCCCAACATGCTGCTTCTCACTGCCATTTTCCCCGTTACTGATAAGAGAAAGAACAACAGACAGAAAACCTACTACAGGCACATAACTCAAAAGGACAATTACCACATGAAGATGCTTATACTGATCTTCTAGATGCTTACAGCTAGGAGATCCCCAGAAAGCACAGCTCTCACAATTCAATTCAGAGTCAGACATCCACAGTGCTAAAGCGGGCTAGAAAGGGACAGGTCTCCTGGGCAGGGACAGGGAAAAGCAAAGCAAGCTACAAAGTGAGGCTGGTCTTCGCTTTAATTCAAGAGAGAGATGCAAGTTTCGATGAGACCCAACCATCTATTCAATCACTCTGGAAAGTGTATAGTTACAAAGGACCTCAACCTTGATACACAGCTTTTAACAGTGTGCTTCGACTTTGAGGTTTCCTTTCCAGTTGCTCAGACTTTCCACATCAACCTTCAGGTGCTTTGCAAGAGATGACTGTTTTGTAACAAGCCTAACATTGTGCTGGTAATAAAAAAAGGTCTTAGATTATCATCATCTTATCTGCAATCAGTTTGTCATAGCACCTCTTTCTTACTTTCAGCTTCTTCTAGATTTGACTCACTCGTAGTATACCCTTTCTCCTTGCAACCTGACCTGGTTAAGAGATGCAGCGCTAATAATATTTTTCTGGACTTGATTTTTCCTATCCAACCTAAAGCATGACATAAAGATGCTGTTCTCCTTCTGTATGTATAAAATAAATTATATTAAAATGTGGGAGATGTCCAGTGGTCTTGGAACTGGGGATACTTCCATCAAAATAAGAGCAGCCACACTGTCAGGAGAAACATGCAAGTGCTGCAGTCCCACTTGTTCATCTCACCAGACTTTTCCATGTGGTAAACAGGATCACTCAAGAAACCAATACAAATCACTAACTTCTCAGTTTCTTTATTTATAAGATACACATGCACTGCGTTAGGATTAGCAGTTAAATATTAGGATAAAAAATAAACAGAAAACAAGCAAACGAGCTCTTCCTGTTGAGCTGCAAGTTTCTCTCTCCTCCTTCATACTCTTACCCTCTTAATTACATTAAAAAGATCTGGACTGAAGATCGTACAAATAGAGTTGACTTATGTGTGTATTTCATTTTGTATCTGCAACCAGGAATACAGGATTGGAACCAGACCAAGGATCAAATTCAATAGGTCTCTCCAGTGTCCCCAGCTTAGCATGCAAACTTTGATGTGCAAAAACTTAACATTTCTACCTAGGGATGTAGTTTTGATAACAAAGGAGCTTGGCAGACAAAGGGTAATTTGTTAAATCTGCTAGAAGCTACTTATCTGCTGTGGGCATGCAATCTTTAGGCATATTTCAGTTAGCCCCTGTGCAGAACTAATTAAATTGGAGGAAAGAAGAGAAATCCACTCCTTGTAAGGCCATCAACTATTACGTCTCAGTGTTTTTAGCCTGAGCACTTCCTCGGCGCTCAATTCATTTCAATTATTAACAGACAGAAGCTAAACGCTGTTGACTTGCTGGAGGCTGTAATCACCTAGAAAGGCCTCTAAAAATGAAAAAGGGACAAGTTGTTTTCCAGTATGGAAGGTGATTAAGCATGAACTCCAGAGACAGACTGCCTGGGTTTGAATATCACTTCTGTCACTTACCAACTGGGTGATCTTTGGTAAGTCTCTCCATCTCCATGTGCCTAGTTTTTCCTCATTTGTAAAATGGTATTAAGAACAGAGTGACCCTTGAAGGACTGTATGAGCAGGACATGCATTAATATTTGCAAACCACTTAGAACAGCATCTGGCACATAGCAAGTACTATGTAAGTGTTAAAACAAAACATGTGAAGTGCTTAGAATGGTGACCAATAGGCACTAGATATTACCACTCCCATCTAATGTAAGTTTTAATCTAGAAAACAGAAGGCAAAACATTCAGGGTACTGAATAAGACATTCCCTCAGGTTCTAAACTATGGCCTCTTACTGTATACATAGAGATGGTTTTTTTAATCCAGAGAAGTTATTTTCCATCATCAAGTGTCCCAGGCTGAGATGGGAGGCTCTTGGGGAAGGGGGGCAGGCACAGCAGGTCTACAAAATACACACCTGCCCAGCCTCATAATTAAAAAGAAGTCACCATTAGAGAACACAGATTTGTTTGAAGTTCACGGGAGCTTTACCAATACAAATTAGTTTCTCCCAGTATTTCAAGCAATTATCACTTTTAAAGTCTAGTGGGGGAAAGGTGTGAAAGGGAAAGTAATGAGGATTTGTATTAGAACTGTTCTCTTCAGCAAGAGCACGAAGCCTCCAGTAGGAGGGGAGATGCAGAAGAATGGCAGGTGGCATTGTTGGCAAACAGTTTTCCAAGTAGAAAATTAACATTCTCCAAACAATACTTAACTGTTAAATGTTTCTGCCTTTCCTATTTTGAGTACAGCAGCAGGGGTCACTAAGTATTATAAACCATTTCCTTATAGAGCATGTTTTCACTTTCTAAAATTAACAAGTTTCACTATTCTTGTTTCTCTGAAGTCAGAATTTTTCTCAAACATGATACATTGCAGGCATTTACTATCTCTACAACTTAATAGCCTTACTACGCCCCTAGTGAAACTACTGCTTGTCTGTTGCCTAGAAGGTTGCTAATAGGATGATTGCAATTGTCTTTGAGATTGAATTTTTATGGATATTTTAAAGCAAAAAAACACAATGGAGCTTTTTTCCCCACTAAAGAGACAGACATATCAATGTTCTTTCTTTCTTTACTCTCCTAAGAATGGTATCACTGCTTCTCTCAGGAAATCACCACAGCTGATCTGTGCCCCACCCCCTGCAATGGGCACATCATGCGGGTCTCCTAGGTATGCGACAAGACTGACAGACCTGGCCTCAAACCTCGACCCTGCTCCCTTCCATCATCCTCGTTGAGTGACTTAACCGCTGCTTCCTCAGCTGTAAAATGAAGATAATATCCACCTTACAGTTTTGTAGTAAGAATTACAGAAAATATGCAGAATTCACAGCCCTTCATGGCTGCTTAGTAAGCACACTGCAATCTTTCCTATTATTTCAAACTTTGAGTAGGTCCTAGAACCATAATATCTCTGAAATCTGTCCAGACTCTAGGTTACAACTCATTTTATGGCATTTCAATGAAGATGAACACTTACTAAATTGGATGAAAGATAGGTAAACTAGTATATAGAAAGATGACCTAACAATTGGGTAAAATTGGATCAGTAATTTTCTCTAAGTTCTTCCAAGGCAAAATATAGTGCTAATCAATAACTACCCCCAATATTTCCATAGGATACACCAAATGAAAGAACACATAATGAAAAGGAAGAAAGAATTATTCATGTTAATGATGCAAACAGAGCCCCTGTAAGGACAAATGAAGAAATGCAAGATGTGCCCAGGTGGTTGTGACAGTCTCTGCCTTCCTTCCATTCCCACTGGCTTTTTTCCTGAATGTATCTAAAGCTGTGATGACTGCACAAGAGATGCATTATTATCCTGATTCTCAGCACATTGGCCTGTAGCTAATCTTTGAAAGCACCACCTGCTGAGTGTACCTGGGGACCCAGCCAATGAACTGCATCATTGACTAAGTCACCTTCCAGCAACCAGGCCATCTTGCAGGCCACACAACTCCTGCCTGAAGGGAGGAAAGGAGGGGAAAACAGGAGATGCCTGCAAAAAGTGATTCTTTATCTTTTGTAGCCACCATATATATTTCCAGCCCTAACTGTCATTTATTACCATTTACCTTATTTAATCAGAGGAGGAAGAGTAAAGAAAAAATGAGGTAGAGGGAGGCAAGAAAGGTGCTGGCATACAGGCCAGGCGTGGTGGCTCACGCCTGTAATCCTAGCACTTTGGGAGGCCAAGGCAGGTGAATTGCTTGAGCTCAGGAGTTCGAAACCAGCCTGGGCAACATGGCGAAACTCTGTCTCTACAAAAAAATACAAAAAAATTAGCAGGGCATGGTGGTGCACCCTTCCAGTCCAGCTACTCAGAAGGTTGAGGTGGGCGATCACCTAAGCTTGGGAGCTCCAGTGAGCTGTGATTGCGCCACTGTACTCTAGCCTGGGTGACAGACTGAGAACCTGTCTCAGGTTAAAAAGTAAAAGTACTGACATACAAAAAAAGTGGCAGCAGGATTTAGGTCCTAGTCTTATGGTGGACTATTGACACTGTATCTTCTCATCTGTGAAATCGACCCTGCCCTAATTCCCCTACAAGGCTCAGCAGCTAGTGATCTGAGTATGCAAAGAGCTCGGCTGTTGGAAACAGGCAAAAAACAGTGGTAATGACCTGTTGGGAGTTCAATGGTGCTAGGATGTTGGGAGGTCAGGCATTGATACACACTGTGTGGCTGCTGGGGCATTAGAAGCTTCCATCTCTGGAACCCTGTCCTATGAGCTTATGATGGTTTTCGTGTGGTCAGATGAAGGCTGTGAGGTCTCTGCTTCTGTAAGCAGAGGTCCAAGGACCAAAGCCAATACAAATAGCTCCTAGGCTTGAGAGTCAGTTTTTCGCTGCATGCCCCATGCCTGGGGTAGAGTGTTCTGATCCTGGTTTCTCCAGGCAATGAGAAAAATGTCCCTTGCAATGCCATTCAGGACTGTGTGATGGCCAGTCCCACCCACCCATGGGCACACAGCCATGAGGCAGTAAGAGGATGACGCCTGAAGCCAGACTGCCAGGGGCTGAATCTCAACTCTGACACTTATTGTACAACCTTGGGCATGTTACTTATTCTTTCTGTGCCTTGATTTTTCCTCATTGGAAAATAAGGATCATGATGACAGTACCTATTTCATAGGGTTGTTAAGGATTAAGTGAGCTGCTATTAGTTAAGTTCTTAGAATGATTTCTGGCTCGTAATGATATATAAGTATGTTTGTTAACTAGATAAAATGTAAAGATAAATCAGCATCAGCTGCACAGTAAACAAATGTCATTACCTGCAAGTGGGATTAGTACAAATAGTTTCACATAATTAGTATATGCTCCTGATTTTAATCCTATACCCTTGTAGAGAAACAGCCTTCTCAGAAAAGGCAGAGTCAAACCAGAGTCTAACTCTACAAAGTAAAATATTATCTGTCTCTAAGACATCCCCCAGCTACCCATTAAGTACACCATTAGACAATGTCATCAAAGCACTGTCAGAAACCACCCTGTTGGAGGAAAAACAACATTAGAATGGCAGAAGCCCAGGAATGGAAGCCTGATGCTGCCACATCTCTGAGCTGTGGAATGCTATCCGAGGTGAGATGTTCTTATAGTGAAACAGACAGGGTGTGTTTTTTAATTAATACAATGATGGAAACCATTCTCTTTGTTTAGTGCCATACAGTTCACTAAAGAGGAAGAAATACATTTTGCCAGTAAATCTATTCAGATTTTTCAATCTGGAAATCAGAAAGAAAGCTACATGGAACCAGATAGCATTTTGAGAACGGCAGAAAAAAGGTAGAAGAGCTCCAGAGCACTAGTTGCTGCCAGGGGCATGTGTCAGGGAGGAGAGCCAGCTGAGTTTGGGTGGGGGAAGTGCAGATCTCCGCAGCTGTGTTACAGGGGAGAAGGGAACACCTACTGAACGACTGTCTTTTGACAAGTCCTGAAACAAACCCACACACAAAGAAATTGTTGTGGGGGTGGGAGGGAAACGGGGACCAAAGTTAGGGAGTACCCACCCTGCCACAAGCCCACTGCCTGTACAGTCAGGCTCACCTAAAACATCCTGTTTTTGCCGCAGATCACAGCACCCTAAACCCAAGTCTGCATCTAGTGCTGTCAAAATACCAAAACATACAACAACTACAAATCTGCTCTTCGAAGAATTCAACAGGACCTCCCTGGCACTCCTTCAAATGGGAGGATGGGCAAATGCAAAACAGCAGTAATGTGTTGGGAGGGTGGGACCATGGATAAATTGCAGGTATGCATGTCGAGAGAAAAGTAAGAGAGGCAAGGAGGATGAAGCACTATGTGGCTATTTCTACTACTCAGCTACCCACTGTCACAAGTGCTTAGAATAATCATTTTGAATAAAAGAAAAGACGGATCCAATTGAAAGTTGCTTTGTTCTGCTTTCAGCTGTAAAAGATTTAGTTCTAGACCCTAAACTCATTTAAAAAACCACTATATGAAGACAAAGAATAAAAAATAAACACATAAGTTTAAAGCAATCTGGAGTTTTTTTTAAGGCAAGTATGTTATAGAAAATTCAAGAAGTTATGATTACTCAAAAATTTTGAGCTATTTATTAACATTTATCAAAAGCTATTCTTTTCATTGCAGAAAATCAGCATATTTAAGTCAGTAGTTACAGTCATACTCTGTGACTGTAATAGGCCAGTTATTTAGCATTTAGGCAAACAAACATAAAGGAAAAGTGTCCTTCAGAGATTTTCTCTCTTCTTTATTGTTAACCCACTTGGTAAGCAAACTAATTTAAAAAGTATTATCAGAGTCAAGTAAAGGAATCTGTAACAAGAAGCCAGGGAGGAGGACCAAGCTTGGCCTAAACGATAAAGGGTTTGTAAAAGCACTTTGTATGCAAAGAATCATATATATGATGATAATGATCATCATCATCACAGTCAAAACAGCAGGATAAGAAATGTCAACTAGGCCCTTCCAGAAAGTGGTTATTGCAGAAACAACACACAAGCATCTTATGTTAACAAGAAAAGGTCAAAATGAGGAAAACAGCAAAGCCATGGTGAAAAGGTAAGCAGTTTGGGGAAACAGCCCCAAGTGATGTGAAAACAAGAGTGTTTTCTAGATGTGGACGTTTAAGTGTGGTGCATATGAGCAGACAAACTCTGCGAGCTAAAGATATGGGACTTAATGTCTGAGGAGATAACACGAAAATACTGTGAGCAGCAGCCAAAGAGCAAGGAAAACACCTTGCCTTCTGGAAAAGGGTTTAAAGAGAGAGCCTTAGGACTTCCGTCAGGGGCTATCAGGTTACATCACGTTGAAGTGTATGTGCAATGTCTGAGAGAACTACCCTTCCTTGTTATAAATGGAACAGCCGGCTTCCTCTGTGAACAGAAACTCCAGAGACCACTGCCCTGCATTTGCCCAGGATGGAATTATCCCGAGCAGCACTTATGGGGCTCGAGGAGGGCAGGGAGCTGCTGCCTAAAAGGAACGGAATGGGATGGGATGGGACAGGAGGAGACGAGCATCCGAATTGTGCTCCCACTGGCCTGCTGTGGACAACCTAAATCCAGGAGGCTAAATTTAAAGAAGCAATTTATAATCCATTTTAGGTTGTAAGGCTTCAAATAAAGATCTATGTCCACATATAATTCCATGCGCACACCTATACTATCTGTTAGGGACAAAAAGTATCTACTGACAATGCAAGTATCCAAATTTATATATTGGAAATGAGCTATCCAAATAGATCAGAGATCAATAGACACAACTGAATGAATATGAGGGCAAGAACAGTAGTAGTAAGTAGAAACAGTGGTGAGACTTGATCAAGAGAAGTTACTCAGATATAATTCGGTTTAATACTGGGAAGCTACCCGCTCTCTCAGTGGCTATGGTGAGTCCATGTCATTCTTCTGCTATGTAACCTTGAGAAAATTTCTTTTTAAGTGTTAATTTTAAGATGGTTCACATTATTGGTCTTGCTAAATACAAGTGTGCTAATAACCCAAGAATTGGTAACTCTGAGCTCTATCTCAAAAATAAATAGTAGCTGATGCCACAGAATAGATAATTGCTATCAAAACAGTAGGATGAAGCTGAGTCCTAATCAGACTGGAAGAGGTTAAAGAGAGAAAGAATAAGATAGTTGTGTAGCTGCTGCTGTAGAAATAGATAAGACTAACCTCTCTCTGCTTCTGGCATTTACAGCATGAGAAAAAAGAATCTGTAATGGAAAATGTTGAAAGATACACTGAAGCTTTTCAAAACATCAGAGCAGTGAGACCTTGAAATTCATTTACTTCAATCCTTGCATTTTACCAATAAGGAAACTGAGGCCCAGAGAGGTTAAAAGGTCTGCCTATAATGTAACACATACACACACACACACACACACACACACACACACACACACACGGCTGTAAGGCAGGCCTGCGGTCTGAAGGCTGCAGTGCCCCTTCCTCTTTACTGCTTTCTTCCCTCTACTGAGGAGCAGTTATGGAAAGCTATTTTTGTAGAGACAATTGAGGTCCCTGACAATGACAGAAGGAAAATAAATGGTGGTTTCAATTCCAAGTTAAGCTATAGGCTCACTGCTGTGCTCCCGCCCAGGCAAGATTTTGACTCTGAGGTAAAATAAGAGAGTCAAATCTGATCAAGGTAGCTGTGTGGGAGTTGGCTTGGAACTCAAACAGTGAAAAGGGCAGGGGGACATGAGCTGGACTCAGCTGACAGGAAAGAGAAACAGTAAGCAAGAAAAAAGGGTGCAGGCCAGGCACAGTGGCTCACACCTGTAATCCCAGCACTTTGGGAGGCCGAGGTGAGAGGACTGCTTGAACCCAGGAGTTCAAGACCAGCCTGGGCAACACGGTGAAACTCCATCTCTACAAAAAAATAGAAAAGTTAGCTGGGCGTGGTGGCACATGCCTGTGGTCCCAGCTACTTGACAGGCTGGGGTGGGAGGACTGCTTGCGCCCAGGAGGTAGAGGCTGCAGCAAGCTGTGATTGCACCACTGTACCCCAACCTAGGCAACAGAGCAAGACTGTCTCAAACAAAAAGAAGGGACCAAAGAGCCCTCCGAGTCCACTTCTGAACCACACTAGAGTACAGTACACCCCAATTAACCCTCATGATGGCCACACACATAAAATCCAACTTGAGAGCTGTTTGCCCTGAGGGCTGTCAAGAGTCTTACTTCAGGGCAAAGTGGAACAGTATGTGGTGGGAGCCTGGATTCTGGGGCCTGGTGAACCTGGGTGTGAATCTTGGCTTTGCTTCTCACTGGCTGTGTGCCCTGTGTGTTTTCACATCCCTGTCTCTCAGTTTCCTGTAAGGTAAGGATAATAGGATCTGCTTCAGCAAGTTGTGGAGAGGATTCAATAAGTTAGTATTAGAGTGCCAAGAACAGTGCTGGGCACATCATAAGCACTGTGTAAGTGCCCACAAGTAAAGAGACTGGTCACATTCTATAGCTTCAAGCCCACAAGATGCCAAAGGTGGCAACGTGTGACACAGAGTGCCCTCACTGTGAGACATCACTGTACACAATTCACATTCACACATCCTCTTTTCTGTGAAGAGGTTAGCCTTTTCATCTGATAAGCAATTAAGGTTCTTTCTTTGATTTTATTTCTTTTGTTTCTCCTCATTAGAATCAACCCATGTAAAACATTTAGAAAATCTAAACAAAAATTACCTAATACTGCCACCCAGAAAAAAACTTAGAGATAAATTTCTTCCTAATTTTTCTCCATTATACCTTCACATATAAACATTTTTTAAAAAAAACCCTGATATTATTTTATAATCTAATTTACTCGACATGTTGTAAATATTTTACCGTGATTAAATATTTTAACAGAATTTTTAATGGTTGCACGGTTTAACTATAGTGTAATTTACCACTTGTTAGCATCTTTATGACAAGATTCAACCTCCACCTTTCTATTCCCACCATTTGCACATCCCAAAAGAAAATGAAAGCATAACAAAGCTTTTGACAGCCACCCCCAAACAGGTGTTCTTCAGTAACTTTCTTCCCAGCTGGGCTACGCCACAGTGCTCAGAAAATGGCTCCTAGAAAAGCCTCTCCATTTGAGCTACAGCTTCTGCAGTACAAGGTTCTGTAAGGGCAGCTCTTGCAGCCGGCTGAGTGTCACCACTCCAGGAATGTCTGACCTTTCCCAGGGCTTTGATCAAACGACCTCCTGCTGAGCAGAACTGGCCAGAGAGAAGCTTTGCGGGGAGGGGGAGGAAGAGCAGGGAGGGGATCAGGGTGGGCGTGAAGGGTCCCAGCAATGGGCAGCTCGCCAGCCTCTGCAGGGTGACTGGAAAGGTCTGACTGGAAGAATCTTAGAGATCACCTCCCAAGTCCCCATTTTAGAGATAAGAAAACCAAGGCTCAGGAAGATAACAGGACTTAATTAGCACTTGTGAAATATAACTTAATATTAGCAGTGATAACAGCCACAATTACTATTACTAGCATTTGGGGCAGTCATTATGAGCCAAGTACTATGCTAAATAAATGTTCAGTCCCAATGACTACTCTGTGAGATTGCTATCATTATTTCCATTTTAGGGAGTAGGGAGTGGGGAGTGACGAGGCTTAGACTAAATGAGTTGCATAAGATCCCACAGCTAACAAGTAGTAGAGGTAGGAGTCAAATCCAGATCTTTCACCAAAGTCCATGATCCTTTTAAGCATACCACAAGAACAAATAATTATTTTTATTTCCATTGCATTGTTTTCTAAAAGATGAGCTTATTAATACTTACTGCTAACTTGGAAGGTGGCAAAGAATTCATGCTTTCATCTCTAGTCATCTTTTCACAAATCTACATTTCTGCATTTGCTAAACAGTGACATAAAAATACTCAACAGATCGATTTGTCAACAGTCAAGTTCCATACATTTTATACAAAAATGATTTTGAGTGCGAAACTTAGGCTTAATGCGAACTGTGAATTGTCATGCTATAGTTAAACTAACATGAAGGTAAAAGACTGCATAAAACACTATACACCCAATGAATGACATGTGAAAAGACATTACTTCTAAATATCTATGTAAGGCCACCTCAGGTTTAGAAAGGCCTTAGGCCAGGGACTCTCCCAAGTACATAATTACAATGCTTCTCTTAGATGATTGTCAGGTAGAAGACAGAGATTTCAAATAGTTTGTTTACCTATTTTTTTTAAAGGCTCTTTCTCAGTATGACTCATGTGAACAATTTAAACAAACAGCTGTGGCAGGAGATGGCCACTGCAGCCTGCTCGAGTAGGTAAAATGTACTGAACCTGTGTGGTTAATTAGATCAATCTTGACTCATTTTCTTTAATGAGACAGTATAACACACAACGTCCACCAGACCTGTTTTCTGGGTTTTGTTTTACATAATTTGTTGTTACGGTCTAATCTATTCTTGAGCTTCTTTTTGGTTAAAGCACCAACTTTCTAACTATTTTTTTTTCAAACAAAGATTTTTTTGTGTATATTCAACATCATGCATCCTTGTGAGGGAACTATACCGCACAGTACATGATTTGTGATGAAATACAGTCAAGCAACTTACACCAAAGAAAAACACATGAAAATAAGATTTTTTAAAAAACATTTTTTTTCAATTTCTTTGCCTTTCAAGCAGGTCAGCTATACAGATTATAAGTGTAGAACTGAAAGCTAACTCCCACATACGAGATAAAAGTTCAACATCAGGTGATGGAAAATCACATATTGAGGAGAAAAGTCAGTCCTTGGGTTCTAAATCATTTGTCTTTGTTTTCTGTTAAAATGGGGAAATTTTCTATCTTTTTTCCTTTCATTTAGAATAGATAATTTCTATTCCTGATCACCTTTAAATGCACACACTGAGGTTTTGTTTTCACTGACTAAACCCTAGGGATATGACTAATTCTCATCATAAATTTTCATTCAAGAAATTTCTGAGTCCATATTACATATTGAACCTAATAATAGAGTTCAGATTTATGATGCTCAAAATGTCATGTAAGAGTATTATGGTAATGTACAAAATGAAATACTGAGAATCACCACACTTTTCAGGAAGTCCCACTGTAAGGCAAAAGATTAAAATAAAAAACCCTCAATAAAAGGTGTGAAGGTCTTTGCCAGTTTCAGGATGTGGCCTGTTTGGGAGTATGTTGAATGATCTGCCCCATCACGATAGCCTTCATTACAAAAAGAAACACATATGTACCTGTGCATTTGGTAGCCTCAAGTCTTTCCTATAAGGCGGCCTAAAAGTTTGACTTAGTAAACTGGTGGTTCTCCAACTTTTGGTTTCAGCATCCATTTATAATCTTGAAAATTACTGAGGACACCCAGGGAGCTTTTGTTTATATGGATTATATCTATCAATATTTATCATATTGGAAACTGAAACTGAGAAAATTAAAAAATATTTATTAATTTGCTTAAAAAACAATCTGTTTAAATTGTTACATGTGAACATAAATATTTTTATAGGAAGTTGTACCATTATATGTGTATATTTTATATATGTGTGTGTGTGTGTGTGTGTGTGTGTGTGTGTGTGTGTATGTATGTATATATTTAAAAGAAGGGTCTCACTCTGACACCCAGGCTGGAGTGCAGTGGTGTGATCACGGCTCAATGTAGCCTTGAACTCCTGGGCTCAAGGAACCCTCCTGCCTCAACCTCCCAAGAAGCTGGGACTACAGGTATGTGCCACCACCCCCAGATAATTCTTTATATTTTGTAGAGATGGGGTCTCGCTTTGTTGCCCAGGCTGGTCTCAAACTCCTGGACTCAAGCAGTCCTCCTGCCTCAGCCTCCCAAAGTACTAGGATTATGTGCATGAGCTACTGTGTCCAGCCACCATTTTATGTTTTTGAAAACCTCTTTAACATCTGGCTTAATAGAAGACAACTAAATTTTCATGTCTGCTTCTGCATAAAATTTGCTGTGAAGTATATGTAGAAATTCTAGCCTCACACAGATATATAACTGGAAAGGAAAGAATTATTTTAATAGCTTTTTAAGATAATTATGAATATTCTTCTTTGATACAATGGACAAAGCAGTAATTTTTTAAAGGTCAGCTGCAATGTGGAATCTGAAACCATCAGTGAACTTTTCCTACTCTGTTACATTGAAATCCATTAATCTATCAAAGTCCTACACTTTGAATCTCTCATCCACATGTGATTTTGCAACAAACACTGATCATCTGAAAAATGTTGGGTTACTGAGTCATGTAGATTTTCCCAATGTTTACCTGTTTCATTATATAATACCACAATCACATTTGTCAATATCACCACTGAACTCATCAGAAGAGACATTAAAGGATAGGAAAGCTGTCAAGCTTATGTTGCGGAATACAAGATTTCCAAAATTCTAATTTGTATTTGAAAGCTTGAATTTTGTACTTGATAACTGTTTTCCTTAAAACAATAGGCTCATTTCACTTACTTTTGATAACCAAGTCTACCAAATAACCAAGTCTGAAGAGCCACAGCTGACCTGTCAATCATTCTGCAAAGTAAAAACTCAATCATACTGGTGTTTTCGAGACAACCATGGCACTTTGCCACATTGTAAAAGTGCTTTATATGTACTTCCCATCTCATCACTAGAATATTAAAAAGACACATGTGCTTAAGGGCCTAGGTTTAACAAAATTAATAACTTCTACTGCTTTATTAAGTGACACTAGCATTTTTTAACTGAGAGTCCATGGTGATGAATATAGTAACTAAAGAACTTCTACTACAGTTGGTGCCAGGCCATGATTTGTGCTAAGTGATGAGCAGTTTTCCCAGCATTGTTTTCATACAAGTGCAAATGTCTACACAGTGAAAATGGCAAAAAATAACAGTATTATTGTGAAAAGAGTTTTGATCTCATGGACCCCCTAAAAATGTCTCAGGGACCCCAGAGGTACAGACACTACACTCTGAGAATCTACCTACTAAACCAATGCTGCTGCTACTGATATACTCAACAAAAGGAGCTGAATTTTTTAACTCTTGAGGAAAAATACAGATACCAATGCACAAGCCAATTACACCTCAGTATTTCGGGCATTACAGAGTTGTCACTTTCATGTTCTTACTTGCTAGACCAGTTATTGCCAATAACTTGGATAACATTTTCTGGCCAAGATCTTAAAAAACTCACACCTAACAATGTCAATGAGCACTCTCCAAAAATACAGGGGCCAAAGGACTGCTAGCAGCAAAGGCCACTAGTCCCTGCCTGCACTGTGCTACAATCATTCTTCATGCCTCATTCATTCTCTTTGATCCACCACATTTTTACTGCACCTTTTAGTCTTTATTTGCTGGTATAACTACTTAATGCCATAACTTTCCTCTAAGTACCTGTTGGCTGCACATCACTGGTTTTGATATGTAAACTTTTTATTACCATTCAGTCCTGAAATCTTTTCTTTGACCTTTGAAGAGTTTTCCTTATTGATAAATAAGGGTTTTTCTAGTTGTTTCCTTCTAAATTAATGGTTTTCTGAGCAGAGAATATGGTCTGTGTCACAACTAATCCTTTGAAGTTTTTTAACACACTATTCATGGCCCAATATTTTATATTCTAGAGTTGTTGGATATAGCAGCTCATATAACCCATTTGATCAATCTTAATGGTTGTTCAAATCTTTTATAGCCTATTTACTTTTTTAAGGTGGTAGGGGGCTCCTGCTGATTTACTAACTACTGATAGAGATAAGTTGAAATCTCTTACTAGAAAGTAGATTTGTCTTTGTGGTTCTGGTCCATTTTTCCTTTATAGATCTTAAAGTTACATTATTATATGCATAATGATTCAGAATTATATCTTCCTTTATCTGTTATTATCATAGTTCCATCAGCTTATTCTGGGTTGATCATGGCGTATTTTTTTCATACCTTTCATAATTTTCCTTTTGGTCTCTATAATTCTGCATAATTTCTTCAGATCCCTCGTTTCATTAATTTAGTCAGGTCTAATCTGCTGTTACCACCCATTCATTTTTGTTTTTGTTTTTGAGACAGAGTCTCACTTTGTCACCCAGGCTGGAGTGCAGTGGTTCACTGCAGCCTCACTGCAGCCTCGACCTCTTGGGCTCAAGTGATCCTTCTACCTCAGCCTCTTGAGTAGCTGGGACTACAAGCGTGCACCACCATGCCCAGCTAATTTATTTTTATTTTTATTTTTTGTAGACATGGGGTCCCACTATGTTGCCCAGGCTGGTCTCGAAATCCTGGACTCAAGCAATCCTCCGACCTTGGCCTCCTAAAGTGCTGAGAATAAAGGTGTGAGCCACCATGCCCAGCCAATAATTCTATTTTCTAAAGCTGCACTGCCCAATGGAATAGTCATCAGCTATGTAGCTATTTAACTTAATATTAAATAAAAGTAAATATTCAGTTTCTCAGTTACACTAATTAAGTGCTCAACAGTCACATGCATGTAGTAACTACCATGTTGGATAACACTTACGACAACACAGATTTAAAGATTTTTGTCTGACTCAACTGCATATGTTGACTTTGGCTCATGGGGCCATGTTTCCTGTGTGTTGTGATTTTCTATTCTTTTTTCTTTTTCTTTACTGTAAGTGTCCATTTCTTTTAAGTTTATCTGCAGAAATTACTTGAGGCCTATATAGTATGTGCTTCCAGAATGAATCTGTCTTCACTTCTGCCATATGCTGTGGAGCATTACAAAACCAGATCTCTGTTGAGGAAATTCTCAGCTTGGGGTCCTTCGGTCACCCTTGATAATATGAACTAAGACTGCAAACCTGCATGAAAGCCAGCTGCAGTTATAATTCTCAGGACAGCATTTTTCTTCTTCTAGTCAGTGACAGCACTTGAGACAAGAAATTTTCACTGCAGTTCCCTGGGAAGGTAGGTTTATTTCTAGTTTGCCTTTACTCTAAAGATATAGCCTTTGGGACCCCAGCTTTCTGCTAGGGTTGGTTTTTTTTTTTTTTTTTTTTTTTTTTTAAACCTATTAGTCTACTTTTTATCCTGCGTACCCTACAAGATAGAATCTGAAGCCTGGTTCATCACATTCTACAACAGCCAGCTTTAATGGTCCATTTACTGCTTTCTGAGTACCCTTAACTTTCAGTCCGCTCATGGATGCATTCAAAATGTATATTTTGGGGAAAAAACTTTACAGATTGGATATGTGTATGCATGTTTGTGAGTATGTATTATGTATATGTGATATTTGTGTGTGTGTGTGAGTAAAATGTATCTCCATATTTTTAGTTTACTTCAGCAGATGTTGCTTAGGGTATCACATCTACCATAATGCCAGAACACCAATTTTTAAGATGCCTAATATCAGCTTTAAATCTAAAATTAACAATCTATAATCTGATATCAAAAACTTTTCTGGGCCAGGTGCAGTGGCTCATGCCTGTAAATCCCAGCAATTTGGGAGGCTGAGACAGGAGGATCACCTGAGGCCAGGAGTTCAAGACCAGCTTGGACAACATAGAGAAACCCCCATCTCTACAAAAAAATAAAAACTAAAAATAGCCATGTGTGATGGCATGCCCCTGTAGCCCCTGCTACTCCAGAGGCTGATGTGGGAGGATAGCTTGAGCCCAGGAGGTTGAGGCTTCAGTGAGCTATGATTGCACTCCAGCCTGTGGAACAGAGAGACTCTACCTTAAAAAATTAAAAACAAAAAACTTTTCTCTTAGCAAGATTGTATGGTATTATTATTCTAATTTACATGAGATAACTGATATTTTGGTCCATATGTGTTAGATGAAACCCACAAAGCCAGATATTTTTTCAGTTTCCAAAATATTCACATATATGAAAATACAGAATGCACATTATATATTATGTAACACCCCCAGCAAAGTGTGGGGAGTATATACCCCTTAAACAGATACATGAACATTTTTTTTTTTTTGAGATGGAATCTTGCTCTGTCCCCCAGGCTGGAGTGCAATGGTGCAGTCTAGGCTCACTGCAACCTCCGCCTCCTGAGTTCAAGTGATTCTCCTGCCTCAGCCTCCCAAGTAGCTGGAACTACAGGTGTACGCCACCACACCCGGCTAATTTTTGTATTTTTAATAGAGGCAGGGTTTCACCATGTTGGCCAGGCTGGTCTCAAACCCCTGACCTTGTGATCCACCTGCCTCGGCCTCCCAAAGTGCTGGGATTACAGGCATGAGTCACCGCGCCCGGAACATGAACATTGCTTTAGCGAAACATCCAAGTAGGAAAGACAAGGCTATAAAAAGTCTTAATTTTGGTCAGTTTGGGCCACCACATAAAAGTTATGAAAACACTTTAAGATTGCAGAGCTTTTGCAGATTTCCACATTCTTTTGTCTTCAAGTAATTTGTCCAAAGGTCAACTTGGACCTAGGACTAAAACAGATTTTCTAACACTCCTTTCTAGGTATCACTAGGTTTGTTCCATACACTTGGATGGGGCATAGCTGTTACCAACCCGTGGGAGTCATTATTCTTGACTGGTTATATCTGAAATGACCTCTCTACTAAAAGGCTAATCATATAGAGTTTAGCTCATTCTGACTTAGAATTCTAACATACCAACATATTTTCCCATGATAGGCCAGTAATTATGTCTCTGAACTAATGCACTGAACTTACTGGTATTCACTGCATTTATCAATTCAATATAATTTTGTCATCTGTGTACCTTTATTTATTTATTTATTTTTATTTATTTATTTTTGAGGCAGAGTCTTGCTCTATCGCCCAGGCTGGAGTGCAGTGGCGCAATCTCAGCTCACTACAATCTCTGCCTCCCAGGTTCAAGCAATTTTCCTGCCTCAGCATCCTGAGTAGCTGGGATTATAGGCACCCACCGCCACGCCTGGTTAATTTTGTATTTTTAGTAGAGATGGGGTTTTGCCATGTTGGCCAGGCTCATCTAAAACCCCTGACCTCAGGTGATCCGCCCACCTTAGCCTCCCAAAGAGCTCGGACTACAGGCATGAGCCACCATACCCGGCCGTATCAATATTATTTACAGTAGTATGACTCGAGCTCTTTTAACTATATCCTTCCACATGCTATCATTTTCCAGTTTTCCACTATTACAGGTAAAATATCTAGTGTTTGAGAATTTACTGAATAAATTAATGAAAATTTGTGAAAGTTCAGCAGATATGTACATATTGCTGATAGTTTTTATGATATTACAGGGATTTTTACAACTTTAAGTTCTAGAAAAATCACTTGCTTGGTACATAACACACCTTGGGATTTTTTTTTTTTTTTAGCACGCATATTGGGAAAACAGTTTAGTAGTCAAATTTTGGAAACAACTGACCCACAACAGTTTAAGTACAGCAGTGTGACTGTGCAGTGATTCATGTATAAGGTAATCCTAGGTGTATTATGGATCCTAAAAAGTAAATGTTGTTTTACTTAAAACTCTAAGTTCGAAAAGTTACTAATCATAACAGTGTTAACACCAATCAGATTTTTCACAAAATTCACAAAACTAACCATAACCTGCCAATTACAATGTTTAAGTACTTAGATGTACATGAAACAACTTTACTGGAATAGGGAATTTTTTTACTTTTGTTGTTTATTTCAGGAAATAGTCCTATTCCTGAGTCTAGTGGTCATAACTATGTTCTGAAACTCTCTTCCATTTTCCACTAAGGACTTAAAGCTCCAGTTATAAGTTTCTTTAATTGCAAAATACACATGAATAAGAAGCCAATTCTAGATTTTTGACAGTAATAAAAAAAACCAGAGATTTCATGGATATTTTTATAAGTCTTTAGAAGTCATTTTAGTCAGTTTTAGCAATCTCTCCACTGAAAATTTTTCATCTAAGTCCCCAACTAGGACTTAAACTGATTACAGAATTTGATCTTCTTGTGTCTTTGGTATGTACATTAGGGTGTGATAGGAATGAAGAAAAGTGGTTAAAAGAACCAGGATAAAATGCAATTGGAATAATCATAAATTAGGATAAATTATAACTTAATAGTTTCTCAAAATACTCATTTCCTGATTTTTTTATTCTTTTTTAATAAAAATTAGGTGGAAAAAGCAGCCAGGTATGGTGGCTCAGGCCTGTAATCCCAGCACCTTGGGTGGCCAAGGAGGGCGAATCACTTGAGGACAGGAGTTCGAGACCAGCCTGGCCAACACGGTGAAACACCGTCTCTACTAAAAAATACAAAAATTAGCCGGGCATGATGGTGCATGCCTGTAGTTTTCAGCCACTCAGGAGACTGAGGCATGAGAATTGCTTGAACCCGGGAAGCAGAGTTTGCAGTCAGCCATGATCGCGCCAATATAGTCCAGTCTGGGTGACAAAGGGAGACTTTCTCTCAAAAAAAAAAAAAAAAAAAAGAATAGGTGGAAAATGTCATTCATTTACTCTATTATTTACTGATATGTGTGTGTGTGTGTGTGTGTGTGTAGCTCTATTTTAGGGGCTAGTCATACAAACATGATCTCTGTCCTTAAGAATCTGTATGTAATCTAATGAGGGGGATGAGATGTAAATGAACAACGTTCGATACAATGTGGAAAATGCTGTATGTGAGTCATCGACTAAATACTACAGGGGTAATTATATGGCCAATGAGGGGCTAGAAGAATGCTTCTCAGGAGACATAGGAGCTGGAAGTAGGAGTTTTTCATGTGTAATGGGGGCTCATTTTGGCAGAAAAAAACAGTGCAGGTGAAGGCCCAGAGGCCAAGAACAGAATGCTAAAACTGGGGAGAGGCTCAGTGATCAGACGTGGGACTTCTCATTTGACAAGTTAATTCTTTGGGTTCTTTTTTGGGAAGGCTCCTCATGTCATGTCAAAACCCTTTAATCTAGGAGACTGCTAAAGGAATAAAAATATCTACAAATTACTTATGTTATTTATAAAGTTGTGCATCTACGGAAATGTTTACTGCCTGAATGCTGCTATATATATCACTGAAGCTGAATCTCATGTGACTCTCCAGGGATAGGCTAAAGAGAGAACTGGAGAAAGAAGTGGCAAGAAAAAAGCAAACCCAGGGATTCACTCATGACAAATTATGTACAATTACAATCGTGTTGACATAAATGTTATGTTCTCTCTCCTTCTCCCTTTCTACTTGAAAACCACCTCAGTGGGACTACTGCTAGTATTCTGAACAGGTTTCATAGCTCATCTCACTTACTTTGGCAGAGTATCTAGCCATTTCTCACTTATTTAAGCGGAAAATAAATTATCGTGACTGTAGGAAACCAAAGATTTTAGGAATATAAATAGCAGGAAAATTACAGTCAAGAGAACTTAGAGATGCAACAGGGGGGTATGTAGCTTGTACAAGACAAAAAGTCTGGATTATGGGAAACAGAAATTTAAGATCTGAAGGGTTTGGGACTAGGCAAAAAGAATGAGGTCAGGGATTGGGTGTTTGTCCTTGCATCCCTTTTTCTGGAGTTTCCACATGGCCCTGAATCCTCTCTGTAGGGTCTGTCCTGACCATTTCAGCCCTACAGGCTCTACTTCCTTAACTCTCCAACCACTGGAGGTTTGCTTATGTGTTATATTTATTGTGTCAAATAATGGTATTCACTGCATAATTTGAATTGATAAATACAGTGAATACCAGTAAGTTCAGTGCATTAGTTCAAAGACATAATAAATATGTACCATTATGTACCATTCTCAGGAGAGAATGGCAGAGTCTCAAAATAAATACACATGCAAACTCTATTATGAAAGTGAGAGTATTCACCTATTTGGGAGGGAGCAGAGTTCTCACCAAGGAAATTTTACTAGTGGCAGCAGAGTCCAGCAATCAAGTCAGGACCTTCACAAGAATCTTCAGTCCTGCCCTCTAAACACCGGTTATGGGTTTAAGAAAAACAACAAAAAGATGAACAAAGTGGAACAAGAGCTCCTAAATGTCAATGATTACAACATAAACAAAATTATTTATCATTAAAAAAACTTCATAAAAGCTTGGCAAGATATCAGTAAGTCACTGGCAGAAAAACAAGGTGGGATTAAAATTCTCAAGGGAAAAAAGCAGACTGAGGAAGGGCTTTTTTTTTTTTCTACGATAAACTGATGACTGAAGTTATGATTTAGACTTTCTTTTGCCCTTTGGAAAGACATTACTTATTTTAAGGCTGATTCTAAAGGAGCTCTTTTCTAACATGTAAAATATGTTCATTTGAGCTAGCAAACAAATACATAAAGATACAGAAGCCATACCTATTGAAAAGATAATCGGTATGAACCTATTGATTATTATAATCCTAATCAGGTAAGACTAAAAAATGTACACAATACCTATGTATATGGGCAGGACTAGAAAAAATTGTAAATCATGAGAAGAGTTCTCTATCAGGGCAGTACAGTTAAATATATTTCCTTTGTTGTTGGTTTAATAGAGATTAAAAGACAAAGAAGAAGAGAAGAAACCCATAAAAATGTCCATCATAAGTGGTTGTCTCTAACAATCAAATAAATATTATTACAGATGAAAGAATATTTACCAAATTACAGGCTAACATTTTTACTTTAAAAAATCAGGCCAGGAAAAATCCCGGAGAGGGTCCACTGGGCACCAGCTTCATCAGTTCCTCCTTTCCAACCACTCAAAGCTGAATCAGGACATCCCTTCTGCTTCTATTCTTCCTCAAACTCCTCTCATTACTGAATCTGCTGCTTCTATGGGAATACACAGCAGAAAGTTCCTTTTAACACCTCTGCAGGACTGGGGTCACTTCAAAGTCCTTCTGAGTATATGGAGCTCTGGTCAACTCCACATTGTTTCTACCATAAAATGTAGATTAGTCAACCAAATCACTAGAAGGAGGTCAAAAAACACAAACCCTTTCCATTCCCAAGAACCAGTGGCCAATTAGAATGCTTTCTTTACCTCTAGCATTCCAAGAGCACTGGAATTCCAAAGCAAATTATAATTTTAGGAAGAAAAAATATCACTGAATCATGGTTTCTCTAAGCCTCAGGGTAATAATTTTTCCTGTAATAGTTAGAAACTCAAAACATGTATGGATTGCATAAATTTTGAATGCTTTGTTCTATAAAAACATGGTCCTTCATGAATAATGGAGAAGCAAAGGAGAGAGAGAACAATCCAAGTAAAACAACACTTTTCTGGATTCTGAGAAAATTCCAGATAGAGAACAAAAACCTTGCCAGCATGTTCCACTTCATAAACAACGAAACTAAGGTTGTTCTGCTCATTCTCTGTAAGTCTTTTCAATAACAAAATATTCCTCATTAATAAAAAGGTCATACCTTGGCATTCTAATTGTTGAATAAAGTTAGAAACATGCTTAGTTTATGTTAGTAAAAGGTGGCTGCAAATCCTAGGCACAAAAAATGTGATACAAATTTGGGTACTTAGTAGGGTATAATCACATTGTGATTACACATAGGAATCACACTGTGTATGCTTTGAACAATTTTCTTAGTGTTTCTCAAGTACCAATAACAAATGGTGTCTATTTAGGAAAGAAACATGGTCCTCTTAAGCTGTGTTATGAGTAACGATACTATTTACAGGGTGAATGACAACCAAGGTATTCAATAGTGATCCCATTTTTCATTTCTTTTCTTCCATAAGATCAATTCCAATAATCACCTAGAGGAAAATACTACTTCATATACTTCCCTTTGAGTTTTAGGGTGAGCTAAAATAGCCCTTCAAATCACTCCCTTCATACAAGGACATGCAGAGCAGCAATTGGAATTAAGGCTAAAAAAAGAGGAGGACAGATGATAACACTGGTGACCAGAACCAGTTATTTAAGACTGCTTATATGATTCTCCTTAAATGAGACCATTAAGAGTTTGACAGATAACTATCTACCTGGATAATTTTGATGAGATCCTTAAAGGCACAAGAATGCTCTCTTATGTTACTTGCCAGTCCTATGATGCTGCACTATCAGCCTAAGATGATATTATTAACTGTTTATGGCTCATCAAAAGACCTTCCAGGCCAGGCGTGGTGGCTCATGCCTGCAATCCTAGCACTTTGTGAGGCTAAGGCAGGCAAATCACTTGAGGTCAGGAGTTCAAGACCAGCCTAGTCAATTGGTGAAACCCTGTCTCTACTAAAAATACAAAAAAAAAAAAAAAAATGGCAAGGTGTGGTGGTGTGCACCTGTAATCCCAGGTACTAGGGAGGCTGAGGTGGGAGAATCCTTTGAACCCAGGAGGCAGAGGTTGCAGTGAGCGAAGATCATGCCACTGCACTCCAGCCTGGGCAACAAAGTGAGACTCCGACTCAAAAAAAAAAAAAAGACTTTCCAGTTAAATTGCTACTAAATGTAAAATAACACATTCCCTTCCTTGCCCTTCCCAAGTTGCTTCTTAGAACTTAAACACTCCACTAACAAGTGAAGAAAGAAAATTAATGAGGCATACAAAATTTTTTTTCTTGAACAATATTAAACTACTGCATTTTGGTGGTGGTGGTAGTAAGGTGCTAAAGAGAAATATTTTCTTTAATTTAAATCACCTAGGAAGCTTTTCACCAAACTACTGTATCTTTCCTCCCAGGTTATTTTTTATTTATCTTTTTTTTTAGGAGTCTCAGTGTATTTTCCAGGCTGAATTCAAACTCCTGGACTCAAGTGATCCTCCGCCTCAGCCGCCAGAGCAGCTGGGACTACAGGTGGCGCCACTACATCCAGCTTATTTTAATTTAAACTACTCAAGCAGTGGCTCATGCCTGTAATCCCAGTGCTCTGGAAGGCCAAGGTAGGAGGATCACTTCAGGCCAGGAGTTTGAGACCAGCCTGAGCAACATAGCAAGGACCCGTTTCTATTTAAAAATGTTTTAAAAATTAGCTAGGCATTTAACTTGGAGGTCCAAGCTGCAGTGAGCTATCATGGTGGCACTGCACTCCAGCCTGGGTGAGGTGACAGAGCAAGACCCTATCTCTAAAAAAAAAAAAAAAAATGTTTTAAATAAAAATCTACTCAAGAGTATCTACACAATGCCTACACAGCTATGCAAAAGACCACCACAAAAACACACTTCCATATATCACTGGACATAATTTTGGCTGAAAGACATTTGGAAACACTCTAAACTCAAGCAACAGCATCAAAGCCAATCTCCACAAATTGCCTACATAGTCTGAAAAACAAGGTTGCTGAATACCCACCAAATGCCTGTGTTTTTGAGTAGTACACAAGCTGATATAAGCTACTAGGCACAATTATGGCTTCTATGAGACATGGGCTCTTTGGAAACATAACTTTTTTTTAGTTTCTGACATGCTAAGAGTCCTAGATAAAACCCTGCCTTTATGCAGCTTATTGTATCAAACATATCTCATAAAAAGCTTAAAATGTAAAAACTCCCAGTAAAAAAAACTAAGGTGCGTTGTATAGGGTATGATGATATAACAGTGAGTTCAATGAAATACTGGTTGTATAAAACCACATATGAAATCAGGGTTATTTCTTTCTAGTGCAACAAAATGCACTGAAGCAGTATTAGGATTTAGGTCAACCTGGAAGGAAATTTCAAATTCAAGGTAAACGTTTTTATTGACAATTTGGATGAGGATCTAATTAGGCAATGGGGCTACAGCTTCAGGAATCCAAAATGTATCACAGGACTAGACTGATGTGCCTACCCTTAATAAGGATAAAGGCAGGTATTTGGGTCCAAAAAGAATTTATTTCATATTCACATTATGTAAAAAACATAATTAACTAGTCCGGCTGATAGGAGCTCTCCCTTGTTAGTATTGTATTCCCACTGACATTCTGGAGACGATTCTGTTCCCCAGCCAATGAAGAGGTTTTACTGTTCTCTTCCTTCAGCAAGGAATACTATCCCATTCTGTACCCCCTCAAAATCTTACCCATGTCTTAAAGCACATACTTCCCAGAAAGCTTTGTCTTGGCATCCCAATTAGAATCCCTTTTTCCTCTTCTATTCTGTTTTTGCAACTCGAGTCTCATTTAGAGTCCTTTCAGGATAGCACCTTGGCAGATAACCTAGATCTCAAAGTATACTTTGAGACCTGGAGTGCAGGCACTATGGGCCCTCCAGAGGTTTTCTTTATGAAAACTAGTTGATATTGTTTACTGAACTAGCCTGCATCAGAATCACCTGGAGGGATTTTAATAAAATGCAGTTTTCTAACAACCCTCAACTACAGCATTCTCAATAGATATGGGATGAGAGCGAAAATCTGCCTTTTTTTTTTTTTTTTTTTTTTTTTTGAGGCAGGGTCTTGCTCTGTCACCCAGGCTAGAGTGCAATGGCACAATCTCAGCTCACTGCAACCTCCACTTCCCCAGGCTCCAACCATCCTCCCCGCTCAGCCTCCTGAGTAGCTAGAACTATAGGCATGTACCACAACACCCACCTAATTTTTTGTATTTTTTAATAGAGATGGGGTTTCCCCATGTTGCCCAGGCTTGTCTCCAACCCCTGGGTTCAAGCAATCTGCCTGCCCCTACCTCCCAAAGTGTTGGGATTACAGATGCATCCAGCCTGAAATCTGCATTTCTTTTTTTTCTTTTTTTGAAATGGAGTCTCGCTCTGTCGCCCAGGCTGGAGTGCAGTGGTGCAGTCTCGGCTCACTGCAACCTCCACCTCCCAGGTTCAAGCGCTTCTCCTGCCTCAGCCTCCCGAGTAGCTGGGATTACAGCCACACACCACCATGCCTGGCTAATTTTTGGATTTTTAGTGGAGACAGGGTTTCACCATGTTGGTCAGGCTGGTCTCAAACTCATGACCTCGTGATCCGCCCGCCCCAGCATCTGCAACAAGTTCCCAGGTGATGCCGATGTGGCTGATCTGGAGACCACACTTTGAAAACCACTGGGTTAGATCAACCTTATTAAATGAGAGTTTATCATGTAACTTTTATTTAAATGTGACAGTGACTATGTAATCATGGAATACAAGTAATACATGTTAAGCAATTACAGACTCGTCCTTCATTAGGTGCCTGTACTCTCCAGCATAGTGTCCCATGTTCAGTTTATGGCCTAATTCTCAGAATGGGCCAGGGCTGTAAGCTCAGTCTATCAGAGAAACCTCTGTTGGAGCTCATCCACCTAGGACTAAAACTATGTCCTTTAAAAAAAAATTTCTTTAAGGAAATGGGGTCTTGCTGTGTTGTCCAAACTGGACTCGAACTCCTGGGCTCAAGTGATTCTCCTGCCTCTGAGACTACAGGCATGTGCCCACTGCACTGGCAAAACTGTGTCTTTTAAATCAATAAATGCGGGGTTGGGACGGACTTTAGAGGTCCAGTTTCCTACTCAATAAACTCCTTTGATAACATCCTTAATAGATGGTTTCATGGCAACCCTCACCTCCACCATGAATGATCTGTGTCTGAGATTCATTACATCAGAAAATAATCTCATTTTATTGTCATATATGTGAGGATGTCTTCCTTAAACTTGGTTCTATTTGCCAAGACTTCTATCTACTCATTGGTACAGGCCCCTAATCTCTTATCTGAAATCCTTGGGGCTGCACGTCTTACAACTTAATTTTTCAGGTTTTAGATAGGGCACACATACTGTGTGTTTTATACTCTCCCCAGTGGGGTCCAGGGAAGCACTCCATCATCAAACACATTTGTATTTTCGCAGTGAAGCATATAAATATTCACAATTAGTGGGCTAACGAGTATATATAAATAACTTCACATTAATTAAAGTTGGATTTTGCCACCAAATTTACCAAAAAAAAAAAAAATCAACTTTCACATATCTTTCAATTCCAAATTTACAAATAAAGAACTGTGGACATATATTATTTTGTCCTCAGTGAATACACAAGTAAGTCCACTTCCTCTTCCATGCTAGCAGTCCTTCCACTATTGGAAGACAGCTCTTACACTTCTCCCTTATCCACTGTGCCTCCACACGTCATACTTCTAAATTATCAACTGACAAATTAACCTAGTGTAATCAAAGAGGGCTAGAATAGGGCTCTACTGCTCATCCAGAGCAGCTTTCTTTCTTTATTTAAAGTTCAAATGTAGAATAATACAGGGCACTGGAGGAGCAGGCTACAGCACTGGCACTCCATCCTAGAAAAGAGGAGACTGGAGAAGCTGATGGGCCACACAGAGTTATTCCAAATACATCAAGACATACAGATGAAGGATTAAACTCTTATCAATGTGATTCCAAAACAGGATAAAAAAGAGCACGTATTGCCCATTACAATGTGCTAGGCACATCTGATGGTTTGCATGCATACTCTCCATTCCTCACTCTGCTCTATGAAGTAGGAGGTAACATCGTTTTATACATGAGGAAATTAAAACCCTGAGAAGTTAAAGTAAATGGCTCAAGGTCACATAGCAAGCCAAAGGGAGATCCAGGATTCTTATCTGATTCCCAAGTTGAAGCAGAACCCTTTCATATACTCAAAGGGTAATGATAACCCACCCAGCATCCCTGCTTCTTCATACATTTTAATCAATGACTTTAAAAGGGATACAGATGCCTGCCTTTCAAATTCCCATATGACAAGAAAATGGAAGGAATAAAAAACACTACATCACTAGGTCCAAAAAGACCCCAAATGACTAAAGTGACCAAGTGAATTGAGAAGGGGGGTGCTAATATAGATTACAATAAAACATTGCAAGTTGATGGGTCCATAAACCAAACTTGTTAGAGGAAGACAGGAGTTTTAGCTGCCTAAAATCTACTTTGAGCCCAGGTGTCAAGACGCTATTAAGACTCTAAAACCTGCAGCGCATTAATGGAACTCAAACATCCAGAATGAGGGAAGCTACAGACCACTCCTATCCTGTGGGGGGCCAGCTCAATCTGAAGCACTGAGTGTACTTCAAAACCCAAACTTTTATTGGGCCAAAACAAAGAATGTAACTAGGAGTGGGGCCACAACAGCAAACGTTCTGAAACCAGCAGGCACGGAGAATTAAGACTGTTTAGCCTGGAAGAGTGATAAAGGGTAGGAGGAGGCAAATGACAGCAGGCTCAAATACAGATGGAGATGTGCTTCCATCTATTTCTGGTGATGGCCCTGAAATGCAAGCATCCCTTCCAGTGGAGGCTCAGGATGGCGAGAGTGAAGGTGGAGGGAGTTATTCCCACTGGGGGACTGGCATGCCCCAGGAGAGGTACAGTGCTGTGTCTGCTAGCCGGCAAGAACAGGGGCCTCTAGGCAACAACGCCCTGCTTTGTCTATGGAGAGCCTCTAGCAGTGGGAACTGGGGGTAAGGAAGCTGGCTGAGTGACACTTCAATGGCCTGCCAGCGGGGGAGTTGTTTTTAGGCAAGTGGAGACTTGTAGCCCTCCTCCAGCCATATAGTGTAGGTAATTATCCACTGTGAGTCCTTCAAGCTAACCTGCTTGGAGCCTGCAATTCCTTCTGCTCTCCTCCCACGCACCCCATGGGCTGGCTCCAAGAACTTTTTCTTTTTGGCTTCATCCCCCTTTCCCCCAATCCTGCCCAAATGTGAACTGTACAAACAGTATGACTTCTTCCTTGCCCATACATGAAGAAAATCAGTCACAAAATTACTACACAAACAGGTTGAATGAGCAAAAACTGGTCTCAGCTGCTCAGGGGAAGGTGATGATGTGATGTGAAAATAATGAAATCTTTCAAGGGTTAAAATTCAGGTAGAAAAAAACAAAACAAGTTATGGTAGACAAGAGAAGAAAACAGGAAATAACTCTGAACTTAAATGTAAAATAACTTTCAGAAGCATAGTTCATTTTTTCTAAAATAAATGTGCAAACATTAGAAGTTCCATAAAGAACCTGCACCTATAAAATTTCACGTGGTGTTGGTTTAGCATGCTATAAAATTCGTATCTTTCTTAACCATTTCTGCTTTGTCCTTCTACTATATGCGTATTCCCCCCAAAACCTTCAAAACTTAAATTCTACTGGCTATTTGACCAAGTATTCTAAAATCAAAGGATTAATCTTTATAAAAACATGTACAGTTATATAGCATATTGCCAGTTCAAATACTTCTCATCTCCTTAAATTTCCTTTTTTTTTTTTTTTTTAAACTTTAGATGCTTATGCTGCATAGTATTATAACAATTCCAGGTTTGGATACCCCACCCAGATCTGGAAAGTTCAGCAATACATATGATCAAATGCCAGAAGTTTGCCTTTCAGGGGTCTTATAACTGCAGACCTAGAGTTACGATTCACACATTGTATAAAACATGCTATTGTAATTCTTACGGTGACTGAATAGTTAAATCTAATAATATAGGGTCATTTGCCCTTCAGTAAGGTGTCTTTTTCTTTAAAAAACATAAATGTTTGTGATTATTTACCCTACTGTGCTTATAAGATTTTAAAAATAATGTTCTAACTCAAAATATCCAAGGGTAAAAAGGGAAATAACTTCCAATAATTTTTATGAAATTATATAAGTATGTAGTCATTGAAAACTAAATAGCTACCAATAAGGGCTCTAAGTCTTCCTTTAAAATTCTGAGAGGTTGTCTGGTCATTTTTGCTAAGGATAAAGCTATTTAACCCAGACTAAGTTTCTTCTGGCTTATTAAAAAGTCAACTTTTTCTTTATTGTAAGTACTTTAAAATTGACTTTAATGTTAGTTAAAATATGTATTTGGTGCCTCTCCCTAAATAAGTATTGTAATTATTCTTCAAACAGTACAGAATTTTGAAGCTACGAAGAATAGTTTTTTAAATAGTTATTTTCAACATTTTTTACAAAACATCACAAATCATCAAAGCTAGCAATTTCCTATTAAAACAGAAAGTCTATTGCAAAGGCGTAAGAATAATACAATGGACTTTGGGGACTCAGGGGAAAGGGTGGGAGTGGGGTGAGGGATAAAAGACTCCACACTGGGTGCAGTGTACACTGCTCTGGTGATGGATACAACAAAATCTCAGAAATCACCACTAAAAAAACTGATTCATGCAATCAAAAAAGCAATTAAAACAGAAAGTCCAAGTAATATTTTAAACATCATAAAGCTATCTTCATACTACAACTTAGATTTTTCAATGTGGAGTTTTTATGTGATAAAAATGCCCTCAAAGATAGGAAAAGAGGAAAGTGGCACTGATTTGTTGGCATGAGGATTAGAGGCTGTGTGTGCTGGGGGGAAGAAGAGCAAAGTCTGAATGTAGGAAGGAACGGTATTGGTTACTTTGCTGTCCAGAGTCTGGTACTATTCAGAAGACTATAATAATCTATTAACTTGAATCTTGCTCATCTCACCCATCATATCCCTGAATATTATAAATTTTAGATCCTAATTTATATTTTGTGATTCAAAATATTTGAATATGGTTTTCCTGTTACCATTCCAAATGCTAATGAATTGCACACTCATAGACTCTGTAATAAAAACTTAATATTGTCCTATAGAATATATCAACCCAATATAACATGCCAAAATATAACATTCACCTAATTTTAAAACATTTTTCCTTTGAAAGAGATATATAATTTCCTTTAGTATATTAACATTAAAAAGACTAGGGAAAAATGTGAACTATGATTTTGCTTTCCTAAATTCCAAATTACTGAAACCTAAGAGGTTAACAAATTATTAACCACATAATTTTCTCTCATGATTATGCAGCCTTTAGGATGACCCCAACAAAATCTCCTATTTTTGCTTCTTCAACAGAAATACAGGTTTAGATGAGACTTGTTGGACTCAGTTCTTTCCTCCACCCATGGCCTCTACTCGGGGAGCTGGTCAAATGTGGAATTTCGAATATCAAATATGTATAAAATAAATAGATGAAAGAGTACATCTCAAAAGGTCAGTAATGAAATGCAAATAATGTTTTCATGATGTATGGAATGGAATTGTTATTTTCCAACAACAAAAAGAGGTATCAAGTATGCTCTGTATTTGCATTGCCTTTACACAAGCCTATGGGTCGCTACTATGATTACTCCCATTATACAGATAAGGAAAGTGAGCATTATAATGCTTTAGGAACTTGCATGGCAGTGAAATTCAAGCACAGGCAATCTGACTCATGAGCTTTAAACACTGCATTATATGTACAGGTGTGTATGTGTGTGTATACACACACACACACACACACACGAGTATGCCTGACAGCTTACCTAGCATATACATTTCTACACAAAGGGGGCTTAGGAACAGCAATCTGGTTGCAAGATTGAAGTAAATGCTGTATCTGAAGAATATTTTTACTTAGCAAAGGTGTTTATTTGGGGTGGTGAAGGGTATTGCTGGAGATTATGGGGGCTAGCCCCAACTCCTCCAAACGCCTTGAAGTTGCCACTGCCTATATGAGAATAGAAGAGCTGAGAATTTAGGGCTGAGAACATCAGGAATTCAAAGATGCTTCCATGGGGGACAGAACGGAGCTTGCTGACGCATGATGCCTATGTGACCTACATGTGCCACCATGCCCCATTTTCCTCCTCTGCCTTCCCTTCCTTGCATGTAAACATGAAGCCACTCGTAGCAACATCCTCTAAGTAGCCTGGAAGGATAACAAGGATGGATTACGGATAGGAAATGGTAGAGACTGGACTGGAAATGCTAGCTGAACCAGGCCTGAAGGAGAGTTGGAGGACAAATACCTAAAAATACAGACTGAGATTCCCTGCCATGGTATAATTGTAAGAAACTAGAAAGAATCTTCATTCCCCTCTTCTCAGGGCCTATAGAACATACTGCTAAGCTTCAATGTTTACAGTAAAGTACATTCATTAATAGTTCCAAGAAATGTTCAGCCTTAGATGTGTGGAAGCGGCTCTGCCATTTTTCTGCTCATTAACTCTATACTGGGAAATATAAGTTGCAACCATCAGTGCGTGGTTGTTTTCCATTTGAGTTTACATAGTTTTCAAAACAATGAATCATCTGAACTATGCAAAGGAAAGTTATGATGGTTTTAGTCAAATGATTAACTAGAGTTTATATATAGAACATGCATCTTTAAATAGCATGGCATCTACATCTACAATGCCAAGCTAACTATCCTTTTCTCCCTTAAAACCTGGAAACTTGAAGGGCTGTTAAATGTGACTATGTCCAGCACAGATCACAGGGCAAGGTGCAGGCCGGGCTCCACAGTGGTTAGGGAGGTGGATGCAGAGCCTGGACCTCCACCCTGGCCCTGCTGGCCCTGCTGGCATTAGCTCAGGAACATGACTCTCTCGGTAAGGAAAACAAAGAGGAAGCAAAGGGAAGGACAAGAATGAAATATGTGCTGCCATTTTGTGAGAGACCTTTAGGGACGTTAATAGAGGAACTAGGATCATCTCACAAACATTTACAGCTGTAAAACAATTGAGTAAACTAGTTTATTGTTTTCTAAAAATATGTAAAAATGTAAGGCTTTTTTTTCAAACTATAACTTGGATTCATAAAAATATATACTGGCTCATATGTTAAAATACCATCTAAAATGGTTCAGATAGTTATAATTAATATCCAAAAATATCTGACATTACCCACAAGAAACAGAGGAAAAACACAGATTTCTTACCTCAAAAAGAATTCATGGGGACTTTCTAGCTCTCCTTAGAAATTTGGCTTGAAGCAAAAACACACTATAGAGATTTGCCTTACTTTTCATGTAAATCTCAGCTTTCAATAAACATAAAAATACACACACACACACTCCCCTCAATTTATATTCAAAATATCAAGGGATTATCAAAACCCCTAATTTGCCGTCGAAGTCTGTGGCAAGTTTTATACCTTGAGTGAAATGCAGTCTAATTCCTATGTGGTTATATTTTAGAGGGAGGGGGGAAAAGCAACTTCATTGAAGCCAACGCTCCAGGCAGCCCTGGAGCAGACTGGATCCAGTTTGAAAAGAACTGGCAACCCTAAAACTTTTTGATAAGATAAAAATTCATTGATGTTGGCTCATATGAGGCCCACTTCAACTCTGCACTTGTCCTCCGTGTTTCCTTGGCATATCTGCTCCTTTCCTCTATCTACTTTAGCATAACTTTATTTTTCTCTTTTATCTTTCGATAACTGCACCCAGGGACCGGAGGGGATTGATTTTTTGTTTTGACTTATTGTTTGAAGATCTGTAACTCAAAGCAGCTCTCACGCCTCTGATGTCTAAGCTGGAGCAGCATAAAAGGTAAACCCAGGCCTGGGTATCAAACTGAGCAGAAGCAATACCATTTTATAATCAGCCATCTAGGTTTTCATCTTATTTTGACTTTCCCCTCACCCGGAGTCAGGTTAGCTAGCAAAGTGCGAGGTTACTCCTACGCCTTTGTTAGGTGACAAGAAGCAAGTTAAAATAAAAATAAATACCTCGATAGCTTTGCATGCCAGGGCTTCAAGATTAAGCATACTTGTACTTAAAGCAAAAAGTTATTTCCTACCTAGAAAAATGCCTTGCTTTTCTTCTCAGTGAAAGGAAACTTCAACACATTTGAGAAAGTTGCTTTTCAAAAATTAAATCTGAAAACAAGGGAAGATGGTACAACTGACAAAAATCATTTCCCCAAAAAGCCTCAATCAAGGTGAAAAAACATAATGCTTTTTTGAGACAAGTTTACAGACTCAAAATAAAAATGTTATTCTTGAACCAGAAGATGTTTAAAGAGAGATCCATATATATTAGGTTAGAAAGTTAGTTGTGTTTTCAGAGTTTGGTGTTAGCAGTAGTATGTACTCCAAATCAGCAAGTGTAATAAACCAAAGTTAAATTCACTTTCCTTCTCTCTTTCAGTATAATCCTCAAATTATTAGGATTATTTTTGTCCTAATTCAGCCAATATCAAATTCATATGTTAGTCTCTGTACATACAAATATTCACAAGAGTTTTGAGGGTCTGTTCCCTGAAGTTGTTCAGCTTGCTGAAATATGGTTACATATGCAAACATTATCTCCCAATTGTAACCTCATTTTCTGCTCTGCTGGACAGCGTGACCAGTATTTGTCATTGTGCCTCCCCCCCCGCCACATCATTCATATGTCTATAATTGTCATCGAGATGTGGCATGTCAGCGGGACTCCAGTGTTCTCTGCTCCCCGTCTTCACACAGTCACTCAGGTAACAAACCCGTAATCTCGTCCTGTTTTCATGATGGTTGAATTACACATAATTGTTTCTGCACAGTGATTGATTTCTGCCTGAATAGAGACCTCTGCCTTTTTTCAATGCAAGCGAGTGGCAGCCAAGTCTCTCCATCTAGGAGGAGGCAGCAGCCTTTGAAGAGATCAAAGCCAAGGCCGCAAGCAGTTGTGCGCCCTGGGAATATGGAAAGCCTTTATGCTCTCAACCCCATTTCCAGCATCATGTTGGATTGCAGCTGCATTACATTCTGCCAGCATTCTTAATGCTTTTAGTATTGACTCTGACATCACCGATAGCTGTTTTAAAGTAACAAAAGCCGAAGGATGACTTATTTTCACAACTCTGTAATTGGAACATGCAAAGATGGGGGTGGGGAAGCAAGAATGAAGGGGAGGGAAATACATTTGCTTTTAATTTAAAGCAGCACAAAAGGCCCAGAAAAAAAATTATGTAAGTTTCCACAAATGAAAACCATGTTTTTCATATGGAAAAACCAGCAGGGGCATTTTATAACTCAGACCACACAAAATGAACTGATGGCTAAATACACACTTTTTCAAGCCTAAAGGGTAAAATAAAAATGATGGGGTAAGTGATTCCAATTGGGAAAGGGACTCTAACATGTATTTGGTCTGAAGACTTTGCAGACACCTGATGCAAGGTGAACGGGTGCAGCTGCTAAAGACCTGTCCCGCGCCCTTACCTGCTCCTCCTTAGCCCTTTTTAATCAACTAAGCAGAGCAGATACTTGCATTTGTAAGAATCACAGGTTTATTTGGGAAGTTGTAAATGCATGATTCCATTAACAGAAGAGGAAGAACAGGAAAGTCAAAGGTGGTTTTCAATTCTGGCTCCAGATACAGAGACACAAATCAGTATGACAGGATCACGTCTTGACAAGTGAATCAAAACCTAATGCCACCAAAAGAGGCAGAAAAATTCCTAAGAACATAATAACCAAAATACATCAACACTAGTATCCTATTTCTTAAAATGGAAATTAAAAGTAAAGCTATTTCTAATTTTTTAAAAATAATTAAGACATTTTGGACTTATGATTAAATACATTGTGTAATTCATCCATTATTACATTTAAAATCAACATAAAAAGCAAGCAGGGCGACCATAAATCACTATACTATGTCTCTGGTGCTACATATAGTGTTACATATGTCCAGTAATCACTCCCTAGTAAGAAAACCTTCCGTTATTCCAATTCTAATTTTTAATTGCTGCCTTTGAAAATGTCTGCCCTAATCAATATTACATAGCTCTACAGAGAAACTCTGAATTTACATTCACATTGAAATGACAAGATTATGGATGGAGAGAGCAGGAAAGTAGAATCTTAAGAGAATTTATAAAATAAAATGCATCTCGTTTAACAAAGTCCCCTTTTCACAAAGATTTAATATTGTTTATGTAGATAGTAGTCAATGAACCATCAGTCTTTAACTTTTCCAAGTCTACAAAGTTCTAAAACTTATTGACATAGGAGAAATGACTATGAAATAACTGCTTCCTTTCATTCTGCACAAAACTTCTTAGTTCTGAAACACCAAGTAATTGGCGAACAAAAGCCATCTTTGTTTGAAAGGATTTTGAATCAACAGACCTGGCTGTAAGGTACCCAACTGTAAATTTTCTTTGAAAATTTGTCTGTAACTGTGCAGAACTGGAAAACTCTTTCTTTTAACAACCTGCCTACTTCAGTTTACTGGGTTACAGTTTTTATGTTTGTTTCATTTGGGGTTTGTTTTGCTTTAGAGGAAAGGGTACAAACTACATGAATTCAGAATTGCAAAAGCAAAATCAGCAAGAAAACCTGAATAATAACATCTCAAAATCTGTATATTTTTCTCTTGGAAAAGTGCCATCTTTCCTTAATTTTACCATTTTCGGAAAATGCCGGAAATAAGTTCCAGTGTTATCAAATATTTTTCTGTAGGTTGCATTCTTAATAAGCTTATCACATTTTCCATATCCCAAGGCCCCCTTCTAATTTCAGATTATCAGGCAAAAAAACATTTCTTTTGTGATTCTATCATTAGCCTTCTCTTGCAAAGTAACAAGCAAAACAGTCACTGGAAGCATCCCAGGCTTCCCATTCAAACCAAAGGAAAAAGTCAATATACGGCGCCCCCTCAATCCCCTGCCCCCGCCTTCTTCAAGGCCCTCCTCAGAGAAACCTGTACTTAGAATTTTAGTCACCTGAACAGCATGTGAGAGAACACAGCACCACTTGCTCAGCCACCAACCTTGAGAGAGGCACTCCAGTGGCTAAGCAGAGACAAACTAAAAGCATATGGAATCTCAGTAGCCCCCGGAGCTGTGGGCTCCACACATTTCTCAGACTGCCCTCAGCAAAAATTGCCATCATTGAGAATGGAGGTGACAACACTGTAATGATACACAGGAGACTCGTTATATAGCATAATCTATGTGCTGGCCTATTTATTTTTCCCTTCAGGAAGGGAAAAATAATCTCTTGAAGAACCTGGAGGGTCCTTATGCTCCTTACTGAAAAGAAAAGAAAACTGCCTCAGAGGTGAGGAGTGGGGGAAGCAAGCCGGTTGAGGAGCAGGAGTTAATAGGTACTGCCCAAAGTCTGGGACCCCTCTAGATGAGGCATTCCAATCGCTTCACACAAATACAAATTTACTCTTAAAAACCTTTAAATAACCAGATTCCATGCTTTCCTTTGATAAACCATTCCAATGTTTATTAATCTCTCCCTCTGAAGTAATTCTCCCAACCTAAATTCTTTCAACAATTTAAGTCCATTTCCTTTGGTTATTCCTTCAGTGAAGAACAAAGCTGGCCCCAGGCACATGCTAAAGAAACAGTTCTTATATTTGGAGCTGGGTTTAAACTGCTCTCCTGTCTTCCCCAAGTCAAATGAACAGCTTATCAAGCAGATCCCCCTGGGAATTGGCAGAGTTCTGCCATCAAGATCTACAATCATATGTCAATAATTGGATGGTGCCCAATTTTCAACATGCTCATGAAAGACTGAGAACTGTCTCAGATAGCACAGAGCCTTCTTTTCAAGCGGTTTCATCACTTGCACACACAGTACATCTTTGGTTTAAAATAGCAAGTGCCCTAGTGCAGACATCTAATCTAGAGAGAAGGAAGGGAGCAGAATTCCCACACAGCTGCTGGAGGGCAGGGCCACAGGAGGGGTGAACAGGAGATGCCACAAGGTCACCATGAAGCACGACCTCAAATGATGTCATTTAGCTGGGCCACACGAGGGTGAAACACAGCCTCAGCCCACAGCTCAGTGTGCAGCAAACCCAGGTGATTCTGAGCAATCTGCAAGTAATCTGTACAGCAAAGAATTGACCCAACCAGCCAAAAAAAAAAAAAAAAAAAAAAAAGAAGAGTATCCTCATGAATACTGCATAATCTGCAGGTTTCATAAAAAACTTTCATATGAAACACTCAACAGCCACACTTTCAGAAGTATCTTATCGGAACAAATAGGAATAGGGTTCCCGTTTACTTTCCCCAGCCATCAATCTAGAATAGTTGGTTATCCCACATCATACAAAGAATACATAGCATTATCCACTGGGGTGCAGCAGGAAGAAAATACTACAATGTCAATACATATTTCTATATGAAAAATTTTAAGTTTTACCAGAAATATTTAACATACAAATTGCCACTGGGGCCCCCGTTTGCTCTGTATGCCAGACGGTCAAGAATGCCAAGTGGACTGAAGATAACAGTAATAATGTAAGCACAAAAAACAGCAAGAAAATGGCAAAGCCAACAGTTCTACCTCTAATATCAACCCTTTAAGAGCTTGCATTAAAGCTAAAATCTGTAATGACACTGGACAAGACTTGTCAAGAAGCTGACCAAAATAACGAGAAATTATCAATTTTATTTGAAATAACAGCCATCAGATAATTATATAGTTCAGGTATATAATTCATAAATAATTATACAGTGGCCAAAATTTTTAATTGATGAGGGCTTGCAGTAAAATAAATCTCACCATGGATTTAGATATCTGAAATATCAATTGATTTCACTTTTCTTCCTCTCAATATGGATTAAATCAGCTCCTTTCCTCACTGTACTGATCTAACCTTCTGGAAGCAAGATGGAGCCATGGAAGCCAGAGTGGAAAAGAAATGAAGCTGTGATACTCACTGTGACATGAATGAACCCTGAATACATTACACTCAGTGAAAGAAGCCAGTCACAAAGGACTACACCCTATATGTGCCTATGATTCTATTCTTATGAAATGTCTCAAATAGGGAAATATGTTGAGACAAAATAGGTTAGTAGTTGCTTGGGCCTGGGGTGAGCACTGAGGGAATGAGAGATAAGGGGATAATAGCTAAAGGCTCTGGGGTTACTTTCCGAGGTGATGAAAATGTCCTAAAACTGACTGTGATGATGGCTGCACTAACTATGTGAATATACTAAAAACCACTACACTGTACACTCAAAGTGGGTAAAATGTATGCTATGTGAATTATATCTCAATAAAAATGAAACTATTTTAAAAATAAGTGACCACTGAAAAAACATTTGCTGAATGAATAAGTGAATGAATTCCTCCTATCCCAATTAAACAAAAGCCAGAGGAAAAGCTCTCCTGGACATGTTCTCCATGAGTAAAAACAACTGTGTTGCTTAGTCTTTGTCCACGTAGCGACCTTGTGACTTTAAAACACTAAATGTTTGCTCATGAAAAGGAGTATCTGGATGATGACTGGGGTCAAGGAATTCAGGATTCTATGAGAGAGTGAGCAGAGGATGAGCAGAAAGTAGGTATGGCTTGGTGTTCCAAAGGCAGACCTTTAATGGTAAGCATTATATACCAGTGGAATTATTCACGTTAGATGTCCAGATCTGATTTGGTATAATAGGTATGCACTTGTGGTGCCCCTAATAAGTTATTAACATATGAGATGTCCTCCCAGAACCAGGCAAAAAGAAGTATTGAGTCAATCTTCTACCTTTCTCATAGCATCAGACCTTGCTTCACCTCTAGAGCAGAAAAAACCTCCTTTCTTAAAAAGCACTGACGTAAATTCTGATGCTTTCAGTACAGGTTGAGTATACTTTATTCAAAATTCTTAGGTCCAGAGGCATTTCAGATTTCATTTCAGATTTGGAGTATCTGCATTATATACCTATTGGTTCAGTATGTCTGATGGGAAAATCAATATCCTAAAAACTCCGACAAGTTTTTTGTTTTTGTTTTTTGATCTTCATGTTAGTGTTCAAAGAGTTTCAGATTTTGAAGCACTTCACATATTGGATTAGGGTTACTCAACCTGTATCGATAAAACAACTCAAGAGAAATGCAAGTGTGTTTTCTTTGAGTGAGCTCTAAAGTCTGGTACCATAAGAAGTCCAGGAGCTTTTAAGCACGGGAAGCATACTGACACAACCGTGTTTCCCTTAGTCTACACAACAGTCCTTTGTTAGAGCTTCAGATAAGAAAACTGAGGCTCAGTGGGGTGCGGTGGCTCATACCTGAATCTTTGGGAAGTGCAGGAGGAGCACTTGAGCCTAGGAGGTTGAGGCTGCAGTGAGCTTTGATTACACCATTGCACTCCAGCCTGGGTTACAGAGAGAGGCCCGGGAGGGAGGGAGAGAAGGAAACAGGCTTGAAGAAGTTAGGGACTAGTCTGTTCAGGGATACATGGCTAGTCAATGACTTGCCTAACTCCATGTCAGTATTTTTTCCTCTACCACGAGATTAGCAACAATAGAAGCCTAAAAAAAAAAAGTCTTTAAAAGGTTTTTCTCAGGTAGCCAATATTTTCAAATTTGCATAGACATTATTGAATTAACTCAAGATTAAAATAACAAATAAGAACAAAAACAAACATCTCAGATAGCCCTGAATTATGAACGGTTTTTTCATTTGTAGCTTAAATGTCACATTTCTCTCACCACTACACAGAGGCCTCTGTTTTTTCCTTATACCCAGCCATCTTAGGAGGAAATATTTCTTTTTGAAAAATTTAATCTCCATTTTCCTCTATAGATACATAAGAAGCCCTCATAAAATCTAGTACATATAATCCTGTATTATGTAACTTTTTGTTGGCTTCACATTATTCACTAAATGGGATCTAATATCCTCAAGCCTGCAATTCACAGTCCTATGTTGACACCTTATTCCTAGCAGTACAGTGATTCCCTGCAATGAATTCAGACCACGTATTTCCTATATGTGGTAACTAAATAATATTTTTGAAACAGTCATTTCCTACTCTTTCCAACTTACCGTTAGGATGCCAGAAATTTTTTTAAAGTACTTGTGAGTAAAGAAACAGAAACAAAAAGGTAAAGCAATTTTCCCACCTGTAGTAAGTGGCTAATCCTGGATTTGGGCTCAGGCACTTAAGATGCAGAGCATGTGTTCTCAGCCACTACATGACATATGTAAATAAATGAAAACTTATCTACCTTCATAATATTGTTTGCCCAATTCAAATTGTAGTCAAATTTAACAACAACGATTTAAAATGTGGTTAAATAGTACAAAAAGCAAGTGCCTCACACAAGGTAAAGGTTTCTGGTGGTGGTACTAAATAAACAGTGACACAGTACCAACAGCATAAAACAGAAGAGGGTCTAAGTCCTGGCCTCCACTCTTACCAACCATCAGTTAACTTGGCAGCAATGTTTATAAACTTGTTCATTTCAAATGCTCTATAAATAGTTCTGAGTTTCTGAGTTCTATTCTTAAATAGTCTTAGGTTACTTAACATGAATGCTCTTTTAATAAAAAAAAAAAAATTTATCAAGCAACTTTCCTGGCCCAGCCCAGAGGTGTCTACACAACCCTTTTTAAACAAGTAAACCAAATATTCCCCACCATGCTTCAAATGGGCCACATGGAACTGAAAGCAGGTAAAGAATGAATAGTACATATAAAGACAGTCCTCTGGAACTGCTCTACTAGGCTGCAACACTCCAGGGTGAGCAGGCTAGGCTCTGTTCACACCTGTATCCCTGGGTTGTAGTAGTGATGTCATGCCTGCCTCACTCTGCTCAGCTGTGGATGTTTGCACAAGTGTCTCTCCCTCACTAATCTGTAAGCTTCTAGAGGGTGGTGACTCTGCTTTTATCATCATGTATCCACAATGGGGCTCAGCACACTGACTGTCAAAATAAGTATCTTCAATGAATATTTACGGAATGAATGATAAATCATTCCTGAAAACATTCTTTAGGATTTATCTTCATTCTACCAGGAAACTTGTTTATCCTTAAACTTTAGGATTAGTTCAGAAACTCCTATAACAACATATAATTAGTGAACTGCAATAAGATGTGCTTTCTGGTTATTGCACCATCCTATGAGGGTCAAAAGAGCTGTATTAGCATCTTCACTCCTGAAATTAAATATAAATAATGAACCAAACTAATGCTGCACGGATATCAAAGATAGCACTGAGTTACTATGAATTTTCTTATATTAAGTAGCAAGTTCTTTACATATTAACTTGCAAGCAGATCTTAATTGTGCAGGAGTAAAGAAACAGATACATGATGTTGGTGTAAAATAGTTTTGAACCATTATTTCATGAATAGTTTGTCAAAACTGTTTACATGCTTACTATGTAAAAAGTTATCTTAAATCAAGAAAGCTATGAACCAGCAAGTAACATAAACAAATAGATTGGCCGGGCGCGGTGGCTCACGCCTGTAATCCCAGCACTTTGGGAGGCAGAGGCGGGCGGATCATGAGGTCAGGAGATCGAGACCATCCTGGCTAACGCGGTGAAACCCCGCCTCTACTAAAAATACAAAAAATTAGCCGGGCGTGGTGGCGGGCGCCTGTGGTCCCGGCTACTCGGGAGGCTGAGGCAGGAGAATGGCGTGAACCCGGGAGGCGGAGCTTGCAGTGAGCCGAGGTCGTGCCACTGCACTCCAGCCTGGGCGACAGAGCGAGACTCCGTCTCAAAAAAAAAAAAAAAAAATAGATTATAAATATATTTTTAACACGGTTTCATTGTAGTGGTATTTAAAATAACAACAAAAAAACTTTAACATCCATAACTGAGGATAAATCCAATAAATTAAAGTGTGTATATATTTGTGTGTATATATGTACATATATATACATGTGTATATATATGTACATATATGTACATGTGTATATATATATATAACTGGATACTATCCAGCCATTACAACTGATGACACAGACCTACATTCACATAAAGATGAGCACACGTAATACATTTTTAATGACAAAAGATTATAATAGAATAATAATCTTATAAGCTCATTTACAAAAACGTTTGTATTACAGGTATAGATACAGAAAGAATGTCTGAAATGAAACAATTCATCAAAATGAAACCATTATATCAGAATGACAGAAATATAGGTACTTTTTATTTATTTTTTCTGTTCTTTCATGGGTTTTCCCCCGTTTTTATATATTACTGTTAACCAAAAAAAAAAAAAGATATTTCCTTTTGAGAAAAAGAAGAAAAGACTGTTCCTAATGTCTCCTTAGAAAGAAAAGTTTCTTCACTTTTTAAAGGAAACTCACTGTTGCAACTTCTCAGGAATGATCACAATTCCAGTTAATTCTAAACTAATTTCTCTTATTTAAACCAACATCATGATACCACAAAAATCACCACTAACTGCTCCTAAAAATGAAGCACATACCACATTTTAATTGCTTGCTGTGCAAAGAATGCTCTTTGGCAGACTTTTGCCTGTAAATGCTCAGTTCTTATGTAATAAGGAGGCAACATCATTTGCCAAAAAGATTCTAAGAATAATGAAACCTTTGGTCATACAGCTATTTGATTAATCTGTTTAGTCCCTAAGACTTGGGGACACTGGGCCTCTAGAAGTGAGGAATAGAGATTCCCATAAAAATCAGACACTTATCAAACTATGTCTGATATACCCCAGGAAGCAATATTTCCTGGGAATTTTCAAGAATACATTGAGCAATCACATGGTTATGTGTTGAATGAACCAGAAGACAATTTCCAAGTATTCTTAGAACCTTTTATTTAAGCCATTTACATTATTTAATAAAAGTATAACAGATACCTTTAATCCTCAAAGTAGTTTATTGACTAAGGATTACTCTTAACACTTCTGAGAGATGAACTGATTTATGAATTGGGCCCCAGCTCCTGAAAATACCTGACTTTGAATCCAAATTCCCTACCACTTATTAAACTCTGGTTGGGACTATGGACATTCAAGTAACTTCTCTGTGCCTCAGTTTCTTCACTGGAAACATAGGCATATTAGTAGCATTCACTTCATACTGTTTAGTAAAGATTTAATAAGAAAAATGCATGTAAAGTACATCATTAAATATTACATGCTAGTATATTATTAATACCAGTACTCTCTTCACCCTTGGACAAAATACTTATTTCTCATAATCACATGGAGGTTTCTGGTCAAGGTCCAGGAAGCTTCATAGGTAAGTGAAGTGATTTTGTGAGGCATTGTTGACTTACATCAAATAAAGTATGGACCAAAAAGATGCCCATAATGTAAAATGGTTTGGTTCCAGATCTTGGTTAATTTTGTTTTCTTAGCATAAAACTGAAAACAATGATTCCTAAGCTAAACTCATGAATGCCTGTCTTCAAACTGGCTTCTCTTTCCAAATTAATTATTTCCATTAATACTGTCCTCTCACCATCAGGCTAGAACACTCATCATCTTTTACACAACTCTTTCCCTCCTCCACATCTAACTGGTCACCTTTGAACTCTTGTGTTATCCACTAGCATCATAATAGCTATTACTACCCAAAATATGTTAAAGAAATGTACAATTTCCAATTTTATTCTCACAAAACCCTACTAAGAATCATTTCCATCTTACCTATGAGAAACTCACTGATTCAATAATCATCTAGCGTCTTCTGCATGCTAGTGGCAGAAATGGTAATAAGAAACTGAAGTTGCAGAAAGTACCCTGCTGTGAGAGTGAAGACTTGAGCCTCAATCTGGTACCACTACTTACCAGTTGTGCAATCAGGGTAAATTATCTGACCTTCCACTTCTTGACCTGTTTACAGTCGTCCTTACCCTTCTCTATGCCCTGCATGCCATTGCTCAACCTTCTCTATACTTCAGTTCCCTCAACTGTAACACAGGGATATCAGAGATAGCACTGAGTTACTATGAGGATTAAATGGGCTAACGCACAGAAGGGGTTTAGAACAGTTCCTGGCATGTGCTAAGTACTCAAAACTAATAACTAACGTCTAGTCCATGGATTCTATATGAAATGCTCAAATAATTTCTAAGCTCCATTTTGGCTTTGCGATTCCATACAAATTTATATATTTTTAAGAGATTCCATTTAAATACGGATTGATACCTGGTGTTGTTGCGTTACATTCTTGAAGTTTTAAAATTTCTGTTCTGTTTATTCCACAAACATCTGGTGAGTAACCTGCTCTGTGGCAAGTAATATAACAGGTTCTGGGCAACAAAGATGAATAAGACATGCTCCCTATCCTAAAGAAACTAACAATCAATGAGAAATACAAACACAAAGACAAAAAGCTATTGGAAAACATGGCTACAGAGCTCTGAGGGAGGACTTATGAGGACCCGAAAGAGAGAGTAGTCACTCTTGACTGACGGTGGGATCCGGAGGAACTTCATTGAGGAGGCAGCACTTACCCCAGACCTTTAAGGATGGACAAGACCCTGCTGGCAGGGAATAGAGAACAGGGCATTTCAGCGAGAGCAAGCTATAAGAATCCAAAGACAGGGTTTTGGAAAAGGGTTTAGGATGCAGGTCTGGGAGTGTAACTGAATCATAAGCTGCAAGGCAGAGTGGTGAGGAGGTAAGACTTGAAAGGGAGATGGTTCCAGGGTGTGGAAAGCTTTTAAAAATAATGCCCCAAAATGTGATTTAATCCCACAGCCAGTGGGGCAAGGCACTCGGGGAGAAAACCTCATGAGATCTGACGAGAGGTGAACAGTGCCAGTGGTCTCAATTAGGGCCCAATATGGTTGAGTGAAGAGAAAGTAAGCTTGGGGCCAAAGGGCCACACTTGGAGTCCCAGCTCCACTGCTTTCTGGGTGTGAGACCTCTGGAAAGTCATTTACATTATCTGAACCTCAGTTAAATTACTGAGCATCTACTGTGCCAATGTTTTTCCAAAACTTATTTTATAGAAGAATCAATGGAGAGTTTGTTAAAAGCGCATCTACATGACCTGCCTGTAGTGTGTGATTCAGGACATTTGCAGACGGGGCCAGTAATCTGCCTTTTTAACAGAAACACCTGTAATTCAGAGGCCACTGGCCACCTTCCAGCCATACCACCACCAATGCCAGATGAGGAGACCAAGGGTCAAAGAGTGTGAACACACATCTAGTCAGTAGCAGAGTGGTAGCATCTAGGTATATGGACTCCAACAGCAGTGCTTTGCTGCTGCTCTCTTTTATTTACTCATTTATTTTACCATTATCTTGGTTGGACCCTAGTCTCACTGACTGCAAGTCATGACTAAAGAGACAATCACCTCACCCTTTTCCCTTCCTCCCTAGCTTGGTCACTAAAGTAGGAACTGCTGCCCTCTCAGCAGTGGCTGTAGCCCTTTTCCCTCCCCAGCACCTCATGCACTCTCTACAAGGAAGGACACTCATCTCTTTGGCAACCTAGAAGCAGGAACTGAGCAAGGACAGACTGACCCTTTGTTCTCTCTGTCAGGCCAGCTTGCCCAAACATGGGTTTGGTCTCATCTCCAGTTCTACAGGATGTGAGCACCCTGCCTCTGCAAAAGAGGCATGTGGCTTGGTGTTGTGTTCAATTTAGGAAAATCAAAGGAAGTCCATGGTTTGTATCACAGTTCAAGTCACGTTCTCCAATGTAGCCTTATTGATAATACAGTTGGTATTATACTGCCTGATACTGTCTGGCCTTATTAATAATAAAGCTGATATTACACTTTCCCTCTGTCTGACTTTGCTGGACTAATTATTGACTTGAAGAGGCATGAAAATTATCAGCCTCAAAACACTAACCACAACGAAAGTTGAATGTAAACAAGTACATATTTTTAAATATTAACTTTATAAACATGTTTTTAAGATTAAATTGCAGTGCAGGTAACTCCTACCTAAAAAGGTGCATTGCCTTTGACTGCAATTCTGGCAATTTGTTCCAAAGAAACAATTCAGAATCTGTGCAAACTTTTAGTTAGAATATATGCACTTCATCACAGTACTGCATAAGGTGGGGAAAAAGGTGATACAATCTAAATGTCTACCAATAAAATACTGGTTAAATAAATTAGGCAATCTATTAAAAATGATGTTACAGAAGATTATTTATTAATAGAAAAAGATATACATAATAAGTTGGTGGCAAAAAAGCAAGTTGCAAAATGATACCTTATGTTCCTATTGCCATGAATATATAACAAGTATTTGTGTTTGTTTACCTACATTTATATGTGTGCACAGAAAGAAGTCTAAAAGGCCACACAGAAAAAGTGATCGTCTTTAACAATGTGATCCTGGGAATTTAATATTTGGTATTATTTTTGCTTATTTGAATTTTCTAATTTTTCCAGTGAACATGTATTGCTTTTTAAATTTCTTTTTATTTTAATAAAAATGGTTAAGCATTTTTGAAATTTTCAAGAAAATTGTAACAATTTCTCTTCTGCTTTCAATTTTAATCAATATTATGATGAATTTAATAAGTACTTTGTATTCTTAAAGGTAAATATGGCTATTTTAAATGAAAACAAACAAGTCTTTAGACCTTAAGGAACCGTATTAAATTGGGGCAGGTTACTGCTGTCGCTGACGATGGATCCTTGTCTTTAACACCGGGAGTATAACACTCACCCCAGTTTTCACATTAGGATTAAATTAAATATGACAACCCTGTAAGGTGCCTCGCACAGTATGTAGCACAAGGTAGTAGCAAAAAAAAAAAAAAAAAAAAAAATCAGTTGCTTTCCCTTCTTTTTCAAGCAAAAAAAAACCAAAAAACTTGAGTTTTAACTTAAAATTCTAATGTATGAATACAAATAAGAAAAAAAAATAATTCAAGCAATGATTATTTTCCTAACACTGCCAGACAGCTGACTGGTCAGCCCAACTGTAATAAACAGTAAATATTATTTACTTCATATTTTGGTTTTGTTACAGACTTTAAGATGCCAAAACAAAGTCTAATATATTTGAGATAAGATTTCAGCACCTTTTTCCCTCGATCCAGGTCATTTTAACCAGTATACAAAGATGATATGACCATAATTATTTTAAGGTACCATTTATAGTGTTCAAAATTGAGGGATCCTGTACAAAGAAAGCTGCATCCAATATATAAATATTTAACATTCATGGGATTTTACTGAAAGAAAAAGAAAAGTCCTGAAAGGAAAGAAGCTGGAATTTCCCAGGAGGCTAGAAAAACATTGATTTCTCCTTGCTGTTCAGCCAACACATCCCTTTGGACGTGATCCTTTTCGGTGACAAGAAAGCTAGAAAAATTTAAGCCAGAAGGAAATTCGAAGGGCAAAAAAAAATAACTTGCCCATTGTCCTTCATACGGCTCCTGGATATCCTTTCTCTATAATTTTTGCAGTAGAGAGAAAACCCCAGCTCCTATGGGATTAAGGGGGAAAAAAAAATCTCCTAACCAAAAACATATTCTTACCTCAATTCAACTCCATTCAAGTAGTTAAGAGTTATCTGGCAATTTCATATCAAATATTAGAAGGATATGAGACTTTCGGCTAACAAACCTGAAATTTAGAAATCTGTTCCCTCATACGTCTCATTCCCTTTCATGGTGGATTACGGTGCTAAAGAAGAAAATCTGCTGCTCTCCTAACAATCACAAGGAAAGCGAGCCCAAGAGAGGAAAATCAGATCTGTAAAAATACGATGACATTCCCCTGAATTTTTATTTATGCAAACATTTTCTAAAGGTTTGTGTAAGGCCTTCACCCAGTATCCAAATTCTGAGTCAGCATGATGGCACAATAGGAACCGAAAGTTTCTTCCCTTTCTCTGGAGTTTCCCGGGTAGAGTCAAGCACTTCTTATAGCTGCAGAAATCCCACCAGGTGGGGCCCAAGGCACTGACTTACACCATCTTAGACTCCTGCTCTGCGGCCACAGCTAGAAAACAGCGCTTTTGCAGGCTTTGTGCCATATGAACTTCTCATCAATCAGATCAGGTAGACAAGCCCGATATTAATATGCCATTTAACCTTCCCAAAGTTTTCAGAAGAAGATGATGGAGACCCGACATTAGATCTCAGGTCTTTTAACATCTAGCCTAGTCCTTCCCTTCTCTATGTTTAGCCATCATAGGGCACTGCCTACCTATCTCTCCCTAATTAAGGCTCAAAAATTTTGTTCACCACATTGCAAAAGGATAGAATCAATTTACAAAACACAATGGCCTAGAAAAGTCAGCACTGAGGCTGCCATGTGTATTTGAAAAGGACAGAACTTTTTAATAGCTGAAAATACCTCGTGATACTGAAAAAAAAGTTCCTTCTATTGCCAAGAGAATAAAAATGAATTGAAAAGCATTAACCACATGATTCTGAAACATACTTGAAGATGGTTTTCTTTTTACTAGTATTGTGTTTCCATCTCAAGAATCCTTCTGAAAAAAGCAGTTTTATCATCTCCATTTCTTCAATTAGGTTTCTAGGACCTAACTAACAGATAAGTACTTCCTAAGATAAATCCTCATATGAGGGTCTAGTCCATTCTTTATTTATTCCAGTAGTGCACTCCCCCGGCTGACTGTTTTCAGGAGTTATCTGGAAACTCTATATTCTATAAGGAGTAGTTTTGACTTCCTCATTAAAAACACTGGTCTAATGCTACTTTATTCACCAATGCAAAAAATAAGAGAAAAAGTAAAATAATCAAATACTAAGGATTACTTAGTAAACACTTTCAAGTTTTACTTTTCACGTAGCATTTGGTTTCATAAAGACAGATCATTTGGAAATATCCAGAAAACACACATGCAAAATTTCTTCTACATTCTTTATTAACTCAGCACATTTACTGAGGTTTCTACTCTGTGCTAGGCTGACTGTAACTAACATAATTCATCAGCAGTCCCTGAGTTTAAACTGGAGGACTGCTGATGATAGTCCCCCAGTTACTTTATGATGGTAACTGATTACTAGATGATTAACTATCATCAACATTTTTTATAATTTTTATTGTAAGGTTTCCAGGATTAAAAAAGATTTATAAAAATATCTTAGTAAAAACGCAAATATCATGTTATTGCTTGTAAGTGTGAGCTAAATAATGTGGACATAGAGTGTCAAACGATAGACAGTAGAGACTCAGAAGGGTGAGGGGGTAGGAGGGGGGTGATGATGAGAAATTTCTTAATGGATATGTTATCTGGATGATGGATACTATAAAAGCCCTGACTTCACCACTATGCAATCTATGTATGTAACAAAATTACACTTGTACTCCATAAACTTATACAAATAAAAGAAATATATCTTAGTAGGTCAAATTTTAAAATTTTGCTTTGGTTACTGTTTCATTCAGAAGCTGACAACAATAATAAAAGAAAATTAAGCTACCCTAGAACCACTCTCCTTTTTAGAGACCCTAACTTATATCTACCTCTTCATTCTCTCTCTCTCTCTCTCTCTATATATATATACACACACACACACACACACACACACACACACACACACACAAACACACATATAGCTCTTTCGCCCAGGCTGGATGCAATGGTGCGATCTGGGCTCACTGCAACCTCAGACTCCTGGGTTCAAGAGATTCTCCTGCCTCAGCCTCCTGAGTAGCTTGGCACCTGCCACCAAGCCCAGCTAATTTTTGTATTTTTTAGTAGAGATGGGGTTTCACCATGTTGGTCAGGCTGGTCTCAAACTCCTGACCTCAGGTGATCCACCTGCCTCGAGCAATAGGCAACTTTTTACAGGTGAACATAACAATGACAATAAATTACTATGATGAAGATCAAAATTTCATCTGCAAAACTGTCATCAAGTTCCACATAGGGTTATGTGTGAGCATAGGTAGACACAACGGTCAACAAATCCAGCTTTTTAAAGATTCTACTTGTCCCTAGCTAGCTGCAAAAATAAACTGTATTTCTAGACACTCTGTGATGCAACCTTCTCTGCTAGTCCTATTTCTCCTACAAATGGAAAAATGGGGTTGGCAACAAAACTCTTGCTTGCTCTGCACTGCCCTTGCAATTTTCCCTATACAGATTGAAGGCATGTGAGTACCATCGCTCAGTGAGCTTTGTAAGTGATCTAGAGATAACAAGTGGATAATTGCAGCAGGTTTACAGGTTTAGCTACAGTGGGTATTATACAAATGCACTCTTTTACAGAGACTTTATAATCCTCTACACAGCCTCTGCTAACAGTCTGCAAATAGTCCCAGCTAGATTATCAGAATTTCTGAGTTAGCAATGCCTCCTGCTCCCTGTCCAGTCCTCTGCTCAACTCCCCGCTCTTCACTTTGGTACAGATTAACTCCCAACTCCCCCCACCTCCACCCCCAGTCTTTGTTGTTGTTCTCTAGGATATTTTAAGGCTTTCATCTTCTCTATCTGAGATACTGGATGATTTATATCCCTAAAAGAGTTTATAGCAGAGTCCACAGTTCCTAGGCAGGTAATTCAAGATCATAATATTTAAAAAGTAATCATGAACCTAAAGTATAATTTTTAAATTATCTGAATAAAATCCAATGGCTGCCTTTTCTAAATAAGTAAGGACATGTAAGGATAGCACAGAAGAGTACTAAGTGTCTTGATTACTACAGTATTAGCTTCCTACAGATTGGCTCAGCTCAGCACAAACACTTAAGCAACAGCTTCAAAGAGGACAAGTTTTAAATGAACATTCCCTTAAAAAAAGAGAGAGAGAGAGAGAGCGCGCAACCTTTAGTCCCAGGACAGCAGCACCTACATAATGCTGAGCTCTACTTTTACCTGGGAATAAAACATATATGTTTTTCTGCTTGCTACAGACAGTGCTGGCATGTTTTCTCTTTAAATTCCAAGTCTTTTACCAAAATCAAAAGGAAATCAGCTTTATAAAATTCCAGTCATGTCTATGATACATAAATGAGGAACAAAAGGAGTCAAAAATGAAGTGTTTTGATTGCTCAAAAAAAAATTCAATCACATAAACCCAAATGGTTCTGTCTAAAGAACATTAAAAAAAAAAAACTCATCCGCTACAAAATTGATATTATAGCAAGTGCTTGTGAGTCTACAAATTCAAGTCCAGAGAGTCCCATTTGTGAGACCCTACCTCTGCTCTGTTAAATCACATAAGGGTCTCGGACCACAGGGAAGACTCGATCAAAATAATGAGGTTGATGAGAGCAAATCTAAGACCTGTATGGGAGTGGAAAAAATACTTCAAAAGCAAGATTTTTGCGGATTGGCTCAATGGTCTTTTTTTTAGTGTGTGGTCTTTTTTTTTTAAGACTATCTTTTGGGTTGTTCTCATGTCTTTATCAATGAAGAAGAAACTACTAGGGTCATTTCAAAAAAACTATCTGAGTAAGAACCAGGCATGTAAATGCAATATTAGCTCTGCAAGGGTTACATGTAGTATGGCTTCCTGGCACACTTAAATAAGCAAACTGGCCATAAGGTATTTGATGGGGGAATGGCAAGCGCTTCCAATTATTCTGACTATGATCCTGTCCCAAATTGTAGCAATGCCATGAAGGAGGGATCAAACAGGAAACTTTGGGGGCTCTGAGGAATTTTCCCACACATTCTCCTGACATCTATATATACATTTGAGTTAGAATAATACACTTTCTAAAACTTATTCTCCACTTGAAGGGGAAAACTCAATGTGTTTAGCTTCAAAAAGTGCACAACTTAAAATAGAAAAGTGAAAATTATTTATAGGTTAAGTCAAATTCAATAGCTTCTTGCAATAAAGTGAAAAGATACTCTACCTTAAAAATCTTGCATGAGATATAAGCCTTAGTCTCCATCTATCCTTGAATATTATTTATGTGATTATTTTCAAAGGTATCCAACAATGTCACGTACAGTGGTACATTCAGAAGCTTACTGATTAGACAAGTCCAACTTAGTTCCTTAATTCCAGATGTGAACAATGACAAAATCAGATTTTAGCTGTTTATAAGCAAGTACAAATATGCAGGGTAGGTAAGACAAAGTTATAATAGGTATAATTCTGTTTAATAGAAACCAAAGTGTTGATTCCCTTAAGGTAAAAGTCACAACAGAACTAAGTTATACAAGGTAATTAGAAAAGAACTCATGGAACATTTTCATAGCAATTTCTACTTTAAAAAAATAAACATTTTAAAAGATAGCTGAAATGAGAACACCCATATCTTTCCTTTCCCACCTAAAAATTGACTCTTAGAAAGATCACAAAGAACCAAAAACAATGAAGTTTGCAGCGCTACACTGACCAGGTGTTATTGTGGTTTGATGTGACTGAGCTGCAACGTTTGCTGCAGCTTCCTGCACTGTGTTGCTTTTCCCTCCCCAAGCATCTGAAGAGAAATGAGATGTTTCTTTTCTAAGGTGTTAAACATTTGGGTTGCATGCGGGACAAATGGAAGATTGACGCCTAAGATGAATAACCACAGTGCATTAGGCCAGTGGGAACTTTCACTACATTAAAGCTGGCCAAGCTCACCATTCACACGGTGTTCAGGCACACAACTGCCAGAGCCAAACTAGGGATGTAAAGAACTATTTTTTTCTTTTAATACTTTACCATTGGCCTACAGGGATTTTCATAAATAAAGTTCAGAGAACGAAAGGTTTGGGAGTATGCTTTTAATAAACTCTCCAGGGTCCTGGCTCTAAAATATTTAACAGGCTTCTGCATCTTCTCTTCACTCTCTGTGAAGAAGACCAACTCAAGCCAAAGTTTACTATGCCCTAAGAACTCACGCTGACACCAAATATGTCATGATAGGTGCTTTCTTCTTAGACCCAATTTATCTGAACTAAGAATTCTTATTTAAAATTCTGTGAGAGACCCATTCATAAGATTTCTGGTATAGACACATTCACACCCCTAAGGATTCCAGTTCTAGAAGGATGTAATTTGCCAATTAAAATTCCCCTTGAGAAGAAAAAAAGCTGAGTAGGTGAAAGTGGTGCTCCTGAACAGGTAATACTGTATATTGGTCATAGGTAAAATCTGTTCCAGGATACACACAGTAGCATTTGTCTAAAAAATAAGCAAAAGCATATGCACTTTTTATAATTAGATTCCAGCAGAAACATTTCTCTGCATGCCAGTTGGCCATAGCTGGTATCCTCTGGATTGTCTGCAGTTAGATACAAACAGAAGACTGTTTAGGGAAGGAGTGGTCAGGTCCCTCCCCCACCCCAGGTGTTTTTCCAGTCCTAACACTTTTGGGAAGCAGATGCAGTAAACAAGCAATTGTTTGTAATGGAAATTCAAGAAGCAGGATGCCAAGGGGATGCTCCCATCCTAAGCCCAAACACAAATGGTCACCATGCTCCTGACACCCTAGATGAAAATCTATCACTGTGGATGTTAGTGACACAAACACTCAGCCCTGCTAAGGACAGAGTTAAAGAGCAAGAAGGCAGAAGTGTGGTTAGGGGTGAAGAAGAGAGGCTGTCTTCCGGTTAGTGTTTTTGATCTCCGACACATTAAAAACAGCTGTTAGGTATTAAAAACCAAAGATTGTAACTCACTTCGGTTGGACCCTAAAAAAAAAATTTACATAGTCTTGTGGTTACAGCTGAAAAGCTTCTGGAATTGTGCAAACTGCAGAATATCTCAAGAAAACATGCCTAAAATAAATACATCCTAATATTTAACAGAATAAAGCAAAGCAACAGATAACAGGGTAAGGTAACTGTTTCCTGACCACACCTCTTTCCTACACTTTACCCAGACCAACATTTATTCTGGCCACAAATCTTTCCTAAACAATGAATGACTGTTTGATTCACTGACCTCAAAATTTTAATACATACACTAACAATAAATACCTTCTATCAAAAGATATTTTCTATCAAAATTTCAAAATGACTAGTATACTGGTAGATTGGGAGAAAAGACTGTGGAAACACAAGGCAGAATGCTGGCATAAAGAGGAAGATCAGCTTAATTTTCAATATTCTTAGGGATTGCTTATAAATACCAATAAATTTTCATTATATTGATTTTTTAAAATTACCATTTTGAAAGGAGAAGTAGCTGATCTTTTTAAGAAATAAATTCCACAAATGCTGTATACTCACAGCTGAAAAACGTAAGGCTGTTTTGTGGCTATTTTCTATTGTCACCAACACTACTTTGATTTGGAAAGATTATTTGTTATTCTGAAAATGATTTAACAGGAATCTTCAAATATTCCTTATCTAAAACATATTCTCCTTCCCTTCTCCACCCCCTCCAAAAACAGCAAAAAAACCTGCCCAAATATTAAAGAGATATCTATATATTTGTATGTTTTGTTCAAAAATTTAAAGTCTCCTACAACTTTTAAAACTCAAGCATTTATTTGAGGGGCCTCTAAATATTAAACTATTTTTGCTTTTTTAAATTACTTTTTAAGTAGGAGATTCATCCTCATCACACAGACATCTTTATCATTAAATACTTGAAAAGCCTTAAAATAAAATATGAAATACCTATTTCTTACAGCAACCATCACAAGATCTCCCTCAAGATTAGAACCCCAAGATCTCCACTTTAACTACTATATAAAAATTAGAAAAAGCTTATTCCTTAGCTGAGAGATCAAATATCCTTTAGCAATTTATTGGAAAATAATTACAATAACATCTAAATTGCAGTGCTCAAAGTGATCATATTTGATATAAGTATCATTTCAACAACTGAAGATTATGTGTAATGATAACCACAAATACTCTTGTTGATAACTGTTGATTTTGAGCCACTATTCTCTGCTAGTGAATCTTCTCACTCCCAGATTTTGTTCACTAAGGTATTAACAACGTTACTCTTCCCAGATGTTTGTGACTGATTTTTTTCAGTTGGTAGAAACACTGGGCAAGTAAGTCAAACACTATAGGTTCCATTTTACAATCTGAGATTTGACCTCCAGGGCTGTCAGTGAGACTGGAACCCTAATCCCCGAGACCCATAGACATGTGTTTTTCATTGGGGGTTAGGTGATAAAGGGAGAGTGGGGCTGGAGAGAAGGTAAATATATTGATGGGTCAGTAAAAAGTCCGTCACCAACGCTGGTGGGCTAATTCTAAGAGAGAACTCCATCACCAGCACATTTTACATCTACATACTACACAAGTTACCATTTAGGTATTTTCTCACTTAAATGAGGTTTCCACTTCCTAAGAGAAATATCATCAAATAAACCTGAAATTCTTTATAATGTTATGCATTTGCATAATGCAGTTATAATACCACTGCATTTTTAGAATTTTAAAAGTTAACTAAACCACAAGATTAAAAAAAAAAGGAACAACTTTCATTAGGGTTATCTTTGAGTGATGCTTTCTCAACAATTGACAATAAAGCAAAAATAACTCATCCCCGCCAAACCGATCCTAAGGAAACATTGGCCGATACAATAAAACAAGACACCATTTGAAAAGCCAAAGTAACATAACAAACATTCAGCTCCAAATGAGCTAAAGTAGCTCTGATTCTAGAAAGCTTGTGGGCATTAAAAGCTATACAGTCCTTACTTAGCTGAAAAAGTAAATCAATTTTTTCCTCTCATCAGCATAGAATGCACAATACTCATAAAATCAGGGATTTGTTGATGTAACTTCACTTGATTTTATAACTTATGATCTGTTACATATTTATTTTAATCAATAAGCCAAAAGCTAAAATTTCAAAGGCAAGACATCAAAGGTAGCACTGTTTTAAGGTGGCCATTCCTCATAACAGCTCTTATTTAGCAACGACTAGTTATATATAATGAAAGCATTACCAATGAGTTTGGAAAAATAAACATTCTGCCAAAATACAAATCAATTTGCACTTCTGAACATAATTTGCAACATCAGCATGTTACTTACTGTTCTCGGGATGGGTGGAGAAAGAGATCCATTTGACATGTATGGGTCGTTATTCATATTTGGCATCATTATGTACCCGGAATAACTCGAGTAGGAGGGTCCCTTGTTGTAGAGGCCTCCATCTGGATGCTTTCCTGGGAAGATCCAAAGAACAATCAATGATGCACTGACTTCCCTTTTATATTACTGTATTTTTCATCTGAAAATCTAATAGTTCTAAGATAAATCAGACCCTACATAAAAGATTTGTTTACAAAATACTGTAACTGGATTATTATGCTCTATTTTAGATTGACAGTATTTATTCTCTTAAATAGCTTAGCAGCAAACCAGATGTTTTAAAAACATGTAGTTCAAACAGTTCTTCCACTACTGACTGATGTTTTTACAAAAATAAGTGTTATCCATCTAACTTAATTTGTTCTAATACTAACAAACTGGACTAAAATATACAGAACACACACAACTTTAAAAATGTAATATAAATATATTAGGCCATCTAGCTACACACAAACACAGAGATTTATACACTTGAAATTATGTTTTGCCTTGTAGACAAACTCAAAGATTCTACCTGTGCTTGCAGATTTCTAGAAAAATTTCTAGATTCTACTGAAAGAGTTGTTATCTAGTATATAGGCAACTATCTAAATTTATAAAGGATTAACTCTGGGAGGCTTAATTTTATGTGCTACACTTAGATCATTTTGCCAAAAAATTTCTGTTCGATATGTGTATTTCTTCTTGTTAATCTGTGTAACTATCTTGTAGCTGAGGAAGAAGCCTAATATATAATTCTCTTCCCTGCTCCTGGTTGACATATTGTATGTAAAAACACTTCATTTCAGTTAGGCCAATTGTTAAGTAATTAATGGAAAACAGATAGGCTGACAAGAAATCCCTAAGGTTACTTGATTCTTTTAAAGTCACAAAGAATTCTCCTTAAGTCTAAATACATATGTATGTAATTTTAAAGTTTTTAGCAAGAATCAGAAATAGGGAGAAAGGGTATCATTTCTGATATGCACATTCCTAATTATAAGTTTTATATTTTTACAAGTTAGATTCTGCTCTGCTCATTTACTGCCGGCCTTTTCACTGTAATAAGGAACAAGAAACAGCAATTTTGCAAGTGAAAATCCACTCAAAACTATTCTGGTTGGAAAATAAATCGATATATACTGTCGTTCTTCTTAATAATATATTAAAAATACTAAAGATCTAAGCTAATTAGGATTTAAGGTAAGATGAGGAAGAGAAAAACTCATTGTAGACATTCCCTCTTCCCAAAGAATCTGGAACCCACCTGAAATCCAAGGGTCCCTAACTCATTCAAAAACAGTTTTTAAATTATGTAATATATATTAGAGGTAAGCCATAAGTTTCCTGCGTTTTCTTTACCATTAAAATAGTGGGCATAGTCTGACCTAGTCCCAGTTTCTTGAACTCAAAAGTAACAAAACACACCTATTTATACAAATTGCACCCCTTATCTGCTAAAGTCAGAAGAAGTAGAATGGGTGTCTTACCGTCATCGGGGTGTTCTCTGGCCTTGTCGTGGTAGGGCTCCTGAGAGGTTTGTGCTTGTCTGGCCACCTAACATCATGAATCCCCACACCCAAAAGAAAGAAAATCACCTTAGAGTTTGTGACAATAATGGTACAAATGTGTGTGCGCTGGTAATTCAAAGGAAGAGGTTTAGGGGCAACTCTGTTTTATACTCTGAGAGACATACGCTAGTGTTTAGTACTGCATAATCCTTTTCTTGTCAACATGTATTTTTGAGTGATTATTATCCACCCGGGACCAAAAACGTATAAATAATAACAAAACCAATAAAAATATAGTTAAATTTGGGAATGATCCACATGCTGTTCTGACTGCTGTTTATTAAACCATATCAAGGCTCCTTGGATGCCTAATATTACAGGAGTAGGAGTTAATGGGGTTGATGGTTTCGATAGCCTCTTCAACCACTGTTCACTTCAATCAGATCTGATTAAAAGAAGGCTGAAATATCATTTTGCAACTGAAAATGGCATTTAAACATAAACAAGCCAACCACTCAGATGCGGTCTTAAGGCAACTGCCCTGAGCGCAGTTACAGCAGAAGCTCCACTCGAGCTTATAACCTACTATGGCTGGCTGAGTGCAGGCTTACAAAAGTAGAACGATTCTGTGGTTAAAGGGAGGAAAATTAGAGAGTCAGGTTATAGACATCTAAAAGGTAGCCCAGTTGATATCAGTTTTGGTAATCACCATCCACCCAGACAGCCTCAAACACGTGCAAATCAGTGGTATTACTCCTTCACCCTCAGGCCTCCTCATGCCCACTTAACACCCGAGTGCTCTCGGATTCGAACGCAGTGTCCTTCACCCGGACCAGAAAATTGTGGAGAATATGAAGTGGGTGGCAAAATTATTTATGGACTAAGGCAGGACTAGCAAAATGGGTAGAAAGAGAGGCTGCTCTACAAATAGGAGAGTTTGGCAAAAAGCCTGTGTTTTGGATGTTATTCGGTTCTCTGGACGTGTGTCCTCCCTTTGACCTCCTTTTCCCAGCACACAGTAGTCACAAATCTTTTACGCGGGGTTAGGTGCACCCTACCCCCGCCCCCAGCCCGCTCAAACTGGATTCAACGGGTAAAGAACACCATTCTGTTCTCTGAACGCAGGCCCCCAGCCTTTCAAAATTCGTACTCACCTCTGCCATTGGGATAGAGAAGGCAGATCTGAGGTGTTCTTAAACGCGCTGTTTAAAACCCAAAATGTCCCCGCCCTCAAAACCACACACTTTCTTTTTGGGGGTAGAAAGATGCCATTTAAGGAAAAAAAGGTATATCCTCCAAGTTTCTTTGGAGGGAAAAGGCGTTGGTTAAATCATTCGGGTGTCAGGACTTTTCTACCGGATTTCCTCCAGAGGGTTTCCCAGTTGTGGAACAAGGGTGACCAGTGGAGTGTCGGGTATCAGGGTCCATCCGCCCCCTAGACCAGCTCTGGACTAGGCTTCAAACAGCCCTCCAGCGCGGCCCTGCTCCGCGCTTTCTCTAGCCAGCACCCACGTGTCTCTATTTACTCTACTCAGGTTACCAGCTCTATCGCCCGCAGCGGGCCAGAAGACCCGATAAAGCGCCTTCCACCCTGCAGGACTAGTGCCCGGCTTCCGCTGCTTCTCCGCCTTTCTTCTGCGTAGATTTAAGGCCTGATCCGGTCCCAAACCCCAAATAAAAGTTGTGGGTTTGTTTCCAAGTGATGGCGGTTGGAGAAAACTAGAGTTGGGGGCGGTACAGCCAGGGTGTACCCTTGCGGTGGGTCGGCTCGGCGCACCCACAGCTCCCAGCTGCTAGCCCAGGCGCTGGGGCCGCAGGGACTGAACCCCGCACCGCCCCCGCAGCCCGGGTGCGCGCCCCATCGGCCGGCCTGCTCCCCGCGGCCCGGCTCACCGGTGGTAGGGACGGCCCCGCCTGCCCCAGCCCACGCCCGCCTCCCCTTCCTCCCGCCTGTGGCTCTGCTCGTCTCCACCTAAGCCTTTGGTGGTTTAACGCACTTTTGCAGAGACATCTACCAAGAGATAGCGTGTGCACTTTGTTTTCCGTCCCACGGAAGAATTTATCAGTAGCGTTATTCAGCCCTACTCGCTTTAAAGCACGGCACCCCTCAGCCCAACAAAAAGACCGAAGGCGAAACATTGTGGGTTCCTGCCCGCGAACCAACCGTTCAGCCACCGAACCCCCTAAACTGATCCATTTGGAATAAGTTACCCTGCCCCTCTACCTCCCATCCTACACACACACACACACACACACACACACACACACACACACACACTGCGGACCGGGGGCCCAGCTACGCACACACCCCAAAACAAACGAGGGATCTACTCGGGACCCTCAGCCGGGCGGCCGGGCGCCTTCGTTCCCTTCCTCCCTCTCTGAGTTTCCCAGGGACCCGCCACGCCTCTCGGAACTGGGGCAGCGGCCCGCTCACCTCGTGTCCGTTGCTGGCCGGGATGATTTCAGACTCGTTCACCAAGGAAGACTTGATGTCAGCTAAATCGCCTTCCTCTTCGGGATGACTGATCTCGGCGAAGATCTTTTCCTTCTGAGGATCGCCCTCGTCCTTGAAGGGGATCATCTCGTCCGTGGCGCAGAGTTCCGGGTCCCCCCCGCCGCCGCCACCTCCTCCGGAGAGTTGGGGCATCCCGGCGGCTCTGTAATCTCCGCTCCGCTGTGGGAGCACCCGCGCAACAGCAGGAAAGACAGAGGGGTAACTCAAGGGTGGGGGAGGAAAGGAGAGTTGGAAGGGTTCGTGCAGCAGGACAGCGGGCGGAAGCGGGGCGGGCGAGCGCGGGGCCGCCGGCCGGCAGCCGGAGCAGCTGCCGCGGCGCCCGAATCCCGGCGGCCGCCGCGCTTTCCCGCTTCGCGGAGACCGACGCAGGCGCCCGCCCCCGAGGCCGAAGGGCACTGGGCGGCGAGGGCTGCGGTAGCTGGCGACTCCGGGGGCGTCTGCGCGGCGCGCGCTAGACGAGGCTGCCCCGGCGGCCACCCCGCGACCCCGCGTCGCCGGGATTTGCGCGCGGAGAACGCCGGTTCTGGAGGGAGCACGCCTCCCCAAAGTGCAGAGGAGGGTCCGGCGGCGCGTCTCCGCGGAAACCCTCTCCACTGTAGTTACCCCGGATGCCGACTTAGTAGTTTGTTTTCCGAGAAAAGAGAGGGGATCTGGGCAGAAGGGCCCCGTTTGCCCCAAAAGAAGGTGCAAGGATCAGAAGATAACGAAACGTCCACTTCCTGAAGGGTGGGAAAAAAAGAAAAAGAAAAAGGAGCCACCCACGCTGGAGATGTCCGTTTTAGATCTTCTTATTTTCTTCCCTTTCGCTTCGGTTTTTCTTCTCGAGGCTCATTTAATCTGCTAGAGAAGGAGGAGGAGCAGAAGATGGGGGCCGAGGAGGAGGGGAAGAGAAAGAGAAGTTTGCCAAGAATAAAGTTTTTGCCGGCAAGCGCGGGGACTCCGCAGTGGAGGGCACTGCGGAGTCTCGGGGAGTCACAGCGGGGGCCTCGGGCCCAAATGCCTCTGCCCGGAGCTCGAGCCGACACACACACTCAGTCCGACCCCTCTTTGTTCCCGGCTCGAGTTTCTCAGCCTGGCTCGCCGGCTCGCCGCTCTGCACGCCTCCGCCGGCCAGCTCTGTCAAAGCAAAGAGCTGCGCCCCTTGAGTTCGCCCGGCCGAGGGGAGGGGACGCCCCGAGCTTGGCCGCGTGCGAGGCTCCGGGCGCGTCCTGGTTCCTCGGCCCGAGAGCGCGCAGCCCGGGTCCCTCCTCCGCGCCCTGCCCCGCAGGTGAGCGGCTGCGCCTCCCCACTGCTTCTCCTCCTCCCGCGCCTCGCCGGCGCTGAAAAGCTACCCACTTGCGTCGCTTCTCCTCCCTCTCCCCTCCCCCGCCTCTAGCTCTCCTTGGCTGCCCGCTGGAGGGGAGGCGGGGGGTGAGGGGGAGTCGGCGAGAAGGAGGTGGTGATTGAGGGCTTTTTTTTCTTTTTCTTTTCCCAGATCCTGTAGGACGAGTCTTGGTTTTGGGGTGTGTGAGTGTGGTGTGTGCGCGCGCGCCTGGAGGGAAGGATCAGGCAACTTGGCGAGAGAAGGAAGGACCGGGCGCTGCTTATAACCCACCGAAAGGCACGCTTTGCCCGCGTGAAACTGACAAGAAACATTGCCGCAGTGGCTTGACTTCATCATCTAAGTATCTATTTACTTGGCCCCCACCCACCCACTCCTTTTCCTCTGCCAGTCTCTCCCCTACCTCCTTGACGCCTCCCACTCTCCCTCCCTGGCTCTGGCAGAGGGAGGAAGATGAAAGAGAAAGCCGCTGCCGCTGTGATGGACACCACATTGATAGATGCTCTGACAGTGGGGAGAGGCGGGAATCTGGGACTGAGAAAAAAAGGAAAAGGGGAAAATATAACAGACATTGCTCAACTATTAAGAGAGAACAGAAGGACAAGGAAAAGAGAGTTGTAGCTTTCCCGAATATAATATCACACACACGCTCTTTGGAGACAAGGGAACACACTAGTGAAAATAAAATCTCTAGGCTTACGGAGAAAAAATATGACGAGGAAGAAGGAACTGAAGACTAGATTTTAATTATTGCTTTTTAAACAATATATCTTTCATTCTGTTCTCACCACGGGATGTACGGAGAGTTGTGCTAGGTCTCCAGTGGGTTTTCAGAGACACACACCGCAGTGTGTGGGAACCTCATCGAGAATGAAAAGATAATCCAAGAAGGGGGAAGAGAAGGCAAAAGGACTCAGGAGAGCAAAGCCAGAAGAGGGAGGGAGGACGGGGTAGTCCCTGGCACCTTGGACTGCGAACTGAAAGGGACCCTTGAAGACACCAATCCGAATACAACCTCAAAAATTCCCCAGTCTCCACTGTCTCTTTGATGAATTTTGTACAAAGACAGGAGTTTTCAGGAGATACTTTGTGAAAGTTACAGCAGAAGGGAAGCTGAAGTTTGAAAACACATTACATTTTGTCCCTTGGTTCTCAAACCCCCTCAGTTAAAAATCTAGGCAAAATTATTATATCCAATACAGTAACCATCTGTAAAACTTCAGAACAGTAAACAAAGGACATAAAGAAATGTATCTTCATCTCCCTTAAATCGAAAACAAGCAAAACACTACAGAATCAGATTTTGCTCCATTATATAGGAATTGTCTGGCAAAGATCCCTCTTTTTTTCCTAAAGGTGAAATTTCAGGCTGCTGAACATTGAATGGGTAAAGATTTTTACAATGCTGTATCTAAGTGAGCACTAATGACTTCACCTACTAATAACGACTACTTCTTGGGAATAAGAATTTACTAGGAAGCAATTTTTAAAACTTTACAAAGGATCCAATTGGTCCCTACAACATGGCCAGTAGTCACATGTAAATTCTATCTGGAAGATTGGGGTGAAATTAAGGGGTTGGTGAAGGAATCCAGGAAAATTAAAACATTAAATCCATTTTTAATAGCTGACAATGCTATGCCTCAAGAGAAGAAAAAGAGTATATTCTGCTACAGTGTGTGAGAAACCCAATTTTTGTTTTTGGATGATGGTGGTATGTCACTTCCCTTAAAGTTAGGCACCAGTGTGAGTAGTGTCCCAGAGAGGTGAACGTGTAGCTGTGTCAGACATTTATAGCCCCATTCTTAAAAGACACATGGGAAAACAGTCAAAAGTCCTCCCATAACTGCACCAATTTGACCAATAGGAAAACAAGTGGAAAATGCAGTTTCACCAAAGCAGAGTAGAGGTTCCTTTTCATCAAACCCTCAGGAGGGGGAGGGGAGAACACAGAATGGCCAGGGGGTACTTTCTGGAAGCCGAAGAGAGATTAAATGATGACTCTTACATCCCCCCCGCTGTTTAAGTGCTGAAACTAATTCAGATCCCACTTTCTCCTTCATGTTAACTCTGGATTCCCCGAGTAATTTGGAGCCTATGCTCCAGGTTTCCTGAAGATTAGAAGCTCAAGAAGATGGGAATTTTTAGAACAATAACTAGGGGAAACTGTTTACTTGAAGGGCCAAGGGTAGGGGGCTGCGTTTGGTATTTTACTGAGACCCCGTCCATTGAAAACATTGTTTCTAACGAAATCACCCAGCACCTTGCTCTATTTGCGTGGCTGTTTTCCTTACAGTGGTGTAACTTGTGTTAGCTGATTGTCTTTAGGATTGTTGTAAATCTTCTGATGAGCAGCACTTAGAAGGGGCTTTAGTAAAAACCATGCGCCCCAAATTTCTAAAGCTTCGTTTGGGAGAGAGGTTGACATTTGCACATGAAGTCTGTCTTTTGGAAACAGCAGGAGGACGCAGGAGGGGCGAAGTAACCCCGGGAAGACGTTCTTCCCCCTCCCTTACGGATTCAGTGTAGTTCCTGGCATAAGCAATTCTGTCACCGGGCGGTCTTTTCTAATTCGTGTGGGGGCTGATATTAACATAAGCAGCCGCCTCTTCGGGTGCGAGTGGGATCCCAGGTCCGGGATGTGGTGGGTGCGGTGCGGGAGAGGCACCCGCCGCCCCCTTCACTCGGATGTTAGAGGCAAGTTGTTCGTGTGAACTCGAGCGAACGACTGGAGGTTGGCTGTTGTAGGTTCACTCCTTCAGGATGTGGGTTTCAGGGGGCGTTTTGATGTGATTTAATTCCGACCGTGAAAACAATTGCTAGGGGCTGGCTGGATTGCTGTTGGTTTTTCCCCTCCTGGTGGCTTTGCTTGGTTTGGGTTTAGTTTGGGAACAAACTTGTTTTATATCAACACTTCCTTCTACATCGGGCGCCGTCGCCTCAACTGCGCGTGGGGGGCGAGGCGCCCACCCCGCACAAGAACAGAGGAGCGGGGGAGAAGAGACGGCCTCGCTGCTCACTGGGTAAGCGGAGCCCAGCCCCGCTCGGGAGCGGGCAGGAGAGACAGGGTAGTGACCCCCACTCACACCAGAAAACCCCTCCCCCCGGCGATTTTGCTGCCAACTCGAGTCGGCTACAGACAGTCCAGTGAGTCCTTAATTACAAGGACGAGAGAAAAGCACGGTGCCCCTCGAGTCCTCTCCGCCCCCTCGGTCCTAACCCCCGCCCAGGCTCCAGGTCTTCCCCTTTGTGTGGCCTGGACTCTCTCCCAGCTACGACTTTGGTGGGATCCAAAAGGAAGGAGGTGGCGGGGCCTACGGAAGAGGATACCCAGGAGCCAGGGAGAAGGGCTAGAAAACGAATAATGTGACTCCAGAGGCGGAACCCCGACCCCCTCTATTTCCCACCCCGGCTTCACCCGGAGACGAAAGCTGTGGGCATCTTCAGTTTAACGGACTTCGCGGAAAAGGAGAGAAGGGGGGCGAGGGAAATGGCAGTTTGTGTCCCAGGGGTTCTTCCCCTTCTTCTTGCCGCCTCCTAAAGACAAACAAACTCAACCCCCCACCCTCCGGGGTATCAGGGAACTCGTGGGACCGTGAAAAAGTCGTTCCCAAATCCGGCCGCCTGCGGACGTCGGACTTCCGCGGGGCCGGCGCCCGTTGGCGTCTGTAGCTCGGCGCAGCCACGCGGGGCTCCAGCGAGCGGGGTCCGCCACCCCTCGCGCCCTCCTGCGGCTTTCCCAGCGCTGGGCCAGTGCAGGCCGAGCCCTGCGTCCCTGCCTCGCTGGGTGGGGGTCCGGGGCGCGGCTGTCCACAGGGCCGCCTCCTCCTGCGGCCCGCGGGGAAGGGGCGCATCCCACCCCGCTCTGCAGGCCGCCCTTCTGCCAGCTGGGAGGCGAGGGCACACGTCCTAAGGCTGCCCAAGGGGGAGAGGAATCGCGCCGGTAGGAGAGCGCACGGGAACCAGGAACGCAAGGCGGGCACAGGGGAGCCGAAGGAGCCAGACAGGGCCCGGCCACGCGCCCTCCTCGCTCGGCTGCGCTCCGTGACGGGAACCCAGGCTCCCACGCACGGGGAATGCCTAGAACGGAGCTAGAATGGAGGTGGGAGCTGGAGTCATTTTGCGGGCCACAGGACTGCTCATTTCGTGGGCAGGACGTGACATTCTTGTCCCTCCTTTCTGAAAAACTTTTCTCAGGCGCCTGAACTTGGCATGGGGACCGGCCTCGAAAAGCCGGCGGGTAGCACGGCCGCGGTATCCAACCCTTCGCCCTCCTTCCCACCGGCCCTCCGCGTCCCTCGGCCCGCCCCCCGGGTCGGGGACGCGCGCGGAAAGGCCGCTCGCGCGCTCGAGCCGTGCCTTATATCGGCTGAGGGAGGCGCCTGCGCACGGCCCCGCGCGGCGGCGCGGCCTTTGAAGTCGCGGCGGCTGCCGCTTTCATCCTTTCTTTTTTCCCTCGCAGGCCCCTTTGTGTGACTAAATTTGGCAAGAATATGGATCTGAGCCAGTCTTTCCACGTGTGCTCCCAGCTCCCAGCTGAGAAGGCCAAGGGTTCTCTTCCGGGTAAGGAGACAGGGAGAAAGATCAAAGAGTTTGGGGAGCTGGATCTGAAATGTGAATTGAAAATAAAAATCAAGCCTGGACACATTCCAGTTTCTAAAGCAAAACCAACCCTCAGCAGAGGCCGGCTCTCTATATAGCTCTCTTTCTTTCTCTCTCTGCTCCCTTTGACTCTTTTCTGTGACCATTCTTGAGCACATGGTATAAAATAAAGAGAACATAGGGAAACAGTTTCTCTATATTTCGTTTTGGAGTAATTTTATTAGGGAAAATATCTTGTTCATAATTACCGGTATGTGAAGCCGAATTTCCTTAGCCGTAAATACTGTCTTATTTCAGCATGCTTCGCACTTTCTTCTGCGGCCACATTTGGGAAGAGAACGTTGACACAACACGTGTGGATATGTTCGTTGTGTATAGTGGTCCTTTTTTTCTACACATGATATGGTGCACCGTATAGTTTTCTTTCACAGAAGTTAGATTCTGGAAAACCAATGTTAGTATTTTTATCAAAGTACTTACTGTCACAGTTGATCTCTGTGATTTGAAACCCTCTCGTCGATAGACTGCAGAGATCTTTTCCTAGAGGCCACTCACCAGTCAGAAACCTTTGTGTTTTTATGGTTAAAAAACTGTAGGTCCCTTCACTTCTGTTGTTAATGGAAGTAACTAAAAGAAAGAGACAGCTTTGAAATACTGTGATACGAAGAGTCAGAAATCCTGGGTTGGAGATGGGCCCTGCCACTCCCTCTCATGCCATTGGTAACCTTAGGCAAGCCATTTTAACCTCTCCCAGAGTCTGTTTCCTCTCTGAAAAAATGGATATAATAATACCGTACTATTAAGTGAGATAATGCATATGAAAGTATGTACAAATGTGAGGTATTATTAGTCCATGAAGCAAAGACGATCCTTTTAAGGGGACCTGTTAAGTTGCAAAACCAAAAACTTCTGAAGCTCTAGAAACCCTTACCACAGGAGCAAATGGGGACAGTGTTACGCTCTCGCGTCCATGCTATGACCATCTCCACGCCTCCATCAGTTGTGTTACAAAGGCCACCAAAATCACTGAAGCAGTTGTTACCCCCAAGTGAGTGTGATGAGAGAACATTTTCAGAACAGGGTGAATGTGCCTTAACTCGTGTTTATGTTGGGCTCTTAATGAATTCATAAATGAATGAAGAAAATAACACTGAAAACAATATCTTCTTGTGAGACATTTAACACACATTACAGCAGCTCTGAAAACAGTCTTAGTATAATGGCTTGAGAAAGCAGTAATGTTTATGTGGATAAAATACCCCCAACAACAGTTGTAAGGACTCACAGGTGGGGAGAGTGACTAGAAAGGTATATAAGAGTTGTTTCTTGGGACTGTGTGAGTGCCACAAAAATCTATGTTTTAGAATAGACTGTGATTATGTATCCCAGACAGAGGTATCTCAAGTTTACAATGCAGTAAAGATTATTGCTAGGGCTGGCTGGGAAGTGACAGGAGTACCACAGGTGTAGTGCATAGGGCATTTAGCTGAATGTACCTCAGTGTGATCCTTTCTAACCTAAGGTAACCCCACCAAGGGAGCCATTTCCTGGGCTCATTGGGAGCCATTTTCCAATATAAGCTTTTCAGTGTGACCTGTATACAAAGTTATGAAAGCAGCAGGGCTGGGAGATGGGTGGGGTTCCAGGGTTCCTAGGTCCCTTTGGCATGGCCCAAGGCTGCCCAGGGTGCAGACTCCTCCTGAGATGCTCCATCTCCTTCAGCTGCCTCCTGCCAGAAGCAACCCTCAGCCTTTGCCAATTGTATGGAAGGGACTCTATAGCAATTTTAATTGGCACTTAGAAAGCACCTTCTATTTTCTTTTTTCTTTTTTTTTTTTTTTTGAGAAGGAGTCTCACTTTGTCGCCCAGGCGGGAGTGCAGTGGCATGATCTGGGCTCACTGCAACCACCACCTTCCAGGTTCAAGCGATTCTCCTGCCTCAGCCTCCCAAGTAGCTGGGATTATAGGCACTTGCCACCATGCCCGGCTAATTTTTGTAATTTTAGTAGAGACGGGGTTTCGCCGTATTGGCCAGGCTGGTCTCAAATTTCAAACCTCAGGTGATCCGCCCACCTCGGCCTCCCAAAGTGCTGGGATTACAGGTGTGAGCCACCGCGCCCGGCCAAGCACCTTCTATTTTCAATGTACCTTTTCCCAAATGTCCTAAATTAAAAGTGGATGCTGATCAAGTTCACTGGTCAACTTCAATTCTTCCTTTCTCTTTTCTTTACAGATGCAGCCTTTTTGAAATTTATTCTTGGCCAAAAGAGGAAGATAGTTCAAGGATTCTATCTTGCTTTTGGGGGGCAATGGAGAAACCCTGAAAACACTTAAGGAAAACCTGAGGCCTTCTATAAGAAAATAAACTCCCTGAAAGGGGAGGCAGGGCCAAGGAATTTACTTATTTTTATAAATCTCTTTCCTGGGTGGATATGGTAATGGATGTGTTTCTTGAATTGTGGTAAATGTACCTCATAAAATGGATGGACTGGGGCTATATTCTCAGGCTTCCTGGGCTCTGTTGGCATTGGGCAAGCACGTAATGCCTGGTTTGAGGCTAGAAGCCAAAGCCACAACCTTCTTGCAGTACCAACTGAGCCATAGGGAGATTAATGCAGAACAAGGTCGTTAGTCTCATTGTTTATCCAGTTACTAGCCGCATAGATTTTGTGTAAATTTCAGCTACAGTGGTTGCAGCCTGCCTTTGATGTGTGTAATCTGTACATTTTAGTGCTCCAGGAAAGTACCTGATTGACAAGATCTACATCCAATGCCCAGAAAACACATCCTACACAGGCACAGTGAAGCGTGGAGTTGAAGAATTTTCCAGTGAGTTCCATCAAAGTAAATAAACCAACCTAGAGCATCAGGATTGAGCCTCCTTTTTCTCATGACATGACTTTTGAGTGTCCTTGGGAATGGTTTGTATTTGTTTTCATTTGAAACTGGGTAACTGCTTTAAATCCTTATTTACCTCTCAGAGGAAGAACTTGGCCTGTATGACATTTGACCTTGAGGATGCTTTCTGTTTTAAAGCACTTCTGTCCATAAAAACAGACTCCTTGAGTGAGGTTACCTGTACTCATATATACATTTATCCAAGACACAGCCAATTTCTAGTTCCTTCCTTAGCTTTGTCTTGCTTGTATGGCTACGCTTAAACTCAGAATTAACAACGATGGGAGTGAATTCAGATGGTAGAGACAGCCAGTGCAAATAGTTTAGGCTACAAAATTGTCATCTGGCTCCACCAAACACTTTTCTTTGGCCAAAATAAAGCTAATTTGCCTCATCTGAATTTGACTTAAAGGTCCTGCAGTCCCGCTCTGCCAATTAACAGATCTCAAGTCCACTTCCCTTAGGTTAAATTGGCAGAAAGCAAAGGACAGAGATAAACTACTATCCTATGAGGTTAGACGGTAATTTTTGACTGCCAGTTCTGATAACCCCAGACTCCCAAATATATTTTGAGATTCATTTGAATTACCGAGATATTTGATTTTTGCAGTTCAAATTACTAGGATAATTTTTTACATTGTTTTGCTTTGTATCTCACAGTGGCTGAGTAAGACAGACCTTGTTGAAGCTCTAACTCTCTCACTGTTAGCCCTCCCTGTCCTGCACCTTTGCAGTTGCCTCCTAATGAGTCTCTGGCTTTCATTCTTTTTTTTTTCCGAGACAGTCTCCCACTATCGCCCAGGCTGGAGTGCAGTGGTGTGAACTCGGCTCCCAGGTTCAAGTGATTCTCGTGCCTCAGCCTCCCAAGTAGTTGGAACTACAGGTGTGCACCACCACAGTTGGCTTTTTGTATTTTTAGTAGAGACAGGGTTTTGCTGTGTTGGCCAGGCTGGTCTTGAACTCCTGACCTCAAGCAATCCACCCACCTTGACCTCTCAAAGTGCTCTGGCATCCGTTCTTGCTGGGTTCCATGCATGCCCCACAATAGTCCATGCCTCATAGAGCAGCCAAAGTCATCCTTTAACATTTCCTACTTGTGGCTTCCAAGTCCCTATGTGAGCTGTTACCTGGCTTCCTCTTGCTCACTGCTCTCTAGCACCACTGGCTCTCCAGCTGTTCCTTCAGAGTGCAAAGCACATGCACGCACGTGTACACACACACACACACACACACACATGCACACACACACACACACACTATACACCTCAGTCCTTGTTGCCTCTGCCCAGAAGCTCCTGGCCAGGTAGATGTTCACAGGGCTCACTCCCTGACTTCATTCAGGTTCTGCTCAGATAGTCCCTCCTTAGAGCTTGTTATCTTAAAAAATAGCCATCCCCCCAAACCTTCTGCCTTCACTCCAATTCCGGTCACTCTCCATTTTTTTTATGGACTTCATCTTCTTTTACTGTCACTGCTTGGCCTATTTTTTATACTTACTTACTAATTAGCTTTCTTTCCCACTGGTTCATAAGTTCCATGAGGGTAGGGACTTTGCTTTGTTTTATCCTTACTTCCTGTGGCAGCTCTTGGTGCATAGAAAATATACTAGCAAGGTGTGTAGAAGAATAAATTAACATGCCTTTGACAACCTCAGGTTTCTTATCTGGAATACTTCCCTTATGGAAGATTACAAATAATTGTTATAAAATTACCTGGCATACAGTAGATACACTCAGTAGGTGATAACTGTAATTATGCAGATCAGCACTGCCAAATGAAATATAATGCAAGTCACATATGTAATTTTAAAAAGCTAGAAACAGATTAAATTAATTTTAATAATACATTTTATTTAACCCAAATGTTGAAATTATTACCATTTTAATATATAATCATTATGAAAACTTACTAATGAAAGATTTTACATTCTTTTTTCATATTAAGTCTTTGAAATTCAGTGCAGTTTACTTACAGCAAGATTCAGTTCTTTTTTTTTTCTTTTTTGTCTTTTGAGACGGAGTCTTGCTCTGTGCCCAGGCTGGAGTGCAGTGGCACGATCTCGGCTCACTGCAAGCTCCACCTCCTGGGTTCACGCCATTTTCCTGCCTCAGCCTCCCGAGTAGCTGGGACTACAGGCGCCCGCCACCACGCCCGGCTTTTTTGTTGTTGTTGTTGTTGTATTTTTAATAGAGATGGGGTTTCACCATGTTAGCCAGGATGGTCTCGATCTCCTGACCTCGTGATCTGCCTGCCTCGGCCTCCCAAAGTGCTGGGATTACAGGCGTGAGCCACCGCGCCCAGCAACTTACAGCACGATTCAGTTCTAACTGGCCACCTTTTGAGTGCTTGAGTGTGGCTAGAGGCTACTGTATGCAGTCAGTCAACTGTTTAATGACAAGTTTTTGTCAGATTCATCTTTGTAACCCCCATATTGCCTTACACATTTCCCTCAAAACAGTAGTTGATCAAAAATGTATCAAAGAATATCATAACAATATATTGTTATATACTATTTTTCATGGCAAATTCAGACTTTCAACTTATTGGAGGGTGAAATAAGTCTTGGTGAAGTAACTTGAGATTATAATCATTTTAAGTGTATTATAACAGTGCTTTGCCCATAAGAGAGGTGTGCAATGAATAGTTGTGGTTCTCGTGTGTTGCTGAGTTGAGTACTTTTCTACATTGTAAATAATAGATTTACCATTGAACTTTAGGAAATACATAAGTTGAAGGTTTTCTGTATCATATTCTCTAGAATAACTTTCTCCTCCCTGTAAAACTGCCAAACCTGCACTTCTATAAGAGTCATCCAGGATCAAAAGTTTCTCCAGAAATATATACCATGGAGAGTGCCTACTCCCACTACAGATTTCATTTTCAGGTACAATTCCTGAACTGCTTCTTGGTACACATGGGCCAGATATAATAGTAAGTCTATTCTGTCCTATGCCTTGAGTTTTCACTAAAATGCTTTAATAAGGCATTAGCCTTAGGCCTAGCAAATTCTTTTAGTTGCAAAAGTCATTCCCCTCCATTTCAGAGATTTAAACCTGATGCAATAAGAGGAGGAAGATGAACAAAAGAGCAGGGTCATTTTCTGGAAGAAATGGGTAAAGACTGTTTGTTGAGAGATGTACCTCTAAAGCCTTGATATGCTTTTATGGTAGAGAAGTATTACATAAACATACTATCCTTACTGTGACTAAAAATGACCCATAGGCCAGGCACGGTGGCTCACACCTGTAATCCCAGCACTTTTGGGAGGCCAAGGCAGGAGGATCACCTGAGGTCAGGAGTTCGAGACCAGCCTGGCCCATATGATGAAACCCTGTCTCTACTGAAAGTACAAAAATTAGCTGGTCGTGGTGTCAAGCGCCTGTAATCTCAGCTACTCAGGAGGCTGAGGCAGGAGAATTGCTTGAACCCAGGAGGAGGAGGTTGCAGTGAGCTGAGATCATGCCCTTGCACTGCAGCCTGGGTGACAAGAGCGAAACTCCATCTCAAGAAAAAAAATAAAAATAAAAGTGAACCATAGATTTTCAGTGAAGTACAGAGAGTAGGCTGGGCACAGTGGCTCACACCTGTAATTCCAGCAGTTTGGAATCAAGGCAAGAGGATTGCTTGAAGCCAGGAATTCAAGACCAGCCTGGTCAACATAGCAAGACCCCATCTCTAAAAATAAAATAAATTAGCTGGATGTGGTTGTGTGCGCCAGTAGTTCCAGCTAGTCAGGAGGCTAAGGCAAGAAGAGCACTTGAGCCCAGGAGTTTGAGGCTTCAGTGAGCTATGATCATGCCACTGCACTCTTGCCTGGGCATCAGAGTGAGATCCCACCTCAAAAAAAAAAAAAAAAGAAGAAAGAAGGAGAAGAAAAGAAGGAGGAAGAGAAGAGGAAGAAGAAGAGGAGGAGAAGAGGAACAAGAAGAAAGAATTGGAGGAGGAGGAAGGAAGAGAAGGAAGAAGAAGGAGAAAAAGAAAGAGGAAGAGGAGAAGAGGAAGCAAAAAGAAGAGGGAAGAGAAAGAAGGAGAAAAAGAGAAGAAAGGAAGAGAAGGGGAAGAAAAGGAGATGAAGAGGAGGAAGGAAGAGAAGGAAGAAGGAGAAAAAAATGGAAGAGAAGAGGAAGAGGAGGAGTAAGAGGAGAAGAGGAAGAAGAAGGAGAAGAAAACAAGGAGGAAGAGAAAGAATAAGGAGAAAAGGAAGAGGAGAAGAGGAAGAAGAAAAAGGAAGAGGAAAAGAGAAAAAGAAAGGAGGAGGAGGGAAGAGAAGGAAGAAGAAGGAGAAAAGTAGAGAAAGAGGAAGAGGAGATGAAGAGGAAGAGGAAAAGAAGAGGGAAGAGAAGGAAGAAGGAGAAAAAGAGAAAGAAGAAAGAGGAAGAGAAGAGGAAGAGAAGGAGTAAGAGGAGAAGAGGAAGAAGGAGAAGAAAACGAGGAGCAGGGAAGAGAAGGAAGAAGGAGAAAAAGAAGAAAGGAAGAGGAGAAGAGGAAGAAGAAGACGAGGAGGAAGAAAAAGAAGCGTTTATAACTTTGAAAAACTTGGAAAGGTCTAGCTGTGGATTTGTGAAATTCTAATATAGCTTGATGGTGAAATACCACACAGCTTTGATAATGATGCTCAATTATTTTTATTCACATGAAGATATTAGTGATACATTGCTAAGTTAAAAAATAAAGTTATAAGAGAATAAATGCAATCATACCTCATTTTAAAAAGTTTATGTTTACAGATCATTTATTAGAATGTAAACTCTATGAGCAGGGGCACTGTTTTGTTTACCTCAGTATATCTGATGTCTAGAACAATTCCTGGCACAAAGTAGGCACTTAGTCAATATCTGTTGACTATATCTGGAAGGACAGACAGTAAGATACTAATAGTAGTTTTCTCTGAATAGTGGAGATTTTTTATTGAGTTTTTTATTGTTTGTGCTTTTAGAAATTTCTTTTTTTTTTCTTTGAGACAGAGTCTTACTCTGTCACCCAGGCTGGAGTGCAGTGGCACAATCTCGGCTCACTGCAACTTCTGCCTCCCAGGTTCAAGCGATTCTCCTGCCTCAGCCTCCTGAGTAGCTGGGATTACAGACGTGCGCCACCATGCCCGGCCAATTTTTGTATTTTTAGTAGAGACGGTGTTTCACCATGTTGGCCAGGCTAGTATCAAACTCCTGACCTCAGGTGATCCACCCGCCTCAGCCTCCCAAAATGCTGGGATTACAGGCATGAGACACCGCACCTGGCTGCATTTGGAAAATTTTATATGCAATGAACCAACATTTTTAAAGTAATAAAATATAATTTTAAATGTTATGTGATAAAAATATCTTAAAAAGTGAAAGAGCTGATCTTGGGTAATTTTGACAACAAAAATTAGTAAATCACAGAAGAAGAGTATCAGGAACTGGGGGCAGTATTGGAGCCACTGCATTATAGCAGACACAATTTCAGGGCCACCTGCTGGTCATGCAGAGGTCAATATAAAAGGGCTCTGACAGTTTATAGCAAGCTTGTCCAACCCATGGCCCACAGCCCACATATGGCCCAGGACAACTTTGAATGCAGCTGAATATGAATTCGTAAACTTTCTTAAAACATTATGATTTATTTTATTTTTTAGCTCATCGGCTATTGTTAGTATATTGTATGTGTGGCCCAAGACAATTCTTCTTCCACTGTGGCCCAGGGAAGCCAAAAGATTGGACACCCCTGGTTTATAATGATCAGAAAGATGGGCTGTTTTTTTTTAAGGTAATAATTTAAACACAATGAAATGTGTAGGTCTTAAGTGTACAAAGTATACAAATACACACGTGTGTGTGTGTTTTAAATCGGGCAGCTCTGAGAGTCACAGGTGATTCTGAAAGACTCCCCAGAGTGTTTTGATTAATATATACACCTGTGAAACTATCACTCCATCATGATATAGAACATTTCAGTCATCCCAGAAATTTCCCCTATGGGATGAACTTATTTCAAAGCAACTTCTTAAGCTACATTTTTGGTGAAATGACATTTGTTGGTAGTTTGTGGTTTTCTTGCTGGTTGCTTCGGATATATTCCTTAACTCTGTAATTTATTTTCTCTATCTGAACAACTTGTCACCTTAGAGTATCCCTTTCTAGAAAACATGCTAATACTGTAATGTACTTAATAGGAAGGAGAGAAATGGAACTCAGGTTATTGGATTGGCTATCAAAGTGCTGAATTGAAACACTGACCAAGTAAATTGCATGAAATAATTTGTATTATAAACTGTTTTTCATTGTAGTAAGTGAAATGTCTGTTGTCTTAACGACTGACAGTCGGAAGAGGTCTTGGTTTGCTCCAGACATGGATGTTTGGGGAAGGGTATTAGGGGAGCAAGTGACTAAGGACCTGATGGGGTGATTTCCAGAGGCAGCTGTGTGCCAGAGACTTGGGAACATGAGGCTCTTTGGTGGGTGCAGAAGCGCAGGAGAGCAACGTGGATTTGTGCATGCCCCCTGCACATACCTTCTAGGCTTAGCATTCCTCTGGCCTCTGTCGGTTCAACATGTGGTTGAACACAGCAAACAGGAACATCTTTTGGCTGTGGCACAATATTGTACTTACTGTAAAAAAGATAGCATTTCCTGAATTTCTTTTGTGGGAAGTGTTAAAAAATACAGATAGGATGTATTTTTTTCCCCCTTACTGTGAAATAGCTGAAGTTCATCTCTCTTTCTCTCTCTCTCTTTTTCTCTTTCTCTTTCCTCTCTGTTTCTAAGGTGAAGATAAACCTCAACTTCCAGGAAGGGAAAAATTTAATTAACTTAAATATGGGCTCAAAGGTCCATGCCAAAACAATGTGATCAATACATAGGTTAAAATTGTCCTAAAGAGGACTATGGAATGGATTGCAACATGGTTCAGGTCAGATGACTTCTGGGATTACTAGCCTGGTAGTCCAAAAAGACATTGCATGCTGTGAGGGAAATAAAAACAATAATGCGAAAACAACGTTAAGGATCTACTCCAAGTATGGCCCACAAAACACTCTTGAGCTGCTTGCTGTTGCGCCCCTGTGCGTTTCATCCCTCCTGCTCTCTTCGTCAACCCTACAGCATGTGGGGTGTGAAATCACTTGAGAAACTGTTTCCACTGGTTTGCTATGAGAATTTCATAGTTTGACCCCTGAAAATGAAGGGAATTAGAATTGATAGGAGGGATGATTTGGTGCCCAAAGTGGTGAATTGGTGCCAGAAGGTCACCTGAGTAAGAAATGCCTTTGCCTGGTGGCTACGTAAGTTAGAAATAAGTGAGCTGAAAATTAAAGTAAAAAAGGTTAATTTCTATGAGAATATCAGTTGGACAGACAGCAATTAGATAAGGTACAATCTAAGAAGTAAAGCAGGAGAGAGAGTTTACTTAATAACTAAATATTTACTTTTATCTCTTTCACTCACTTGTAAACCAAGATAAGCCTGTTTGTTTTCTATATAAGAGTTAATGCTCTATGATTAATTATATTCATTATTCCAATAATAGCAACAATGAGCTTTAAATGAAAATCATTGTCATTATGTCTATTTATTTCTTGGTTGCAAATTGAAAAAATATTGAAAATCAAATGGACATTGTACATTATTTACTAAGAATATTTCACTTACTGTGGATGATTTAAAAAAAAACTATTCTGTTTCACTTAATGCTTCAAGTGAATTACATTTTCTGCCTCTCACATTTGAATACAAGGCTGTTATCTTAGGGCTCCCAGCACTGTGGAAGAAACATTTCATGGAAGTAACTCTATTTCAGCTGTAATGTCTCTTTCTGCTCCTTTTTTATTGAAGAAAAAAAAAGAAGAAAAAGAAAAGAAAAAGAAATAAAGCAATAATAATTATATTTCTAGCCCAGAAATATGATCCTTTGAATAAAACTCTGCCCTCACTTTCAGTTAATCAGAAGATGAGTGATATCCTATTTCTTTATAGTTTCCTCTAGTCTTGGTGAGATGAAAGAGGAATTTGCAATCAAATAAGAGTGGTATTGCAGACATTACAACTAATTTATATAGTTAAAAACTCAGAATTGTATCCAGATCTGACCAGGAACATGACACAAGATTTAATTTAAAAGGAAAAAGGGGACAATTTCTTTTTTTTATTTTGGTAACTCAATTTACATTGTGCCATGACTCAGTAATTATGCTGCAAGCCTCACTGTGAACACTGATGAATTGACTTTGTGTCCATCTATTATGTTGACACTGGATTAAAATAGAACTAACTCCATCATTCAGGTTGGAGAAAATTCAGAAGTATTGCTTACTCCTCTTTTCTTTCTACTGTCTCCTTTTTCTCATGTTCCAGATTATTGGTGCCTCACCAGAAGAGAACAGAGGAGAGACTTACTGACTTACATAAAACATTCATTAACTTACCATAGAGACTACATATGCAGAATATCCATCACATCTACCCCACATACTGTAGTATGTAGCCAATATTTTGTTCATGTGAAAAGTAGAGAATTACACCAATCATTTAAATAACTTAGGTAAAACACTGTTGAAGAAAAACTTTATTTAAACCCAAATTAATTAATTCAAAAAGAGCTAATATTCAATCGTGCTTTATTTTGTCAAGGAAATAATTAGACATTTCTTTAGGTTCCAAGCAGTACTGAAATCATAGGCACAAAGTGGGTAGCAAATGAACATACATTCCTCCTCTGCCTTCTCTTTGGACCACATTCCAGGCATGCTTTTTGCCCCAGCTCTCCACCAAAACTGCTAAATCTGATGGTCAATTCTCGTCCCCCTTATTTGACCCATCATCAGCATTTGACACAGTTGATTACACTTTCTTCAAACGCTTTCTTCCCTTACTTCCAGGATGCCATCAGCTTCTGGTTCTTTCCGGATCTCCTTGGCTCTTCGTTAGTCTCCTTTGCTTGTTTTGTCTTCCTGACCTCTATGTATTTGGTGGAGTGCCCCTACAGCTCAGTCTCTCACCCCCTTCTCTTTTCTATCTAATTCATTTCCTGATGACCTCATCCAGTCTCATGCCTCTGAATATATTATAAATGCTAACAACATTGAGTTACATCTTTGGCCTAGACCTAGCCCCAGATTTACAGACTTACATATACAGCTGCCTACAAACCTCTATTTGATGTCTAATAGGTATGTGAAATTCAGCATGTCCAAAACCCAACTTATGATCTTTCCCCAAATCTGTTCCTTCATAGTCTTCTCTGTCTCAGGAAATGGCAGATCTATTATTTCAGTTGCTCATGCCAAAAGCTTTAGAGCCATCCTCACCCTTCTCTTTCTCTCACTCCCCACATCCAATCTATCTACAAATTCTTTTGTTGTTGTTATTGTTTTTGAGACAGAGTCTTGCTCTGTCGTCCAGGCTGGAGTGCAGTGGTACAATCTCTGCTCACTGCAACCTCTGCCTCCCGGGTTCAAGCGATTCTCCTGCCTCAGCCTCCTGAGTAGCTGGGATTACAGGCGTGCACCACCACACCCAGCTAATTTTTTATTTTGTATTTTTAGTAGAGATAGGGTTTTACCATGTTGACCAGGCTGGTCTTGAACTCCTGACCGCAGGTGATCCACCCGCCTTGGCCTCCGAAAGTGCTGGGATTATAGGCCTGAGCCACTGCCCCCAGCCTTATCTACAAATTATTTCCCTGTGAAATATAACCAGAACCAGCTACTTCTCACCAGCCTAGTTCAAGCTGCAATCATTTTTCATCTAGATATTTATCATAGCCTCCTAACAGGTCTCCCTGTTTCTACCATGCTGTACCTGCTATTGTCTGCAAAGCTCACAGAGTGATCTTAAAACTATTGATGACAAGCCAAATTCTGTAAAATATTTAAAGAGGTTTATTCTTAGCCAATATGAGTGACCCAGGCCTGGGGAACAGTATTAAGAGGTCCTGAGAAAGTATGTCCACGTGGTTGGGTTACAATTTTTTGGAGTGCAGTGGCACGATCATGGCTTACTAAATCCTCCACCTTGTGGGCTCAAGTGATCTGCCCACCTCAATTTCCTGAGTAGCTGGGACTACAGGCACACACCACCATGCCTGGCTAATGTTTGTATTTTTTTTTTTTTTTTTTTTTTGAGACGGAGTCTCGTTCTGTCGCCCAGGCGGGAGTGCTGTGGCGCGATCTCCGCTCACTGCAAGCTCCGCCTTCCGGGTTCACGCCATTCTCCTGCCTCAGCCTCCCGAGTAGCTGGGACCACAGGCGCCCGCCACTGCGCCCGGCTAATTTTTTGTATTTTTAGTAGAGACGGGGTTTCACCGTGGTCTCGATCTCCTGACCTCGTGATCCGCCCGCCTCGGCCTCCCAAAGTGCTGGGATTACAGGCGTGAGCCACCGCGCCCGGCCAATGTTTGTATTTTTTGTAGAGACGAGGTCTCGCCATGTTGCCCAGCCTGGCCTCAAACTCCTGGGCTCAAGTGATCCGTTTGCCTTGGCCTCCCAAAGTTTTGGAATTACAGGTGTGAGCTGCATGTCTGGCTGCAGTTAGGTTTTATACATTTTAGGGAGACAGAAGATATCAACAAAGACATAGATCAATACATGCAAGGTATACATTGGTTTGGCCCCAAAAGGCAGGACACGTCATAGTATGAGGGGGTTACTTATAGGTCACAGGCGGATTCAAAGATTTTCGGATTGACAATTGGTTGAAAAAGTTAAGCTTTGTCTAGACTTGAAGTCAGTACAAAGACACGCTAGAGTCAAGATGCGGGGAGGATTGTGAAATCCAAGGTTCTTGTTATTTAGATTAAACCTCCAGGTAACAGCCTTAGAATAGATGGTAAATGTCTCTTTTCAAAACTTTTCGAAACAAAACTCTCCTTTAGTCCCTTTTAGATCCAGGAAAAACTAGAAAGGGAAGGAGATTTTCTAGAGATGCAAATTTCCCCGAGAGAGGGCTTTCTAGGGCCATTTCAAAATATGTCAAAGAAATATATTTTAGGGTAAAATCACTTTATTTCCTTCAGAGTCTTCTATCTCATGTGATGCTATATCAGAATCAGGTTGGAATTTGGTAACTTATTGCCACAAAGAGTCTGTTTCTGTCAGTCTTATGATCTCTATTTCAGTGTTAATGCTGGTCAGTTGTCCTAAACTCTAGAAGGGAGGGGTATAACCAGGCATGCCTGACGTCCCTTCCTCTTATGGCTGGGAATTCAGTTTTTCGTGTTTCTCTGGGATCCCCTTGGCACAGAGGGGGTCCATACAGTCAGTTGGGGGGCTTGGCATTTTTTTGGTTTACAAACTTAGGTCAGTTTATGTCCCTCCTCTGCTCAGAATGCCCCAGCAGCTTACCATTTCCCAATGTTCTGCAGGATCCTGTGTGATCTACACCCACCTCTTACTTTTCTGATCTCATCTCTCACTGTTCCCCTTGCTTTCTGTGCATTGGCCACTTGAGTTTATTTGCTTTCTCAAATCTTGGGCATGTTCTTACCCCAGCATCTTTGCAGAGGCTATTTCCTTTCTTCGTAGTAATGTTTCCCCAGATCTTCACATGGCTCACTCCCTCACCTCCTGCAGGTCTTTCCAAATATCCCTTGTCAGTAAGGTCTTCCCTGATCACCCTATTTAAAATTATAACTCCTCCCCTAGCTGTTGGTACTCTTTATCCTCGTCTCTCACTATATTTGTAGTACTTATTACCAGCTGACATCCTATGTATTTTATTCATTTATTTTTATTTTTTGACTGTCTTCCCTAGTAGAATGTAATTCCCTGGAGGGAAGGGATTTTTGTCTGTTTCCTTCATTGCTATAAATCTAGGCACCTAGAACAGTTCCTGACTTGCAGATAGAATCCAATAAATGTTTGTTGAATGAAAGAATATCTACAAAAATACATACACAAAAGTATCGTAGCACATAGTACCTATATACTTTACCTCTTGTTATTGTTGTGATCTCCTAAATGGATATAGCTTAATATACATATAAACAATAAATCATATTTTAAACAAATCAGGGAAGCTGTTATTAGAAGGCATTTGATGGCCCTTTTTTAAAGGTAAAAGTTCCATTTAAAAGTAAACAGTCATACTCTAATTTGTCTGTGTTGTCAATGTGACCTGCTTCTCTAGAGACAACTCTTTTGGAATGCTCTATTGAGCAGGCAGGTATTATGAAGCTATTTCTAATTGATAGGGAGAAGAGTAAACAAAATATCTGAAAAGTTCTGTTTTTCAGTGGCCTGGATGGAATTCCACCAGGCCCCTCAGGACAGTTGTTGGGCCAGGCTTTATCCTTGCTGAGCTGTTTCAGGCCTTACAAGAGTATTTGAAGGTTTCCAGGGGTTGGGGAGCCTTGGCTTGGTGGTATGGGAGATGATTTTGAGTGATTTACAGGACTAGCAATAAATTATTTTCACTCAAATCATGAGAAAACTATTTCCTTTTCTATTCTCTATCAGTCTAGTACCTGTAGCAGCCTCTGTTGGAACCTGGCCCATACCTTTTCACCTTTATCAAGTGGGTGTATGCCTGCCAGAGTTACACCTACAGCCCTTATATTCTTTGCCCAAGGCCTTCTCTTGACTATGAGACCTGCTTTGCTGCCCACAAGGCAACCCAGGAATGCTGGGGAATTAATGTCCTAGGGATTGACCTTCAACAAGTGACTAATAGCAGTTGGTGTATAAATACCCCGTCTCTCTCATTCTTTGTGTAGGCGAATTCTGAGGTGTGTTTTACACTGGCTCCCTGAGTTTCCTCAGAGGGATGAAGCTCTAGTTGTCCACAGTGAGAGCTGGCTTGATAATATGTTATTCAATTGCTTCCTTCTCTTTTCTGCCTCACTTCCCACCTCCTTCATTGTGTTTCCACATTTCCTTCACCTCGCAAGTAAACTAATTGCAACTGAATTCTAGTCACAGGTTTGCTTCTGGGAAAACTTGAACTACAGTACCTGCAAATCTTTAACCATTTCTAGTGCCTGTTTATTTCCCTTTTTACCAGAGAGCTAGATCAGGTCTCAGGCTAGAAACCTCGAGTTGTTGAGAGAATCTTGCTAGAATTTATACTAAGAGGGTTTTTTTCCCCTTCATTATATTTATTTTTTAATTGCCTACTATTTATTGTGATATTAGATTTTCCATTTACTATTGTGATATAACTGGATTCATGTAAGAACTACTTTATTTAAACCAATTGGTTTAAATAAAATGCTTATAATAAGACTGGTGGTAAAGAGATATGGCAAAAATCATAGACACACATGGCTGAAGCTTGGGGAAAAACCTGCTGTGAGTTCCTGAGCTAGCTCTGGAGGATCTTTGGAAGAACCAGAAAGTTTCACACTGTGCTTCATGTGCGGCCTGTACAAAATGGCAAGCAGTAATACGTAACAACTGTATTGTTTTATGCCATATTCCTCATAAAGCTGGTATCTTCTCTTAAGACTTTAAATGCTTAAGCAGGTTGAATAAACTTGCTTCATCTGTGTAATTTTAAAGGGTTTTCTTTTGGAATGTGGTACTTTCATCTTCCTCCCTCACCCTTTTACTGGGGACAGAAGAAAATAGCAATCATCGTCATCTGAACACCTAGAAGTAACACTCGCGGACATTGTGTCGTATTTCCTCCCTGCCTTTTTCTGATAATATAAACAAAGCACTGAACCTGCTCCACTGTCAGCCCCTTCCTTGATGACTGCTACGAGCAAAGCTGGCCCTCACTTCCGTCGGACTCCTTGTTCCCTGAACAGCATTTGATGCCCCGATCCTTCCTGAAGTTCTCTCCTATTCGCCATCACACTGTTCTCCTCTTTCTCCTCCTCTGTCTGCTCCTTCTCCGTCTCCCTGGAAAGGTCTCTTGTTTCTTCTTGCTTCTTAAATATAGGCCTTCCCCTGGTTCTCCCTCAGTGAGCTCCCCCTCATGAAAAGTATTCCACATCTGCTTCTTTAAGCCACATTTCTCTCCTAAGCCCCAGACCTTGGACATACTTTTCTGCCTGTCTGATGGCCACATGAAACTCATCATGCCCAAAACTATCCTCATAATTTCCCCCTGCAAACCTCTGGTTCTTCTATACATTTAATTTCATTCATATAAGCCAAAACCAGGGTGTCATTTATAATTCCTCTCACTCCCTCACCTGCATGATGGGTGAGGAACCAAGCGCCCCCAGCGCTGCCTCAGTACATACAGACTCTCACTGTCTCTCTGAAAGAACTGCCCCATGACTTGGGGAGTCTCCCTGGTTTCAGTCACCCCGTCCACTACCTTCTACCCAAAGTGATTTTTTTTTCTTTTTTTGAGACAGAGTCTCACTCTGTCGCCCAGGTGGGAGTGCAATGGCATGATCTCGACTCATTGCAACCTCCGCCTCTCGGGTTCAAGCGATTCTTGTGCCTCAGCCTCCTGAGTAGCTGCGATTATAGGCACGCAACACCATGCCCGGCTAATTTTTTGTATTTTTAGTAGAGACAGGGTTTCTCCATGTTGCCCAGGCTGGTCTTGAACTCCTGAGCTCAGGCAATCCACCTGCCTCGGCCTCCCAAAGTGCTAGGATTACAGGCGTGAGCCACTGTGCCCGGTCCCAAAGTGATTTTTTTTTAAATACAAATCTGGTCATTGCCTATTCCTGCCTAAAATACTCTCTAATGAAAGATCCAGAAGGGTAAACATTAAACTCTTACCTGTAGGGAATGGGGCAGGATCATTTGCTTTTTATTCTCTGTACTTCTTTACTATGTAATTTTTCTTTAACAATGAGCATATGTTGTTTTTACAATTAAAATACATAAAGATCATCAAAAGAAAAACATGCTCAATAGCAACTGCCTGCCTCAGTTGCTTACAAGAAATCACTTTGTGCTCTGCCTCTGATTCTCCCTCAGTCCTCTCCCACACAAGTCATACCACAGGGCCCAGGCTTTCACCATAGGCTCCAGGTGTTCAACTCCGTGCAGTTTTCTAGGCCTTTTCTCAGGCTTTCCCTGCATCTGAAATGCCCTTCCAGTCTTCACCGCTTGTGCTGTGCTTAAACATCCTTCATGGTCTAGCTTGTGTCATCTCTTCTATGAAGGACTTCCCCACCCCAGGGAGACATGACTGCAGCTTCCTTTGGCCCCACCCTAGAACTTTACCCTGTGGAGAAGTCTACTCTAGTACTAGGTGATGTGTTTGCCTCCTCTTCCTTGCTGTGTCCGTAGGTCTCCTGAGAGCATGGACTGCACCTCTCAACAAGCATTCAGAAAACAATGAAACAAAACAGAAACAAACACCTGTCATTTACACCCTATTCACTGCTTGCCCTGCGTATCACACATGTGATTTCTAGTCCTGGAAACAATCTGTAGAGTATCTCCATTTCACAGATATGAAAACTGACACTCAGAGCTAGGCTAAGGGTCATGCAGATAGTTTGTGGCAGAGCTGGGATTTGGAACCTGTGCCCTATACTGCCTCTAATAATGCTGCTGAAGGCAGGGGCTGTGTCTTATAATTATCTCCCTTGTAGCAACTAGCACAACTGGTTGCTCAATAGTGCTTCAATCAGTATGCGTTCCTGAATAATTTAGAAGGAGAGTAGTCCACCTCACCAAAAACCACTTACCCAGACTATGAAAGAGCCTCAGTCATTTCTCCTCATACTCTCTGAAAGATGAGCCCAAGGGCAATTATAGGACCACAAAAGAGTTTGCAGGGGGTGGGCAGTGTGTATCTACCCTGGGATAATCTGCCCTAGAGTGGATTGTTGGTAGTCATTTTAAAGTTGTTTGTCAAGTTCGTTACTCAAGAGCATGTCCCCAGGGACAACTTTGTCACTGAACAAGGCACACACAAAAGCTCTGGGGTAGGGCTTCCACCTCAGGGAAACATAGAGCTGTTCTCACCCTCTGGGCAGAGGGAATCAGGCCAGCAGAAAAGTGTGAGTGGTGAGTGCTGTGGAAGAGCCTGGATGGAAAGCTATGGACTGCCTGGCATTCTACGCCTGGGAGTGATGTGCATGTGTTCATGCGGGGGTGGGGCTGGGGCTGAAGCGCAGTGAATGAAGGACAGTGAGGCACTGGGCAGTTTGGGGCTGGCAAAGGTGGGGATAGTTTGTGCCAACCTAGCTTGGTTCAGGGCTAGAGGCTGGGGGAACCAGAGGTTCTCACAGCTCCTGTAAATGTTCAGCCTGAATAGGGCTCCAGAAGTAGGAATGTGGCAGGGGAAATAAGGCTCTAGTGCCCTTTTGCTCGGGAGCAGTGGTATGGGGTATAGTAATTTTTGTGAGCCCAAGAAAAGAATTCAAAAATCAGTATGCTTAAATCAGTTTTTAAGAATGTACATGGAAGCTACCCTGAGGCTGCAGAAGGAGGTGGAGAGGGGGTCCTAGTTCTTTCCCAGAGGAGTAGACATTCTAGTGGTGGGATGCTAATATACAAACACAGAAAAACAACATGGTATGGCATGTGCAACAGTGGGCAGGCCCACCGTGGGGCAGTAGCCACGGATGTGTTATTTCACCCAATCATCACAGCATCCCAGAGAAGTAGGCATACATACCCTCTTGTTGTTACCCATGACAAAACTGAATTGTAGCTGCATAAGAGCGTCAAGTGACAGCACATTCAGGTCTTTCTTGACACCAAAATACGTCCGATTCTAGCACATCATGCAGTTAAGGGGTAAATGAAACTCCAGATGTAAAGTATATTATGCAAATGTGGAGTGAATCATATTATTATGTCTACACCTAGCACTTCAGTGCTTAGAGAAAATTGGAAACCAAATTTGGTCAGATTGCTGTTGGGAAGTTGAAGGCTTCCTGCTGAACAAACATTACTTTTTACAATTCAGGATTTGGACCACACAGTACTTTGATCTAAAATTTTAGTAGACAAAGAATGAGTATTTATTGTTTTTATGAGCATTGTTTTGTATAAAACAAATTGGGGGAGTGGGAAGGAATAAATATTTGGGACAGCAAACATTTAAATGCCAGTAGTTAATTTACTTTGCTACCTTGATTTACAATGGTAACATTTGGGTGGAGAGTTGAAAAGAAGGAACATTCTTTTGTTCTTGTTTTATTTAGAATTTCTAAAGTCTAAAGGAATGTTTTTATTGCAAGTACATAAAGTAATGAAAAAAAAAAAAGGAAAAACCCAAGGATTTAAATGCCATTATAGAAGCTTAACTCCTGGGTGTTAAATGAGCAAGGGACGTTCTAGCAGATTTATTTTAAATATTTTCCTAACTTTCTTGTCTTCTTAAAGTAACTTCCAACTCCAAATGTGTTGTTACAAAAAAAAAAGGCAGAGCAAAGGAGTCTTAAAAAGAGGAAAACAGGAAAAAGAAGCTGAAGCTCCAGGCAAGTAGACCCAGGACATCCCAGAGTAAGAATGAAGTGACTGTGGGGTGGTTTGGGACAGTGGAGACAGTAGGTAGCCCACAGCCCAGAGGATTTTATTTGGCTAACTCAGATAATTCATCTAATACAGCATGAACCACTCCGTCCTTTGCCTGCATAGATCCGGCCTGGATGACTGAACAGCTACCAGCTTCAGAGTCTTAAGAACCTAAAATCCTAAAATCACATTTAGAGCTGATGTGATGTTTAACAAGGGTCATCTAGAGGGAAATCATCTGATAGGCTTAAGAGGTACAAACACTGGCTCTTAATGTTTCAAACATACCATTGGCCTTGATCAGATGTTATTTTCAGGAAAGAAAATAGTCATGCCTCTGGGGCTTTAGCACACTAAAAATTGTTCTGAAATTTCAAAATACTCCAAAGTTTCATAATCAGCATAAGTGTTCAAAGGGAAGAAAAAAACATACACAGCTTATGTTTTTTAGGGCCTATTGTTTTATTTCAAATTCGATTTTACTTATGTTTTATTTGTTTTACATCATTATCCCAAGCAGAATGGTGTAGCTATGGCAATGCTTAGAGAATCTGTGTGTAATGCTCTGGGCAGCAGGCAGGCATCATACACTCTGGAGCAAGGAGGAAGATGACATCAAAGAACCTGAAGACAGAGCACATTTACTTTTCTGATTCAAATTACTTTGTTTGGAAAAGAGTAAACACAATTACCTTAACAACTGAGCTGGGAGGCTTTGAGGGTTTAACACTGCATTGTTTTCCCAGGGAGAGGATGGGGACTGCTTAGGATCAGGGAGAGAGACCTAAAGAACCAGGTGGTTTTATTTGTTTTCACTTTCTTCTCTTTCCAGAAACGAGTTTGGGTAGTTATAGGGCATTTGATTGAGTTCCTTAAAAAATTAACTTTGTTTATTTTTCTTATTTAAAATGGAATTACTGTTCATTATTTAAAAAATTAGGACAAAAGAGAAAACTTGTGAAGTTCCATCACCAAAACTCAGATTTTATATCCATTTCTAAATATATATACACCTCCCCCTGCCCTCCCACTCCCACAAATGATAGCATACCATTCATTGTTTCATTATTTGCCTTTTTAACTTAACATATTCTGGAAGCCTTTTACTCTCAGTCTCTCTAGAGCTGCTTCAATCTTTTTATCTATAACATAGTATTCTATTATATGGATGTTTTCTGGTTTATTTTACCTGTCGTTTATTGATGGATATTTAGGTAGTATTTAATCTTTTGCTAGCACCAACAATGTGGTAATTAATATTCTTGTGTTTGTGTGAGGAGGTGGAGTTTGCAGTGAGCCGAGATCATGCCAATTGTGAGAATGTGCATGAAGTGCAAACTATTAGAATTGAAATTACTAGGTGAGAAGGTATGAGCATTTGTGGCTTGGATAGAAATTGTGTTGCCATATTGCTTTCCATAAAGATCATACCAATTTATACATCCACTACAAATATATGCGAGTGCCTGTTTCCTCACACTGATCAAATTTCTCTGTCTTTGCCAGTCCATAAGGTGAAAATATTGCCTCAATGTATTTTAATGTGTACTTTTTATACAAGTAAGGATGAACATCTCTGCGTAAGTTTAAAGAGCTCTTTATATTTCCCTTTTTTTTTTTTGAGATAGGGGTCATGCTCTGTTGCCCAGGCTGGAGTGCAACCATAGTTCACTGCAACCTCAAACTCTGGGCCTCAAGTGCTCCTCCTGCCTTAGCCTCCTGAGTATGTATTTCCTATTCTGCTGAACTGTATGTTCATATCCTTTGCTCACTTCTCTATTGGTTTGTTATTCTTTCCTTATTGATTTGTTATTGCTCTTTATGTATTGATAATGTTAGTACTTTTTTTCCGGGATATGAGTTACAAACATATTTACCAGTTTACTGTTTGTATTTTTCTCTGTATAGTAAAGTAAAATATAAACAGCAAACTGGTAAATATGTTTGTAATATTACTTTGTGAATATTACAAAGTAAAATACAAAAAGTAAAATAAAGTAAAATACGAAAACTTTTTATTTTTATTCAGAAAGTTTTAATTTTTATGTAGTCAGATATCCATTTCTTATCTTTTCTGACTTAAGATTTTTATGTTATACTTAAAGAGGCTTTTCCCAAAATAGATTTTTAAAAACATCTTTCTATGTTTTTACCTACTTTGTATATGAATGTATATTTAATACATCTGGAATTTATTTTAGTGGGACATATAATGTAAAAAAACAGCTTTGGGGCTGGGTGCGGTGGCTCATGCCTGTAATCTCTGCACTTTGGAAGGCTGAAATGGGTGGATCACTTGAGGTCAGGAGTTTGAGACCAGCCTGGCCAACACGTTGAAACTCTGTCTCTACTAAAAATACAAAAACTAGCTGGGCGTGGTGGCGTGCACCTGTAATCCCAGCTACTCGGGAGGCTGAAACAGGAGAACTGCTCGAACCCGGGAGGTGGAGTTTGCAGTGAGCCGAGATCATGCCATTGCACTCCAGCCCGGGTGACAAAGCGAAACTTTGTCTCAAACAAACAAACAAAACAACTTAGTGATATTTTCCATATCACCGCCCATTTGCCTCAAGACTGTTTATGAATATTAAAATCAGCTTGCTGAGTTCCCCTAAAAAATTATTTCAGCCTTTCTGTTGGAAACATGTTGTTAATAAATTTACAGATTTATTTAGGGAAAATTGACATGTAAGGATGTTGAGTCTTTTTCTAATAACATGGTATTTTTTGCCTTTTTTTTTTTCAATTCTTCTTTTGTGTCTGGCAGCAGATTCTTCTCATTCCCATCCCTAGCAAAAGGAATCCCTGCTAATGAAGTGCTCACAAGAGGGTAAGCTTCCTGGAGAGCCATTTTGACAAAGCAAGATTTTAGTCTAACTTCTGTATGATTCTAATCTTTTTTTTTTTTTTTTTTTTGAGACGGAGTCCCGCTCTGACACCCAGGCTAGAGTGCAGTGGTGTGATCTCTGCTCACTGCAAGCTCTGCCTCCCGGATTCAGGCCATTCTCCTGCCTCAGCCTCCTGAGTAGCCGGGACTACAGGCGCCCGCCACCACACCTGGATAATTTTTTTGAATATTTAGTAGAGACAGGGTTTCACCATATTGGCCAGGATGGTCTTGATCTCCTGACCTCGTGGTCCACCCGCCTCAGCCTCCCAAAGTGCTGGAATTACAGGCTTGAGCCACCGTGCCCGGCCGATTCTAATCTTTGAGAATTGTTTTTCTGCTCTTTTTTTTTTTTACACCTGTATACCATATCAGTAACATATAAAAGCATTTACAAAATTATCCTGCATGATTTTGCTTTATGGATTTAAGAGGCTAGCAAGATGATTTTCTGGCCTCTAGGACTGTGCTCTTGCTTTCCCCCTCCCTCTCTCTTATATTTATATTTATATTTTACTTAATGTTTAAAACAAAATGTTTGTATATTGGAATAATTTTAGATTTACAGAAAAGTTCTAAAGATAGTACAGGCTGGGCACTGTGGCTCATGCCTGTAATCCCAACATTTTAGGAAGCCAAGGCAGGAGAATTGTTTGAGCTCAGGAGCTCAAGACCAGCCTGGACAATATAGTGAGACCTCGTCTCTACAAAAATTAAAAAATTAGCCGAGTGTATTAGTGCATGCTTGTAGTTCCAGCTACTCAGGAGGCCGAGGCAGGAGGATTGTTTGAGCCAGGAAGACTGAGGCTGCAGTGAGCTGTGATCACACCACTGCACTCCAGCCTGGGCAACAGAACGAGACCCTGCCTCAAAAATAAAAAATATAGTACAATATTCCTGTGTTCCTTCCACCCAGTTTGCCCTACTGTTTATATTTTACATAACTATGGTGTATCTGTCAAAACTGAGAAATTAATGTTGGTACATTACTATTAACTAAACTCTAAACTTTTTTCAGGTTTCATTAATTTTTCCATTCATGTCATTTTTCTGTTCCAGGATCCAACCAGGATACCACATTGCTTTCAGTAGTATTTCTATTTGATTAGTCTGAAGAGGGAGGCAGCAACCTAATACTTTGCAGTGTCTGGGGTTATCCATATAGGCCTTTACTCATAAGGCTGGAGGAAACTCTTTATGGCCACAGAATCAGATCATCTGATCTCATGATACAGCCTTTCTGTCCTACATATGCCTTCCTGTGTTTGCACTGTTCCATTAGTTTAGCCTAAGTGTGCGTGTGTGTGTATGTATATGTATATGACAAATCAACACTTTTAGTGCCTTGTAATGTCCCTCATTCAAATACTATGGATAAAGTTGACATGCATATTTTGATGAAACCATTACTTGTTTTCATACTCTCCACATTTGCCTGATCTACAAAAATAAATAGTATGATTTGGTTCAGTGGTTAAAAAAGAGCATGCAGTCTTAAAAATCTGTGTTCAAATCCTAGCTCATATACTGACCAGCTATGTAATCTTGGGCAAATTCCTTAATGTCTCTGAGCTTCAGTTTTGTCTCCTGTAGAATGGAATAATAATAGAAACTTCCAGAGATGATTTATGCAGATTTCTTATACAATAGAAATTCTGAATAAAATGTAGTTTTTATACACTGGCATCACCCACTATTCCTCTTCTTGAATAAGGTTTATATCCAGCATATTACCCAGGCCCACTGCTTGGAAATTATCAGTGTGATTTTTATGCCGTGAAAGAACAGGTCTGGGAAGAAGTTTGGATAATATGGTCAAGTACAGAGACCACACACTACTCCAGCTTCTCCTTTTTCTGTGTGCTGCTCTTTTACTCAGTACTGAATGTTTTCCCTGGTGTGCTGGTGGGAAGGATGGAATTGGCTCAGATACATATGATTTATGCAGAATCTTTATACAATAGAAATTCCTAATAAAACCCAGTGGGGTGGAAGAGTGTGGAGCAGAAAGAATCACTTCCCTTCTCTCAGGTGGCCCTGAGTGTGGTTGCAGCCCTTGAGTGTCTGCCCAGGTGGGTCTTGCCAAGAGGCCGGGTGGCCTGGGCTGGGCACAGTTCACAGGCCTGATTCTGGGAGAATCTCCTGCTGTCTGTTCTGTGGCTGCAGCTGTGGGGGCTCTTAAAGAGCTTCCACTAAGGGTAACTTTGGGTCCTTCTGTGTGCCACTTCCAGGTTATGTTGCTAGAGGGAGATTTTCTAGTTTACCTGGAAACATATGGAAAATGCCACAGAATAGAAGGGGGCAAAGGTGAGCTCCTTGGTCTGTTCCACAGACCATCCTGAGCTAGATGGAGAGATTCCAGTTCTGGGTATTTCTGAGAGATTTATTGTCATTAACATTCTTTAGTCAATACTATTATCTCTACAAAACTTGACACATTTTGCAATATGGAAATAAGGGTTTCCTAGCTTTACATATACAGGCCTTCCATCTCAGCTCACGTATTTCTTTACCTAGGGGTGATGCTAATGATTTCTTCTTTACTTAATCTTATTTTTCTCTATCTTAGAGATGAAATCCTACACAATATATATCTATGTAGAGAGATATATAGATATATAGAAAATTTTCAAGCTATAGAATTATTTCAGGTGCTGAATAGAAAATTCTTTATGGGACAAACAGAGCCTTATGTTCCTGAGTTGCTCTCATCTCTAATGACGTTTTTAAAAAGGTTTGGAAATATCTCATAGATAATACATACCCTCCCTCAAGCCTATCCAACAATAAAATAATCCCTAAACCCAGTAATAAATAATCCACATGCCTACAGCATTCTTGCAGACATACACACCATTCTATTTCAGGGTCAGGGACATGAGAATGGAAAAGGTTGATTTTTAGTGTATTGTATTTTTGTAGAATAGACTGACAATTTTTTTTCTTTGCCATGGTACATTTAATATAGGATGCTGTTTTACATTTTTTACCACTTCTCTTCAAAGCTGGTTTATGGATCCTTACATCTTTGAATATGAATATAAATTATCATGACAGTATTATGGAAAAGAAAGAAGTCTAATACATACATTTCTTGCACTGCTTTCTTTTTCTTCTTCTTCCAGGAAAACCAGTTTGGCTATTAAGGGAACCTGTCGACACAGAGCAGAGCAAGATAAGGCCAGGTTTCAGAAAGAATAGCTGTTTACCATCAAAGCAACTGGGTTCCACACAGACATGGTATATTATACACAAAGACGAAGGTAAATGCTCCATGGTTTTTATGAATAATTTACTGTGCTTACATAAATGCACTAGAGCCTCTAGAATTCTTACTGATCATATTACTTTCCTTTCTATTGTTAAAAAAATAGCTAACTCATCAAATGTAATTTTAAAAGTCAGTTTTCTGGATTCCCCCTCCCTCTCCCTCATAACCTGATGCTTCTGGTGTGTCAACACCTGTATATCAGAGGGGAATGATTTTTTCCATGTGATAAGTGCCATTTTGGTGATGCATATAATGAAAGTTTACTAGATTTTCATTTATCAAAGTGTCTTTCTCTGCTCAGTTTCAAAAAGCAGGAATTTTACTTGGAGTGATATATTTCTTGGGTTAATTTATATTTTATAAATATATGAAATTATTAATTCATTCTATCTGTAGCATGTGTGGACCCTGAAGCTTATGGCAGTGCCGTTATCTGTTGTAGGGATGCAAACATGCTCTTTGATGTGTTATTCTTGGGGACTTGGGAGGATAAAGATGGAATACTCATTTGGCCCAACTCTCCAGATGGGCTGAAAATGCAGCAGTGGTTTATGTGCATTTCCACAGATCAAGGTTGTAACTTTCTACTCTGTACTATGTTGTAGATAACAGGAAACTTCAGGAAGTAGCAGTCTCAGCTGATTTTGCTCCTGCCTGTCTAGGATGGGGCAATGGGCATCACCAGCACACAAACGTGCCTTCTGGCACATGCTTGCCTCAGTAAAGTGCCTGCACGTTCACTCTGTCATGTGGAGTATCCTACCCTGGAAAGATGTCAAAAGTAAATCATCATCATCCTCATGTACAATACCAACATATCCTAAATCCTGTTCTAAGTGCTTTATTTATATTAACTATCTTGTTCTGGTTTTGTTTTTGTTCTTTTTTTTTTGAGACTGGGTCTCACTCTGTTGCCCAGGCTAGAGTGCAGTGGTGTAGTCACGGCTCAGTGCAGTCTCAAACTCCTGGGTTCAAGCAATACTACTACCTCAGCCTCCTGAGTAGCTGAGACCACAGGCACATGACACCACACTGGCTAATTTTTAGAGTTATTGTAGAGATGGCATTCCACTATGTTGCTCAGGCTAGTCTTGAACTCCTGGCCTCAAGCTATTCTCCTGCATTGGCTTCCCAAAGTGTTGGGATTACGGGCATGAACCACTGTGCCTGGCCTTAACTGCCTTTTTAAAAATTTTATTATTATTATTATTATTATTATTATTATTATTTTGAGGCCAGGTCTCACTCTGTTGTCCAGTCTGGAGTGCAGTGGCACGGTCTTGGCTCACTGCAGCCTGAAACTCCTGGGCTCAAGTGATCCTCCCACCTCAGCCTCCTGAGTAGCTGGAACCACAGGTGTATACCACCATGCCTGGCTAATTTTTGTATATTTTGTAGACACAGGGTCTCACTTTGTTACCCAGGCTGCTCTTCCACCCCGGGCTCAAGTGATCCTCCCATCTTGGCCTCACAAAATGCTGGGATTACAGGCATGAGGCCACCATACTTGGCCTATTTAACTACCTTAATACTCACAACAACCCTCTAAGGTGGGCTTTTTAAATAGACCTAACAGATGAGGAAAGTGAGGCACAGAGTGGTTACCCATATATCTCTCTTATTCTCTGGCCCCACACCTGTGTTCTTTTAGTGGATGTGAACTGATTCTTGGCATTGAGAGTTATTTTTGGTTTTATCTTTTTGAGACTTTTTCTTCTTTAATGTATTAATTCATTCTTACAGTCAATAAATATGTTGAGGGACACTATGGGACAAGCACTGTGGTAGGTGCTGAGGATGTAGTCACAGACAAACAGACATAATGGTGGCCCCACAAAGCTTACAGTCTATTGGGAATACTGATGTTAAACAGATAAGAACAGTAGACTGCATTGGTGGTTGGGGAAATACTAGGTGCTGTTGAGGAAGCAAAGCAGGGGAATCTAATCCAGTCTTGGGGTCAGAGTCATTTCCCAGCAGGGGACTGAAAAGCAGCCAAGTGAAGAGAAAAGAGAAAATTGACCTCCACAGAGGAAAGCCCAGGGGAAGGCAGGTAGGAGGTCTGTGAAATAAATAGAAGTTGTTGCTTGAGGAACTGAACACTCAGGTTAGGTCTGGAGTGTGGAGCTGGGAGTGGGAGACGGTGGGAAAGAGACACTGGAGAGGCCGGTAGGGGTGGAGGGTGGAGGTCCCAGTAGGCCACTGTAAGTTTGTACTTTACCTCCAAAGAGAAACCTTTAAAGGGATAATCAGGGAAGTGATGCCATCTGGTACACACCGTCAAAAAGATCTCTCACTGCTCAGTGGGCAATGTTCTGAAGTGGAGGCAAAACTGGATTTGGAAAGCCATTAGTTGGCTGTTGTAGTAATCCCCCAACCATTGGAGATGCTTCTTTTATAACTCCACTTGTGGGGATGCTGACAAATTCTCTCCTCTATCTGCAGACATTCAGCATGGTAAGGCACGAAGTGCCTACATTGCACCAAAGACCTGTGAATAAGAATATGTGGGGATTCGTGTAGCCAGGTTGGACTGATCCAAGGCCAAGCAGCCTGTGCACTCAACTGACGAATGCTGGGGAGAAATAGAGCTCTGGGCAACATAGGGAGACCCTGTCTCTACAAAAAATAAAAACATTTAGCCGGGCACGGTGGCTCACGCCTGTAATCCCAGCACTTTGGAAGGCCAAGGCGGGCAGATCACGAGGTCAGGAGATTTGAGACCATCCTGGCGAAACCCGTCTCTACTGAAAATACAAAAAGCCGGCGGTGGTGGCAGGCGCCTGTAGTCCCAGCTACTCGGGATGCTGAGGCAGGAAAATGGCGTGAACCCGGGAGGCGGAGCTTGCAGTGAGCCGAGATCGCGCCGCTGCACTCCAGCCTGGGTGACAGAGCGAGACTCCGTCTCAAAAAAAAAAAAAAAGAAAAGAAAAAAAAAAAAGAAAAAAATTTAGTGGAGCATGGTGGCTCACACCTGTAGCTCCAGTTACTTTGGGAGGCTAAACTGGGTAGATTGCTTGAGCCTGGGAGGTCGAAGCTGCAGTGAGCCATGATTGCGCAACTGTACTCCAGCCTGGGCAATGTTCATAGCATGAAGTTGAAGCGTACATACACCTACAAAAGGTGACAACATATTAAGAGACAACCAGGATTATATTATGATTTTTGTTTGCCTTAGGCACTTTTGCCTTTGTGGGCCCCTTTCTTCATCAAAGAAAAATTTAAAAATATATCCTATAAATGTGTTCAAAAAAGAATATAATCCAGGCTGGATTTGTTATTCTTATTTTCTGTTTTTTTAATTCTCATTTTAAAAGAAATTAAGCATTTTTGTGGACCTCTAGGCACTACGCTACTGCTACCTAATGGATAAGATGGTCCTGCTTCCAAATAAAAGACAGAGAGAAAAAAAAAACTCCAAAGAGGAGGAGATTTGATGTAAACTATGGCTCTGTGGGATTCAAATTTAGCCAAAAAGATGATGCTAAGTGGTTAGTGTCCAGGGCCAGGTGGAGATAGAATGGTCAGCTGGGTCGAGTCTTGAGTGCGGTGAGAAGGAAGTGGGGACAGGTGCATAGTGAGAGAGGCTGGAGATCCCTTTTTATCTGATGCCAGCTGTGGAGTGTGGGAGGAGATTACTAAAAGACACTGTGCAGGGTGGGGCAGAGACCAACATAGGCCATTGTGGGCAGGGAAGGGCCCATGGGAAAGACGGGATCTTCTGTGGGTCCTGGGACCCTGGCCAGGACTCTGAGATCCAGAGAGTAGAGTAGGGGGATCCTGGGGGTAATGCCAGGGACAGGGGCAAGACTATGCAAGGCAATCTGGAAAGGCACATTGAAGCAGGAGAGAGGTGGTGGCTACTATGACTTGGATCATTCCTCATTCATGGCAACTTCATTCTAGTGCTCCTTCTTGTGTTGCAGAGCCCATGGTTTATACACACCCTTGCAGCTGGAGTTCTGGGTGTGAATTAGGTTGGACCAATTAGATGCATCTCGTGAGACTTGAATTCAGACCTAAGGTGGGAGAAGCATAGTGTGTGACACAATTTTGCAAAAGATAAAGCCATACTGCCTGAATCCAGTTCAAGCTTCTGCTTGCATTTTGTCTACTACTAAGCCATCACATGGCTGAACCTAGAGTCAAAGAGGCAGGGCAGATTACTGCAAAGTTACATGGCAAAGGGCACCGATACGGCGAGAGGTGAAGAACTACCACCATTATGGCAATACACTACAGGGAGTAGCATGATACAATTCCCGTGTTAAAAGGACCACTCCAGCAACTGTGTGGAGAACAGATTGAAGGGGAGCAAGATTAGAAAGAGAGGGAGAACACACAGGAGGTTATGGCAAGAGTCCAAGTTAGAAATGAGTTTGGAGTAGGGTAGTAGCAGTGGAGTTGGTGAGAACAGGTTGAATTCTGGACATATTTTGAGGATAGAGCTGACAGCACTTGCTGATGGCTGAGATGTATGATATGAGATGTAGAAAAGAATGAAAGGGTGACATTCTGGTTTATGGCCTTAGCAAGTGGTTGTCACTTCTTTTGAGGCTCCAGTAGTCCAAGAAGTGATTGGATGCATGAGGAATACATGAATGTGTTCACTTGCGATAATTCATTGAGCTGTAAATACTGTGCATTATTTGCATGGCTTTCTGCAATGTTACATATGTTGCCTCTCACTTAAAAACCTAGGAAAAATTTGGTAGAAAGATGTTTAATAAATACTGAGAGTCAGGCTCACCACTTCCTCTAACTCATACCCTTGACTCATAGACACTTCTTTTCAACTCTCTGTTGAATTTATTCTTTCTTTCCATCTCCCTTGTTCACGCTTCAGTTCAGACCTCTTGCCTGGACAATTGCAGTAGAGCTAATTTATCTCATTGACTCTGGTCCCCTGTCTATCCTCACACTATGGCAGGAACATCTTTATAAAATACAAATCTGATCATGGCTCTTTCCTGACAAAAGTTACTTCTTTGTGGTATAAAGGTCAAACTCTTTCAGGTCTGGCCTCTACCTCACCATAACCAATCTTCCACTGCCCTCTCTTTCCCACTCTATATTACAGCCATCATGGACTGTTCGCAGTCTATGCAACACCCTGGCACTTGTGCACAGGCATGCCTCTACCTGGAATGCTCTCCTTCCTTTGTTGGCCTGAATAAGACCCCACTCAATTGCCCGTACCTCTGTGAAGTCCTCTTGTTTCCTAAGCAAAGCCTCCCCCTCCTTTGTGCGAGCACTTGGCTTTACCTTCCATGTATTATTATAAATACCATACTGTATTGTAATTTTTTAAAGGCAAAGCTTATTTTCTATTTCCTATTAAAGAGGCCTGAAAAAAGTGAGGGAATTAGCCATTTAGATATGACCTATACAAAAAAGTAATAGAGGGAAAAAGCACCCCAAATCTCTCCTTGTAAAATCTCTCTTTTCAGTCTTTTTTTAATGCTATTTTCTTCTCACATAGTTGGAAACATATGATATAAATTCTGCCTTACTTCTTCATGTAGTAACAGTGATTTTTTCTCTTGATATTTAAAAATGCTTTATGTATTTTTGTGAAAAACCTGTTTCCATGTTGCTTCTCAGCACCTTCTTTATTTGTTTTTACATGTGCTATTTGACCATCAATTTATTGGACTTAGTGCTTTTTACTGATTTGCATAAGCTTTTTATATATGAAAAATCAATTTTTTAGTTTAAAAATATCATTTAGAGCTGTATTAGGCTGCAAGTAACAGAAAACTAGGTGCATTATTTTTCCATTGCTGTGTAACAAATGATCACACACTTGGTGGCTTAAATCAAACAAATTTATCATCTTACAGTTCTGGAGGTCAGGGGGCCAAAAGGCATCTCATTGGGCCAAAATGGAAGTGCCTTCAAGGCTGTGCTTCCTTCTGGGGGCTCCAAGGGAGCATCTGTTTCCCTGCCTTGTCCAGTCTCTAGAGGCTGCCTGTATTCCCTGGCTCACAATCCCTTTCTCTGTTTTCAAAGCCAGCAATGACAGGCTGAGTTGTTTGCATATGTGCACTCCCACCTTTGCTTTTGTTATCACACCTCCTTCTCTGAATCAGATCTCTCTCTTGCCTCCCTCTTCCACTTTCTTTTTAAAGCCAGTGTCTCACTTTGTTGCCCAGGCTGGAGTGCGGTGGCACAATCATAGCTTACTGCAGCCTCAACCTTCTGGGCTCAAGCAATCCTTATGTCTCAACTTCCCAAGCAGCAAGACTACAGGTGCACATCACCACACTTGGCTAATTGTTTTTATTTTTTTGTAGAGATGGGGGTCTCACTATGTTGCCCAGGCTGGTCTGGAACTTCTGGCCTCAAGTGATCCTCCCACCTTGGCCTCCCAAAGCACTGTGATTACAGGCATGAGCCACTGAACCTGGTCTACTTTTATAGACATTTTAAAATTACATTGAGCCTACCTGGATAATCCAGAATAAACTTCCCATTTTAAAGTTAGCTGAGTAGCAACCCTAATTCCATCTGCAACCTTAATTCCTCTTTGCCATGTAACATAACATAGACACGGGTCCAAGGGATTAGGATGTAGATATCCCTGGTGGGGAAGGGGTGGGGACATCATTTTGCCTCCCATACCAGGCATATAAACAAGTAAAGTGTTTACTTGTCTTACATAAAAGGAAGTCTGGGGCAGTGGTGGAGAGGATCACAAAGAGAAAAATAAACAAAAAAGAAGGCTAGGGCTAGCATGACATCTTAATTATGCCATCAAGTATCCAGTCTCTTTCCATCTTTCTGCTATGCCATCCTTAGCGTATGAGCCTTTGACTCTGTGCTATTGCCTCATGGTTGCCAGATGGCTGTTGAGTATCCAGGCATTTCATCCATGCTCCAGGAAAGAAAAAAAGTGGCCATGTGAAGGGCAAAGGAATGAAAGATGGAAGAGCATGTCAGCTGAGTATATGTCCTAGGTCAGAGTCTCCAGAAGCAGCCCCTCACCCATTCATATGCTAGTGATTTACTAAGGAAGTGTTTCCAGGAGAAATCTGTAAATAGGATAAAGAAGGCAGCATAGAGAAGAGAAAGCCAAGCAAGAGTGATTTTAGGTCAAGGATTTTACGGTCTCAAGAGGAATCCTGAGTGTAAATTACACTAGAGTTTGTGTCAGCTTGAAGCAAAGTAGCTCAGTGTACAGACTCCTGCTCCAGTTGATGGGGGAGGAGTAGTGGTGGTGGCAGTGGTGGGGATTGACCACCCACGCCCTTCAGACATCCAGGCAAAGAGGCTGTAACAGTCCAAAGTAGTCATCTAAAGAAAGTAACAGATGCCTGTTGTTAGGGATACAACCCAGAGAAATAAGGGAGTGAGCTCACTGAGCAGGTAGAGAGTTGGAGGCGGTCTGGGTGGAGTACCATGACTTTGCTGCAGTTTGTCTCTTTTATTATATAAAGTTTCTCTGGATGCTCTATTTAGCAAGCTCCAATACAGTCTTTTGATCCAGACTTACCATATAGCCACCTCTTCTAGCTGCAAAGATATCTAAAATGGGAATTCTGATTGGATACATTGCCACTTTTACAAAATTGGGGGTCTGGCCAGGTGCCATGGTTTATGCCTGTAATCCCAGCGCTTTGGGAGGCTGAGGCGGGTGGACAACGTGAGGTCATGAGTTCACAACCAGCACGGCCAACATAGTGAAACCCTGCCTCTACTAAAAATACAAAAGTCAGCTGGGTGTGGTGGCATGTGCCTGTAATTTCAGCTACTTGGGAGGCTGAGACAGGAGACTCGCTTGAATCTGGGAGGCGGAGGTTGCAGTGAGCTGAGATAGCACCACTGCACTTCAACCTGGGTGATAGATTGAGACTCTGTCTCAAAAAGAAAAAAAAAAGGTGGTTGGAGGGGTTCTGTTAGTAAAGTAAAAAGGAGAGAACCATGCTAGGTAGACAACCATCAGACTCTGCCAAAATATATTTCTCATCTTGTGTACTTTAACGTTTGGTCATTTTTTAAAACAAAAGATTAGAAATTTTATGTAGTATATATTTTCTTTTCTAATTCCATCCAATATATCAAAGTTACAACTTCATTCTGAAACAGAGGTCTGATAAATGTCAACCTATATTTTATCTGTATTTTCTAGTTCATAAAAATATTTAACTCTATTCTGTCTATAACTTGTTTTGGTGAATAATGTCAAGTGATACTATAGGTGATTTTTTTCACTAATTCCTAAACAATTTTCCCAATATTATGTGTGTGTGTGTATACCCATACATACATGCAAACACTGTATTCTATTTGTTGGCTATGTGTGCCACTCCAGTGGTCTGTTGATCCTTTTGTCACATTTTAAAAAGTAATGTGGTTTTATAACATATTTTTATTGTGATAGGGCAAGCACCCATCCTCATTTCTTTTTTTATTTTTCTTGCTTTGTTGTCCAGGCTGGAGTGCAGTGGCACAATCTCTGCTCACTGCAACCTCTGCCTCCTGGGTTCAAGCGATTCTTCAGCCTCAGCCTCCTGAGTAGCGGGGATTACAGGTGCCCACCACCATGCTCAGCTAGTTTTGCAATTTTAGTAGAGATGGCATTTCACCATGTTGGTCAGGCTGGTCTTGAACTCCTGATCTCAGGTGATCCCCCTGCCTTGGCGGATCTACCAAAGTGCTGGGATTACAGGAGTGAGCCACCATGCCCAGCCTCTTTTCTTTCAAATTAGTATGGGTTTCATAAAATTACTTTCAACATTTATTGATATGATCATGTAATTTTTCTAACTGATCAATTTATATATATGTTATTACTTAGCTCTGTTACATAACATCTTGAGCTTCAATTTTCTTCCCCCAAAAGAAGGTGTTCAATTAGGTGACTGTCAGGCTCCCATCCAGGTCTAACATTTTATCATCCTAAGAATTGTCTGTCTCTGAAGAAGATTCCACATGTTGACCATGTTCAACTCAGTAGTTGTTGCTTTCTGCATGAACCAATAAGTGCCCGTATATAAGGTGTGAGCTGACAGCACTTCTAGAAACTCAGTAGCCTCTAGTCTTCCTGCCAGTACACTTCACTTTTTCTGACCAGCCTAATAGCGTCCGTTTTCATACTCCAAAACTGACATTTCTAAAGAAAAAATAGAGGGAAACAACAACTCAGATCATTAAATAATAATAGTAAAAATAATCAATAAATTACTATGTTGATCTATATTTAATCAATAAGTTAAACTTAGAACTGTGCCTGGTACTTATAAACATAACATAATTACTAGCTGTCATATTTTGTTGCTATTTTTAAATTGACTATTTCATAATAAATGTTGAGATGGGAGATCTGAATTTATTCATCCTTTAGTTGGTCTCAGTTCACTCTTGCTTCTTATAGAGTTAGGATCTTCTCATTCTGAGACTCTCTAAAATTTTGTTCTAGTGTTTAGTTTTGTTCTCATGTTTTTTGCACAATGTGGCTCCTAAATGCCAGTCAACTACTTCATCTTGTGCTTATCTAAGGAAACAGTTTTCCTTAAAATAGTGAATAAAAGACTTACTATGTTGGATTTAGTGAGAGGTGATATGTCAATTTTCAGTAGATCCTTATTATTTGCAGATTGTACCTTTGTGGATCCACCTACTCACTGAAATTAATTTGTAACCCCCAAATCAATATTTGCTGTGCTTTCACACTCATTCACAGACCTGCAACAAACAGTGAAAAACTTTGAGTTGCGCAGTGCGCAAGTTTCCCAGCTGAGGCTGAACCAGGCAATGCTCTGCTGTCTTGTTTCAGTTCTCATATTGCCAACTGTCCTTTCTGAGATCAATTTAGTGCCATGTTTTGTTTGTTTTTTTTTTTTTTTGCATTTTTGTGCTCTTGTTGGTGATTTTGCTGTTTAAGATGCCCTTCAAGCACAGTGCTGAAGTGTTGTTTAGTGTTCCTAAGCTCAGAAAGTCTTTGATGTGCCTTACAGAGAAAAAAAATGTGTGTTTGGTAAGCTTTGTTCAGGCATGAGTTACACTGCTGTTGGCTCTAAGTTCAATGTTAATGAATCAACAATATATATTAAAGAAGGTTTCTTTAAACAGAAACACATAGGAAACAAGGTTACATCTCGATTATGAAAATGTTGTGACCAGAGGCTTGAAGGACCCTAACCTGGTATGTCCTCTAGGAGCAATGGCTCAGGATTTGCTAATTTACTGTTTGCAGTAACTTTATAGAACATACCTACCACAAATAATGAGAATCAAGTGTCCTTTTCTACGGAATATTCCAGGATTATTTGGGCTACTTGGGAATTTCAACCTTGAGAGTATTCGTGCCACTCCCCGCTCCCCAAAGATGGGACTCCCCTGTATCTTACTTGATCGTGAAACAAGAAGCATTTACTATGCCTTCTTTCTTGAGGTCATTTAGACCTTGTTATTTAAAAGTCTAGTGAGGGGGGTTCATTGTTTAATTTTACAATGTCATATATTCAGTTTCATCCTTAAAAAACAATGACTTGTATTAGGAGTACTGAATATAGTTTTTAGGGAGGGAAGTAAAATTGCACTCTGATTAATGATGTTATGGATTTCTCAGTGACTTAGGAAAGCATTTTCTTTTTCTTTCTTTCTCTTTTTTTTCTTTTTTGAGCCAGAGTCTCTCATTGTGTCACCCAGGCTTGGAGTGCAGTGGCACAATCTCCGCCTCTTGGGTTCAAGTGATTCTCCTGAGTCAGCCTCCCGAATAGCTGGGATTGCAGGTGCACACCACCACACCCAGCGAATTTTTGTATTTTTAGTAGAGACGGGGTTTCACTATGCTGGCCAGGCTGGTCTCAAACTCCAGACCTCAAGTGATCAGTCTGCGTTGGCCTCCCAAAGTGCTGGGATTACAAGTGTGAGGAAATGGTTAGAAAAGCATTTTCTTAATGATAAAAATAGTTGCCATTAAGTTCTACCGTGTTCCAAGCACTGTACTAAACACTTTAGATACATTATTTTATTATCTTCACAACAACCCTGCAAAATAGGACTTGTATTAATTTCACAAATGAGCATCTGCAGATCAGGGAGCTAGATTTAAATCCACGTCTATTTGACCTTAAAGTCCAGGCCTTTCTACTAAAGCATTTGCCATAGGCACTAAAAGTTCATGTTAACTGTTCTTCCTTTTGTATACCGAACAAAGCACATTAGGAGAACATGAATCAAGTTTACTCATCTGAATTGAATGTGTCACATCAGCATCATCTTGACTCAAGGATGGCAAACAATGTAATGAGCATAAGACAGAATCTACAAATTTGACTCATGGTTTGTTACTTTAACCAAGAAAGAGAACTGTACAGGAGAGAAAGAGAAAGCCACCCACCAGACCATCTATTTTTCTATTTTAATTAATAATTAAGTATAATACACAAATACTTGTCTAATATCTACATTTCATAACCTGAAAAAAAATCACATAATTCCAGAAATATCACCTTTATAAAGCTCCAGCATGCACTGACAAGGCAACTGCACTTGCTATGTCAAACACATAAAACAGATTCTTTCTGCCAAAACTCTCCGGGTAATGGTAATTAAATAGATGTTTGGTTACTCCTATCCTATATTCTGCACTAAGTTGATTAACCTGTTTAATGAGTATATGAGAATGACCAAAGCTGACCTCACATCAAAGAGCCCCATTGTTGCTGTGTGCTGACCTGAATTTTAGTTGTGCACTAGGTTCTTTAATTGCACCAGGGATGTGCTAGAGAATAGAGTAGATATTTTAAGCGGCAGTGGGTTTCTTGTCCCAGATGTGTTCAGTTACTTGTAACATGCAGTATTAGATGCTGATTTGCACATCCAGGCTCTGAACACTCTCCATCTTTGCAAAGATTCGCAGTTTAACAGTTATGTTTGTTGCAATTGGCAGTGGTGATTAGTTCATATGGTAAAACTTACCTTCATGTATTATTAAACATCACAAAGGAGTTGAGAAAAAAAGAGTCTGTAAATGAGTCAACAGTGAATAAATTCAGATCTAAACAGTCTTTGGGTCTCCATTAAGGCCTCCCACCTTGGTCTTCAGCCTCCATGAGAATCCTTAAAGGCTGATGTGTTTTCTTTATTGAGCACTGTCAGCAAGGACCAATTGTTACTTCAATCTACAAGTACCAGGTGGTAGACAATAGGAAGCTAGTTCTTAAGTGATAACATTGATTTTTTTAAAGAACCCCAAAACTCAATAATATTGACTGCAGTCTTCTAACCAATTCTCCTTTAGTTTATTTTTGTAAGCAACTTGAAGAGGGTATTTTAGCTAACCACTTGTGAGAAGATGAAGATGTTCTGAACTCATTTTTCATAGCAGTACTTTTTTTTTAAACATTGAAGGTCATACACTTCTGCTGCTTAAGCCTTAAAAAATAAGTATCTTGAATTTTTTTGCAACAAGTTTTTTGGTGGGGGGAGGTGCATATATAAATACAGATAAATAAAGTACTGCTGGAGGTGTAAGGTGAGCCCAGTAAGGATAGGAAGGGGCTCAAATGACTTCTATCCTCCACTGTTTTTTTATCTTCTGTGACATCAGTTCCCCTGCTGTAAAATGGCATCTACTCCAGGATGGATAGCAGGGGTGTGAGCAGTGGGCATTGCAGTGGGTCTTAAAGGAATCATACGGAGTCAGTGGTGACCAGAGTGTGTATACGTCTCCGATTTGCCTAATCCCAGCAGTCTTGGATTCTCAAAGCTGTTTTCTTTTACTATTTTTTTTTCTCCTGCTGCCTGTGTTGCTCATGTAGTTTCTTGTCCTAACACTAACTTGTACTATGACCTTAGGGCACTCATTTAACTACTTTGGGCCTCAATTTCTTTATTCGTAAAATGAAGATTAGGACATTTTCTCCAAAGCTTGTTCCAGTAAATGCATTGTCTGCTATTTTGTGGTAGTTTTGTCAAAGTATTTTGCTAAGATGGTTAAACTATTTCCTAAAATCCCTTTTCTTTTTTGAGGTATCTTTGGATTTTATTTCATGTACCTCCACAAACATTTAAAGGACAAACCCAGTCTATTGATTGTGGATGGTTTTATGGATAGATAAAGTAATTGGACTCCAGATAGTCTCAAAATGATATTGGGGTTTTCTCCCCCAGAATTGTGGTTAATTTTCTGAAGAGAAGTATCTATGTTGTGCATGCTGGTACATTATCACAGCCAGAAACAGGCCACATTAGGAAAATCAGGAAAGATGGGGCAGTAAAGGTGTTTGTGTCGTTGGCAGAATCCCGTTAGTGGTAATTCTGTCTCTAAATAGAAAGCACTATATGATTTTATTGTTCAGGGAAGATTGCTAGCACATCAGCTGGGCCTCTTCTTCACACAATAAGTCAGCAGGTGGCTAAGGAATTTTTGTTCCTCAGTATGTCTGGCTAGCACTAATCCTATGTCTAAGTGGATAGTATTATGTGTTCACTGTGTTGACTGGAATGCCCCGCAGTGGGGCCTACTGTAGATGTTGACAACAGCAGCAGAGGCACAGACACATTCTAGGCAGACAGTGTCTGCATCACCTTTCTTAGGACTGCTCAGCTGAGGAACGGTCCTTAGGCAGATGGTGGCAGTGGGGGATGGGAGGGAGTGCTGAGGACGGAGGGGACAGAAAGAGAGGAAACTCAGGGTTCACTGAGGCCAGTGAGATACAGGCCCCTCTTAGGAGGCAACTATCCCATAAATTACCTGTCCCATAAACTACTGTGAGTAGTCTTTCTTCATCATGATCAAAATTTTCTTTTGCTGGCTTTTTACATTTTTTCATCCTCTATGTCTGCATTCCTTCAGGTTCATATTTTGGTTCCAACCTAACTAGAAGTAGGGAGGCAGCATCAGCGTTCTGGATGTCTGGCCACTGGTCCGCATGTTTCCTCATGCCCTGTGCAGAGTGAACAGCAGTCTGCCAGGGACCATGCCCCTCCGCAGCAGCCCTCCCCAGGAGGGCTCAGGAAGCCCCAAGGGACTTACAGTAAAGGGAGTGGAGGTTTTGATCTTAACTCAGATCTTAAGTTTCTGCTCTTAACCCAGTAAGCTGGTTGAGGAAAAGCGTCTATGCCTAAGCTGAGAGGAGGGTAGGTAGAGAATGTAACTTATATCAACAGGAATGCAGGAAGAGGCACCATTAGGCTCCACAAAACACTAGTTCTGGAATCAAACTTAGATTTCATACAGCTGCAGTGCTTATTATTACACGGTAATAATTGTAGGTTTGAGGAACAAATAAATATTTTACCAAAATTATGTTTGGTTGTTTTCTCCCATTTGGAAAAGATGGGTTAGGCGTGGCTGAGTTGTGAGGCCTCTCAGGCAGCAGGTTTTAGAATTAGTTCCTTACCTCTGAGGAGTTCAGCCTTGGTTCAAGTCACACTTATTTGTGGGTGAATAACTCAACAAAGTTTCTTGATCTCTTTGAGCCTCAAGCTCCTCATCTGCAACCTGGACCTAATGACATTAGCTATAGAAAATGGCCACTTTGAAGATACAAGAAGAACCTTTGTGAATATGTGATAAAGTGCTATATATATTTCAGTCTTTTCCCTAGCCACAGTAAATATATAATGATTCTATTATGCACATGTTTTTGTATTAGTTTCATTCTAGGCTCCATTTTTGGTCTCTATTTTTGTTTTCTTGTTTCTCACTTCCAGTTTATAAATCTGCTGAATATATATATGTGTGTGTGTGTGTGTGTGTGTATGTGTATTATGTATATATATGTGTGTATATATGTATATATGTATATATGTGTGTGTATATATATATATGTGTATATATTATATATATAGTATTTGGGAAAAGACAGAGTATGTATAAATAATTGAATAAGATTCAACCATTTTTCCAGTGGAGCACTAAAATAATTAGAAAAATATGCTAATTCCAACCTTCACCACTTTACCACAACCCAAGATCAGCCCTGCTAGCTTATACCGACCTCAATCACTGAATTATGTTATGTCAGGCATCATCTGTGGCCCCTTACTTACTGTCACTTTCTAGGGGAGATGATACTTGATCAGTGTTTACTCGACTGAAAAGGTCAGCTATGTTGGTCACCTTGTATAGTCCAGCATGGACAGATCTTAGCTTCAGGCCATGTATACTCCAGGGCCGCCAGGTTGGTGTGCTCTTTCCCCGATGCCATCACAGGCTGTCTTTCTGTGACAATATCTTTCAGTTCACACTGGAAAGGCCAGGAAAGCCATTCATTTATTCCATAAACAGTTAATGATTTACCAGTTACTGTGGCAGGCACTCTGGGTGATGTAAGAATAGATAAGAGATGGGCCTTTCTTCTGGGAATGTGTAGTCCAGTGGAGAGACAACTATGTAGGTAACTAAGCAGTTCAATGGTAGGGTGCTTTTGTGCATAGCCCCTGGAGCTGGCCTGCTCTGTCACTTACCAGCTGAATGATCTTCAGCACTAACTTCTACGTGCCTCAGTGTCCGTATCTATAAAATGGGAATAATTATGGCACTTAACAAATAAGGTTGTGGTGAGGGTTACTTGAATTATTACACATAAAACAGTGCCTGGTATCACAGCCAGCCCTAGATAGAGGATGATGATGGTGGTGGTGGTAGTGATAGTGCTCCAAGTGGGAGCCCGAGGAAGGCATATCACTTTTATCCAGGAGGCAAGGGAGGGCACCGAAACATGATCTTACTGGGCAGGGGAGAGGGAGTGCCCTTCAGGTGGAGGATGCAGCACATGGACACCGTTAGAATGGAGAGAAGGATGTTCTGAGAATTTTTTAGTCAGGCAGGAACTGTTCCCAGCTCCTGAATTCTGAGCTTGGTGACAAAGTGGAAACAAGCATGACGTTTCTATCTCAAGGACATTTTGTTTGTTACCATGAGAGAAAATTGACTGGGTGGAAAAATATGGTTGTTAAATAACTGCGTTTGTTCAATAGACATAATCCATGCTGACAGTGGCAGGGAGGTTGATAACAAAAAGCACTTATCTAGTTAACTTCAGATTGGGAAAAAACTTGTTAAAAAAATAAGTATCTAAACAAATCTGAATGAATCATACAGGTTGGTACTATCGTCTGAGTTTAGTAAATTATTTTTTTAGCCCTCTCCTTCTCTCTGTTTTTTTTAACTTTTTTTCCTTTTTTTTTTTTTTTTTTGAGACGGAGTTCACTCTGTCACCCAGGCTGGAGTGCAGTGGCACGATCGCGGCTCACTGCAAGCTCTGCCTTCCGGGTTTATGCCTTTCTCCTGCCTCAGCCTCCCGAGTAGCTGGGACTACAGGCGCCCACCACCACGCCTGGCTAATTTTTTGTATTTTTACTAGAGATGGGGTTTTACTGTGTTAGCCAGAATGGTCTTATCTCCTGACCTAGTGATCCTCCCGCCTCAGCCTCCCAAAGTGCTAGGATTACAGGCGTGAGCCACCGCACCCGGCCTTTTTAACTTTTATTTTAGGTTTGGGGGTACATGTGAAGGTTTGTTACGTGGTAAAGTCATGTCACGGGGGTTTGTTGTACAGATTATTTCATCACCCAGGAATTTAGCCCAGAACCCAATAGTTACTTTTCTGCTCCTCTCCCTCCTCCCAGCCTCCACCCTCAAGTAGACCCTGGGGTCTGTTGTTTCCTTCTTTATGTTCATAGGTTCTCATCATTTAGGTCCCACTTATAAGTGAGAACATATGGTACTTGGTTTTCTGTTCTTGTGTTAGTTTGCAGTTCCATCTATGTTCCTGCAGAAGACATGATCTTGTTCTTTTTTGTGGCTGCATAGTATTCCATGGTGTACATGTACCATATTTTCTTTATCCAGTCTGTCATTGATGGGCATTTAGATTGATTCCAGGTCTTTGCTGTTGTGAACAGTGTTGCAATGAACATTTGTGTGATTTGGCTTTATGGTAGAATGCTCTATATTCCTCTGGGTGTATACCCAGTAATGGGATTGCTGGGTTGAATGGCAGTTCTATTTTTAGCTCTTTGAGGAATCACCATACTGCTTTCCACATGGTTGAACTAAAGTCCCAACAGTGCATAAGTGTTCCCTTTTCTCCACAACCTTACCAGCTGTGTTATTTTTGACCTTTGTATTTTTATTTTTTTAGTAGAGATGGGGTTTCACCATGTTTGCCAGGCTGGTCTCAAACTCCTGACCTCAGGTGATCTGCCCACCTCAGCCTCCCAAAGTGCTGGGATTACAGGCGTGTGCCACCATGCCTGGCTAATTTTTGGAATTTTAGTAGAGACAGGTTTCACCATGTTGGCCAGGCTGGTCTCAAACTCCTGACCTCAGGTGATCTGCCTGCCTCAGCCTCCCAAAGTGCTGGGATTATAGGCATGAGCCACCGCTCCCAGCCAATTTTTTTGACTTTTTAATAGTAGCCTTTCTGACTGGTATGAGATGCTGTCTCATACTTTTGATTTGCATTTCTCTAATGATCAGTGATATTGAGCTTTCTTCATATGCTTGTTGGCCACATGTATGTCATCTTTTGAAAAGTGTCTGTTCATGTCCTCTGCCCACTTTTTAATGGGGTTGTTTGTTTTTCTCTTGTAAATTTGTTTAAGTTCCTTATAGATGCTGGATGTTAGACCTTTGTCAGGTGCATGGTTTGCAAATATTTTCTCCCATTCTGTAGGTTGTGTGTTTACTCTGTTGATAGTTTCTTTTGCTGTGTAGAAACTCTTAATTAGATCCCACTTGTCAGTTTTTGCTTTCATTGAAAATGCTTTTGGTGTCTTTGTCATGAAATCTTTGTGCATTCCTACGTCCAGGATGGTATTGCCTAGATTTTCTTCCAGCGCTTTTAGAGTTTTGGGTTTTACATTTAAGTCTTTAATCCATCTTGAGTTGCTTTTTGTATACAGTCTAAGGAAAAGGGGTTTAGCTTCAGTCTTCTGCGTATAGCTGACCAGTTATCCCAGCACCATTTATTGAATAGGGAGTCCTCTCCCATTGCTTGCTTTGGTCAGCTTTGTTGAATATCACGTGGTTATAGGTGTGCGGCCTTATTTCTGGGCTCTCTATTTCTACTTAAGAAAAAAAAAGTCCCAGGAAGGCTCACAACTCACAGTCAAGTGATATCAGTGTTGAGCACAAACGTGGATAGAATCTCTGGCATTTTTAATTCAGAGATTAAAAACAGTTTCCAGAAAACTATTCCTTTAAAAAACAAAGAGACATGCCAGGTGTGGTGGCTCATGCCTGTAATCCCAGCACTTTGGGAGGCCCAGGCGGGCGGATCACCGGAGATCAGGAGTTCAAGACAAGCCTGGCCAACATGGTGTAACCCTGTCTCTACTAAAAATATAAAAATTAGCCGGGCATGGTGGCAGCTGCCTGTAATCCCAGCTACTTGGGAGGCTGAGGCAGGAGAATCGCTTGAACCCAGGAGACGGAGGTTGCAGTGAGCTGAGATCGTGCCATTGCACTCCAGCCAGGGGGACAAAAGCAAGACTTCGTTTCAAATAAATAAATAAATAAATAAAAATAAAAAATAAAAAACAAGAGATGTGAAATGTTGTGAGTCTCCAAAATGACAGAAATTACTAAAAATAAAACCAATGACAGGTAGCAAGAAAAAGCCCCACTTAACTTTAGCTGATGTAAACAAGTATATTTAAGAAGTGTACGTAAACAAGTTTATTTAAATATAATTCAGCATATTCTCCTCGAAAACATTGAATTCCCAAACAGAATAATAAGTTTAAAATTAATGTGGTTTATTAACAATTAAAAATGATAACACAAGCTGAAGAAGATTGGAGGTGAAATGTTGAGTTTCCTTTGATAGGTAGAGTAATTACAAAGTGTGCTTTTGAAGTTCAAGAAGACAGCCTTAGGACACAACATTTTTAAAGTAAAAATTGGCTTGCACTCTGTTCAAGTGATTTATTTTGCACTAAGAAATGGGTGTGAGACATGATGTGATTTAAAATTTCATCCCTTGATGGAACTGCTTGAGGGTGACATGAATTTTTTTCTTTTTTCTTTTCTCAGCCTGCTCGGCCTATGAAGTTTCCTATCTAAAAGTTAATCTTCTGAAATTACTTAGGAATGTAAGGAAACCTAATCTTTTGGTGTGTAAACAAAAAGGACTAAGTATATCACTCCCCCTCTGACACCCAGGAGCCCAGAAGTGGGGTGCCTGCTAATTAATTACCTTCAGAAAACTGCACCTTTACCATCTTTCTCTGTCTAAGAAGGCTTGAAAGATGTGGGGAATTGAAGAGGGGAGGTAGAATGTACTCAAAGAAGAAAGTTCAAAGGAACTGGGATTTAGTTAAAATAGAAGGCTAGATTATCAAGGGAACAGGGAGGGCATTGAGGGACAGAAGACAAATGCAGTCATGTATCACTTAACAATGGGGGATACCTTCTGAGAAATGACGGTTAGGCGATTTTGTCATTGTGCAAACATACAGTGTACTTGCACAAACCTAGATGGCATAGCCTACTACACACCTAGGATATGTGGGATGGTCCTCCTAGGCTACAAACCTGTACATCAGGTTATGTACTGACTACTATAGGCAATAGTAACACAGTGGTAAGTATCTGTATATCTAAATGTGTCTAAACATAAAAAAGGTACAATAAAAATACAATATTACAATCTTATGGGACCACTTTGTATATGCAGCCTGTCTTGACCAAAATGTCATGTGGTGCATGACTGTAGTAGTTTGAAAAACTGGCTGATGGCAAATATATTTCACTTATTTTAGCGAGTGCTTTTTCTTTATTTCTACAAATGGAAAGAAATGCATTTAACCACCTTTAAAGTTTTCAATAGTCTATTGATGTAAGGAAAAATGATACTTGAAAAAAATGTGTCTGTTGGCCAGGCATGGTGGTTCATGCCTGTAATCCCAGCACTTTGGGAGGCAGAGGTGGGCGGATCACGAGGTCAGGAGTTTGAGACCAGTCTGACCAACATGGTGAAACTCTGTCTCTACTAAAAAAATACAAAAATTATTTGGGCATGGTGGCACGTGCCTGTAATCCCAGCTACTCAGGAGGCTGAGGCAGGAGAATCACTTGAACCTGGGAAGCAGAGGTGGCAGTGAGCTGAGATCACGCCATTGCGCTCCAGCCTGGGTGACAGAGCAAGACTCCATCTCAAAAAAAAAAAAAATGTGTCTATCATGATATGCTAGTAAATGCTTAAACACTGGCTGTCCAGGGTGAAGGGAGGGAAGGCCTTGCTGTGCAGCGTTTGTCAATTTCTATGGTGTAAATACTCCCCATGTGGTGGATTCTACCACTATGAGTCACTGACTGTGAAGCTGGGAACACACCACTGGGCTTTCCACCAGAGAGATACCGTAGACGTAAGTGGCCCCAAGAACATAGACAAAGGTAAAATGTAATTAAAAGCAGTGGGGAGGTGATGCTTTTTGAGTACTTCTTATCTTTGTTTTTAATATAGTTTGATTATAAATTTGTGCAATTTAATATTTAATAATGGTTTTTTTTAAACAGCCAGCTCATAGCTTTCCTGAAAATTTAAGTTGGCTCTTAAGAACCTGTACAAGCTGGTTCTAGCACACCGCTAAATACATATATAATGGCAAGTTATTGACTGGATTGACTGTGGTAATCACTGTCCCCCACCTGTGGGGGAGGGAGGGAGTTGTAGTTTGTGGCTAGGGACCTTCACCATTTACCCTGTATGCTCCTCTTTTGTATATACTGCTAGCGTAATAGAAGCGAATAGAAAATGATTTTCATAAAATATTGATTGCTCTCATAACCAATACTTCCTTCCCTCTTTTCAACTGAGCCCAAGCCCTTGAAGTAGCATGGCTCAATGCAGAGAGTATTGGACTAGGAACTAAAACTTGTCTTTTCATCCTGGTTTGACCTTTAAAAGACTGACTACCCGAGAGCAAGTTATTTAATTTCTCTGAGTGTTAGCATCTTTGTATGTCAAATGAAGATACATAGATTTTATCTCTAAGGGTCCAGATGGTTCTAACCTTTGCATTTTTAATTATTTCTTATATCATTCAATACATTTACCATCTGCAGGAGATCAGAGCAGTCACACAAAGTATTCTGTGAAGTCTCAAATTATCCCATTTATTACTCATTTTATTTCAAAATGTTTTGGAAATGTTATGGACCTGAAATTCATAGTCAGTGTTGATAATTATAAAACTTGGGTGGGTTGAAAAAAATCGAGCTTTGGAAGTTGGCTAAAAAAAGGTCCAGAAGATGTTGTCTGACTAGCTCTGTTCCCTGCAGGGTGCATTGATTTGCTGGCTCACGGGTGGTATGTGTGACAAGGGGCCTGGGACCTGGGCCTTTGGGAGCTTTCCCACGCCACCTAGGTTTATGTATTGGCTTGAGAGCTGCCCTGAATATCAGTCTGCACTAGTATGATTCTAGTCTCTGACCAGGGAAATTAGGAGTTTGGTTCCTAATAAAAAATAAATTATTTCATTATTTTTATTTTTAAACTACAAAATAGTAGATGTTTATTATAGAAAATTTAGTAAATACAGATGAGCAAAAAAGAAAGATCACTGATGTTAAAGTATAGAATTTTCCACTTTTTGTTGTTGTTCATTTTGTATGTATGTAAATGAACATATGGATGTTTTAAGTGACATATGTTGGCTCTTGAGACTGGGGCACAGCATAGACTCAGAGTGTAGACTCTAGAGCCAAAATGTTCACGTTGGAATCCTGGCTCTATCCCTCACTAACTGTGTGACCTCGGGCAGTTCACCCTGCCACTTTGTGCCTTAGTAAAAAGAGGATGATAGAGTCTACCTTGTAAGGTTATTGTGACAATTCAGTGAGTTAATATGTATGAAATCCGTATAGAACAGTGCTTGGCACACAATTCAATGAATGATAGCTATTTTTTTGTATTCCATTGTATATTGATGCACTGTAGTTTACTAATATCTTACTGTTGGACATTCAAGTGGCTTCTAATTTTTCACAACTGAGATGATATTTCTTATAGGTTATAACTTTATATACATTCTCAGGATAAATTCTAGACATGGAATCATTTAGTATTCACATATTAAGGTTCTAAATATATATTATGAAAATTAAAGTCTTCTTTACATATAGCCAAATGAGCATCCACTAAGTGCGCAAACACGTCCCATCTCTCCCTCTTATCAATGCTGGTAAATGGGTTGGGCTTTCACATTTTCTTATCAAAATGAGAATTCCATTTATTTCCATAATATATACAAATCTATGCTCTTTATCTTAAATGCAGAATAAATGCCCTGAGATATTATTAAACTGTGAAAATTAATTAAATCTTAAGGCAAACTTTTTTTTTCCGGAAAGTAATTCACCAGGCTGTGCCTAGGCATGGATATACATCCATGGTAAGCAATTCACCCCCAGCCTCACTACTAGGCAAAAGCAGTTAAAGAGACACAAACTGCAGCTCCTTCAAGGTGGAGGGCAAGAAGGCCTCCCGCCTCCGCTCCTCAGCCTTATTGGACCTACAGATTCTGATCCTTCCTCATGGCTCTGAGGCAGACCCTTTCCCAGCCTTGGAAGAAGATGCTGTCATCACCCCTGCTGGCTTGTGACTCCATCTGAGAGGTGTGTTCACTCAAATCATGGCCAGTGTGGCAGGGACGCTGATGAGGGAACACCACCATGGGCAGTGTGTCAGCCAGGTTCTCCCACAGACCCAGAACCAGCAGGGGACTGGAGACTCTCCACAGGCACCGAAGCTGCTGTTCCCAAGTGAGTTTTCTTCTTCTGCAGGGAAACCTGAGTTTTGCCCTTAAGGTCTTCCAACTGAACTGATTGATGAGAACCTCACAGTAACAACTAGATTAGTGTTAAAATTTTTTCTTTTAGAAACAGGGTGTTACTATGTTACAGCCCAGGCTGGATTCAAATTCCTGGGCTCAAGCAATTCTCCCACTTTAGCTTCCTAAATAGCTGGGACTACAGTGTGGGCCACTATGCCCAGCTTAGTGTTTGATTTAATGACTGGGTGCATTAGCCTGGCCAACTGATACATGACTGGCCATCACAGGCAGTCACAAGAAGAAGCAGTGTTCATGAAGGGTGACCTGAGTCCTGCTCCCACCAGGTCTCTAAGCCCCCTTTGAGTGCCATACCAGGCAATGTACATGATTTCTGGGCTGATGTAGAGCTGCCCTTAGCCAGCTCTTCTTCTGAGAGAAGACAGTGCTAAAATCTCTGCATAGAAAGGCATAAGGGAGCTTGTTATTCCTATTTTCATGTAGGGTGATTTGGAAATCATAGATCATCAGGGTCATGTAATAAATGATTTCAGAAGGAGGTCTGAAATATCCACTCTAAAGACTATGGTGGAGGGGGCCAGAGGATTAATCATGGTATAACTCAGTGATTCCAAGTATAATTCCAAGGTGAGTTGAGAGGAACACTAGTTTCATGGGATAGCAAATAATAGATGCAAGGTGAAGATTCTGAGGTAAAAAAAAATGTTTAAGAAATTCTGGTTTAACATCAACAGTAGACTGGATAAAGAAAATGTCATACATAGACACTGGAAAACTATGCAGCCATAAAAAAGAATAAGATCATTTCCTTTACAGCATCATGGATGGAGCTGGAGGCCATTATCCTAAACAAACTAACACAGGAACAGAAAATACTGCATGTTCTCACTTATAAGTAGGAGCTAAACCAAGAAAACACATGGATACTAAGAGCAGAACAACAGACATTGGGGCCTACTTGAGGGTGGAAGGTGAGAGGAGGGAGAGGAGCCTTTTTAATAGGTTAATGTACTAAAGAGAGTAGTCTCTTTAGTTTAATAGGCTAATGTACTAAAGAGGAGCCTCTTTAATAGGTTAATGTACTAAAGAGAGGAGTCTCTTTAATAGGTTAATGTACATGGGAACTCTTGAATGGGTATTCTGGTATGCACTGTTTACAAGCTTACTTGATCACAAAAACAGTTTTTTGCTGAGGACTTTCTGAGTCTAGTGTCCCACAAAATACCTTAAGAAAAGATGTTATAACCTACAGTGATAGCCACCCAGAATAAAGACGGGATACATTTTCTTCCACGTTATCCCACTTATTGCCGTTTACCACCACTAGATTCTATGCAAAAGTAAATTTACTGAGAAATTCACTTCAAAAACGCCATTGAACACCTGCATTTATTGCATGCCCATTATGTGTTACTGCCAGGAATAAGGGCTGCATGAGACCAACACAGACCCTAACTTCGTGGAGCTTATGCCTTTCTCTAGACATATATCGCATAAGGAAGTGACCTCCTGACTACACCTTCATTCCAGATAGGACCCAACAGACCTGACATCAACGCTGGTGCACAAGTTTCCTGGAGTTAAAGGATTGTAGAAATGAGACCATGTGTCCAAACAGCCTGTTCCTTGGCAGAAGGAAGAGAAGTGCTAAGAAAAATCACATCCATCTTGCCAGGGAACTAGATCAAAACCAGAAGAAAGAGAATCTTTTCCTCTGGGGTGGGCAGTTTGGCAGAAAGCAGTGCCTTAGAGTTTGATGGAAATAAAAGGTGGCCAGTCTCCCCTTACTGCTGCCAATGTCTTCCCTTGACAGCCAGAGAAATCTTTGACTGAAAACCTTGAATGTAGGGAAAATGCAAACAACTAACAAGCCCCCGTCTTTCACAGCCATGTAAGTTAAAAAAGCCAACCAGGGATGCCCATACTCGAGGTTCTTATCTCTGGGTTCCTGGTCAGTCTCACTTTGACAAGAGGAATTTTAATCAATGTGAGACATTCTTTTTGTGACTCTAAAACAGTAAAAATGCCTCATTAGCTGTTTTACGCAGGGCTGCTGCTTCTTGGGCTCGCCACACACTGTATCCTACTGGTCGAGCTCAGCTGGGCCAGCTGGAACATAGCCAGCTAGCTCCTGGTGGTGAGTTCATCTGCAGTTTTCTAGATTAAAGCTCCTATCTTGGGGAGGTGCTTATGAGCAAAATGGAGGAAGTCGTTCTCTCAGAGGATCACTGGGGAGACAGGGAGACATGATATGCAATCAATCCTTCCTTCTGTCTTACACGTGACATCAATCAACAAACTTGTATTGACATTGCATTAAGGAGACATTAAGGTAGAGCAGGTATCTTGAGAGTAGAACTTTAATTCAAATTGGGAAATTATAAGTAGATGTTTTCCCAAGTTGGAATTGGACATGGACCTGAAAATTGTTTCTATAAAAGGAACATAAAGTTTATTATAGTTTCCAGCCTGTCGTCTCAGCCTATAAGTCCTTCCATTTGCAGGTTCAGTTTTATTAAATTTTTATTATAACTCAATTCTGATTAGGATAGTAGCAGGTTCAGTACCCTTGGCTTACCAAGTAGTGGGGCATGACTTAATCTTGTTGCCACAGACCGTGTTTCAGGGATGAGTACTGACCTGCCCATTTAGTTGTAGCTTTCTCCTAATATTGTCCCCCGACTGATTTTCACCCTATCCAATCTTGATGTTTAAATTTCCTTGACATTCCTTCTTTTAGATCTCTTTGGAGTCTGCAAAGGATACTGCTTCACCTTGTAGGAGTTAGTACTAAAGTAAGTCCATTTCTTCAAACAAATTTGCACTTAGTCCAAGCAAGATTGATCTAACTGATGAAGGAAATTGCCTATAAAGGTCAGTTATGACCACGTGCAAACTTGTGAATGGCAACGGTTAATAATGCATGCTCAGGGACCTGTCCATGTGAATTCAAATCCTAGGTCTGCCACTTACAAGCTGTACAGTCTTTGGCAAATCACTTTATCTCTCTTTTTCTTATCTATAAAATAGATATACAAGCTCGTAGAGTTGTTGGGAGGATTAAGTGAATTGTAACACTTTTAGAATAGTGTGTGTCACATAGAAAATGACCAATAAAGTTAGTAATTGTTGTTACTATTATTATTTTCCTGGTTGATCTAAGGGAACTCTCAGTTTAGCAGCAGAATCCATCTACTTGGGTTCTGGTGTCAGAGTGGGTAGAGGTGTGGGAAATGCTTATTTGGACTGTGAAACTCATACTGGTAGTTCACACTTGCAGAGAGTTCAGGTTTGACCCTGGAAGTGTTCCCCTCCCAAATCTGCTAAAATAGTTTGACAATTAGAAGTTAAAATATGGTCCATTATAAGTTTGAGTGCAAGGTAAAAATTGTCACCCTCACATCAAACTATCAGCAGCGGATCCATTAAGCAGGAGCATAGGGCAGGAAAACAGGCTGCCTCTCACCTCATTTGCCATTGGAGCACTGCCTGCTTGGGTATCCCTCTCCACCTTTAAACACTGAGCTTTGAACTATTGCCTAAGACTCTAACACCTTCTCTTTAAGAAGACTTCTTAATTTGACTGTTACCCCCAGGGAAATATACTTGCCAAAAATTCCAACAGTAACTATGGGCTGAGATCCTGGGGGTAAATTAATATTGGATTTCTGGGCAATTTGCCCTAAATGCTAATGTATAAAAATGCACCTGGATAAGGACATTTTTCTTCTGAATCACAGATTCATGGCCTAATTAATTTTTACTATCAAGAAGAAAAATGCTAGTTTTTTTTTTTTTTTACTAAGTACAATTGTCCCTCCATACCATGGGAGATTTGGTTCCAGGACCCCTGCAGGTACCAAAATTCAAGGATGCTCAAGTCCCTTATATAAAATGGCCTAGTACTTGCATATAACCTACACACATCCTCCTATATATTTCAAATCACCTATAGATTACTTATGATACCTAATACCATTTAAATACTATATAAATAGTTGTTAATACTGTATTGTTTAGGGAATAATGACAATAAAAAAAGTCTGTACATGTTCAGTACAGATTCCACCCCCATGCCCCACTGGCAATATTTTTTATCTGTGGTTGATTGACTTGATGAATGTGAAACTCATGGATGTGGAGGGCTGACGGTAAATTAAATAGGTTCTACCTAGGTAACAATTTAAGGTAGGGCCTCTGGGGCATTCACCTTTTCATTGTTTGCAGCTTCCAGACTAATGCCTTGAACATGGGGGTGAGCCTTTTTATTGCACACTACAAAGAGGATGTGTAGTGGGGTCATAGAATCCTGGGTTCAAATTTTAGTTCTGCCACATATTTACTAGTGGTGTGGTGTTGAGTAAGTGTTTACCTTCTCTGAGAACCAATTTCTTCTCCCAGAAGTTGGAGATAGGTAATAACACCTACCTTTCAAGCTTCTTGTGAGCCATTAAGAAAATAGTATAGGAAAAGTACCTGACACATTCTCTGCCATTGTTGATTGTTGTGTGATGGAATCTGGGGATCAGGGGTTCTCTCCCAAATCCACAGACCCTCATTGAGAAACATTTTTGCAGTGCTTAATTTTACAGACTTAAAAAAAATCATTGCCATTAGAAAATAACTTCCAAACTTTTTTTTTTCTTACCATGGAGATAAACCACATTTGCTTTTTTGCTACCCAGTTTTAAAAAAAAGCAATCTATTATGGCTTTGTAAATATTAATCACTTTTATGAAATAATTATATTTGTATCACAAATGTTAATATTTCTTTTTAAAAAATGTTATTGTGTCTAAGGTATATAACATGATATTAGGGGATATATACAGATAGTAAAATGGTTACTATAGTAAATAAAATTAACATATCCATCATCTCACATAGTGACTCCCCCTTTTTTTGGTAGCAAAAACAGTTAACATCTAATTTAGCAAAAATCTCGAATACAATACAGCATTATTAAATATAGTGCTCAGGTTGAACATTAGATGTCTAGACTTATTTATCCTAAATTTCTGCTACTTTGTATCCTTTGACCTGCATCACCCAGTGTTTTATTCTCTATCTCTGTATATTTGAGGTTTTTATTTTAAGATTCCATATATAAGTGAGGTCATGCATTATTTTTCTTTCTGTGTCTGACTTATTTCACTCAGCCTAATGAAGTCCAGACTCATCTGTGTTGTGGCAATTGGCAGTGTGTTAGTCTGTTTTCACACTGCTATGAAGAACTACCTGAGACTGGGTAATTTATCAAGAAAAGAGACTTAATCGACTCACAGTTCTGCAGGCTTAACAGGAAGCATGACTAGGAGGCCTCAGGAAACTTACAATCAAACTTCCCCTTGGCAGAAGGCGAAGGGGAAGCAAGAACCTTCTTCAAATTGCGGCAGGAGAGAGAGAGTGAAGGAGGAAGTGCCACAGACTTTTAAACCATCAGATCTGGTGAGAACTTACTGAGCAGCAAAGGGGGAATCCACCTCCATGATTTAATCACCTCCCACCAGGCCCCTCCTCCAATTCGACATGAAATTTGGGCAGAGACACAGATCCAAACCACATTAGGCAGTAGCTCCTTTTTTAAAAGGCTGAATATTTCATTATATATATATATATATATATACTACAATTTCTTTATCCATTAGTCCATCGACAGACAGACCTATAGAGCCCTATAGAGCCTGCAGAACCATGAGGCAATTAAACCTCTTGTCTTTATAAATTACCCAGTCTCAGGTAGTTCTTTATAGCAGTGCAAGAATGGACTAATACGCCTGTTGACCATTTTTATGTCTTCTCTTTAGAAGTGTCCATTCAGGTTCTTTGACCATTTTTTAAATGGGTTATTTGTTTTTTTGCTATTAAGTTGTATGAGTATTTTTTTCATAAATTTTGGGTATTAACCATATATGTATATATATGTATATGTATATAATATATATATATCTTGAAAATATTGTTTCCAATTTGTAGTTTGTCTTTTTATTTTGTTGATTCTTTTGCTGTGTAATTAATGTTTCTTTTTATGTAACCTTTGACTTTATATCATTTGAAAATTCTTAGTGTAAGCTTCTCAGCAGAAAAAACAGATTATTTACCAAGAAAGATAATTAGATTGGAACCTGACCTTTCATCAGCAAACCATATATGCTGAGATTATGGATTTTAAGGATAAAAGACCAGATGCCCTAGAATTGTACACACAGTCAAGCTATTGTGAAGATGTGAAAACACACAGAAAATATGCCCCTACATACTATTTATTTAAAAAGTTACTCAAAGAAGTACTCCAGCCAAATTAAAAGTAACATAATAAAGAAATCAAGAAGGGAAATCCAGTATATAGGATAGAATCACTTTAAAATTCATAGTAGCTCACTAATGATGTAGTTATAAAGTCTAATGCAGATTATATTAAACTTTACAATGGGGAGAGGAATTCAAATCTGCTGAAGATCAATTTTGATGGTTGTGTGGAGCTTGGTTATAGATTCTGAATAATTCTTGACTTTTCTAGAGAAATACAACTTCAGTTATGTTTGTTAAAGTTAAAATAAACAAAAGCTAATAAAAAAGAAGGGGTGGAAAAAGCAAGTATAAAAAATATAAATTAAAAGCACAAGATAAGATGGCAGGAAAGAGACTAAACTGGCCTTATTTAATATATTACCTTTTTCTTTTTGAGACAGGGTCTCCCTCTGTCACCCAGGCAGGAGTGCAGTGGCATGATCATAGCTCACTGCAGCCTCAACCTCCCAGGCTGAATCAATCCTCTCACCTCAGCCTCCTGAGTAGCTGGGACTACAGGTGCACGCCACCACGCTCGCCTAATTTTGTATTTTTTGTAAAGACAGGGTTTTGCCCTGGCTGGCCTCAAACTCCTGGGCTCAAGCAATCCTCCTGCCTCAGCTTCCCAAAGTGCTGAGATTACAGGCATAAGCTACTGTGTTTTGCCTAATATATTCTCATAGTAAGAGTATATTAATTGTTAAATAAATGTGAATGGTTAATTCTTCTGTCACACCACTTAACAATACCTAAACTAAAAAGCAAAGTCTTTTTGAGTGAAAGAGCAAAATCACTATTTTCTGTTTATAAGTGATATACTTAAAAGTAAATAACAAAATTTAAATAACAACGGATTATTTTAAAAACAAGCCATGGAAAGATGTGTCAGGTAAATATACGCGAAAGGAAATTAGAGATAGAAATATTTATAAAAGAAGAATGTGATACAAGATATATTGAAGAAAACATAGAGAACTATTTTAATATTAATGAAAGATACAATTCACCAAGGATATATAGCCTTTATACACTGAAAAATGCTTCATTGAATTGAAAACTATTTGCAGACAATATGGCAGACAAAAGGTTAACAGCCTTACAAAACAAAAGCTCTTACAAATTAATTAGAAAGATATCAATGCTCCAAAAGATGAACAAGCAAAGAATACTAACAGGTAGTTCATAGAATGAGAAAAATATCATTTTCAATATGTTCATTAAACATATTGAAAAGTCCTTGACTTCTTCATTGTAAAAAAAAATATAGATTAAAACCACAGTAAAATATTTTTCCCATGTCTAATTGGCAACCATTTTTAAAAAGTTAATATTTTAGTGTTTGTAAAGATGTGAGGAAACCAGTCCTCTCGAGTGCTCTTGATAGAAATGTGGATTGATAAAATATTTATTTCTGGAGAGCAATTTGTCAATATTTATGAACATTTTAAAATGGGCCCATTTTATTTATTTATTTTCTTTCCAACTTTTAAGGTTTGGGTGTACATGTACAGGTTTTTTACATGGGTAAATTGTGTGTTGCAGGGGTTTGGTGTACAGATAATTTTGTCACCCAGGTAATCAGCATAGTACCTAATAGGTAGTTTTTTTGTTTGTTTGTTTGAGATGGAATTTCGCTCTTGCCCATGCTGGAGTGCAATGGCGCAATCTCAGCTCACTGCAACTTCCGCCTCCTGGGTTCCAAGATTCCAGTGATTCTCATGCCTCAGCCTCCTGAGTAGCTGGGAATATAGGCATGCACCACCACACCCGGCTAATTTTTGTATTTTTTAGTAGAGATGGGCTTTCACCATGTTGACCAGGCTGAGCTTGAACTCCTGACCTCAGGTGATCCACCTGCCTTGGCCTCATAAAGTGCTGGGATTACAGGCATGAGGCACCGTGCCTGGCCCCAATAGGTAGTTTTTAAATGCTCACTCTCCTCACCCTCTACCCTCAAGTAGGCCCCTGTGTTTGTTGTTCGCTTCTTTATGTCTGTGTGTACTCAATGTTTAGCTCCACTTATAAGTGTGAACAGCAGTATTTAGTTTTCTGTTCATGTGTTAATTTGCTTAGAATAATGGCTTCCAGCTCTTTCCATGCTGCTTCAAAGGACATGATCTTATTATTTTTTTATGGCACCGTAGTATTCTGTGGTGTATATGTACCCACATTTTCATTATCCAGTCCACTGTTGATGTGCATCTGGGTTGATTCCATGTCTTTGCTATTGTGAATAGTGTTGTGATGAACATATGTGTGCATGTGTCTTTATGGTAGAATGATTTATATTCTTTTGGGTACATAACCAGTAATGAGATTGCTGGATCAAATGGTAGTTCTATTTTAAGTTCTCTGAGAAATTTCCAGACTGCTTTCCACAGTGGATGAATGAACTTACATTCCCACCAGCAGTGTGTAAGCATTCTGTTTTCTCTGCAACCTCACCAGCATCTGTTATGTTTTGTCTATTTTTGTCTTTTCTTTCTCCTTTTTGTGAAGAGTGTGGTGTTTCTATGTTGCCCAGGCAAGTCTTGAATTCCGGGCTCAAGCAATTCTCCTGCCTCTGTCTTCCTAAGCGTTGGGATTACAGGTGTGAGCTACGGTGCCCCACTGACTTTTTAGTAATAGCCATTCTGATTGGTGTGAGATAGTATCTCATTGTGGTTTTGATTTACATTTCTTTAATGATCAGTGTTACTCAACATTTTTTTCATGTGCTTGTTGGCCATGTATATGTCTTCTTTAGAGAAGTGTTCATGTCCTTTGCACATTTTTCAATGGCATTGTTTGTTTTTTGCTTGTTGCTTTAAGTTCCTTATAGATTCTGGAAATTAGATTTTGTTGGATGCATAGTTTGCAAATATTTTCTCCCATTCTGTAGGTTGGCTGTTTACTCTGTTGATACTTTATTTTGCTGTGCAGAAGCTCTTTACTTTAATTAGATCCCACTTATCAATTTTTGTTTTCTTTGCAATTACTTTCGGAGTCTTCGTCGTGAAATCTTTGCTGGGGCCATGTCCAGAATGGTATTTCCTAGGTTTTCTTCTGGGTTTTTATAGTTGTAGATTTTGCATTTAATTTTTCAATTCATCTTGAGTTGATTTTTGTATACGGTGAAAGGAAGGAGCTCAGTTTCAATCTTCTGCCTATGGTTAGCCAGTTATCCCAGCACTATCTGTTGAATAGGGAGTCCTTTCCCCATTGTTTGTCATTGTTGGTTTTGTCGAAGATCAGGTCGTTGTAGATGTGTGGCTTTATTTATGCACTTTCTAACCTGGTGCATTGGTCTATGTGTTTGTTGTTATACTAGTATCATGCTGTTTTAGTCACTGTAGCCTTGTAGTATAGTTTAAAATTGAATAGTGGGATGCTTCCAGCTTTGTTCTTTTTACCTAGGATTGCTTTTGCTATTTGGGCTCTTTTGTTGTTCCAAATTAGTCTTAGAATAGTTTTTTCTTATTCTGTGAAGAATGTCTTTGGTAGTTTGATAGGGATAGCATTGAGTCTGTAAATTGCTTTGGGTGGTATGGCCATTTTAACAATATTGATTTTCCTATCCAAGAACATGGAATGTTTTCCCATTTGTTCATGTTATCTCTGATTTCTTTCAGCAGTGTTTTGTAATTCTCCTCATAGAGATCTTTCACCTGCCTGGTGAGCTATATATTCCTAGGTATTTCATTCTTTTTGTGGCTGTGATGAATGGGATTATGTTATTGATTTGTCTCTCAGCTTGGGTGTTATTGGTGTATAGAAATGCTACTGATTTTTGTACATTGATTTTTGTATCCTGAAACTTTGCTGAAGTTGTTTATCAGCTCAAGGAACTTTTGGGCAGAGACTATGGGGTTTTGTAGATATAGAATCATGTCATCTGCAAACAGGGATAGTTTGAATTCCTCTATTCCTGTTTGGATGCTTTTATTTCTTTCTCTTGTCTGATTGCACTGTCTAGGACTTGAGTACTCTGTTGAATAGGAGTGGTGAGAGTAAGCATCCTTGTCTTGTTCTGATTCTCAAGTGGAGTGCTTCCAGCTTTTGCCCTTTCAGTATGATGTTGGGTGTAGGTTTGGTTCTTATTATTTTGAGATATGTTCCTTTGGTACCTAGTTTGCTGAGGGCTTTCTTTTATTTTAAAACATAAAGAGATGTTGAATTTTTTGGAAAGTCTTTTCTGCATCTATTGAGATGATCATGTGGTTTTTGCTTTTAGTTCTGTTTATGTGATGAATCACACTTATTGATTTGCGTATGTTGAACCAACCTTGGATCCCAGGAATAAAGGCTACTTGATTGTGGTAGATTAGCTTTGTGATGTGCTGCCAGATTCAGTTTGCTAGTGTTTTGTTGAGGATTTTTGTTTCTATGTTCATCAGAGAGAGTGGCCTGAAGATTTCTTTTTTTGTTGCGTTTATGCCCAGTTTTGGTATCAGAGTAATACTGGCCTCATAGAATGAGCTGGGAAGGAGTCCCTTCTCCTCAATTTTTGCAATAGTTCCAGTAAGCATTAGTACCAGCTTTTCCTAGTATATCTGGTAGAATTCAGTCGTGAGTCTGTCTGGTCCAGGACTTTTTCTGGTTGGTAGACTTTTTGTTACTTATTCAATTTTAGGACTCATTATTGGTCTGTTCAGGGTTTTGATTTCTACTAATTCAATCTTGGGAGGTTTTGTGTTTCCAGAAATTTATCTATTTCTTCTAGGTTTTCTCGTTTGTGTGTATAGAGGTGTTTGTAATAGTTTCTGAGGGTTTTTTGTATTATATTTCTGTGGAGTCTGTGGTAATGTCCCCCTTGTCATTTCTGATTGTGTTTATTTGGATCATCCCTCTTTTTTTTTTTAATAGTCTAGCTAGTGGTCTATCGATCTTATTTATTCTTTCAAAGATTGAACTTCTGGTTTCATTGATATTTTGTATTGTTTTTTACATCTCAATTTCATTTAGTTTAGCTCTGATTTTTATTACTTATTTTCTTCTGCTAGCTTTGAGGTTGGTTTGCTCTTTTCTACTTTCTCTAAGTATGATGTTAGGTTGTTAATTTGAGATCTTTCTAACTTTTTGATATGGGCACTTAGCACTACAAAGTTTCCTCTTAACACTGCTTTAGCTGTATCCCAAAGATTCTGGTATGTTGTGTCTTTGTTTTCATTTGTTTCAAAGAATTTCTTGATTTGTCTTAATTTTATTGTTTACCCAATTCAGAAGAAGATTGTTTAATTTCCACGTAATTGTATGGTTTTGAGAGATCTTCTTGGTATTGATTTCTGTTTTTATTGTGCTGTAGTCTGAGAGTGGCTGATATGATTTTGATTTTTTGGAATTATTGAGAATTGCTTTATGGTCAAGCGTGTGGTTGAGTGGCTGAGCATGCACCTTGTGCAGATGAGAAGAGTATATATTCTGTTGTTTTTGGGTGGAGTATTCTGTAGGTGTCTGTTAGGTCCATTTGGTCAAGTGTTGAGTTTAGGTCCCAAATATCTTTGTTAGTATTCTGCCTTGATGATCTGTCTAATACTGTCAGTGGAGTACTGAAGCCTCCCATTATTATTGCGTGTGTGTGTGTTTTTAAGACTATTGTGTGGTTTTCTAAGCGTGTTCATACGTCTCCAAGAACTTGTTTTATGAATCTTAGTGCTCCAGTGTTGGGTGCATATTTATTTAGAATAGTTAAGTTTTCTTGTTGAATTAACCCCTTTACCATGATGTAATGCCCTTCTTTGTCCTTTTTGATCATTGTTGGTTTAAAGTCTGTTTTGTCTGAAATAAGAATAGTAACCCCTGCTCTTTTTCATTTTCCATTTGATTGATAGATCTTTCTTCATCTAAATATGCTCATTTTAAAATGGGAATTTACCCTACAGAAACACTCACACACTTGTACAAACACATATTTATAAAGATAGCTAGGTTGGGTGCACTGGCTCACAATTGTAATCCCAATACTTTGGGAGACCAAGGGAGGAGGATTGCTTGAGGCCAGGCCTGGGCAACAGAATGAGACCCTGTGAAGAGTGACTTCACTTCTTTTCAGTGTAATGAGACAAAATTCTGTGCATAACAGGATAGAAACAAGTCAAATGATTTTATATGCCTTTCAGAAATAATATCTAAACAGCATTCAGATATGATCCCCATGGTGTTGAACCCTCTGCTTGGAGATTAGAAACTGCAGCTGTCTGGAAGGTCCCAGATCTCAGAGCAGCTACTGGTGCCCCAGCACCTGGAGGTGAATGGCAGAAATCGCCATGGCCCATAGCAGGGTCACTACAGCTTGTCTTTCTGGTAAAGGGTGAAAGTTTTCAACCTTTTTTGTACTCTTAGAGAAGAAACTGCGAGCCCATAATTTGAAGGTTATTTATAACTTCCTTTTCCCTTATTTGGGATACAAAAGAACAAGTTCCTCTCAAATCTATGTATGAAGGTATACATAGCAAAAAAGGAAGCAAACGGGATTTCTAAACAAAAATGGTTTTAACTACAATTTCCTTCAGTGCAGACAGAAAATGGTACAGGGACATTGGCCTACCTTTCTTAAAGCTCATGGTCAAAATCTATTCGTCCCACCTGAGTCATGTGCAGGAAAGCCATAATGTCCAGCACAGGGCATTAAGCCCCAATTAGGGGTTTTCCTGATCATCCTCTATAACATGAGATGCCTTGGATTGGAGCAAGGCAAGAGGGTCCGTCTGGCTTCTCCAAGACACTAACCCTTGATGCCATGAACTGAGCATTGAGCCTTGCTGTTACATCCAATTGCTGTGCTGCTCCATGTTTCCTACATCTGTAATGAAATCCAGGGCCACCACCTGGCTCTTCCACATTTCCATAATTTTGTACACCACACTTTCTTTAACTTAAACTTCCTCCCCTTCCCCACAACCTGGCTGCTATTATTCCTTCAGCTTTTCGCTCAGATGCAGTCTCCCATGGGAAGCTGTCCTGGCTGACCTTCTAAGTCTTGGCTAGTACCTGTTTTTACATCAATTGGAGCAGGAGTCCCACTGTTTAGTTCCTATTTGTTTACTGATCTGTCTCATCCTTTACAGTATAGTTGTTTGAAGGCAGGCTTGCACCCAGCTGTGGCCTGATATACAGTCAATAAATACTTCCCAATAAATACTTCCTGAATCATTTAGGTAATGATCAAATGAGCAGGGATACCTCTTGTCTGAGAGAATCATGAAGTGGAAGAAGAGGTGTGAATATAGAGCTGATTGGAGAAGTCAGGACCGAAGGGGAAGTTGTACTTGCTCACAGACACCTGTTATCTCAGGGAAGGGGGAGGTTAGGCCACCTGCTGAGAGTGAGGGAAGCAGGGAGCTGGGAGGACCCTTGAGGAAAGTAGTAAAGGTTTGGAACAGCTTGTATGGAGAATGGAAATGGAGCAGATGAGAAACCCTTGAGGGCCCAGCTGAGATTGGAGCTCATAAATTTATAATGGAGCCCAGCAACATGAATATGCAATTTTCTCCAGAAAGCAGTCCTGAACAAGATGTAGGAAAAATAATGCTAATTGCTATTTATTCATGCCTGCTATATGCAAGGATCTATGCTACATGCTTCAGTTGCCTGTTCTATATTCTTTGCAAGAAGCCTGTGATGAAGGTGTCATTATCTCCCTCATTTGGATGAAGAAACTGAGGCTTATGGAGGTTAATCACTTAATATAAGTCACATAGCTGGCAAGTGACAGAAGCAGCTACAAACCACAGACTGACTCCAAGGGCCAGGACTTTGTTTGGGGCCATGCCATTCCACTGCAGCTTCTGTGGGTCCAGCTTGGTTGACCTGAGCTAGGGATGGTTATGGTGAAGGCAGTGAGATGACAAAGGAGGCCAGAAAGAAGCCTACTGGCTAGAGTGTTGATAGAGTGATTAACTACTAATAACTTTGGGCTCTAAGTGAGCTGGTGTCTGAACCCAGGTATGTGTGGAGACATCCAAGTGATGAGGAACTAAAGGTGTCAGTGCTATGAAAGGATAGGTTTATAAAGAGCAAAGGAAAAGAAGAGAATCACAGATAGGAAGATGTAGTTTGCATTTATGAGTTCAGAATGGCCCAATTCCAGGTGGTAATAAAGCTAAGATGTGCTCATGAGAATGGACGTGAACAAACCACAATAAAGGAGGGCATGGAACTCCGAGGTCCTTCTGTATTGTTTCTTGAAATGTTAGTGCCTGGTGTATTTTAGATGCTCAGTATTTACTGAATGAATAAATAAATAAAAGGGTAACCACAAATAGAAACTATAAAGTAGTGAGACTTCTTCAGTTATGTGATTTGTGAACATTTAGTGCTATTTTTATAATCTCATCTAACCCACTATCTAATAAAATAGATGAAGAGAGAAAAAAAGGTGGCCATCTAAATTGAAGACAAAGTGCTCCCTTGAAGTAATTATCTGATTGTGGAAGCCTGAGTTACAGAGACTCGAACATTTGGAAGCCTTTTTAATTGGAAGAGAAAACAAAGTTCAGTGAAAACAGAGTTACTGTTGTTATGGCCAAGCAGTGATAAAATTTAGGATGGCAGTCTTCTGTATACTGAGTTGTTTGTTCATATGCCGTATATGAGCTAAAACCTTTAGGGTCCTTCAGCAAAGATAATATGAATGTTCTATGTTTTCTGTGTGTTATATCAGGGACCCAGGCTCAGTCAACACGTTCATAGTTTGAAACCTTAATCAAGGCATGGAATATCATTTAAGCTAAGTCACGATTATCCCTCACAAGTGAACTATAAAACAGAATCTTGATTCATGAATTAGTTCATTGTTTTGCCCTGCTGATGTTTGTTAGATATAACATATATGCATGCCAAGTGAAGAGAGATGAAATAGCATGATGTAATTTAGTTGTGTTTCAAAGAGTAAAGCCTCCAGGGTATTGGTAAACATACAGCTAAATAGAGGCTCACAATACACTTCTGTGTTTTATGGTTTTGTCAAAATCAAAGGAAATGTATTTACTTTGGAACAAATAATTGTGGGAAATTTCTATAGTGTCCCTGTGGCTTGTATTTCATTGCAAGTAGAATTCCCTTTGGTATGTGAATGACATTGCATAAGTAAGCTGTGCTGGACAAAGGATAAGATGTATTCCAGCTTTAATTATGGTGTAGAGGAGTTTTACCTTAGGCTTCTGACTTTACTTGCCAGAAAATAGCCATGGAAAGGTGCATTATTGTTCCATAGTTAACAATTAAGTTTCTTAACTGAATATACTCTTGGTGAAACATAAAAGTAAGCAGAATTTCTCAACTGTGTATTCTTAGATTATTGAAACTAAGAGATAGTTCTGGCTATCTGTACTTTTCTACTTTCATGATCTTACAGTAGAGGGGATAGCCTCCATGTAACTTGGCTGTCTTTCTCTTGTGTTTTTTAGGTACTGGCAAATAGCATTCAGCCCTATTTCCTGCTTAATTATATGATGGTGAATAGTCACTGTAATGAGCTCCTTCTACCTTTTTTTTTTTTTTTTTATGGAGTCTCACTCTGTCACCCAGGCTGGAGTGCAGTGGCGTGATCTCAGCTCACTGCAACCTCTGCCTCCTGGGTTCAAGCTATTCTCCTGCCTCAGCCTCCCAAGTAGCTGGGGCTGCAGGCAGCTGCCACCACACCTGGCTAATTTTTTTTTGTATTCTTAGTAGAGACTGGGTTTCACTTTGTTGGCCAGGCTGGTCTGAAACTCCTGACCTCGTGATCTGCCCATCTTGGCCTCCCAAAGTGCTGGGATTACAGCCATGAGCCACCGCGCCCTGCCAATGAGCTCCTTCTACTTAAAAATGTACCCATAGGCTGGGCACAGTGGCTCGTGCCTGTAATCCCAGCACCTTGGGGGGCCGAGGCAGGTGGATCACCTGAGGTCAGGAGTTCAAAACCAGCCTGACCAACATGGTGAAACCCCATCTCTAGCTGGGCATGGGACGCATGCCTATAATCCCAGCTACTCGGGAGGCTGAGGCAGGAGAATCACTTGAACCTGGGAGGCAGAGGTTGCAGTGAGCTGAGCTGGCGCCATTGTACTCCAGCCTGGGCAACAAGAGCAAAACTCTATCTCAAAAAAAAAAAAAAAAAAAGAAAAGAAAAAAGAAGAAAGAAAGTACCCATAGAAGGAGCACTCTAAAATATAAAATCTATGAACCAAGGATTATGAGTATTAACACTCTCCAAATCATACCTTCTTCTCACCTTTTTTTCTAAAATAATTATACATCAATGCTTTTGAAATTTGTTTAAAGTGACAGAAAGACTCACTCTGTAGATGCTTTCAGATATCAACCTACGTAGCATGAGGCATAGAGAAGAAGGCAAAAATAAAAAAGTCCTTAGTTGTCTAAAACATGGGGATACCAGGCAAACAGCCCACACCCTCAGTGTTCTGAAGGTTCAGTTGATTCTTATATTATGATTGAATGTCATTATAATAATTATAAAGCATCCTATATTGTGAAACTGGCAAGCATGGGGTTAATTGATGATGACACTAAGATAGATATGTCAAGGCAGGAGTAATGATACACTTTGCAAGACAAGAATGCATTAGAGGTAATTGTCAGCAGAATCCTAGTGAAAGTGAGTCACAGTAAAGGCTTGGATGGAACCAGCTACATGTACAAACCTCCCTAAACTCACTAAAACAGAAAATTAATATTGAATTTTATTCTTAGTTAGAAGGATGTGTATCTTGGTCCTTGTTTGCAAGGGCTAGAGATGATCAACGTATTATATCTTCACGTTAGATATGTTTTTCCAAATTTTAATTATTTATTTTCCTGGCTTAGTGGAACTATTCGTTAAATTAACTCATTACCATTTGTATTAGTCCATTTTCACACTGCTGATAAAGACGTACCCAAGACTGGGCAATTTACAGAAGAAAGAGGTTTATTGGACTTACAGTTCCACATGGCTGAGGAGGCCTCACAATCATGGTGGAAGGCAAGAAGAAGCAAGTCACATCTTACGAGGATGGCAACAGGCAAAGAGAGAGGAGAGAAACTCCTGTTTTTAAAACCATCCAGTCTCATGAGTCCCATTCACTATCACGAGAACAGCACAGGAAAGACCCACCCCCATGATTCAATCATCTTCCACTGAGTCCCTCCCACAACACATGGGAATAATGAGAGTTACAAGATGAGATTTGGGTGGGGACACAGAGCCAAACCATGTTACCATTCCTGGGAACTACCTTAACAAGTAAAAGAGTACTGTGTTACTCATTATAAATCAAGATAGTTATATAAATCATCATATATTGTCGTTATGCTCTAGGGTATTGGAGGGAAGAGGAAAAAGAGCCATATGATTTGTAATTTACATCCTGGAGTTTCTTCCTCTTTCAGAAAAATAATTAAGAACACTTTTTTCCTTTTAAAATCAACAACACAGCACTGTGAGAATTGGGTGTTGGTTAATTCTTGTAAGAATTCCACTGACAAGGCCTAACTCTGTTCTATTTCAACCTTGGTTTCAAGTGATCCTTCTAGTATCCTGTATTTTCCTCAGTGGTCATGCTAAAGCACTGTTACTAGACCACAAGGCTGGAAGCCAGATTGCAAAACCATGAGGCAGGAGTGGGTGGTCAGGAAGTAGAATTCAGCAGAGTAGATTTCTTTTAAGAAGTTGGCAGTGAAGAGAAGAAGAGAGAATGCATGATAGCTTAAGGAGTAGTATGATGAAGAGAGTGCTCTTCTAGGATAGGAAGGGAGGTTTGAGCTTGCTTATTGGCTGAGAGGGAAGACTCAGTGGAGAAGGAGAAAGGGAACAGTCCTGTGGACTGATAGCTGATAGGGATGCTCAAGGGGAATGGGATGGATAAGGTATGGAAAGCGGGAACCATTCTCTGTGCTGGGAAGGAAAGAAGAGAAATGGACAAAAATTTAAAGATATTTTGAGGAGAAACTGGGGAAGTTGAAAGAGCTATATCTTGACCTGAGGCAAGGTGGTAGGAGGATTTGAAGAAAGGGAATTATGTAGAATTGGCTTTGTAGGGAATGTGACTGAGAATTATTGAGTTAAAAAAACTGTTGAGTAGGAAAAGGGGAAGGATGAAATTGGATATATGAATTTTAGTGGAGCTATTCAGCTTTTAAAGATTAAAAAAAATTTTAGTGTCTCCAGTAATGGTTAGTACCTTAGGAGGAAACTTGAGTATAGATGAAGACCCAGGTTTAGGAATTGTTAAGGTGAATAACGCTAGAGAGCTTGGGCTAGTAGAATTAATAGCAATAAATAGAGATTGTGAAAAGGTCTCAAAAGGACCAATGAATAGTGAGAATGGGGAATGTTTTAGGAATAGAAGGAAAATGAGAGCAGACAGCAAGTTTAATAGGGATTGGAGGTTATGAGCAAAGAGAGGGAATTTGAGTTTTAGATCTTAGAAGTGTGCAGTTCTAAGTTACAGATCATCTGATCTAAATTGAGAGTCTCTTTACAGGAAGGGCAAGTAGAATAGTTGAGATGATCGAGAAAATGTGAGGAAGAATTGACATATGGATATTGAGGTACCTACAGGGTTTGAGCTTCCACTATACCAGTACTTATCTCCTTGATTAAGCTAATTGTATGGTTATCTTCTTTTTATGTCTGCCTTCTTCCTGCTCACCTGGTATTTCCTCTATAACCTGAATAAAGTCTTATTTCCCCAGTGCCTGGTGCAGAATTTCATGCACCCATTAATGCTATATAATTATTAAATACATAAATAAGAACAAAATTTGAACCAAGTATAATTTATGAAATAGCTAAGATACATGGCAGCAACGAAAATGGAAAAAGGTGCTATATATGGATGGCCTTGATTTCAGGGGTAAGCAGATGTGGGGAGAAGGCTGATTGTGACTGGAGCATGCTCACCTCACAGGACAATGGATTGTAAGATGAGTGGTTACCATGGGGAAGGGTTATGAGGGAAATGGTATCCTCAGGGATAAGCCAATATTAAGGAGAATGGACAAAGAGGGTGTGTGTTTACATTAGAACAGAGGTTCCCAGGACATGGCGAAACAGCCCAATAGGGGTTCAGGGATTTGTCTTGTGGAGAAGGTTTGGGTTGAGTCAGATCAGAATGAGAGTGTACAAAGTGAAGACGATGGTGACTATTTCCATCTAGGGCAATATTTCAGGATTAGGAGGAGGAAGGAGATTGGGAGACAGGCTGAAGATGAAATGGTGATGCTGACTGAGGTTGCAGAAGTAGTCATAGCTAACATGTATTGAGGTCTTATTATGTGCTAAGCACTGTACGAAGCACTTTCCATGAATTCTCTCTCTGAGTCCCACGGCAGTAATATGAAATCAATTAATACCATTTCTGTCTTCTAGAAAGTGAAGTAACCTCCCCATTATTGGCCAGTGGCAGGTTTAGGATTCAAATGTCCGGAGCCTGTCCCCTTAATCATCACACTTCCAGACTCCAAAAATAAATCCCCACATAGTGTTGCTTTTTCACAGACACTTCCTAGGTGTCACCCAGGGGTAAAAGTTCTAAGAATTCAGAACATTTCAGGTCCTGTGTTCTTTTAGGTAGTTATCAGGAGAAGGACATTCATTTTTGGTTAGCCTGGGGTGAGTGAACTTCAAAGCCGCACAGTGAACCCCAGCCTCGAAAAGCACCTCACAGACTGAGGCAATTGCAGCATGAACTGATTATTTGTTTGTTTTTTCTTTCTTAAGAAAGGCCTACGTAATTATGGAACCTATTCAACTTTGACAGAAGAAAAATGCCTTCTTTAATAACAGACTGAAAAGGACAAGAACATCGGTTATCTTCCATGAAGAGAGAGTTGCATGTTGTGTATGTGTTAATGTGTGTATGTGTTAATGTGTGTGTACGCACATGCGTGTGTATGTGTGGAAGTATGGCGGAATTAACAGTTGTGTGTAGAGGCACATTGTTTTGATAGCATACAAGGCAGACCAAGTGTTTTCCTAATGTGGCAAAACTTTAGGAAGCACAGACTAAATACTTCTTAAATTGTCAATCGGCCAGGCGCGGTGGCTCACTCCTGTAATTCCAGCACCTTGGGAGGCCAAGGCAGGAAGGCGGATCACTCGAGTCTAGGAGTTTGAGACCACCCTGGGCAACATAGTGAGACCTTGTCTCTACAAAAAATAAAAAAATTAGCTGGGCATGGTGGCGTGTGCCTGTAGTCCCAGCTACTCAGGAGGCCTAGGTGGGAGGATCACTTGAGCCTGGGAGGAGGGGGTTGCAGTGAGCTGGGATTGCATCACTGCACTCCAACCTGAGAGACAGAGTGAGATCCTGTCTTTAAAAAAATGGCAATCATGCCCCATGTATATGTTAGGATGGGTTGTGTTTTGCCCAGTGAAAGGACTGAGCAAAGGCAGTGGGGCTTACGCGGTCATTGTGTAGTGTGCACAGGAGAGAGACAATCTCATCCAATGCCTGGGGTCAGAGTGAGTGAGGGGTAAATGGTGAAGGTGGGAATAGGGACTCCAACAAGGCATGGAGAGTTTCATCAAGGAGCTTAAAAGGCTACAATCTAGGGGCATGACAGAATTTAGAACTGGGAGAATACTGTGAGGAAATAGATCGCATGAATGTGGACTCAGATATGCTTTCCTTGAACCCTGGGTTATTTCAACCACACAATGCTTCTCACTCCTGGGCAGGTTGAAGATGCTATTCACCCTCTGGGACCTGAGATAGGTGAAGGAAATTTGGTTTGAAAAGTCATTCAAACCAAAGTATGAGACATTTTTAGTTTGTGTTTTGAGGACTTGCTGAGGAATTTGTAGCACCTGTCATTTTGGCTTTCTCTGAGCCTCAATATATTCACATTCTAATCAAGCAATTAGTTTCAGCCTGATCTGCTACAATTCATGAATCTTGGTCATCTCAGAGATATTTATTTCACAATGATATGATACAGTGCTAGGTATTACATATGAAAACTTAGATTTAGACTTTGCCACTTGGCAAATGAGTGTGATTTTAGGTTGCTTCTTTGAGTCTCACTTACTCATCTACAAAATGGGAATCATTAAGCCAGCCTCACTATATTGTTGTGATTAAATGAGATTCCATAGGCAGAGTACATAGCACAGTGCTTGCTTGTCATACAGGAGGTCTCCAGTAAACAGTAATTTCCTTCTCTTTCCCCTCCTCTCCTACTTTGGTGTTGGTGTGATTCTCATCATGTCTGTTTGAGTCAGCTGCTGCATACTTTGTCAATTACACTGACTAGATTTGTCATATATTTCTGCACAATTTGGAAAAAAAGATTGATATTTTTATGCTCAAGAAAATTTGGTTAGGATCAAATAAATTAAGAAATGGCTATGTTGAAATCATTTTATCATTAAAGGAGTAACAGGGGTCCCCGACAGAAGAAAAACAATCCATAGTTTTGTTTGAGAACCCAAGAAGACACATGGGTAGCAGTGTTGAAATAGTCTCCAAAGCCACTGTGAAACTTCTAGACCAAAACACTTTGCAGTAACCACTTGGAAAAATATTTTTCAGTACAACTAAAGCTAAACATACACATACCTCATGATCCAATAATTTCACTCCTGGGTATATACCCAATAAAAATGAGTGCCTGTGTCCACCAAAAGACATGAACAGGAATATCCACAGCAGCCTTGTTTAGAATAGCCTCAGACTGAAAACAACCCAAATGTCCACCACCAGTAGAATAGATAAATGGTTTGAAGTGTTTTCATGTAATAAGATACTACACAGCAATACGAAAGAATGAACTACTAGTACACACAATCTTTTGTATGAATCTCACAGACAGGAAGTTGGCTGAAAGAAGTTAGGCACAAAATAGTGCATGTTGTATGTGGTGAATAAAAAATGTCTTCATATATTTTGCAGTTACTCTTCTCAGGAGACCAGGTCTGTTTACTTGCCCCTTGAATGCAGGTTGTTTTGTGACTTACTTTAATCAACACGATGTGAAGGAAGTGACATTGTGTGACTTCTCAGCCTAGGCCTTAGAGGCTTGCAGCTCTCACTCTGTTGGAACATGGATGCCATGTGATAAAGCCCAGGCCACCCTGCTAAAGACATAGAGCACAATTGACAGCCCACAAAAACACCATTTGGGTTGTTTTCAGTTTGAAGCTGATTGAAAGATATTTATTTGGGCCCCATCAGATCTTAAAGCACCAAATTGAGTTGCCAGATGCTGCAGCCATGTGAGTGACCCAAAGTGAGACAAACAGAAGAACTGGCTAGCTGAGCCCAAGCCAAATTGCTAACCCAAGGAAGTGTGGGGAAATAAAATTGTGGTTGTTTTCAGTGACTAAGTTTCAGAGTGGTTTGTTATGCAGCAAAGATAACTGATAGGCTGTATGATTTTATTATCTGAAGTTCACAAACAGGCTCATCTACAGTGATAGAGGTTGGAATAATAGTTATCTGACTACCGATATTGGCTGGAAGGGGGCATAAGGAAGCTTTCTGGGAAATGTTTGAGCTTGCTGATGGTCACACAAGTCTATTCACTTGGTAGAAATTCATCAAGCTGTACACTTGAGATGGGTGCACTTTACTATATGTAAGTTATACCTTAATTTACACACACACAGACACACACACACACTGCATATGATCCGTATGTGTTGGATGAGTCAGCAAGCAGGCATACAGGGACTGGCAAAGTTAGCAAATGGCAGGGGCTGACAGTCAGACTGTTGAAGATGTAGGCCATTCATTTAAAATATATGTATTATTCACCTACTTCTGATCAAGCACTCTCCTGGAGAAAAATACTTGAACAAACATAATCTGACCTTGCAAATTATGCATGGTAAGCCAGGCCAATGCAGAGACAAGAGCAAGAACTGAATGATATTATTTTACCATGACAAATGGAAAACTGAGGATATAAAATGTAATTAAAAACTGGATTATAGCCTGGGTACAGTGGCTGAGGCCCGTAAGCCCAACACTTTGGGAGGCTGAGGTCAGAAAATCACTTGAGCCCAGGAGGTCGAGGCTGCAGTGAGCTATGATGGGGCCACAGCACTCCAGCCTGGGTGACAGAGTGAGATCCTGTCTACAAACAAACAAACAAACTCCAAAACACACACACACAAACTGGATTATAAATCCTATCATGAACTTCGAGAGATAAACTGTGAAAGTATTGCTTATTAAGGTTCAGATCCATAAACAGACTTACAGAACTGTGTATCCATCATTTTGTATAACATAGTATGCGTTTATAAGACTTGACCACCATTGAGTTCAGGGAGTGCCAAAATAGAAGGTGCCAGCCCTCTCTTGGTTAGATCTTGTTTTAATTCTTTTAGTTGTCAATGAGATTGACATTGCAGCCTACTAAAGCAAAGAGTGGTTAAACAGTTTCATTTATCCTTTATTTATTATCAAATGCCATGTTAAGAAGTTTTTGGAAAATATGCATTCAGCTTCTACCAAAGGTAGAATTGTTCAATGAGCTGAATGCAGGCTGAGAATGAAGCCAGCATGGAGGAGAGTAGAACCACATGATGAAGAGACAGGGTTCTGATGACACTGTTTGAGCCCCCTGAGTCTGGCTGTGCCTGAAGCATGAACATTTTTCCATTTATTATTTATTTACTGCTCTAGCAGCTTGAGTCTGGCTTTTTGTCACTTGGAAGAGTCCTAACCAGAGCTGGCCTGACTCCCCCCACCCCCAACTCCTGCCTCTCCTTGACTGCTAGCTAAACCCTTACTACTGCTGCCTAGGCACAAAACTATCTGGAGTTATCCTCTCTCCTCCAGGCAAGGATAAAGGTATGGTAGCTGAAGTTATGTCCAAAGAACCAGAAAATAGTAACAGTGGCGGGATCTAGGATTTTTCTTGTTTGAAAATATGAATTCTAGTTGCCATCTTGTCAGTCACCCAAATGTGTGGTGCTGGCAGTGCTAGAGTTGCTTATATGTGGATGTAACCTGGTCACATACATATATTCATTAAAGATGCAACTTGCCGGAAGGTGAACAATGAACACCTTTAATGCGTTTACTTTGTTAGCCTTTATAGCACTTCCCATTGTGAACTGTGACAATCTACATTTTCTTAAGTTAGGATCATTACTATTTATCAAGAAGTGTGCTTTAGTTTATTATGTGTTGCTTGTATGATGAGTGTATTACTTTGTAGTAAACCCTTGTATATGCATCGCATGTATTTCAATTCAAGGGAAATTTATATTGGTCACTGGGAGTGACAAGAGAGGAATAAGATATGACCCATGTTCTTTGGGAATTTACAATTTAGTTAGAAACACCGACATATAAACTGTTGGTAGATGTCAGTCTGGGCACGGTGTCAGTGTCATCAAGTAGTAACATAGTCTGTTGTACAAACATATATATATATATATATATATATATATATATATATATATATATATATATGTAGTGAATTAGAAACTAGAAAGGCACACAGAAGATGTGGTCCCCTCAGTGGTATATTATAATCTGTTTTCTTGCCTGTCTCCCATGCTAGAGGGTGAGGCCCCATCATCAAGGCTAATGTAATATCTTATTCAACTTGTCTTACAGACCTCTGCATAGTGCTTAGCTTAAGAAATGTACTGTTGAATTGCATTAATATTGTAGCTGTGTCATTGGTTCACTTAACTTTATAAATATGTACCATATTCATCTCTCTTGACTGCTGGCTGACTTTGTGCAGTTCAGAGGAAACAAGTAGATTCCTGTATACTGCCTTTTGCTTTTAGTGTATGCTGGGCATCAAGCCAAGCAATGGCCAGGTGGACAGGCAGACAGGAGCCTAGAAAGTTTATACCAAAAGTCAAGGAAAGGCGAATGGCCTTGGGTTCAGTCAGGCATGAGAAACAAGGTGGGCTGAAACTTGAGCTGTCAAGGGTCTGGGCAGCCTGCCAAGGCGGCTCTAGGAACAGAGTCAAAGGAAGGGGGCAGGTCAATGGGCCACTGATTCGCATGCAAGGCTCTAGTCCAGCTAGGAGCTAATTAGCCTTTGAGAGTAACACCTAATCTTAGGATATGGGTAGTGCAGAGGGCTCTTGAGAGAGACTGGCTGGCTGTACAGTGAAGCTCCCAGGTGGTTCTTTAGCAGGACATCACTCCATATTTTTTCCATACCGACAGCAGGACCTCACTCATGCAAACAAAGGATTATCCTTTACAATACTTGCATAAACAGGATTCTAATTAATGAATTCACAAGTAGTTATTTCCTGTTTATGGACATTAAACAAGGTGTACTTATAAGTTTTCTTTTAAGCCTAAATCCAGGCACACAGCTGGATATAAAATATATATGCTGTGTGTTTACAGGAACACCTCCCAAACACTCACACACGCACACAGCTAGAGAGGAAATAGCAATAGATCATTGGGCTTGAATCTGAAAATGGTGGTATAAAACACAATAATACTTAGAACCATGATTTATGGGAATGAAAATAGGACTCATATAAGGAACACTGAATTCACTTAGTCCACATATGTGGCTCTGGGTTGGACTGAGAAATTTGTAACAACTATTCAACATTAACCCTTAGAAATGATAATTTAGAATTCTGAAGCTGGCATTAAATCCCCTGAATCAGCTATTTGCATTGAGCTATGATGGAGTAACAAGGACTGGGTTTACCCTTCTGCCTTAAACAACTTTAACAAAAGGACAAAAATATGTGGAACAATCATGTTATTTAAAAATAGATAGTACAGAACAGTGATCTGTAAGAGAAGGGAAACAAATGAGGTGAGCTCTATGATTGGCCCAGATGCTGCCTGGTGAATGTTTTCAGGCTGCAGTGCAATCCTCCCTGCCATGAGGAGAAAGAGTCTGTAGCTTGAGGAGACCAAGGTGGCTAGAATTCACAGGGCAGAATACAAACAGGAGACAGTCACAGAGAAAATGCTCTGGAGATATGCAGAGGGTACCCCAAGTCTTTACCTAATTACTGATCAGTGCATGTATGTAAGGAAAGTGCTGTGCCCAGGGAAGGAATCAGTGGGAAGAAGCAGGTGAACAATCCCCGGAGCTCACTCAAAGTCAGAAATAGTTCATCTTCCCACCATTCAAAGTGGAAAGACCTCTTAACACATAAGGCATTGAGTAGAGATCTCACAAAGGCATTTTCTTAGTAGTGCAGTCAAGCTCTACACTAAATGCTGTTCTAGATCTGCCTAACAAACCTGTTTCTAAGTAACTTATCTGTCTCAGAAGAATGTTCAAGAATACTTAAACATGATAACAAAAGAAATGTATTACCCCACAGCCCAAAATTCACAATGTCTGGTATCTAATAAAATATTACCAGGCAAGCAAAGAAGTAGGAAAACACATAATATAGTGAGGAGAAGAATCAGTCAACAGAAACAGACACAGAAATGACATGAATCATAAATGTAGTAGATAAGGATGTTAAAAGAGCTATTATAAATACACTTCTTATGTTCAAAAAAATATAGGAAAGCATGATCATGATAAGGAAATACATGAAAGATATTTAAAAAGACCAAAATGATACTTCTAGAGATGAAAAATCAATGCTTCAGATGAAAAATATACCAGATGGGATGAATAGGAGATTAAACACTGCAGAAGAAAAGGTTAGTGATTTTGAAGGCATAGCAATAGAAGCTATCTCAAATGAAGCACAGAAAGAAAAAAGACTGAAAAAACAATAAGGAAAACAAAATAAAGAAAAAAGTGAAAGAAAATACCCAAACAGTATTAATGAGCCTTGGGACAACATTTCCACTTGTATATAAATGTTCATAGTAGCTTTATTTGTAGAACTGGGCTCATTAATAGGTGAATAGTTAAGCCAATTATGGTATATCAAGATACTAGAATACTACTATAAAAGGAATGAAGTATTGATACACAGAATAACATGGATGAATCTAAAAATCTGTAGGCTGCAGGAAGCTAGACAAAAAGCAGTGGATACTGCATGATTCCATTTATATAAAATTCTAGAAAATATAAACAAATCTATAGTGGCAGAAAGCACATCACTGGTTGTCTGCAGAGAGAGGGAGGGGGAGGAATGAATTACAAAAGGCCACAAAGAAACAATTTGGGGTGACGGAAATGTCTGTTACCTTGATTGCGATGATGGGTTTATACCTATATACCTATGTCAGAGCTCATCAAATTGTATGCTTAAATATGGGCAGCTTATTCTATGTCTGTCCCTTAATAAAGTTGAGGAGGGGGGAAGAGAGAGAAAGACAAACACATAGAGAGAGGGAGGAAGGAAGACAGGAAGGAGGGAAAGAGGGAGGGAGGAAGGAACGAAAGAGAGCATTGAACAGCTCCGCCTTGGATGTGCCTCTCCTTTGCCATTGAACAACTTAACTGATGCACTTTCCTGTTTACTGGGAGCAGTTTGGGAACCAGGTTGAATTGTGTGGAGTGTCCTACTTGTTTGTTGTGACTCCTAGGACACTGGCAACCAGAAGCAGCTCTATTTGGTCATCATAGCCACAAAGAGGCTGTGAACTGCTTTAGATTTATTCAGGCTTCTCCTGCAGAAGCTGTATGAGATTGTGGCAGCCGAAAACCTGAATCCAGGGACCTCATTACTGCAGATTTCTTTTGGAAATGGTGGCATGGGCAGCAATCCTTAGATTCTGGGTAATTTTTTTGGAGCAAAAGTTTTCACTCAATTAGAAGTTAGCTGTGAGACACCAGTAGGAATGGTGATCATTAAAAAGTTAGGAAACAACAGGTGCTGGAGAGGATGTGGAGAAATAGGAACACTTTTACACTGTTGGTGGGACTGTAAACTAGTTCAACCATTGTGGAAGTCAGTGTGGCGATTCCTCACGGATCTAGAACTAGAAATACCATTTGGCCCAGCCATCCCATTATTGGGTATATACCCAAAGGATTATAAATCATGCTGCTATAAAGACACATGCACATGTATGTTTATTGCAGCACTACTCACAATAGCAAAGACTTGGAACCAACCCAAATGCCCATCAATGATAGACTGGATTCAGAAAATGTGGCGCATATACAGCATGGAATACTATGCAGCCATAAAAAAGGATGAGTTCATGTCCTTTGTAGGGACATGGATGAAGCTGGAAACCATCATTCTGAGCAAACTATCGCAAGGACAGAAAACCAAACACTGCATGTTCTCACTCAGGTGGGAATTGAACAATGAGAACATCTGGACACAGGAAGGGGAATATCACACACTGGGGCCTGTCATGGGGTGGGGGAAGGAGGGAGGGATAGCATTAGGAGATACACCTAATGTAAATGACGAGTTAATGGGTGCAGCACACCAACATGGCACATGTATACATACGTAACAAACCTGCACGTTGTGCACATGTACCCTAGAACTTCAAAGTATAATTAAAAAAAAAAAGAGGAAAAAAAAAAGAAGTTAGCTGTGAGAAAGGGGAAACACCTTGCTATGCAACTTTCTAAAGTATTTGAGAGAAAATGTAAAATTCTTGAGATGTTTAAACTTAGATAAACATTTAGTGACCTCAATTCACCCTTAAAAGGTGTCAGCCTTAATAATGAGTGATCAGGAACAGCTTGAACAGAGGTGGGTGACTGGTAAAAGTTAATTCCATTTAACCAATTCTTATACTTCAGAGTGAAATAGATTTTATAGTAAAAAACAAAACAGAACAAAACCTAAACAAAGAAGTCTAAATAGTTAGCTCTAGGTAGATTGAGGGCTGACATTTCTGGAAATGTAGAGTCACTAGGACAAAAATCAAGCCTATGAAATCACTGGTAGCTTCTTGCATTAGAGTACCCAGCTGAGAGTAGTCCAGCACGGTCCTCTGCAGAAGTTCAGCTGTCATCAGGGAAACCTCTTCCTTTCTCTCTTATTAGATTCTCATCTTGGTGTCCAGGCCTTGTTCCTCCACCTTTAACTGCAGTGCAACTACCTGTGGTGCTCGTCTATCCAAAAGGACAGTTCATGACACCAGGACCTCATCCTCTTACTTCTACAGAAAGCTTGTGTGGACCACCATGAGGATCTTTTCAGCCAAGCCATTTTGGTGGTCTGCAACATTTTCCTATCTAAGTAAGAAGTATCTATCCGCCAAGGAGTTCTCATTTTCCTCTCCATGGATTTCCTCCCATTGCTGAGCTTCCAGAACAGGGAGAAATCGAAGGTCTTTTTGTCTGTTTTCTGAAGTAATTTTGAATTCTCTCATTAAGTAATTATAGTTTTCTCAAATAAGAGCTATTTAAAATTATAATTTATACATAAGCGCTCTGTAAACAAAGTATAGATATATTTATTATATATATATTTTTGTGGCAGCTGAAAACCTGAATCCAGGGACCCCTTCCTCAGAAAGGAAGAGGTTTCTCTCTCTCTCTCTCTCTATGTATATATATATTTAATATATTTATTATATATTATAAAAATTTAAATATAAATTTATATAAATATATCTACCTCTTCTCTCTCTCTCTCTCTCTCTCTCTCTCTCTCTATATATATATATATATATATATATATATGAAATCTGATAAGAGAGAGACATAGTCTCACTCTGTTGCCCAGGCTGGAGTGCAGTGTCATGATCTCAGCTCACTGCAGCCTCGACCTCCCGGGCTCAAGCGATTCTCCTACCTCAGCCTCCTGAGTAGCTGGTACCACAGGTGCGCACCACCACACCTGGCAAATTTTTAAATTTTTTGTAGAAATGAGTTTCTTTATGTTGCCCGGGCTGGTGTCAAACTCCTAAGCTCAAGTGATCCAACTGCTTTGGCCTCCCAAAGTGCTGGAATTATAGGCATGAGCCACTGCACCCAGACTAAAATATTTCTAAAAATAGAAAAATACCTAAAAGTGAAAGGCTAAAAAAACAAAAAAAACACCTGAATCCCGAATGTCACTTTCTGTTGGAAACAAAGGTAATTTGGGGAGAGAAAAACTAGAAAAATAATATTAGAGAGAGAAGTTGGGATTTAAGAAATATAAATGATAATTCTTACTGTACCAGATTTCTATAATATCTAGTTTTACAACTAGTGTGTTAATTGGCCCTAGTCCTGGGGGCGGGGGGGGGATCTCTCGAAAGTATCTATGTATGCATTGCGATTTTTTAAAAGTTGCAAGCTTTTGGTTAAAGTCAAATGGGCAGATTGAGCTTTTAGTGGGCAAATGCTCTTCATCTTCCTTCTTTCTTGCTCCTTCTGCAGCCTGTTAGGTGGGGACCACACCTTTCTTCTTAAAGTCCTTCGTTCTTTCACTTCAATGACTCTGGATTCTTTTGGTTTTGAACTCTACTTTTTGAATTACTTTTGGATCTTTTCTCATGTAATTTTATATACCCGTCTACGTTTCCTCCCTGAGAAATCTAATGATTTCTAAATCTCCAGCTCTAACCTTCTTTCTGACTTGACGTCTTTATTTCCAGTTGCCTTGTAACATCTCTCACACTGTGTCACAGCACCTCAAACTCAAAAAGTACAAAATGTGACTTCATTTCCAAACATGTACTTCTACTTGAATTTTCTACTTCAATAATGCTATTACCAACTTCCCAGTCACTCTATCAAAAAATATTGGTGCCTCTCTTTATTTCCCATATCTAATTACTTATCAAGCAATATTTGTATTCTATATGCAGAAGTCTCTAAAATATCTTCCTTCATTTTCACGCTCACTGGCTCTTCCATAATTCAGGTTCTAACATTTCCTTGCCCAGATAAATCATAGCAGCTCCCTCCTTCTTTTCTCTGCCAACATACTTTCTCTTATTCAAGAAATTCTTCACACTGATACTTGAGTTTTCTTCCTAAATTTTATCTTGCTTTTTATAGCTCATTTATTTAAAAACCTGTAATAACTCCTCATTGCCTATGGAATGAAGTCCAACTTCTTAGCTAGGTGTTCAAAGCCCTCCCCAATCTGATAAAGCCTTCATTCGTAGTTTATTCTCCAACTCTGCCTTTTTGTGATTCCGTTATGCATGTTCACAGCTCAGTACCTTGCCATATACTTTTCCTTTCCTTTGTGAGGCCTCTTTCATAGCACCTGTTAAAAACCATGCTATTCTTGAAATTCTGCTGAAATGCCCTTTTTGATGAAGGCTAACTAGATTGAACCACTTTTTATGTGCCACCGAGATAGTCCTCTGCATGCCCATCAGGGCTAGCGCTCATGCTGTGCTTGGTATGAGCTACATCTGCTCTACAGCCGGCCTGTATGTTCCTAGAAATTAAAGACTGTCCTACACACACCTCTGTAACTAATAGTGCTTAGCATCCTGCCTGCACAGAAAAGCAAGGTTAACTATGCCAAGCCAAAGTTAAGCACAGTTCAAAAGCAGAGGAGCACCCATACTATTTATCCCCTTATTACAGGGTACTTAGCCTGGTATAAGTCTGTCTCAGGTATATAAATAGGAGACTCGTGGATAAAATCTCCTGTATACTAACTACTCACCTTACCAGAGCTTCTTTCAAGTATGTGAACTCTGTCAATAAACATATTAATAATACATTGATGAAAATATAGTTGATGCACATTTATAAGCTCTAGTGTAGTTAAAATTGACTATCTCCATTGATTCTCATGAGGAAGAAAGTATGGTCCCCATTTTCTAGATGGAGAGACCAACAATAACACATGGGATCACAGAGACGGTAACGTCAGAAGTGGGCATCACACCAAGATCAGGGCTCCTTCTACAGTGTTTTGGTTTCATAAGACTATATTTGGGATGGTAAAAAATTGTTTCGGAATCTTTAAAGTTCCTAGTTCCCCTCTGAAGACAAGAGTTTTGTGAGGCATTTCATGCATTCTAGAAGAAGAGCACCCTGTTTCTCATTTTGTGTACTTCTTGTCACCCTAATGTCTTACTTACTTCTGGGTACCTTGGATCCCTTATCCCTTGGCAGTGACGGGTATGATTAAGCTGGCACCCAAGGTCCTGTATAGGAAAGGACTTTCCAAATCATAATGTCTCAACATTTGAGTTGTTTTCTGAAAGCAAGGTACCGTCTTAGCTTCTGTAAGCGATCAAAATACACAGAAATATTCTTTTTTCCTAGAAAAAAAAGAATTAAAAAGTCAGTTCTTGGCTTAAATTATACAGTAAGTTCTCAATCACTGAAGTCTGTAATTTAAATGTTTGGAATGGTTAGCAGAGTTTAAAATTTTGTGTTTTGTCAGCAGAAGAAACCTATGTACTTTTATTGGGACTTAAAATATAACCAAGAAGAATATGCTATGAAAATATGCATAGAACAAACTTATGGAATAGACTCATTTGGTTATTAATGACAGAAATCCCGCTAAATTACATGCTTCTGCAATGGAAAACTCCAAGGGTAGAGCAGCCTTTTGTCACTGTGAAGATATGCAGATAATGTCATCCATCTGGAGTCTGTCTTTCCTTATCTCTCAGCTCTGCATTCTCCTGCACTGGCCTCAGTCCTGGTCCTGCTTTTTTCCTAAGCTTAAATGTGATAGCCATCAACACCAGGCCTACATCTTACCAGGTTAGCATACTAGCCGAAAGAGAATAGCTCTCATAAGAGTTCCAGCAAAGTTCTTGGGAGTTTATTTTATTGACCCATAATAGGTCATATGCTCATCCCCAAATCAGTCACTGTGGACAGCCCTGCTGGCCAGGCCTAGATCATATGCCCACTCTGGACAGGGGTTGCAGTCAGCTTCAAAGTATTTTCATGGACTGTGAGAAGTGGAGACATGGTTTCCCAAGGTAAAATAAGAGTGCTACTAGTGGTAGAAAGGGAAATGGACCCTGGGCAGGAAAAAACAACAGAAGAGTACTATAACTTCTTAATTATTGACTCCCATAATTCAAAGTGTGATAATTTACGTAAAGGCCTAAATTTTAATGGTATTAATAGAGAAAATATTTATTTAAAGAAATTAGTGTCATAGATGGCATTACTAATTATGTTTAGTCTATAGAACAGAAGAAGCTTTTAAAATAATGAGAGTAAATTTTCTTGAATCATTAAGACATTTATTAATTAATTTATTCCAGTAACTACTTTTGACTGTTTACCACATGTCAGGCATTGTGCTAAGTGCTACAGGTACAAACTCTTTAAGACGTAGTCACAGATTCCCTTTTTCACATAATCTCCCACACATTCAAGCTGCCTAAGCAGGAGCTCTACTTGATAATGTGGACAGCAATTTCAATTATATCTTGTACTACAAGGTAATGCAACTTAATTTCTTTTAAAAGTATTTTATAACTTAATATTTTTTATTGATACATCCTGGCTTTGCTTTGAACTAAGCCAAATTAGTAATTTGACCAAATGTACATTCTCTAGCGTCTTATGTCTGAGGGGTTCATGGTAACCATATAAAAAGGCATAAATTCTTAGGTTGTTTATTCTTCTTTCATTAAGATTAAACTGTGATACACGTGTGATCATACCTTCCAATCTAACTGATATTTCTGAAGATCAATTTCTAGTCATGAGTCCTTTTATTTTTGAATCAGTTATGTTGAAACAAAGGCGGTCTTTCTTATTTCAATTATATTGAGTATTCACATTGTTTATTAAAGGAGGATTATGCAACGTTTAAATGAAACCTCCAATCCATAAAATACCTGTCACAGATGAAAAACAAGAACGCGGATAAGCATAATGCATTCATTTACAGGATATGGGTCCACTCTCCGTCAAGGAATGTTATAAATCCACGTGGTGTCCCTGGGTGTCAGGCTTGGCCAGAACATCTGTGGCTGGAGAAGCCAATGTGGCTCAGGAGCTCCCTGCTGGCTGCACATCTGAACGGCTTCAGGAGTACAAGTTTCCCCATCAAAGGTTTGGAATAAATTACACTAAAAAATTGGCTCCAGAACGAGTTATTTTGGACAGGACAAGGTGAAGCTCTCATGAGGTGTGTTAAATGCATCCCTCTGTGCAGTGGGCAACTGCGGGAGAGCTGGAGGGGGTGGTCAAAGGCTGTGGGGAAAGTGGAGAAACTCTAACCCTGCACACACTTGGACAGAAATGCCAAATCTACTGACTGGACAAGATTTGGGAAATTCATTTTTTAAACAAATGGTTTTACAAAGCTTTATAACTTAATTTGAATATATATCTTATAAATAGTCATCCTTTTCCTGATACTTCATTTTCAAAGGATGTCCTTTCCTCCCTCATGGAGTACTGGAGCCAGCTCACACTAGCTTATGAGAGCTGATTGTTAAGTTTTCAGGACTTTTGTGAGCCAGTTGTCAAACACAGCTGCTATTAAAAATTAAATTACATAAACTTTCAAAGTTATCTTAAAAACAAGGGTAAGAAATGTCCCAAACTCATTATCATTTCCTAATTATTTTGCTACATTTTATTATGATCTATGTTCTTGAGGTTAGTTACATCTCTTGTACCTATTTGATGGAAATACTGTATAATGGTGGGCCACTGTGTATCTCATTACATCTCCATGTTCAGTGACATCACATGGATAGTTTCAAGTCAACATGTTGGGAGTAGTTGCCTCACAGAAACTGACTACAAATCAGGGCGTTGACTTATCATTTCATTGATGATCCAGACAAGAAAGTGGAGGAAATGTTAATAATGCATACTAAATTTAAACATGTGTTATGCTTGCAGTTATTACATATGAATAGCCTAAACATTGAGAAAAGATTCTTCCAGTATTTAACAACTATTAAAATGGTATCCAATTCAGCAAAGAAGTTGCCCATGTCATCAGTGAACAAGTGTTGTACTGACATAAGTCTTTGTTGTTTATTATTCCTTAATATAAGTGAAAATACTAAACAACAATTTATGCAGGAATTATACTTGTTAACTGCCATTATAGGTTGGCTAAGGACACGAGTTAGATAAAAATCAAGGAGAGCATCCTGTGAGAAATCAACTTACTACATAGAATTTACAATATAGAGTTTTGTATATTTTATTATACTTATAAATTATGTCCTTATATCCTTTATGTTGGTAACATTGATAGTAAATCAATGCACATATTTATGGATACATTTCTTTCCTGGAGAGTTGATTGTTAGACTTTTACTAGCACATCACTGCCCATAAATAAATTTGGGTTTCTTCCTCCTGCTTGGAATTTGCCTTTGTTTTCCCAGAGCCAAAGTCCCTCCTGTATTAGATACTGGAGAAGCAATGGCACAAGTGAGGGAGAAACATGCTTAGCCTGCTTAAGATGACTCTAGGGATTCCCCAAAAAAAGAACTACAGCTTTGCCAGAAGAGAAGAGGCAACAGGAAGTCTTTCTGTTCATGCCTCCCCAGGCCCTAAATATGGATCCTATTCATCAGAAAAATACATGTGAAAAAATTTTTCAGTTACTTACCCAGGCTGCCTTCCCATGGCATTTTTTGTTCTAGTACTCTGAGCGCATGGAGCCATATTCCATCTCCCAATACATGCTTTAGTTTGACAATGTGTTATACTTCCTTCTCTTTAATGCAACTCCACCCAGCCTTAATGGTCTGGGATCTGTTAATGCCACCAGCTTTGGCTCATAGCCTGTGAGTCAGACTGTACCTCCCGGCACCCACATCCCCACACCATCAAGAGAGGGCAGGCTGGTAGCCTAATAGCATCTACCAAAAGGCAGGGGCTCTTTGGATGTCATTTAACCAGTGGCTTTGCCAGGGACAGTAACAGGGAAAAGAGGAACATGATGGTGGCCACATGGTGGCTTGCTTGTGACTCATTTGGGGTGCCCCTTGAGTTAGTCTAAGTATCAGATAGAATACCATATTTGAAAGAAAATTAAACTTACTATTTTGTACTTTCTGGGCATGTTCAAGCATTCAGAGACTTTAGAAAATGTTCTCACCCTCATAGCAGTATCCTTCTAATGACTCCTGCACAGAGGGAGGACTGTGTGGACCAGTGGGGAAAGATTTGAACTCAGGGGACTTGGTTCTACTCTCATTTCTGTTACTAATGAGCCCTTTGGCTTTGTACAGGTTATTTTATTTCCTTGGAACTAAGTTTTATATAAAATTATCTACAGTTTCCAGTAGTAAAGTTTCCTTATAACTCTGTCATTCTGTGACACTTCATCTTTTGTTTCACAGGGTGAATGACACACACGTCTTTGGTGAGAAAGTCAAGGGCAGAGTCTAGCATGTTGGTCGTATCAATTATTTGAATCCCAGGTCTCAAATCCTTTATGGCAGTAGGCATAAATCATAAATAATTCCAGGCTACTACTCCCAGATTTCTTAGAAGGATCAGAGCACCGACATTCTTTGGCAGATGAAAAAAGAAATTCAGTTATCTCGAATGCAAATTAAAAAAAAGAGAATATTCTCTCCTATTGAAAATCTTTTTGAAGGGCAGTAGCAGTTTTTCTTGCTTTGGTAAAAACAGAGAACATAACAGCATTTCTCCTATTATCATGGCTCTGTTCTGCTGCAGAATTGAGATTTGGAATATGAATGATCATTATGCATTCAGCATCATTTGCTTTGCCTGTAGAAGATTTAAGAGATTGGCTTAAACATATAATATCTTAGAAAACCCTTTTATTAGTTGTATTTTTACTTCATGCATAGACATTTTTATTGATTAAATAATATATTTTATTAATTATGTCTGTGGTCTCCATGAATCACTTAAAGTTTAAATCTCTCTCACAAAAGTGGAATGTCAAAAAAGTTTCAAATAGTTTTTAGGGGGTGGTGGTGGTAGTGTTCCATTTTGCTGGGTTCTGGTTAAAGTGCTAAGATGTTTAAAGACTCCAGAAACATAAAACATTTGTACTGTGTTCTGGGTATCAAAGACTACAGTTGCTATTTAACAAGACAGTTGCTCATAAGCAAATGTTTTCAGCCTGACCCACCCTGTGGCAGGAGCTGCTTTTCCTTGGATGCAGCTAATTCCTCAGTACTGGATTTTGGGGTGGTCATGGCCTTACTCTTTAATTAAAAGTGCTTTTTAGAGCACCATCTATGTGTCCTCGTTATGCAGTCTCAGCTTCCAAGGAGCTTGCATTCCAGTGTTCAGGTACACGACATATTCTCTGAAACGACCAAGACCAATTTCCAAGGCAATGGAAGAGAAAGGGAGTGTGAGAAAGATGACCAAGAAGGAAAGAGATAGAAGAGCAAAAGAGCAGGGTTAGCCACCCAGAGCTTGTGATTAATTTTTAAGTAGGAGAACAGAATTCGAACTCTATGAACAAGAACACCAGTTGCATCCACTTGCAGAGTGCCTGCGGTGGAGCCTGTCTTCTAATGGGAATCATGGGTTCTAGGTATCAAAACTGTGGCATGTAGTTCATCCACTGGGCTGTTTTGACTCCAGACTTTCCTGCTTCTTGTCAACAGGATATCATAAAACCCTCTTCCTATCACAACACTATTTCAATCATGCAAAGATTTCAAAAAATAAAATAAATGTTAAGCCTGAGCTGTTTGTATTAAGGAATTTGGAGCTAAACAAGTTTCTTGATGACCCTGGTGTTGGAGGCTTTTTGTGTATCCTTGGGTAAGAAATGGAACTGATAGTATTCATTCCCATACAACCAACCAATCAACCAACCAGTCAACGAAACCAACTGTCTGTTCACTCACCTCCACTGCTGCACCCTTGCCAAATGCAAAACATTGTCTCTGGTGTTGAGCTCTTGATATAGCCATGAGCTGATTATTTCTCTGTGCCTTACTCACTTTGTCAATTATTCAGATCGTTTACTACTTCTCTTGCCTACCTGTTAGCTTGTTTACCAATAATGAGAGAAGATGGTCTCGAACTAGTTCATTTGGTTACATATTAGCAGTTCTTGAATTACTTTTAATAGAGAGAAAGTTGAAACTAATGGATAAAACTAGGGTTTTGCATTATTCTGGTGTTTCAGCTGTTTATGTCAGTCCTAACCCATGTTTCTATTGGTATTTGAGGAGTTATTCTCACTTCTATTTTTAAAAATTTCAAAATCAGTTTTGTCAAATGGCTGAGACCTAGCCCCTACAACATAGTGGTGGTAATGTTGATGTGCTATGCCTCCTGTCTTTATTCTAGGTAAATAAATCAGTAACAACTCTATTGAGCCTTTCACCTTTCTTTTACTTCCACTGTGGAAAAGTTTAGGTAGAAATATATCTGTGTATCTATATCATGCATTTTTTTGTGAAAAGGGTAATGGAATACAGAATGCCATACATGGGTTATTCCCACTATGAATTAGTCTCTTTTATCTGACTCTGACCAAAACAGATGTTGGCAGCCTTTCTATTCCATCTCCCTAAGTCAGACTAAGACTATCAGTTCCGCTTAGGGAAGCTGTAGGGAAATGATTTAACTCTTTCAATAGACCCTTACTAATTTTTCCCTTGGTTCCTTTTTATTATAAACTACAAACAAACAAAATTGGAATGCATCTCTATGCAACAATGAAAGAAAAATAGCAATATTAAAAATACATCAAATACAACTCTAGAGGGAAGTGAATTTTTATTCAAGGACTTTTAAGAATTCTGACATTGAAAAGACATCTTTGCTTGAGGAGGCAGCTGAATGTGTTTCTAACTTACAGTCAAAGATCATTTGCATAGAATACCAAAAGAGCCATTTTTTTTTTAATTCGGAGAAAGAACATCTATCAGAGTGTGGCAGGATGCATCCTGCCAGGATTCTTCTCTTTTCTACAGAAACTGACCATTTGAAAAAGTCTTTCTATGATTGGTGCCACAATAAAGCTCTTGTACCGGATTCTGCAACAAAGTGTAAATTAATGGAATGTGAAAAATGGAAGGACTGCAAGGGAAAGGATCAAAGGGTGAGAAGGGAAAGGGAGATTATTAGAAAAAAATGTTTAATAAACACATAGCATTCCAGGAATTTATCATGGAAAGAAACAATCTCCTTTTAGATTTCAGGTAAAAAAAAATTATTGTAAATTACTACGTAAAGACTTTAAGCATTTTCCAAACCATGCCAAGGAAAGAGAAAAAAAATTACTTCTTAGACTCCAGGTACTTTTACATAATTTATCTCACTTACTTCTTATAATTATCCTATAAATTGAGCATTTCTATCATTTTTTCATACAGTACCCATGCCAGGGCACCTGTGTATTAGACTCCCAGGTAATCAGTTCTGTGGACTAATGCCTCTGCTGGCACATTCTGTGTATCCTGTAGCCCTTGCAGGAACACTGGAAATACATGGCAGGAAGGGCCTGCCACCTTCCTTGCCCAAACCCTTCCAACAAAGCCATCAAACAATAAGTGTAATTGAAGATGCATTTTAACCAGTATTTATCAGTAAATAGCATCTGAAAACTCAAATTCTCTACACCGTGAAAGTAAAAGCTACTATTTGTTGACACACTTACCATATGCTGGGAACTATGCTAAACACTTCACATGTATTACCTAATTTAATCCTTCCAACAGCCTGCAATGTAGGTGCTGTATTTTTTTTTTCATTTTCAGAAATTGAAATTAAAGAGGTTGTTAGTCACCTGATATCACAAACCAATAAATGGCAAAATATGGCATTTTTAATTCCAGAGCTTGAATTCCTAACTGCCTCATTTAAAACCCAGTTCTGTTGCATGTCCTTTATTTCACTCACAGCCACAGAAGAAATGGGGCATGCCCCCGTTCTGTTTCTCCAATAACCTCATCCCAGAACCTGGAGGTCCTTCTCTTCCCATCGCTGCCCTGTCACTAGCAGGTATGCTGTGTCGTGTAAGAAACAGCACAGAGAGGTATTTCTTGAGACATATAACATTTCTGCTTAGGTGATAGGTGATGGCCACACTGTTACTTGCTGATCACAAAAGGGCTTAAAACAGGGACATTAAATATCGGAGGAAATCGCGGATCACAGAAGTTCACTAACTTGCCTGTCACACAAGTGTACTAGGATTGGGAGCTAATTAGTCACCCTGATCTGGATTTGAGACAGGGTAGGATTGAGATTTGTAACTTATAACACTGATCGATTCTTCAGCCTCTTTCCATTGTACTGAAGGGCTGGGCTATTTGTTTGGTTCAGCATGTTTTGGATCTGCTACCATGTTTTCAGTTATGAGAACCTTGTCTATGAACTGAGAGTCCTGCCCATTATCTTTTGAGCAGGCCACATGTCTAACATAGCTGTGTTGGCCATACAGGCAATTTGGATAACATCTGTTCTGCCAGCACACTGACAAACTTCCATGTTAGGGAGGTCACAAAGCAAACTGTTGCACATTTGTCACCAGATTGTTCTTTGTGTGTAATTCTCACTTACTCCTACAGCTGACAACAAGGAGAGCATCATGTGTCTATAGGACAGCCGCCTCCTGGCATTTGCATTACAATTCAATTTCTCATGGCAGTGTTTTTGTTTTGTTTTCAGGATTCCTCCCTCTTCTTTCCACAAGTGAACACCTCTCCTGTTCTAGGAGCTGGGGATTCAGTAGTGAATGAGACAGGCAAGGTCCCTGCTGTCATGGAGTCTGCATCCTAGTGTAGGTAATAAGACAATGAACAAAGTAATTTTCAAAGCAAACAAAATAGGGGGTGCTCTGGAGAGTACATGGAGATCTGTTGTAGAGGGTTGGTTGAGGAGGGTTTCTCTAAGAATCAATGCTCAGGCTGAAACTGGAATGACCAGATGGAGACAGCCCGGAGAAGAACTGTCAGTGCATTCCAGGGAGGGAAGACCAAATGCAATGTCTTAAGAGGAGAAAAGCCTGGCAGGTTCCTGGAATAGAAAGAGGGCATGTGGGCCCAATGTATATGATGGAGAGAGGTAGGAAATGAACTCAGAGAGGTTGTCAGCACGCAGACCATATTCAACATTGGAGTCCCCTAAGGAGTTTGGATGTTGTCCTCAGTATAGTCATGGGTTGCATAGCAATGTTTTGGTCAATGACAGACTTCATGCACAACACTAGTCCCAATAAGATCATAATGGAGCTGAAAATTCCTGTCACCTAGTGATGTCTTTATGATCCTGACCCTGTGTTTCCCTAGGCTAATGTGTGTGTTTGTGTCTTAGTTTTTAACAAAAATGCTTAAAAAGTAAAAAATGAAACATTTTTAAAAATAGAAAAAACTTATAGAATAAGGATATAAAGACAACATTTTGTACAGCTGTACAATCTGTGTTTTAAGCTAAGTGTAACAGGAGTCAAAAAGCTTAAAAATATTAAAAAGTTTATCAAGTAAAAAAGTTGTAGTAAGCTAAGGTTAATTTATTTTTATTATTATTATTTTGAGATGGAGTCTTGCTCTGTCACCCAGGCTGGAGTGCAATGGTGCATTCTCGGCTCACTGCAACCTCTTCCTTCTGGGCTCAAGTGGTTCTCCTGCCTCAGCCTCCTGAGTAGCTGGAATTACAGGCACGCGCCACTGTGCCCAGCTAATTTTTGTATTTTTAGTAGACATGGGGTTTCACCATGTTGCCCAGGCTGGTCTTGAACTTCTGACCTCAGGTGATCCACCCGCCTCAGCCTCCCAAAGTGCTGGGATTAAAATTCCATGAGCCATGGCATGAGCCACCATGCCCAGCCTAATTTATTATTGAAGAAGGAAAATTTTGGTGTAAATTAAGTGTAGCCTAAGTGCGCAGTGTTTATAAAATCTATAGTAATGGATAGCAATGTCCTAGGCCTTCACATTCACTCACCACTCACTCACTGACTCACCCAGAACAACTTCTAGTCCTGCAAGCTCCATTCATGGTGCGTGCCCTAGACAGGTGTATCATTTTTTATTTTTATACCATATTTTTATTACATCTTTTATATGTTTAGACATACAAATACTTGCCATTGTGTTACAATTTTCTACAGTATTCAGTACAGTAACGTGCTGTACAGGTTTGTAGCCTGGGAGCAATAGGCTATACCATATAACCTAGGTAAGTATCAGGCTATACCATCTAAGTTTGTGTAAAGTACTCACTGTGATGTTTGCACAACAATGAAATCATCCAAGGACAAATTTTTCAGAATGTACCCGTTGTTAAGTGACGCATGATTTATCTTAAAAAAACATTGGAGACTTTTGAGTTCAAGAATAACATGACATTAATAATTTAAGAAGAACACTAAAGCTATTCCTGTGTGTAAGGGAACAACAATGGTAACGAGGAGACTAGATGGAAGTCATTCAGATGAGATGTTGATGGCTGGGACCAAGGTGATAGCAGTGGTTAGATTCGAGACTGAAGCTACTGAGATGGGAAGAGTGGGGGAAGATCACTTTCAGGGATGGGGTGAGGGTAAACTCCATAGTTCTTTTATGGCCATGATAAACTTGAGATGCCTATTAGATTTATAAGTAGAGAGTCAGGTCAGAAGTTGCATATATGTATCTGGATCCCAGGGATGGGGAGACAGAAGTTTGAATTCCTTTGCAAATTTGAGGTTACCTCAGTTACAGTCAAAAAAGTGTTTTCAAATTGAGATAAAGCCTAGCAAATAAAAATCGGGAAAATGGCATTTCTAGAAACGGAGAAGGGTTACATGATTTACTTTGCAGTTTCTTGTATGAGCATACATTTATGTATAAGGCATGTATACTCTATATTACAAATGCACAGATTATAAAAAGTCAGTAGGACCTAATTACCTGGGCTCTAGGAACTCACACCTAGTAGACAACACACACATGAACAGCAGACACTTGTGACCTACTTCCTTGCCCTGTACTGAACAAAAGCCTTCCACCAGGTGTGCACATTATTTTCTTGGATATTGAATGAGGAAGAATTCCTGTGTCTAATCCTTCAGGTCACTAGAATCAGCTCTAGAGGTCAGTGGGCTGACCTGCTGGAGGCAGACCACTCTCAGGCACTAACACCATGTGCAGCGAGCCGTGGGAAAGGTATTTCTGTACAAGAAGCTAAAGGAGCCTGCCAAGAGATCACAAATTTTTGCCTTGAGGTTCAGGGGAGGCTTCACAGCAGAGGTGACATTTGAGATGCATCTTGAACTATGAGCAGGAGTTTGCCACAGGGCATGGGAGGAGTGGGAAGTCTGCTTCTACCAAGGGAGTTTTCTAGAGCAAAGGGGTGTCCTGGAGAAAGTCAGCCAAAAATGATTTTTCATCTTTGAACACATTTCCCAGTTGGATACACAGGTCTAGGTGATCTTCGCTAGGTTACTCAAATTTTTATTTTACTTTTGAAATCTGCCAGTGCATGCACACGTATGTTTATTGCGGCACTATTCACAATAGCAAAGACTTGGAACCAAGCCAAATGTCGAACAATGATAGACTGGATTAACAAAATGTGGCACATATACAGCATGGAATACTATGCAGCCATAAATAATGATGAGTTCATGTCCTTTGTAGGGACATGGATGAAATTGGAAATCATCATTCTCAGTAAACTATCGCAAGAACAAAAAACCAAACACCGCATATTCTCACTCATAGGTGGGAATTGAACAATGAGAACACATGGACAAAGGAAGGGGAAAATCATACTCTGGGGACTGTTGTGGGGTGGGGGGAGGGGGGAGGGATAGCTTTAGGAGATATACCTAATGCTAAATGACGAGTTAATGGGTGCAGCACACCAGCATGGCACATGTATATATATGTAACTAACCCGCCCATTGTGCACATGTACCCTAAAACTTAAAGTGTAATAATAATAAAAGAAAAAAAAAAAAAAAGAAATCTGCCAGTGCCAGGCTTTCAACATTTCGTATATGCATTAAAAATTCTGGGTCCCATTTGTCAATTTTGGCTTTTGTTGCCATTGCTTTTGGTATGTTAGACATGAAGTCCTTGCCCATGCCTACGTCCTGAATGGTATTGCCTAGTTTTTCTTCTAGGGTTTTTATGGTTTTAGGTCTAATGTTTAAGTATTTAATCCATCTTGAATTAATTTTTGTGTAAGGTGTAAGGAAGGGATACAGTTTCAGCTTTCTACATATGGCTAGCCAGTTTTCCCAGCACCATTTATTAAATAGGGAATCCTTTGCCCATTGCTTGTTTTTCTCAGGTTTGTTAAAGATCAGATAGTTGTAGATATGCGGCATTATTTCTGAGGGCTCTGTTCTGTTCCATTGATCTATATCTCTGTTTTGGTACCAGTACCATGCTGTTTTGGTTACTGTAGCCTTGTAGTATAGTTTGAAGTCAGGTAGCGTGCTGCCTCCAGCTTTGTTCTTTTGGCTTAGGATTGACTTGGTGATGCGGGCTGTTTTTTGGTTCCATATGAACTTTAAAGTAGTTTTTTCCAATTCTGTGAAGAAAGTCATTGGTAGCTTGATGGGGATGGCATTGAATCTATAAATTACCTTGGGCAGTATGGCCATTTTCACGACATTGATTCTTCCTACCCATGAGCATGGAATATTCTTCCATTTGTTTGTATCCTCTTTTATTAATTGAGAAGTGGTTTGTAGTTTTCCTTGAAGAGGTCCTTCACATCCCTTGTAAGTTGGATTCCTAGGTATTTTTTTCTCTTTGAAGCAATTGTGAATGGGAGTTCACTCATGATTTGGCTCTCTGTTTGTCTGTTATTGGTGTATAAGAATGCTTGTGATTTTTGTACATTGATTTTGTATCCTGAGACTTTGCTGAAGTTGTTTATCAGCTTAAGGAGATTTTGGGCTGAGACAATGGGGTTTTCTAGATATACAATCATGTCATCTGCAAACGGGGACAATTTGACTTCCTCTTTTCCTAATAGAATACCCTGTATTTCCTTCTCCTGCCTAATTGCCCTGGCCAGAACTTCCAATACTATGTTGAATAGGAGTGGTGAGAGAGGGCATCCCTGTCTTGTGCCAGTTTTCAAAGGGAATGCTTCCAGTTTTTGCCCATTCAGTATGATATTGGCTGTGGGTTTGTCATAGGGATCTAATTAAACTAAAGAGCTTTTGCACAGCAAAAGAAACTACCATCAGAGTGAACAGGCAACCCACAAAACGGGAGAAAATTTTCGCAACCTACTCATCTGACAAAGGGCTAATATCCAGAATCTACAATGAACTCAAACAAATTTACAAGAAAAAAACGAACAACCCCATCAAAAAGTGGGCAAAGGACATGAACAGACACTTCTCAAAAGAAGACATTTATGCAGCCAAAAAACACATGAAAAAATGCTCACCATCACTGGCCATCAGAGAAATGCAAATCAAAACCACGATGAGATACCATGTTGTACCAGTTAGAATGGCAATCATTAAAAAGTCAGGAAACAACAGGTGCTGGAGAGGATGTGGAGAAATAGGAACACTTTTACACTGTTGGTGGGACTGTAAACTAGTTCAACCCTTGTGGAAGTCAGTGTGGCGATTCCTCAGGGATCTAGAACTAGAAATACCATTTGACCCAGCCATCCCATTACTGAGTGTATACCCAAAGGACTATAAATCATGCTGCTATAAAGACACATGCACACGTATGTTTATTGTGGCACTATTCACAATAGCAAAGACTTGGAATCAACCCAAATGTCCAACAATGATAGACTGGATGAAGAAAATGTGGCACATATACACCATGGAATACTATGCAGCCATAAAAAATGATGAGTTCATGTCCTTTGTAGGGACATGGATGAAATTGGAAATCATCACTCTCAGTAAACTATCGCAAGAACGAAAAACCAAACACTACATCTTCTCACTCATAGGTGGGAATTGAACAATGAGAACACATGGACACAGGAAGGGGAACATCGCACTCTGGGGACTGTTGTGGGGTGGGGGGAGGGGGGGAGGGATAGCTTTAGGAGATATACCTAATGTTAAAAGACGAGTTAATGGGTGCAGCACACCAGCATGGCACATACATACATATGTAACTAACCTGCACATTGTGCACATGTACCCTAAAACTTAAAGTATAATAATGATAAAATAAAATAAAATAAATAAAAAAATAAAAAAATAAAAATTCTGGGTCATTTTATTTGCTCAACTTGTGGTGTCACTTTCATATAAAGCTTTGACTAGAGAGTGTTCTTCCTTGTACCCTCCCATCTTGTGTCATAGGCAGAACTGACAAAAACTGTACATAAGTAGATGATTACAGCATAACTATAACCGATTTCCTTTTATGTAAAAAACATTCCAAAATGATAATTACAGGTAATTACTGTAGCATAGACCTCAGTCTGTTCACCTTCCAACCTGAAGTGAGTTCAACGGGAGGTCACATATTACAGATGGTGGCTAAGTTTTGAACACACTGGTGCTCTCTACACTTCTTTATCATTGCATTTGTAAGAAAACGCTTTTCAGCCACCTCTTGGCTTCAGTTTGAAGTTACTGTGTCTTCCCATTACACCCTGTAATGCCAATTTGTTCCTCTTCATTTTAATGACTCTTTCAATACAGATGTTTAATTGAAGACTAGGAAAGAGATTACCCAAAACAGGGCTTTCTGATTGTTGATAGTAAAATATTTGCAAACCACTGCCCTGTTTATGTCACTTAGGCTCCAGAATTACTCTAGATCTCCTGGGAATTGCACAGAGCAACAAAGTCACGGCCAACGGATAGACAGGCTAGTTTGTAGGAAAGCACCGATTAGCCAAATTAGTTTCTAGAAGTTTGTCAGTGCATGATAGAAAAGTAGTGTTTTTTTGGGAGCAGCAAAAAATTAACATCTCTTCACCTTCCCAGGTGAACAGAAGATGAAAGTTGCTTTTCTGCTTTCAACTTTAAGCATGCTTCTTGCCATGATTGTGTAAAAACATCTAGGAAAAATATAAATGACTTTCTTTGAGCAAGTTACACAAGCTGTCTGATTTCTCAAGCTGATAAATGAGGATAATACCTCCTTCAGAGAGTGGTAAGATTAAATTAGAGCATTCATATATGTAGTCTAGCCCAGAGCCTGGCAATTCTGAGTGTATGGCACATGTTAATTATTTCTTCTTACCTGGAGCCTTAGTAGGGCTGCTAATTCCAAAATTTGATGTTCCTGATTCCAAAATTTTCCAAGTTAAATAATTAGTTTCAGCTACCAAATAATGCCTTACAAGAAATCAATATCACCAGTGGCCCACTTGACCGTTTATTGTAGTTATCAGAATAATAACAAACCCTGGTGCTGGTGTTTGGAGTTGAGCTCAGGTGGTCTTCTTGTTACTTAAGTGCTCTGGCTCAATTTGATAGAAATAGGACTAGGACATACAAATCTTCAGATGTATTCTCTGTGTGACAATTCAGTAAACTCTTCGGAATCTCATGATGGTTCTAGAGCAAGATGTTGATAAATATCCAAAATGGAAATGTTTATATAGCTCCCTGATTTTCCCACCATTATCCATTTTGTCTGTAAACCTTCACACAAGTTAATCGAACAATTAAAAATTTATATCTCATTTTACTACTATTTTAAATAAAGAAATTATTTTTAAAAAAGTAATTAATCAGCAATATGGCTTACACTAATAGAGGATCCTAAAGTTGGATATGGGGTAGTGCGATGATTTGAATGTTCCCCTGAAGCCCACATTTTGGAAACTTAATTCCCAGTGCAACAGCATTGACAAGTGGGACATTTAAGATGTGATTAGGTAACAAGGGCTCTGCCCTCATGAGTGGATTAATGCCACTATCTCGGGAGTGGCATCCTTATAAAGGATAGGTTCTGCCCCCTTCCCTCTCTTTCTTGCACACTCTCTTGTCATGTGATGCCTTCCACATGTTATGACACAGCAAGAAGGCTCTCACCGGATGTGGCCTCTCTTTCTTGAACTTCTCAGCCTCCAGAAATGTGAGCTGAGTAAACTTCTATTGTTTATAAACTACCCAGTCTGTGGTATTCTGTTATAGCAACACAAAATGGACTAAGAAAAATAGGCTTACCACATGTTTCTATTTGCCCAGAACAGGCTCAGTTTATGCTTGTCGTCCTCTTGTAATTATTAATAATTACCCTTTACTGTCAAAAGTTGTCCCAATATGTACAATAAATAAGTTGTCTCAATTTTGGCACTATGTTGAACTGCCCTAGGTAGTCCACTGTATTCCATCATTAGCTATGTGGTCTCTCATGAACTCCAGTCTTGCAGTAGAAGTACGAATGATTACATGGGATAGACTGTTGAGGTTTCTCTCCAATGGTCTACTGTGAATAGCTGAATCTGCAAATGTCGAGGCTCTACAGGATTTAAATACCCAATGAGCCACATCTGTGTACTACTAAGTGGCTCCCCTCAGATCGAACCCTGCAGTCTTTCAGCAAGCAGACTCCTACTTTATTCAGAAGATTTCACCAGGGTTTGAGGTTACTTCTTATCACCAAGTTTTTTAATGGCATCAGAACCCAGCCTGAGTGTTCTTTTTTTCTGCCCACAAGCTGTATTGTTACTCAAGTGTGCTTCTTAAAACAATGAATATGTAACTTATTAAATGTCTTCAAGAAAAGGGAGATGTAAGGAACTAATTTTATTGACTGACATGGACTGCAGAGACACACAGAGCCTGCTCACATCTTTTGTAAAGTTTGGATTCAGAGACACTCCCCAACCCCCACTCCTAATGTAGGAAGAGACGCCATCACACATGTTTATTGACTGGTAGATGCAAGGATCTGTCGGCCATATGCATGCAAGTGAAACAACATTGACCTTGACAGGAGACGTTTCTTGTGAGTTGCATTTAAGAAAAACTTTTCTATCCGAGGCTGGTGTGGTCACATTGTTAATACCAAATGCGCAGGCTGTGAAGAACTCAGTGGGTCACCTTGTATCCACCTTACCTTCTAGGAAGAACTACATTCATAGCAGCCCAGCTTAAACAGGAGAAACAAATAAAAATAAGTCAAAACAATCCTGAAGGACAAAACTCCCAGTCTCCCTTAGTAAGAAATTTCATTCTATTCAACATCTCACCTCAATTTCATGCACTTTAATTCCCAAACTTCTTATTCTTAATGGAAATATGGCAAATGCTTATAATTAGTGTAACCCTAACAAAACAACAACAGCAGTAACAAACACATAGCATTTACTATGCACCAGGCACTGGTTCAGACATTTTACATATGGTAACAAATCTAATTTTCACAAAAACCTTAATAAGGTAGGCACTATTATTGTTGCACTATTATTGTTGTTATTTTACACGCAAGGAAACTGAGGCTTAGCGAGCCCGTAGTGATGCAGTCAGGAGTGCTGCAATTTAGCTCCAGAGTCTGTGTACCTAACTTGTTTGCTGTCCTGCTTCTCACCTACAGGGAATTAGAGCTCACATAACACATCTGTTAAGGTCAATATTGCTTCACTTGCATGTATATGCCTGCAGATCCTTGTCTTCTGCCTGTCAAGAACTACCCCCGTCCCTTGGGAACATAGTCACATGTCTGCCCTCAGCCTTCTTCTCTTAAGGCACAATATACCCAAATTCCTTTATTTCTTTTGTTGTGAAACTTATTTCCCAAACATTTAATCATTTTGGTTGTTCTCTCCAAGTGTCCCAGAACATGCTTCAGCTGGTACTTTCTGCCCTGTTCCACTTCAGCAAACACATATGGCTACTTGAAGAAGAGGGGTTTTGTATGGTTTAGGGGTGAACAGGGGAATAGAAACAGACCTTGCTCAAATTCCCAAAGCCATAGGCCATTTAACTAGGAGTATAAGAAACAATTCCTTCATTTCTTTCTGTGACCCATGGAAGATGAGTCGTTTAGTTTTCCATGAAGATAGGTGTATATTAACACAATTAGAATCCTAGTTAAAAATCTTCCTTAGTCACCCAGGAAACTATGCTGGTGGGAGACATAAATGCATGTACCTTGAGCAAATAAACAGATAAAGAGAAACCACACCATGACTCCAACCAGCTGCCACACTATTGTGAAACCTCTCCCGTCTTTAGTAAATGTTGTAGGATAATTGATGGTTGTATCTTTTTTCTTGTTTCTTGTGGTATTGTGGTCTTCTCCCTTAAAGGATAGTCATCCTTTTAAGTGGGATACAACAACCTTCCTCAAAGGTTGGAAGTCAAAACTGAGCCAAAATGACTTTGAAATGATATTTAATTTAATGTCAGGTTGTCAGGGTTTTAGAATGTGAAGGTGTTTGCATTAGGAGCTTACTTGCTTGGTTATGTTATTTGATTTTCTATAAACTCCATGTGCATTCATAAGCTATTTTATGTAAGTAGTACACAGGCTGCACATAACAGTTGTTCAAAAAATGTTAGCTTATCATTCTACTGTAGTAAGTTAACTTATGCCTCAGCACACTTTTACAATGCCATCTGGTATCCCCAATTTCATACTCCATGTTTGGTCTAAGTTGTCATATGTGGTATAAACATGAACAAATACAGCTTTCTTGGTGCTCAGTTTAAAGTGACTATCTCTGAAGAGCAACATTCCTCACAATGAGATATGGTGGTAAACCATGAACTTTTAAAAACATCTTATTGGCTATATATTTATTTAACATGTATTAGAAGACTATTTCTGGCATACCAAACCTGCTATTTCATGGATATTGTTTCCTAAAATGAGGCTGAAGAAAAAAGAAGTCAACTTAAAGAAAAAATTTAGAGTAAATATGCCTATAGGCCAATATGGCAAGACTTTGAAGGAAATTCATGAATGTATGAAGTTTGAGACACCATTATAGGGCATCTTGCGATACAGGGACTCTGTTTTCCTTTGTCTGTTGATGGCTATGGATGAGTGCCAAGAATTTTATGGCTCCTCTTCCAATATCTTCTAGATTTGTCTTTAAGTCTCGAATTTTCCTGCCCATTTCTGACTCTTGGCCTTGCTCTTCTCTACCCTTGGAATGCTCTTCTAATCCTCTGCAGCTCTCCAATTTCTTCCTGTTGTTCAAGGTCTGTTTCATGTAGTATTCTTCTGTGAAGCTGTTTCCACCCATGCATTCACAGAGCATTTGGTTTCTCTGTTACTTGGCCTCTTGCTTTCTCTCTCTCCTCCCAGGTCCCCGGCACAGTGCAACACATGGTTTGCTAATCTGGGTTGTAATATGCTGGGTATTGAACAGCCTTGGTTTCTCTGGGTTTCTTGAGTCTGGGGGAGGGCAAAGGCAAAACCAATTTAAGCAAGGCACAGATCAAATTAGGCCCAGAATTTGTTATTAGCTTTGCTGATAAATATTCCGCTAAGTTGACTTGTATCCATTAGGACAGTCCAGGAAAACTCAGATTCTCCCATATTACAAGTCACATCATCAATCACCTAGAAACGGTAGTGTTCATTTTTAGGTAGCTTGCTTGTTTGTTAGTCAAAATCTTGATTTCATTTATTTTCTGGATTCTGATCAAATTTCGAAGTCAAGGAATACATGTATTTTAAATGTTGATGTTTTGCCAAATTTGTCCCCGAGAGAAGTTGCATAATTTATCTCTCACCACATACTTGCTTACATGCTTGCTTAAATTTTGGATGTGTAGGTTATAACAGGATACATCATTGTGGTGTTAATTTGACTTTTTAAAATTATGAGGGATGTTAATGTTTTTAAATTATGAATGATGTATATAAAATTATGAGATGTTTTTGTGTTTGTTTTTTGCTTTTTTTTGCCTTTCTTTCTTAATTCTACCTTTTTCCTTTCTCCTCTCTCTTTCTCTATTTCTCTCCCTCCACTGATTTATAAGAGATCTTTTTATATGAAATAATATGTATTGCAAAAGTTGTATTCAAGTTTGTTGTTTGTCTTTTGACTTTACTTATGGCATATTTTTCCTATAGAAATTTTAAATTTTGAGACAAATTCAGTAGATTAATCTTTTTTTATGGTTTCTGTTTTCCTTAAAAATACTTTCCCTACAGAATTTTTAAAAATTCTCTCATTGTAAATTCAGATTTCTAATTTTTAAAAAGATGTTCTATATTTATTTTATCTATGGTATAAGTGGAACAAGCACTCTTGAGAGGCCTCATATAGCAAAGAAAGAACCTGTTTCTGGCCTTCCTGGCTGTTCTCAGGTCTCCCTCACTCTTGTCATTCTATGCAACCTCTGTGCTTGGGCTTCTGCTGCTAACCCCTGATTCAGCACTTACATGTTTGAATGACCTCTTGGGACCCATTTACCGGGCCTATAGACCACAGTCTGGTGCAAAATTGTTTGTTGAATGAATGCATCAAAGGGCCCATATTAAGTAAAACAGTGCCTGAGACAAAGTAAGGGTTGTATAAGTGTTAACTGTCACTATTCCCAGTGTTGAGTTGAAATTGTCTTTATCACAGTTCAAAAATAGTTAAATAGTTGAGGCTGCTGATGGTGAGGACAAAAACTAGTTTCTAAAATTCATATAGGATATTATGAACAAACTAAGAAATACATTTAGCTATATTCTATTTTATAGTATTTGAAGAAGTTGGAATTATAAGTAATTCCTTTTAAATCATTGCCACTGTCTATCTGGGATACAAGCTGCTTGAAGTTGGAACTGAGGCATCTGGGAGTGAAACATAAGAAGAATCTTGGCTAAAGGCACTTTTAATGTATTCTCACACTATAAGGAATGACTCTTCTGTTGAGTTTCTGTGCCACTCCCCCATATTTTCTTCCTTAGCTGACTGCCTGCTATGTGACATTGATACATAGTTATATTTGTTTTTGTGATATTTTCATATTGATTACAAAATAAGTCAAGTCACTGATAAACTATCATAAACTTATGTGTTGTATTCCCAATTAGGTTTGGTTCTTTTTGACAAAATTTATACCAGTTTTTGTTAGGTGGAGAGGGGTCTTATATTAGGCTTTTCAAACAGGGCTGTGGGTATCATCATTAGCTATCAATAATTAACAGTACCTCTGTTTCCTTTCAAGACCATTCCAATTCTCGAACTTTGAGAATGAGAACTATTTTATGACAACCTCACTAAGAATTCCATATCGTATTGAAAAAAACTCACTGATGTAGTTAATAGCATCTGCTGTAGGGAAATTGATACAGTTAAATTTTTATGCTCTCTCTCTCTCTCTCTCTCTCTCTCTATATATATATATATATATATATATACACATTTTATTTATTTATTTATTTGTTTATTTTTGAGATAAAGTCTCACTCCGTCACCCAGGCTGGAGTGCAGTGATGCGATCTCGGCTCACTGCAACCTCAGCCTCCCGCATTCAAGTGCTTCTCCTGCCTCAGCCTCCAGTGTAGCTGGGACCACAGGCACCTGCCACCATGCCTGGCTAATTTTTGTATTTTTAGTAGCGATGTGGTTTTGCCATGTTGGCCAGGCTGGTTTTGAACTTCTGACCTCAGGTGATCTGCCCTCCTCGGCCTCCCAAAGTGCTGGAATTACAGGCGTGAGCCACCACAATCCACAGTCTTTTACTATGTCCTCAAACGAAATGGGATCAAGCTAGACACCATCATCCAAGATCATTTTTCACAGACTTGTAACATTTAGTAGTTCTTGTTAAGTGATGTGTTAGAGCTGAATGGCACCAGCTCAGGGAGATGAAGGTACATGAGCATTGCATCTCTCACCAACTCTGTGTTTTGTGACCTCATGTTGATAGCTTGAAATTGGCAATTATGGGAGTATTAACACCATGGAAATTGGCAAATGCTATAAATCAGGGGTTCATTTTTCAGATAGCCATCATACCAGCATAACACTTGTTTCTGTCTATACACATCCTACAAAGGGAGGTAACAAGCTACTACTTGAATAATCCACTTTCTGTGTTGATTTTACAGAATATCTAAAGGGATTAAGTACCTAAAATGTCAAAAATGTAGCTTTAAATTATAGAATGAGTACCCAGTTCTTGACATAGCATGTGTACTTAGAAATAAATACAATATTAACTGGAAGAGGCTGTAAAAGTTTTGTGGGCCAGCCTCCTATTTTATGAAGAACTCGTGTTACAGGATAGCTGTTATTTTGTCTGTGGTGAATCTCTTCCCTCTTCTGATAATAACATCTTGAGTTTTCTCTTGCCAGCTCTCAGTCCACATGATCTAGGAAGGAGGAATTTTTGGCCCCCGTCCCTCTCTTCTGCTTTGGTGTGTACACATGACCCAGATCTGGCCATAGAAAGTGCTCTATGCCCATGGCCACCAAGATGTGTACAAAAGTAAGCATATGCCTTCTGGCTGATGGGATCGTGTCTTTCCCATGGCCACAGCAGTAGGCTGAGATGAGGCACTTGACCTAAGCTGGAGTGAATTCTAGTAGTTGCTGGTGCTATCAAGAAAAAGGCATTGCTGGTGTAATGTAAGACTGGAGCTGTAGATTGCCATCTTTGCCACTAACTCAGGGGTGACATTCCTGTGTATGAAGCCAACACAAAAGCAGGCAGAACTGAGCAATGGAGAGAGTCCTGATGATATTATTTGAGCCTTTGGGCCCATTTATGCCTGAATCTAGAATTATATTGAACCAAATTCATTTCCTTTTTGCTCAAGCCATTTGAATTAGTATTTTGTCACTTGCAATTGAGAGCTCTGAGAAATATAATTCCTTTCTGTGATAACTCTAATGAGTACTCAGCAGCCAACTCTTGAATGCATCTAGTGATAGGGGCCCCCACCATTTTGTGAAGCAGTTCATCTCCTTTTTGGTGATTCTGAATATTACAAAGTTCTACACTGATTCCAAATTTGTCTGAGCTCATTGACCCTATATCTGCTATCAGTAGCAACACTTGTGTTATGACTGTACATCTTTTTTTTTTTTGAGACAGGTCTCACTCTATCACCCAGGGTGGAGTGCAGGGGTGCGATCATGGCTCACTGCAGCTTCAACCTCCTGGGCTCAAGCGATCCTCCTGCCTCAGCCTCCTGAGTAGCTGGGACTATAGGCACATGCCGCCATGCCCAGCAAATTTTTAAATTTTTTGTAGAGACAACGTCTCCCTATGTTGCCCAAGCTTGTCATAAGTGTACATGTACCTGCCTTGTGCCCTTTGTAAACTCTGAGTTAATTATCATGCCTCTGCGAAATCTTCCCTAGCTAAACATACTTAGCCTCCTAAAAGATTCTACATAATTCTCATCTTTCTAGTCATACTGTGCTGGGCATACTACAATTGGTCAATGTCTTTTTTTAAAAATGTGGCATACTCATAGACCTAATATTTGTCATAAATTTGAATAGTTTACAGTAGAGAGGAATTATTGTCTTGTTCTGCCTGCAGGACTGACTATAAGTGAAGGGCCTAAGGGGGCAACATGATTAAGACTTGACTTCTTTTTCTATTTTTACTTCTTCTATTTCTATTATTTTACTCCTTCAGAGTTTATTTTCTCTTTTCACCACAGGGGTCATCTCACTTTTTTCCCTTTCTGTCTGTCCCATCACTGCTACCTTCACCCCTACTCCACCCCCACAAACCCTCCCCACCAAGCTGGTCCTTATTACAACAAACAGTAAGGAGTGAATTTGAGTTGAAGTGCAAAATAAGTGATAAGCTTAATATGCCACCTCTCATCAAGAGTATATATTTTTATTTCCATACACCAAGACTTGATTAGTTTCAATCAAAGCAAGTGTTCCAGTTGTGGAGCTGTAGCTGTTGTTTTTGAACCATATAGGGAGGGTGCTTTACCAAAATTATATCATGTATTTTGTTCCCTGCTTCACTTGTAGATTCTTTGCCAGCCTGTAATCTCTAGCCCTGCTCCAGCAACCTGTCCCATGGCCCAGCATGCTTAGGGCCTGCTCTTCTGAGCTTGGTCATGTCTAGCCATGAGTTTTGCTGTCTTATTGTTAATCAAAATACTTGTTCTCAATGGAAGACAGATTAGGCAAAAATAAAACAAAACAAAAACAAAAACTTGGAAGCCAGCTCCATTTCTCCTGTGAAATGCACAAAGGTCCTCCTGTCACTAGTGCAGAGATGATGTCAATGTCCTGGATGGAATCTGAGATAAAAATGAAAGTTACGTATTTTACACATTGAAATCCCTTAGAGATCACATACTTTGACCCTCTTAACTACTAAGTCCAAATCCATGGGTTCGATTCGTCAATCAGTCCATCTGCTACTATCATTAAATTAGCTAAAGAAAATAATGACTTTTTTCATTTCAGAAAATAGATTTTATTTGATTTTAGCATTCTTTTGATATTGCCAATAAGGTTTTTTGTTGTCGTTCCTGTGAGGGTGGTTGTATTGCAGGGACTAGCCCAATTCCTGGCTCTCAATAATTTTTTTTGCAGTTTTTTATAAAAAAATCAGCATGGGAGTATAACTGTTGAAAGCAATATCACAAAACTATTTAAAGTTTGTGCTTCAAAATTTCAGTTCTTGAACAAGTTTAATGGAGCTTTTCCGTAAGACCTATTTATGGAGGAAAATTTATGATAATGTGGGTTCCTCTTGTCCTAAATCCTTGGGTATTCACTTCTCAGAAGGAGCAGAAAGACCTCTTTATAATCCGGCTTTTCTCTACATCAGTGTGCTATGGAGGGCCCACCGGCCAGCATGATAGTGACATCCTGTGTGTTCCCACAGTGATTTCCTCATGCAGTGGACAAGTCTCACCAAGCTGGCTGCTCCTCAAAAATCGAAACTTCATTTTTCTGTCGGTTAGTTTTCGTGTTAAAAATCTTTTCCAAATCACTTCCCAGTCTCTCTCCATGAAACCACCACTGGTTAATGGAAACCTCGGGTACTTGATGGAGTGGGATACAACCATAAGTTCTCAGTCGATTTTCTTCTTTGAATAAACTGGTCTTTTCTAAGGGCACTGCTGGTGGTTTGATTCTTGGCAGTTCCTTCCCTCAAAAACGTGTCTTAGGAGAGCAAGCGGTCCTTCCTGGTAGAATGAGCACCTTTCAGAAAGCTTTCTGTTTGTTTAATTTCTTGATTATATGAAGTACATTAAAACCAGTCCAGGGCCCATTAACATAATTTTCATGCATGTTAGTTCTGGCAAAATACATTAGACAGGAACTGTATGATAAATGAGATAAATAATTTTGATGGAGCAGTGAAATAAAATAAACTTTTGCTGTTTAAGAAAACAAATCATGACTAGTGGGGTGTATATGAGAATCAGTTTGTGTTAGAGTGGCATTCTGAGGGTGGCTTCTATCCTTAGACTGTTTTGGGGAGAAAGGGCTGCTGTTTTGTACCTACAAGGTCTAGGTGCAGCTGTAAAATAAAATATTATGAAGTCTCGTGTCCATTTCTTAGGAACTGATTATCCATGCTGTGGATTATGTGAGGGTGCTCTACTTCCTCTCCTTGGCTGCCTTTTAACACATTGCCTAAAAAATGGGCAAGGGCAGACAGAAGAGATGAGATTTATATACATTTATATTGAGACTTATTAACACCTGTGGGAAGAAATTGTTGTAGGCTGAGTAGATTCTTTCCAACAAGTTTAATTTTGCTTAGTTAGCAGTTTACAGACTTTTGTATGATCAGGCTCTGCTAGAAATGTCTATCAGTTAGTAGTAGAATCAGAAGTTCATGGGCCTGGATAAAAAAATATAGCCTTCTTGTCAGATAGGCCTGGAAAACACTTTTCAAAATGATATTACAGGCTTCTGTGTCCTCCAAGTCATAAAAGCTAGGAAGAGCCCCAAATGAGACCTTGAGTGTTCTGTTTGTTATTGTGTTAAGAAGTTTTCAGAAATGAGCCCCTGGAAATAAGCTATTATGTTGGTGCAAAAGTAATCGCGGTTTTTGCCATTAAAAGCAATGAGAAAAACCGCGATTACTTTTGCGCCAACCCAGTATGTTGTTTCACAGTGCGTTGATTGTTCCAACGTGACCTGGGTTTTGAATCATTGAGAACTTCTTCAGTGCAGAACTGTGCTTCTTGGGTGAGACAAGGAGAATTCCACACAGATGTGGAGGCCCTGGCAGAAGGTGGAAATATTACACGTGTGTAATTTATTTATTTATGTATTTATTGATTGATTGTAGTAAGGACATTTAACATGAGGGCTGCCCTTTTAATGAATTTTAAGTGTTTAACACAGTGTTCTTAACTCTAGGCATGAGGCTGTACGGAAGATCTCCAGAACTTATTTCATCTTGCATAGCTGAAACTTTATACCCAATGAATAGCCACCTCCAACCCTCATTACTTGTTACTTCTCACATGGATCAACTAGAAGAAATTCAGGCAATAGATAACAAAGATAAAATTAATGAATTTGGGGGATAATTGGTGGACTTCAAATGTCCTTGCCAATGTGTATTAGTCCATTTTCACACTCCTATAAAGAACTACCTGAATTATCAGGCACGATGGTGGGTGCCTATAATCCCAGCTACTCAGGAGGCTGAGGTGAGAGAATCACTTTAACCTGGGAGGTGGAGGTTGCAGTGAGCCAAGATTGTGCCATTGCACTCCAGCCTGGGTGACAGAGCGAGACTCTGTCTCAACAACAATAACAAAAAAAAGAACTACCTGTGACTGGGTAATTTAAGAAAAAAAAGAGGTTTAATTGACTCATGGTTTTGCAGGCTTAACAGGAAGCATAAGTGGAAGGCCTCAGGAAACTTACAATCATGGTGGAAAGTGAGAGGAAGCACACATGTCTTACCCTGGCAAAACAGGAGAGAGAGAGAGAGAGAGCTTGAAGGGGGAAGTACCCACGTGTTTAAACCATCAAATCTCATGAGAACTCACTCATTATCATGAGAACAGCAAGAGGGAAGTCCGCCCCCATGATCCAATTACCTCCCACCAGACCCCTCCTCCAACACATGAGGATTATAATTCAAGGTGAGATTTGGGTGGGGACACAGAGCCAAACCATATCACAATGTCACCATCATAGCACTGTCAATAATTGTGAACTGCTCATGTACCACGCGTGACAAGAAGCCCTTGGAGTTCCTGCTTTTAAATAAATGGAAAATTACAGCACCATGTCTCTGCCACCCACTACACATTCCCAATCTGTCTCTAATTACACTAGCCATTGGGTCTGCTACCTGCTACCATAATAAAATCTTCATTATCTCAAAAGTCTAATGTTGATGATTGTCTTAAAGTATGGTTTTGGAATGCTGAGAAAATGGTGGTACTGTGATTTTTGGATCTTCCTGAATTCCCCACAAAAAAAAACCAGAAGGTGAATTTTATGGTATATGAATTACTTCTCAATAAAGCTGTTGGAAAAAATACATATATATATATATATATTTACATGGTTGGGCACAGTGGCTCACACCTTTGATCTCAGTGCTGGGAGGAAGAACAGCCTGGGCAACATAGCAATACCTTGTCTCTACAAAAAAATTTTTTTAAAGTAGCTAAGCATAGTGGCTCACATTTGTAGTCTCAGCTAGCTGAGAGGCTGAGACTGGAGGATTGCTTGAGCCCAGGAATTTGAGTCTACTGCAGCCTGGGCAAAAGAGTGAGATCCTGTATTAAAAATACATCTATATTTCACATATATGTATATATGTGTATATATGCGAATATACATATATATATATATGTGAAATATATATGTATATATATGTGAAAGCTCAGGATCCTAAACTATAAGGAAAAAAACCAGACCAACTAGATCATAAAACCAAAAACTCATGGACAACATGTATGACAAAGCCAGAGGATAAAGTGAACCTAGAAACCCTAAAATATTAGCCACAAGACTGTGCCTTTCTGGCATCTGTATAAGAGAAAACAGGCAAGGAATGAGGTTGAATTGGATGGGTTTGAGAATAGAAGGACCCCAAAATAGATGAAAGTAGAAATTACACTAGATCAATTTGATAACAACTGCTGAAACTGTCAAGTGTTTGCCTACCCGGTTGCTGGTGATGTAGGAGGCCCATGGTGAGGCTTAAATGACTGGAGCAGCATATCCCTTGTGAGCTCTTTAAACTGATGTCCCAGGCTCTCTTCTAAGGTAGAGACCCACACCAGAGAGATGAGAAGAAAAGATTCAGGCAAAGGTGGGTGGGTTGAGAGCACTGAGCCAGGACATTTTAGAGAGCAAGCTGCTATGCGTGTGTATATAACAAGGACCAATTTGTTGCTTTGAAAACTGGGTTGATAAAAGAGAAAAATCAAGCATTTATCTGCTTTTCTTCTGTGAACTGTACTACTAAACAAATATCTCCTTATAAAATTATTATAGCTAACAAATAGAAACAAAATGATACAGTTAGAATGTCAGTTTTACAGCTCCTAATGAATTAACAGATCCAAACAATGAATATCAATGGCTTCTTACATCAAAATGGAGGGAAACCAGACATTTTGTACCTCTTGATGAAAGAACACAACACCATCTAGAGTTTTAACAAACTGAATCTGATCTGGTTTCTGGAACCAGTTGCCAATTTGCAGGAAATACCAAGGTTGGAGGAACATATTGAACCACACCAAGGGTATGCAGTCAGCAAAATCCAGCCTGTGGGAAACTCTACAGATCAAATAGCTAGAGATTTTTTTCAACAGATAAATTACAAGGGAAATAAAAGCAGCCTCCAGATTGGAAGAAAACATTTGTGCACCATATATCTGATAAGGGGTTAATATCCAAATGATGTAAGAAACTCATACAACTCAATAGCAAAAAAACCAAATCACCCAGTTATAAAATAGGCAAAGGACTTGACTAAACATTTTCTAAAAAGAAGACGTAACAAATGGCCAATATGCATATGAAAAGATGTTTAGCATCACTAATCATTGAGGAAATGCAAATCAAAACCACAGAGATATCATCTTACACCTGTTAGGATGGCTAATATCAAAAAGACAAGAAATAAGAGTTGGGGGGGATGTGGAGAAAAGGAAACTCTTGTATATTGTTGATAAGAATGCAGATTGGTGCAATCATTATGGAAACACTATGGAGGTTCCTAAAGAAATTAAAAATAGAACTACCATATGACCCAGCAATCCTTCTCTGTATATACCCAAAGGAAAGGAATCACCACCTTGTAAAAATATCTGCACTTCCATATTTATTTACAGCATTATTCACAATAGCCAAGATATGGAACAAAGTGCCCATCAATGGACACATGGATAAAGAAATTGTATTTATATATACAATGGAATATTTTTCAGCCTTAAAAATGAAGAAGATCCTGCCATTTACAACAATATAGATGAAACTATGAGAACATTATGCTAAGTGAAACAAGCCAGACACAGAAAGAGATAAATACTACATGATCTTATATGTGAAACAGACAAAAGTGAATCGAATACATAGAAACAGGGAGTAGAAAGGTGGTTACCAGGTCAGGGAGGAGAGAAGAGGGGGGCAATGGAGAGGTGTTGGCAAAAGGTATAAAGTTGCAATTATGAAGGATGAATAAGTCTAGAGATAATATACAACGTGAGAACTATAGTCAAGAATATTGTATTGTATACTAGTAATTTGCCAAAAGCGTAGTAGATTTTAGCTACTCTTACCACAAAAAAAAAAAAAAAAAGAAAGAAAAAGGAAAGAAAAGAAAAAAGGAGAAAGGTAACTATATGAGGTGCTTGGTATGTTAACTTCCTTGACTATTGTGATCACGATGTATATGTATATCAAGATAAGTATATCAAAACATCATGTTCTACACTTTACACAGTAAAAATAATAATCAAAACAAGGTTGGAAGATAACACGTAGATTAAAAGAAATGGAAAATGTATCTCAAATGTTAAAGAATGGGCAGGAATTAACTACAGTGTCTCAGGATGCACACTTGGGTGATAAAACCATAAAGAATTGCAAGGACATGATTACTTTTATTATTATTGAATCACAAAGTTTTAATATAAGATATTAAAAATAATAAAGCCTATTTGGTAACATAGCATTCACTATTCAAGCAAAATATTATTAGGACATGATTACTTTTAGTCTTAGGATAGTAGTTACTTCTGGAAAGAGGGAGGAGCCTGTGACTGGAATGAGGCACAGAGAAGAGCTGCTGGTGGCAAAGTTCTGTTTCTTGACTTTGGTGGTTACAGGATGTTACCCTGATAATGTTACTGGTGGAGGGTGCCCAGGTTCTTGGCACTTTGAACACAGAATTGGGCAAAATGCACAAGCAAAGCAAGGAAAGAATGAAACAACAAAAACAGAGATTTATTGAAAATGAAAGCACATTCCACAGGGTGGGAGTGGGCTGGGCCGGTTACAGAATTTTCTGGGGTTTAAATGTCCTCTAGATGTTTCCCATTAGTTATGTGGTATACATCCTATGTAAATAAGGTAGTGGACTGTTATCAGTCTGATTGGCTGTGGGAAGGGACCAATCAGAGGCTGAAGTGAAGTTACAAAGTTACACCCTATGCAAATGTCTGATTGGTTGCGGAAGGTGACCTATCAGAGGCTGAAGTGAAGTTACAACGTTATACTCCTATGCAAATGAAGACTTGGCCTGTGACCAGCCCGTTTGGTTGCAGAAGGGGACCAATCAAAGGTACTTTTAATTTTTCGTCTGCCATCCAGAAAAAAGCAGGGGGCTTGCAAAGGGAGTAGCCTCTGGTCTTTTGTTACTTGGGCATGGAAAGTTGGGGTTTTCCTTTTGACTGAGTTATAGGAAGTCAGTGTGAATTGACCTTAGGTTCCCTCCCTCCAGACCCTATTCTCCTGCCTCAATAATAATTCACTAAGCCAGACTTTCGTTTAGTGACGGTTTTCTGTTATCTGTATTTTATTGTAGATTTCTAAAGATTTTTTTAAGTTTTTTTTAAAAGATGTATTTTAAAAACCGTGTTTTAGTCGTAAGCTTCTCTGACATTCTGATCAAAGTCCTTACCAGAAAACTGTATCAACATCTGATTATTTCTTGTGGTGTTGAGGGATCCGTAGACACCTCCAACCCCTGCCTCCCCAGCTCCACTCCACTGGGAACCATGAACTCCAGATGGAGAATTCCTGTTTAAAAGATATTTTACTCAGGGAGGGATAAGGTGAATTCAAACAAAATTCAATATTAATCAGTAGTGAATGAAATTAATAAAACTTGCCATGAGCTGAAATGTTCTCTGTTCTCACATAAAGAAGAGATTCTTAAATTGGAGTCTGTGATTGAACTTCAAGGAGCCTGAGAATCCCCTGAAATGTTATGAGACTTGTTTTCTGTGTATGAGCACATTTTTCTAGGGAAAGGGTACAAAGCTTTCATTAACTATCAAAGGGGTCTGTGATCCCAAAGTTCAGGAACCCTCAAAACCCAGGAGGAGCTGAACAAGCTCCTGAGCTGTGATGTTCCTTTGTGCAACTGAACCACTGTAGTGCAGGAGGTGCTTCTTTGTGACTTTGGCTAAGTGAGGAGAAGGTCTGGCTGTCTGGACTCCAGTGATCTTTCTTGTGCCCTCACCTCCATCATGTCCCCAGTGCCAGAATCAGGCTATGAAGCAGCAGAGGGTCCCTGAGTTTCCAGACAGGTCTTTGCTCACCAGCTTATGCCTATATCTGGACAAACAGAGGTATGTTTCTTTCCTTTCAATCTCAGATTAGTGAGTTACTGGGTTTCCCAAATGTCAGTTATCATAGACCACCTCCCCAAACTGGCAGATCTGCCATCACTGCTACTATTATTTCCTTACTGTTTGCCTCTTTAAATAAAGTTAAATTTAAAAAATAGCGTTAATGTGTGTGGGTTTAACCCTCCCACTTTTTCACTCAAGTTTATTTAAAAACTTTAACATTTATTTTATATATTCAGGGGGCACAAGTGCAGATTTCTTACATGTATATATTGTGTAGGGGTCAAGTCCGAGCTTTTAGTGTACCCAATACCCAAATCTTAAGTTTATTTAGAGGAAAATGCCTGTGAATTGGGCTCATAGTGCTAATTAAATTTTCATCCCTAGCGTGAGACCATCAGAACTTGCTCCAGAATCACCTGGGCAGCACTGACTCAGAAGCTCCTAGGGAGGAAAGCGCTTTAATGAGCTTCACAGGTGATTCTCACTCAAAGTAGTTTGAGCCTGAGCGCGGTGGCTCATACCTGTAATCCCAGCATTTTGGGAGGCTGAGTTGGGTGGATTGCTTGAGCCCAGGAGTTCTAGACCAGCCTAAGCAACATGACGAAATCTCATCTCTGCAAAAAATACAAAATTAACCGAGCATGGTGGTGTGTGCCTGTGGTCCCAGCTACTCAGGAGGCTGAGGTGGAAAGATTGCTTGAGCCTGGGAGTTCAAGGCTGCAGTGAGCTGAGATTGTGCCACTGCACTCCAGCTTGGGTGGCAGAGTGAGACCCTGTCTTTAAAAAAAAAAAAATTAATAAAGTTTGAGAACTACTGCACGACTGAAGAAGTTTTCTTCCACATACCAGCTAGTGATGGGCTGTGCTCATTACACTTTGGGAAACACTAGATTTAGAGCTTAGAATGCATGAGCTTTTAATAAGGAGGCTTGTATTTAATTCCTGGCTCTTACATTTTCCAATGCTGTAAAGATAGCCAAATTACCTAAGCCAAGTCTCTATTCCTTCACCTGTAAAATGGGTATAAGAAAACCTACCTCACAGGATTCTTGTTAGATTGTTATGTTAGATAAGGTATGGGCCCAGAGAACACACTCTATATCCTCTTCCCAGGCCTTTTTATATTCTGAGTTTTAATCTAGCCTCAGCATGTAATTATTACATAACTTGAGTCAAATCATTCAACTTATTTGAAAAGTACCGTATTTTTGATCTATTAAATAGTGATAATCTTTGATGATATTTCCTACTAATCTTGGAAATTAAGGGCAAACAAGCTCTTAGTAATTTCGTAAACTGATGATCAATGAGAAATGCACAGCTCTGCTGGGAGCAATATGAACTTTGGCATAAGGGTGCATCTTGTCTCCACAGGGCTTCATGAATGCTCAAGCAGCAACTTCTTCACTTCTACCTGACAATGAAAGCATGCTTCACAAAACTCACATTGAAAACAGCCATTTTTTTCCCCTACCTCTGACTTGCTGTCATACACGATTTGCCTTTTTGTCACCTGAACACACAAAGCTTTGTTAAAACATTCAAAATAAATTGGCCAATTGTATGGACACTTCAGATCAAGAAACATCAAACACTAAATAGGTAGTTCATTGGGCTAATAATTTTTTGAGTCATCCTGAATACATATCTGCTTTACATATCAATGACATTTGGAGAACAAAGGGTTAAAAATGTAAGTGAGGGTGGCTACATGTCACTCAAAGTTCAGGTATGCTCACTTCCTGTCATCCAAAGGCCAAGCTTACTTCATTCTGAGTTTTGTTAGTTGTAAGTCATTTATAGGGTCATTTTAGGGAAAAGGAATTGATGACTACATATTAGGGACCTGAATCAATTACTGGTCATACACCTATGGCTGTCTGCTTTTCAAGAGGATGGAAATCATTTAGATCTTGGGCCAAGCATAACATTTCTTTTATTGCTCCTTTGAAGCGAAACTTAATTGTTTGTGTATTTTTTTTTAAATACAGGACCTCAAAGAGGAAATCTCACATTAAGTGAAACATGAGACTGTTGGCTATTAATCATAATATGTAGGTGTCCAGATGATGGCTTATGAATCTGGGCTGGGTATATGGGTTGGTGGGAAAACCCTGCTGAAAATCTGTTATGTCATTGCTAATTTCAGTGGAAGATTGAATTTATGTTGATAAGAAACAGATAATTGAAGGATAACTCTTTTGCTATACATGTTGCTTAAAGCGTGTACTGGATAATTCACTTGTCTTTGGAGCTTAAATTAAAATATGCATCAGTACTCACTTATAAACACTGATTATTGTGATGGTTCTCTTTCTGGACCACCTTCTTATTCTACTGTTCATATGAATGTTCCCTTTCTACCAGGGAAAGATAAAAAACAAAAACAAACAAAAAACAACACCTATAATGTGACAAAAACACAGTGAATTTAGAGATTGGTGAATAGGCACACTCAACCACAGCTGACTACTACTTACCTGGATGGAAAATTTAAACTTAACCATTTATTAGTGTACAAACCAAGAATTGGGAGCATAATTTTGGTGGTGTTATAAATTCTAAAACAACACAAGATGTAATCAATCAGCTGCAAGGTAAGTTCAAACATGGACTAAGCAGATACCTACTGGTAAGGCTATATGTTCCAAGGTGGTCTACTAGGGTGAAACTTTAGGGGTCTCTACAATTATCTAGCTGGAATACCACTTCCTGTCCTGCAGTGATTGTTCCATTCTCACAGTTTGGAGCTAGCTGGTGTAAAAACATCTTTAACTGGGCAGAGAGGATCTGGATTAGAGATCCACCAAGCTACAATTTAAGTCACCAGGGGAGCATTTCAATTTGCCAAAGTGTCTACTGGTATACTTTGTTCCTTCCCCTAATGCATTTATATGGAGAAACAATCTGGGCTGGGTTTGAATTTTCTAGCATAGTAAGACATCTCAGGCTTACTCACAACCCTAGCTAAATGTTGGAGGTAGTAATGGAGTACTATGCAGGCTGGAGTACTCTCATAGTCCGAAATTCAACTGATTTTAAACTGGAAGCAGGAATTCACACATGCAAAAATCACTCAAGAGCTTGCTAAAAAGGGAGATTCTAAAATGCAACTCCTATATATTCTAGTTTAGTAGATTTGGAGTGAAACCCACATTTCTTTATTTTAACAAGCATTCCAGGTGATTCTGGTACAGATGACTTCTGGTCCAGTTTTTAAGAAACACTACTGTAAGGAATCGCTTACAGTGCTTGTCTTACAGTCTATCCCCTGAAGATACTGCCACACATATGGTAGGCCGAAAAAAACAAAAAAGGGAGAACATAACAACCCATTTATAAATGATTCCTTAAAATGCCTGAAAATATCTAAGTACTTTCTAGAGAAGGATAAGTTGCAGAACCAGCAAGAATGACCATCAATTTCTGTTTCGTCCCCAGTGAAAATTATCTAGAATTGTGAGAAATAATTTCCCATATCCTTTGAAACCAAACTTTGGAAATCTACCCTTCCTTCATCAGAACCCATGCCTCCACTCCTAAAATCCTTACCCAGGGAAGTTTTGCTAAGTGCTTGACATCATGGAAGACTAAACCACAGGCTTGTTTCGAGGTCCTTGCAAAAGAAAAGCAATTCACCTCGAGTTAGATCCCCACAATTCCATTCCTGTGTTAATCTGAACAGATGAGAAAAGATTCCAAGAACTTTTGGTAATAGAATATTCCCCCCTCCCTTATCTTTTTAAAATATATTTATTATTTTTACTTATTTTAGGCAGAGTCTCTCTGGGTTGCCTGGGCTGGAGTGCAGTGGCACGATCTATGCTCATTGCAACCTCCGCCTCCCGGGTTCAAGCGATTATCCTGCCTCAGCCTCCCGAGTAGCTGGTACTACAGGCACGTGCAACCATGCCTGGCTAATGTTTTGCATTTTTAGTAGAGACGGGGCTTCACCGTGTTTGCCAGGATGGTCTCAATGTCCTGACCTCGTTATCCACCTGCCTCGGCCTCCCAAAGTGCTGCGATTACAGGCGTGAGCCACCGCGCCTGGACCTCCCCTATCTTTTAAGGTTCATTTTTTTACGAGTTGCAGGATAGAGTGATCTTTGGCGAGTCCACCTATAGTTTACTCGCTCTTCTGGTTGGTTCAAAATCTCCTTAGGATGACTATGGAATTAAACAATCTATTTCAGTAAATTAATTACAATAAGGAATAGCTGTTAATCTTAGAGCACGTGGTTCTCCTTTGAAATTTTTAAAAATTCTAAGTAGTAGGAAAGCATGTGAAATAAAAAAAAAAAGCTGCTTCTAGAGAGATCCTTCACCAGACAAGGTAAGACACTGAATGCACTCTTTTAACTATTTTTTATTCCCTTGCCTTAGTGCTTGGGTGAAATAGTGGAATAGGCCACCCTATGAATCTAAAGACAGAAAGAAGGCTTTGCTGATGGTTCTACAAGAGAGTTGCAGCTGCTCTATTTTTTGTTAAATTAGTGTTTTTAACTAATTTAAAAACTGGTCTGAGATGAGACTAGAGATTCTGCAGTTCTATCAAGCCCCCAGGTGATGTCTATGCTGCTGATTTGGAGACCACACTTTGAGCAACAAGGTGCTGAACAACACGGGTGAAAAACAGAGACAAGGGTTTATGAATGTTGTATTTATGGCACTTCTTTTAGGTCTGAAGTGTAGTCCCTCTGGTTAAACAACAAAAGTCTCTGTTTTAGTTTGACTACCAAGCACTTTACAGTTGTGTGTATTTATTTCATAACTTTTGAGGGATTTCACTGATGTAACCATTGTGGCACTACTAAATAACATCAAGACATGCCTTCAGCTTGCGCCATGCCACAATCTGCTATCCTACAACAAAATGCTAGTCCAGACAAATTTCAAATGGTCACATATACATTTTCACAGATTTCCATGACATGTGAAATGTGCCTAACAACGACAGAAGTAAGTGTGCCAAGACTCACATTTCTCAGAACTTTTGGTAAAGGTTAGTATGGTTACTACTCTTCAAACAATTTCCCTTAACTGAATTCTCTTTGATATCTGGGGTCTCAGAAAGAGTTTGACTCATTCAGCTTTCTCACAATTAATGTAATGCACAAAAACCAAACAGATATAAGTGTCCTAATCACAATGTTTTGCTCTCCTTCCCTTCTATATTGTGTATTACGCTGTAAGCTCTTTGGCCAAAACCTAAGAGGAGCAGAGACCCTGACTCATGGTGAAGCTGCTGGTTCACAGGTAAACAGCATGTTTGCTAGGATGAGCTCATGTGATTTGCAGACCCTCCATACACTTAATGGAGAGCTTGGTATTATTACGATGTTGGAGGATGAGTTGACATCTTTGATTTGTGTTCAAATCTGTTCTCTCAGGAATTTAAAATAGTCTAATTTTATTTTTTTATGAAACTGCCCAAGCTAAAGAAAGGTACACAAGAGGAAGAAGTGGAAATGCTTCTGGGCGAGGTTTGGAAGAATTTTAGTGAGACTTAACTACTTTTCTTATTTTAAGAGAAAAGTGGGAGCAGGGAGGAGATCCACAGGAAAGTAACCAAATGACCATGGAGATGGAAATGGGTTCTTTAAGAAAAAGCTGATGGGGATGGAATTGTTTTACCTGTAAAGGTAGAGATGAAGGAGTCACTTAATTCTCATTTTTAGAAATATGGGAGGTCATTATGAGGCAAAGAGATCCAGTTATTCTCTTTCTTCACAAGGAAAATCTTTACAAGTGAAGATTTGACAGATAACTTCTCTTAAGTGCTTTCAAGAGCTTCCATTTCATTTCTTTTAAAAGTTAAATAGTACAGTGATAACAGGGCCTTTTTATGGTAAAACTCATTGTGTGAAATCTGCATTCATGTATAGAATCATTGGGCTATTTATATGTGCTAATAGTGATATTTTCTAATCTTTGCAAGTAGAATTTAGTTTCACCATAGTTGAAATTGTGAACTGCTCACACTATGCTTTATCATTTGTTCTCTCTTCTTTTGAAGTTCTTTATTAGCTATGCCCTCCACCATAGGCTAACCACCTAAGACTAATAAGTATAAATTATAGTGGTGCCAGCTTGTCTTACCTTTGTTAAATATGTGCCAACTGTTTCACAATGAACCTTTACTTTCCCTTTTATGACTGGCTGTAAAAAAACCTGTGCTTAGAGCCAAGGAATGGACATGGCTTACATTTTTTTGTCCACAATCTTGAAAGTCCCAACCAAAGCCAATTTTTTACTCTCCAGGGCATTTTACTCTTCATGGCATTTTCCCATTTTTTGATGTTCATCCTTTACTCTCTCTCTCTTTAAAAACAAAAGCAGCAGAAAGGTATTCTCTCACAGTTCTGGAAGCTAAAGTTCAAAATTAACATGTCAGCAGAGCCACGTTCCTTCTGCTTTACTCTCTTTTTTTCTCCTTTACTCTTTGTTTTTCTTCTGAAAGAAGACGGGAAGAAAAACAACAAGAAAGTGAGCATTCATCTATCAGTTTTACTCTTCAGTGTTACCTTTGTGTACACATTTGGTGATGGAGGAAACTGATGTTACTATAAAAATAGCAATCTACAGCCAGGCATGGTGGTGTGTGCCTGCAGTCCCAGCTACTCAGGAGGCTGAAGCAGGAGGATTGCTTGAGCCCAGGAGTTCAAGGCCATCGTGCACTATAGTCATGACACTGCACTCCAGCCTGGGTGACAAAGTAAGACTCTGTCTCTAAAAATAATATTTTTTAAAAAAGCAATTTATAATTTAATGTAATATAGACTGCTCTTCCTATCCATTATTACTAGGGAGTAATTGAGAGTTGTTCATCTTTTAATCAGATGGCATAAAATTAGAATCAACCAGGTGAAGACCTAATAGTTTTACAGTTAATTATCTTGGGGGGAAGATTGATTTAATTCCCTGTTTACAGCTTTACAAAAAGTATAAAGCATGACTTCGTGGTGGGGTTTAGAATTAGATAACTCCAGAATATATATGTACTTTTTCATGACCAGAAAGAAAGGTAAAATAAGATCTTAAAAAAAAACTAATTAAAAACCAGAAATATTTAGACAGGAAAGCCAATAAATGGAGATCCAAAGAGTACCTAAAAATAATCAAATGACAAGTGAGTATTGCGAACGTTTTTGGATTTTGATAAAGAGGCAAAATATGAGGAAAGGGAAATAAAATAACATTCTTGGGAAAGGTGATTTCTAGATGTCTTTAGCAAATCAGGATAAATACAATCTCCATTTACTCTCAGTAGAGCTAATGAAGAATCTCCTAGGAATGTTGCATATTGGATCTTCTTGAAGGAAATTGGTTAGGAAACAAAATTTTTGACCTTCAGACATAGAGATCCAGTGTCCTTGTCATTTCTTAAATCATGGAACAGGTTTTCTGCACCATACATTCCAAGTTATGGTTCTAGCTGACCATATGATCCAGATTGAGCTGATAAAACTTCCCTACAGCTATGAGTGTAATGGATCCTAAATAGGGATTTATTATTTTCTTGTAGGAGAGGCATGTAAACAAATAGAGTTATCTAGAAATGTCATATGCACCCTTTTAATTGTACAGCAAATGGAGAACAAGCCCAACAGTGGATTCTTGACTATAATGCCCACTTCATCTTCTCTTGTGTTCTCTTGCATAAAGCTTGCAGTGTGACTCTTCTTTATGTTTATTCTGAGAGGGTGGTTTACATGGAGGTGGAAGGTAAAGGACCATTTATTCACATCTATGTAACACAAGCCAAATAGCAAAGGAGAAAGTGTGTCCTCTCTCATTCAGAAATACAAATCCTGCTGCTTCATGCTTAGGAGCAAGCCAGGTGTCTCAAAGCCAGTGGAAGAAAGAATTAGGGCTGGGCACTTGGACCTCAGCCCAAACACCACAGAGATCATCTTCCATGGTAATGTATTTGGCATCAGGAAACCACTGTTCACTGACTCTGAACTTTGCAACCCCATTCCCAACGGCTCTTGAAGCCATTGGTAAGTACAAGGGGAAAAGAGAAGGGGAATAATGGTAGCCTCAGGCAGAGGTGAAGGGCCTGATTTTGTAATCCAAGAAATGCTGAGAAAAAGCCTCCCATATCCCAAAGGAAAAGGAAGGCTGAACTATCCAAGGGATGCAAATGAAAGACCTTTATCTTGGTACTACCTTCTTTCTTGTGTATGACTGTTCATCACAGCACTCTTTCCTGCCCAGCCAGGATATCGTCTGATAATCCTTCTCAAAGTAATGTTCCAAGGAGGCCTTACCAACTGGCTGAAATTAACCTCAGACCCATTTGACATCTTCGATTTATGCTATAGGATAGCAGCATTTCTTCACTGGGGAAACCATTTTGCTGGACCCAGGAAGAGTAGGAAGAGTAATGGCTTGTTTTTTTTTCTGGAAGGTCTGCCTAATACCATGGAAACATGAGTATAGTACAAGTGGACTGTTATTTTCTATGGATGGATCATAGGATAGATCTATAGACAGGTAATATCTTCCTCCTGTTTGTCTTGTTTGCACCAACATTCCAAGTGCTTTGCTGTCTTTGACATGTAGTCAATACTTAGTACATGTGTGCTGAATTAATAAATGAATGGAAAAAATGGCCAGGATTAGTAGCTCACGCCTTTAGTTCCAGCACTTTGGAAGGCTGAGGTGGGCAGATTACTTGAGCCTAGGAGTTCAAGACCAGCCTGGGCAACATGGTGAAACCCCATTTCTCACACGAAAAAAAAAAATTAGTTGGGCGTGGTGACATGCACCTGTAGTCCCAGCTACTCAGGAAGCTGAGGTGAGAGGATTCCTTGAGAATGGGAGGTGGAGATTGCAGTGAGCCGATATTGGACCACTGTACTCCAGCCTGGGTGACAGAGTGAGACGCTGTCTCAAAAAATAATACAATTTAAAAGAAAAGAAAAGAAAAAATGGCTAAAGCTAAATCATGGTGTTCTATTCCCATTTTGTAATTTAGAATGAGTTTACCAGAATATTTTGTTTTGAATTTTTCTCCTTTCTACCTTTAAATAAAATATTGAGATCTGCTGATATTTAATTTAGCAGTGCTACTGAACTCATAGCAAACAAATGTTAAGGGAAAACTTTAGAAATGTGATTTAAGGGAAAACAATTCCATATGTATATTTTGAGGTGCAGAGAATAGCATACAAATAATATGGGGATATTTTTCTACTAGTGAAATGCATGGAATTCTATGTCACCAATTCATGGTGACATGAATTGTTTTCAGGTGTTCCATGATCTGAATATGTTTAAAAACTACTTTCCCCTGTCAATCCTTATATTTTAGAGCAATAATTCTTAAACTATAGTGTGCAACAGAATTACCTAGAAGGCTTGTTAAAACATAGATTGCTAAGTCCTGCCCTCAGAGTTTCTGATTCGGTAGGTTTGCAGTTCTCACAAGTTCTCAGGTGATACTGTTGGTCCATGACCATACTTGGAATATTTAGGGCATAATTTATTGAGATTAAGATGCCTTTTATTTGCTTTGGTGGATCCTCCTAACTGAATATCCTCCAAAAGATGGAGGACATCATAAGAGTCACCAGTGCACATAATAACTCACTAAGTCATGTGAAACCCTGTGAGGGGTGCACTGTGATTATCCCCACTCTGAGGCAGAGAAAATCTGAATAGTAAATGGGAAGAACCAGCTCTTGGACCCAGGTAGTCTAGCTTCAGAGTCTTAAACACAACATGTTAATGACTTTTAAGAAAAAGGCTGAGGTACATCCCTCCAATCATGTAGTTCTGAGCGAGGCTGAGAAAAATAACTGAGGAGATTCCAAAAGCCTGTCTCATGGATCAGAAGAGAAGCAAGCAATGGGATCTCTCAGCGGGATTGCACTGGAGAGACGCTCCCTTCCTGCCTTGTTGTCACTGCTTAGGGCAAAATGAAACTTCCTTCTTCAGAGGGCATAGCAAATGACTGGAAACAGCCTAGATGTTCCTTTATTCGAAGAGGACTGATAAAATGCACTAAATAAAGGTGCATTTGTACCATGAATGGAACACAGCTGCAAAAAAAGTTAAAAAAAAAAAGAATAGGGAAGAG